>NC_000019.10:56615874-57240874 GCF_000001405.40 Homo sapiens | reverse complement strand
CTAGCGGGGCGGGGGCTGCGGCGAGCAGGGCGGGTCTCGCGGGCTCAGCCGAGCCCCACCCCTTCCCTGCGCCGGGCCCGGTGACCTTGGCTGACAGTCAAACTCTCTCGTTACGGGGAGGCTCACGGTTCGCTCCGAGACGCGGAGGTCGCTGTCGGCCTCCTACCTGCTCATTTCCCCAGCGCCGCCAGGGAGGCGGCCACGGAACACCGCCCCCTCCCTAGAGCCGGCGTGGACGGAACCGTCGCTCCCAAATTACGTCCCATCCAAATGCCGGAAGTCCCGCCCCAAGCTTCGCAACCCACAGGAAACGCCCCTGTCCTGGACCATCATTGGCCCCAGGGCCCGCCGTCGCACCTGGCAATGCCTTGTAGTTAATGTAGTTTTTCTCTACAAACCACCTGCAAAGGGGACAGATCCTGAGCCGGCAGGCCTCGGTGTAAAAGTCGCAGCGGGCCTACAGCCCGGCTCAGACCTGCCTCTGTCCTGGGGGCACAACTCGGAGGCCAGGGACCAAGCGCGAGACCGTCCATTCTTGGCCGGAGGAAATCGAGCCCCAGGAGTCAGGGACATTTGCCAGGGTCAGGGCCAGTGCAGAGACCCTGGACCAGGCTCCGGACTCTGACTTCCACCTTGCATTATTTCCCCTCCGGATCCTCTTATACAGATCAGCGGGCAGTCAGAGTAACCAAAGGGGGACGTCGGGCGGCGCGATGCCTCAGGCCTGGGATCCCAGCGCATTGGGAGGCCAAGGGGGGCGGATCGCTTGAGCCCAGGAGCTCAAGACCAGCTTGAGCAACATAGGGAGACTACCAAAAAAAAAAAAAATTTTTTTAAAATAAGCTGAGTGTGCTGGCGCACACCTGTGGTCCCAGAAGTCTGTGGCAGGAGGATCGCTTGAGGACAGGAGTTTGAGAACAGTCTGGGCGACAGAGCGAGACCTCATTGGTACCAAAAAAAAAAAAAAAAGAAAAAGAAAAGAAAAAAAATAGAGCGCGGTGGCTCACGCCTGTAATCCCAGCACTTTGGGAGGCCGAGGCGGGTAGATCACGAGATCAGGAGATCGAGACCATCCTGGCTAACACGATGAAACCCCGTCTTTACTAAAAATGCAAAAAATTAGCCGGGCGTGGTGGCTGGCGCCTGTAGTCCCAGCTACTCGGGAGGCTGAGGCAGGAGAATGATGTGAACCCGGGAGGCGGAACTTGCAGTGAGCCGAGATCGCGCCACTGCACTCCAGCCTGGGCGACAGAGTGAGACTCCGTCTCTCTCTCTCTCTCTCTCTCTACTTATATATACATATATTTATATATACATATATACATATATACGTATATATACATATGTATATATACGTATATATATGCACATATATATTTATATATATATTTATATATATATTTTTTGAGACAGGGTCTCGCTCTGTTGCTCAGGCCATAGTGCAGTGGCGCGATCACAGCTCACTGCAGCCTCAAACTCCAGGGTTCAAGTGATCCTCCCACCTCAGCCACCCAAGTAGCTGGGACTGCAGGCACGCACCACCACGCCCAGCAAATTGAGGGTTTTTTTGTTTTGTTTTGTAGTTTTTGTAGTCAGTTTCACCATGCTGCCCAGGCTGGTCTTGAACTCCTGTGCTCAAGTGATCCACTCACCTTGGCCTCCCAAAGTGCTGGGATTACAGGCATGAGCCACAGCATCCAGCCTACTCAAAAAAAATTTTTAATTAGCTGAGCATTGTGGCACACCCCTGTAATTCCAGTTACTCAGGAGGCTGAGATGGGAGGATCTCTTGAGCCCAGGAGGTCGAGGCTGCAATGACCTGTAATTGCACCACTGCACTCCAGTCTGGGCAATAGAGCAAGACCCTGTCCAGCTGGGACATGTTGCAAATGCATTGTCTCTCTTGGGCCTTCTTTGGCCAAGCTTGGTCTTCACATGGTCCAGCAACTTTTGCTTTAGGTATTGGCTGAGAGCCCTGGTAGAGTAGATTTGACATTCCTTAACGTGGGGAGTCTTGGACTGGGTGAGCTCATGACTCCAACTTTAAGCATGATCAGTTTGAAATGTCTGTATGACCACAGAGTGTCTGTGTCACAGCAGTTCAATCTCTGACTGAATATTGGGAGAGAAGTTGTGCCTGGACATAAAAATCTGGAAGTTTTTGGCAAACACTGTTATTTCAAGTTATGATACTGGACAAGACCATGAAAAAAAATGAGCATAGATGGAGAAAGGAATGGAAAGAGGTGAACATTGTTAAACAAAAATTACAGGAGGCCATTGTTTTGGAGCTCCTACAGCAGGCCTCACTGACCAAATCAAAATGGCGTCTCTCATACTAAATGTCATCTAATCAAACTGAAGTTTTAAGGAAGCAGACAGATCCCAGTTTTTCCTAAAAGCAGATTTCAGTCTACCTGAATTAGTGAAATTAGGAAGTCCCCTCTGCTTTAACCCTTAGAAAAAGTAATCTGTTAACCAATCAGCTTTTTTTTCTATTGTTCTATTTTATTGTTCCCACCTTACAAAACCCACTGTTCTGCCATTGCCCAGTGGGAACTCTAATTTCTATTGTGTAGAACAGAGATTGCCTCAATTCATGAATCACAAACAAAAGTCAATTAGATCTAAAACTAAATTTGTTGTAATTTTGGCCTTTTGACAACCCTGAACTAACTGGTTGCAAACAAGAAAGCAACAAAGTCATGTTAGGGTCATAACAATCTTTTAAGAATTATACAGGCCGAGTGCAGTGGCTCACGGCTGTAATCCCAACACTTTGGGAGGTAAAGGCGGGTGGATCAGCTGAGGCCAGGTGTTTGAGACCAGCCTGGCCAACATGGTGAAACCCCGTCTCTACTAAAAATACAAAAATTAGCTGGGCATGGTGGCGGGTTCCTGTAATCCCAGCTACTTGGGAGGCTGAGGCAGGAGACTCGCTTGAATCTGGGAGGCGGAGACGGCAGTGGGCCGAGATCGGGCCAGAGAGCAAGATTCCGTCTCAAAAAAAAAAAATCATATTATACAAAACCTTTGTAGTCTCCGTTGGTGACTGTTTTTTTTCTTCTCATGACTATGAAGGTTAGAGAATAAAATCCAGCTTTCAATGATTTGACAATACATATGGTTATGAAAATGGAAACAAGGTGTGCAGAAAATGCCCTCCAGAGATTTGAAAGTGGAGAAAGTATCATGACAGGATGTTAACTGGGTGGAAATGTAGATGGAATCAATTTTCTAGAAGGTATTATTTGTAAAATGAGATTATTGAGAAATGTTGCTTAATTAGCGTGCAAGCTGTTGACACTGTTACTCATCATTGACAATACTAATTTGCCCAATTTAGAAGAGAGGAATAATTCTCCTTTCCATATGTGTATGACCCGTAGGGTTAAATTAGTTTTCGCTTTGGATGCAGAACAGATATTAAAGTTAGTATATTTATATTCCATCATGGAATGTCTGGAATCAGTGCTGCTGAAGAAAGCTATGTAGATATTGGTGACAATTTTTTTTTTTTGAGACAGAGTCTCACTTTGTTGCCCAGGCTGGAGTACAGTGGCGCAATGTCGGCTCCCTGCAACCTCCACCTCCCAGGTTCAAGTGATTCTCGTGCCTCAGCCTCGCAAGTAGCTGGGATTACAGCCACCATGGCCAGCTAATTTTTGTATTTTTCAGTCAAGACAGGTTTTTACCATGTTGGTCAGGCTGGTCTCGAACTCCTGACCTCACATGTTTATCTGCCTGCCTCAGCCTCCCAAATTGCTGGGATTACAGGTGTGAGCCACTACGCCCGGCCTGGGGACACTTTCAAATCCCTCATGTAAAGCATGACAGAGTTTTCATTATTTAAACATATATCATCTGGTGATCAGTGCTGAGGCCCTAGTGATTTTTCTATCCTTACCTGCCAAAAATGTGCCCAGTGATGTGTTTATCCAGCACCTAAAATGTGTAAGAGTTTATATGTGTGAACCAGTTAATTTATTAGGAATTGCCAAGTGTTTAAAATGTTAATTCAGGAAAACTGATAGGATGAAGCAAAGCATATAGAGGTAAGCACTGTGTCTCCCCATGCAGGTAAAAGAAAGAAAAAACAAAAAAGAGGTAAATACTGAAAGTGCAGGTTAAAAACCATGAACCAATGTCTTGGAGTATTTAACTTATAGATCTGCAATAGTGGGAGCTTTTCATCCAAGTGAAGTGGCTGAGTTATTTATGCTTACGTAGTGGGTCTGGTCATAGCAGAAATCATGCCTGCAACTGCTGGATATTTCACAATGAGGAGACTTTGTAGAATATAATGATAGGAGTAACATTAACAAGGCAAACTCCATATAAAGTGCTTAACAACTAAAGTTAGGAGAAATACTGGTGTAACTGACTGCATTGATCAAAAAACATTTGAGCTTACAGCTGAGGAGTCTAGATGCTTACTGTGGTAGTCAGTTTATAATGGGTGCAGGGAGCAGCTGCCACATGAAGCTGTCACAGAAGGTTACAGAAGGCTGGAAGGCCACTCCCCAAATTGCAGCATGCAGTAATTTCAGAAGAGGTGATATTACATTTATTATGAGGAATGACTTATTCTAATGTCATCAGAGTGCAACACAACACAGAGGTGCTAGTGTATTCACTTAAGAAGTGGGTTGCACTGACGTGCAGTGAAACATTTTATTTCTGAGACAGCAGCATATTGATGTCCATAAAAAGAGAGTGGACCTTTGGGTTGATGACAGTCCTGTTTTACAAATGGCATACTCCTGAAAACATGGAGAATAGTAAGTTGGATCAAGGAGCCACTGTGATAGGTGGCAGGTTTATGTACCCTCAGGGAATTTATCTGCAGAAAGTAGACAAGAGTTTTCTTTCTTTTCTTTTGAGACGGTGTCTCACTCTGTCTCCCATGCTGGACTCCAATGGCACGATCTCAGCTCACTGTAGCCTCTGCCTCCCAGGTTCAAGCAATTCTCATGTCTCAGCCTCACAAGTAGGTGGGATTATAGGTGCCCGCCACAACGCCCAGCTAATTTTTGTATTTTTAGAAGAGACAGGGTTTTACCATGTTGGCCAGGCTGGCCTTGAACTCCTGAACTCAAGTGTTGCGCCTGCCTTGGCCTTCCAAAGTGCTGGAATTACAGGCGTGAGCCACCGTGCCTGACCTGAAAGTAGGCAAGAGTTTTCAGAAGAATGAAGTCACCATCTCCCGAGGTGGAAGGTGGGGGTAGCAGGGAGAACAACCTTGGGCAGCTCTCATGGGAAAGAGTTCCCACAAGAAATAAAGATTCTACCCAGTCACATAATAACTCACACAACTATGAAGAGCTGGTATGAAATGATTCAGCTTTTATTAATTAGCATCTTACATCTTAAAAGAGAAAAAAATAAAGACAAATGAGGTGGCAGAGCCAGGAGAGCTCCCTGAACACACACAAAGGGAACAGAGGCAGACAGGGCTCAGGAAGCCATCTGAGCACAGGGAGGCAGCACCCTTCGGGAGTGGGCCTGAACCCAGGGGTGCTTCAGGATCTGGGCCAGGGGCAGTCTCTCCAAGGGCTGGTATCTGAGAAGCCTGGAAATCAAGTCCCGGGCCCCCAGAGGCATTGATAGTGGAAACCTCACATCTACCTGATGAGGCCAGGAAAGAAGAAAGAGAAGTCTGGTTAATTTCTTTGATCAATGTCCTCCCTCTTCTTTGAGCCTTGTTAAGGCGCTGTTCTGGACCACAGAAGACAACCCTGTGTGTGTGTGTGCCCACAGCCCAGCAGCCATCACTGACCAGCTCCCCCATGAATGCCCAAAGGTGACTGTCCCACCTTGAGGATGCGTCTGTAAGTCTCACTGTGGGAGGCGCTCTCAAAGGGTGGATATCCCACCAGCAGCTCATAGCAGAGCACTCCAATGCACCACAAATCCACCTTTTCATCATATGTTCTCCCCTCAATCATTTCTGGCGGCAAGTAGTCCAGTGTCCCACACATTGTCTTCCTCCTAGAGGAAGGCAGAAAAGGGAATAAGTACTAAGCAGAGGCCCAGGATGAGGGAAATTCTCCTTCCCCAGCTTTCATTGAGATGTGGAGACCCTAGGACACCCTGGAAAGTCCCTCCCAAGCACAGGAGTTTGGAGAGACAAATTTTTAATATGGATCAAGGTTCAGAAAAGTACTGGGGCCTACTATTAATAAATCCATATTTTGGAATTATTCACACAGTGATTTAGCTCATGCTCCAGAATGTTTTCACAAGAATATTCTCAGCATTAAGAAAGATCTAGAACAAACTGATGGTGTATCAATGAGAGCCAAGTAAATAAATTATGGTAAGAAAATTTCTGTATGAAAATCATTCATACAGAAAAATGCACTCCTTTGGAATTGTGGAGCAATGACTTTATTTACATGCAAACTTACTGGTATAGTTATATATTAACAAAGATCAGAAAATAAAAGGTTTGATTGGACCACATTATTTAAATCTACGAATACATATCAAGTATAGGTGTTTGAAAATGGCAGCATTGGCCAGGCATCGTGGCTCATGCCTATGATCCCAGCACTTTGGGAGGCCGAGGCAGGCAGATTACCTGAGGTCAGGAGTTGGAGACCAGCCTGACCAACATGGTGAAACCCGTCTTTACTAAAAATACAAAATCAGCCGGGTGTGATGGCCCATGCCTGTAATCCCAGCTACTTGGGAGGCTGAGGCAGGAGAATCGCTTGAACCTGGGAGGGGGAGGTTGCAGTGAGCCGAGATCACACTATTGCAATCTAGCCTGGGCAACAAGAGCAAAACTCTGTCTCAAAAAAAAAAAAAAAAAAAAAGAAAAGAAAAAGGCAGTAGTTCAGCCAGGCATGGTGGCTGACGCCTGTAATCCCAGCACTTTGGGAAGCCAAGGTGGGCGGATCACCTGAGGTCAGGAGTTCGAGACTAGCCTGGCCAACATAGCAAAACCCTGTCTCTACTAAAAATACAAAAATTAGCCGAGTGTGGTGGCACATGCCTGTTATCCCAGCTACTTGGGAGACTGAGGCAGTAGAACCGCTTTAACCTGGGAGGCCGAGATTGTGCCCCTGCACTCCAGCCTGGGTGAAAGAGTTAGACTCTGTCTCAAAAAAAAAAAGAAAAGAAAAGAAAAGAAAAAGGCAGTATTCCAATAGAAACCCCAAGTTCGTATCTAGGTTTTACACATGGACACATGAAATACATTAAACTGGGTCATTCCTAACTGGTACTCAGAACTCACCCTACCACCACCACCTGACCTACCTCAGGGAGGGGGTGTGCACAGACCAGCCAAAATCTGCAATCTTCACCTCACCCCTGAACCCCAGCAGCAGGTTCTCTGGCTTAATATCTCTGTGAATCACTTTCTTGTCATGGCAGTAGGTCAGGGCATCTGCCAACTCCTCTATTATCTGTGGGTGCAAAGAAAAGTCACCCTGGAAGTGAAGCCTGCCACAATTTCCGTCTGAGGTGGAACACTTACCATGAATTGTATGATTACAGTGGAATCTTTTTGGTCCAGTAACTCCATTTCCTCCTTTTAAATTGCACCAGTTACTGGTGTGTGGGGTGTGGTTTTCCTCTCCTTTTTATGTGGTCTTATAGGATGGATGGTAACATGGACACAGATCCTCCCTGTTGTCCTAGCACAGCAAGTAGCCAGACATAGAACCTACATTGAGCCACTCAGATGATCTCTCACAGGACTTGAGGCCCGAGGAAGTGAAACAGAAACAGGAGGAAAGATGGAAGACCACTCATCCTGACACAGCAAGCTGATTGGACCATTGCTCCTGGGAAAATCATTGCCATGGTTCCCTTTCCGGAACCCTCTAGAAATCTCTTTGTACCTATCTCTAAGCCAGTTCTAGCTATTTATTCAGTGAACTCCTTCAGAGCCTTTCAATATGTTTCTTTACATAAGGCAGTGGAGTTAGATTCTGTTGCTTATAACCAAAGAATCCAAACCTATACGCAGTACTTATTAATATTCTGGAGATACAATGAGGTTAATTAGGGTATCCAAGGATAAAGCTGTAGAACATACGTGCCATTATATTAAATTTACACAATAACATTCAGAAGTAAACTTCTCAGAAGGCAATGCGGACCCTCCTGACAGCCACAAACAGAGCTCCCACCAGCCCACAGTAAACTCAGAGACCCCAGAGCCTCCAGACCCGCACCTCACCGTGGCTGTGCGCTGTTCATCTAATTTCTCGCTTTTCTGCAGCTCCTTGTAGAGCTCACCCCTTGGAGCATATTCCAGAATCAGGTACACCCGGCGTGCATCATGGAAATAGTTATACAGGCGCAGGATATTGGGGTGTCTGAAGGATTAATGTTGGAAGAGTCAGATTTCTCCCTGAGGCCTATCATATGATGCCACCGTCACTGCCTGGTCACACAAGTGGCAAATTATGCTGGGACCAGAATAACAACAGCCCTATCTGGGAGCAAGTGAGGGGAGAACGGAGAACAGGAACCAGGATTCGAGTGTCTGACCCAGGGTAGGAGGTAGTGTAAATGGAATGAACTGCAGAGAAGTCTTCAAGGTACAAGTGCAGGGTTTACTTGGGGTTAGTATTTGGGGAAAATGCTGGGCTCAGACGTCAAAGATGAAAGAGGAAGCAGAGACTGTCCTTACTGTAGATGAGCCTGGATCTCAATTTCCCGGCGCAGCTGGTGCTCCAGTCCTTCCTTCTCTATCTGCGACTTGAAGAGAACCTTCAGGGCCACAATGAAATGGCTTTCCTTGAGCCGAGCCAGGTACACATTCCCAAATTTCCCCTTGCCCAGGGGACGCCCGATTTCAAAGTCATCGACTGTGAGGCGCCGCCTGACAGGAGAGGAAGAAAAAAGCCTCAGCTTGGGAGGTAGGGTAGGCGGAGGGAAAGTCAGGGATGCCAATGCTCCCCTTCCTCTTTCATTGTATCCTTCCTCTGCCGCTTTCCCTTCTCACACAGACCCAGCCCTATCAGTAGTTCTCGTTCCCAGGAGCCAGCACCCCACACACCCAGTCTGTTCTTCATCCCCACGTCCCACCTTCCTTCCTTTTCCAGATACCAATCCCAAGGGACTCACATGGCTGGGCTGCTGGGCTGCTGGGCTGTTTGGTTTGCTGTAGCCACTGAAAGAGAGGAGGAGGAGGGAGATAGGAAGGGAGAGGGGAGGGAAGGAGAAGGGGAGAGAAAGAGAGGAGAGGAGAACAGTAGAGAAGGGAATAGGGAGCGAGAGGTGAGGGGAAGAAGGGGAGGAGAGAAAGAGAGGGAAGGGGAAGGCAGGGAGAGGGGGAGGGAGAGGTAAGGGGAAGAAGAAAGAGTAAGGTAAGGTAGGGAGGGGAGGAGGAGGTGAAGAAGAGGCAGAGAGAAAGGAAGGGGAGGAGAGAGTAGGGGAGGGAGAGGTGAAAGAAAGAATTGGAGGGAAGGGAGGGAGTGGGGAGAAAAGAAGAGCGTTGGGGAGGAGGAGAGGGAGGGGAGATGTCAACACATGTGTCTTCTGTGCACCCGACCCCTGGCCCAGTCCCCAGCCTTCCCTGCGTCCTTTCTCTGGCGCTGGCTCTCACACTCTTCGCCTGCAGGTTGAGCTTTGCCCAGCTGCACCACAGCTCTGGGGGAGCTCATGGGGAGAAGAGGTGAGGGCGCGGACGCCTTCCTGAACCCTCTGGATGGCTGTTCCCGTTCACAGGGTCCTGAAAGGGGTGGGGGGTCACTTTCTGGCCGGGGCGCTTCCAATCCTGCTCGTCCTGCAGCCTCACTGATGTCTCACTGCTACACAGGCTTCGGGATCCGCGGCGTCGTGAGCAGCCGTGGCTGCGCGGCCTTCTTTTATACCCGGCACCAACCGCTCAGAGAGGTACTTCCTGGCTGGCTCCTATTGGCTGAAATTCCTGACGCCATCGGAAGTGCGCCCAATAGAAAGGACAGAAACGGGAGCCTCAGTCCAGGGTTCCCGGGTTGGGGCGGAACTGGAGTGCTGCGGTCCGGGCTGGGCACTGAAAGCGAGGGCCAGGGGTGAGGCCCGAGAAGGAAGGAGACAGAGGGTGCGGAGAGGTGGTGATGGCCGTTGTGGGAATGAACAACGCATACACCCACGGGGTGTGCATGCGTCAACTAGGAGAGAGCCGCGATGCACGTGGGAATGAACAGACGCCCACTCCTGACGTGCTGGAGCCTCGTGCAGCCCGTGACCCTAAACCACTTCGCGCCTTGTGCAGCCGGCGACCCCAAAACCACCTTGCTTCAAGGTCACGTCCGATTCAGGCCACTCTCCAGGGTCACCGCGATGGGGCTCCCTGAAGCCTGCGGCTGTGCCTGCTCACAGCCAGGACGCCACCAGTCCAGCTCACTTACCCCTCTCCTCCCACTCGCCAAATATTTGTTGGACCCTGTAATCAGTTTGTGGATTTGGCCTCAGATCGTAAAATCAGCCCCCACGTATTTGTTTAGCAAACACATAAGTTTCAAAAACATTAAAAATTGAATTCTTTTAGACAGGGAACATATCTTGCAGAAATATAATTGAAGGCCTGGCGTGATGGCTCATGCCTGTAATCCCAGCACTTTGGGAGGCCGAGGCGGGCGGATCACCTGAGGTAGGCAGTTCGAGACCAGCCTGGCCAACAGGGCGAAACCCCGTTTCTACTACAAAAATTAGCCGGGTGTGGTGGCGCATGCCTGTAATCCCACCTACTCAAAAGGCTGAGGCAAGAGAATCGCTTGAACCCTGGAGGCGGAGGTTGCAGTGAGCCAAGATCATGCCACTGCACTCCAGCCTGGGCGACAGAAGGAGAACGAGACTCTGTCTCAAAAAAAACAAAAACAAAAACAAAAAAACCCAAAAACAAAAAAGCTCGTCTCAAAATATTTGGGGAGACCTATTTGAGTAATAAAACTCTGGTCTCTCATTTAGCTCGATTGATGTGAATTAAACCCTTTATTGCAATTATCCTGTCTTGATAAGTCGACTCTATCTGGGGAGCAGGGAAAATAATGAACCCATTAGGTGGTTACAATAGGTGGATCAGGGTAATGGCGCTTAGCTCAGGCCAACCATTCCTTTCTCAGAGGCTTTCCCAAACCTGTCTGTTTGTTTGTTTATTGAGACGGAGTCTTGCTCTGTCACCCAGGCTGGAGTGCAGTGGCTCGAACTCAGCTCATGCAACCTCCGCCTCCTAGGTTCAAACATTTCTCCTGCCTCAGCCTCCTGAGTAGCTGGGATTACAGGCACCTGCCACCATGCCCGGCTAATTTTTGTATTTTTAGTAGAGACAGGGTTTCACCATGTTGGCCAGGCTGGTCTCGAACTCCTGACCTCAGGTGATCCACTCGCCTCGGCTTCCCAAAATACTGGGATCACAGGTGTGAGCCACTGCGCCCAGCTCCAAACTGTCAATTTAAAACAGCCCCCACTACAACGTCATCCTGTTCTGTTTTTCCTTAGGTCACTCATAACCATGTGAAAGTGCTGTTTTATATATGTGTATATTGTTAATTTAATGAGTATCGATTGAGTGCCTATCTTGCAACAGGCACTGCTCTAAAAAATCAGATATGTACATAGCAAAATAATTATGCATTCCTGTACTTGAGGAATTTTTTTTTTTTTTTGAGATGCAGTTTCACTCTGTCGCCCAGGCTGGAGTGCAGTGGTGCGATCTCGGCTCACTGCAACCTCTGCCTCCCAGGTTCAACCAATTCTCCTGCCTCAGACTCCCAAGTAGCTGGGACTACAGGTGCACACCACCACGCCCGGCTAATTTTGGTATTTTTAGTAGAGACAGGGTTTCACCATTTTGGCCAGGCTGGTGTCGAACTCCTGACCACAGATGATCTACCCACCTCAGTCTCCCAAATTGCTGGGATTACAGGCGTGAGCCACTGTCCCTGGCCCTCGGGGACCTTTTAATTCCAACAATCAGTAACTCAAAAAGAACAACCACAACCACAAAAGTAAACAATATAGAAGGTTAGAGGGAGGTAGAGTAGTTGGGAAATGTCTAAAAGACAGTTATATCTGAGCATGGACTTGGAGGAATGGAGCATCTGAGGTAACAGGGTCTCATAGAGAGAGCACCTAAGACAAGGGAATGAAAGCAGGAGGATCCTGTCGTGTTTGGGGAAGTGCAACAAGGTTAGTATGGCTGCAGCTGAAGATAAACTGAATCACAGAGATAGATGGACGTGAATTCTGTAGTGTCCTGGAGGCCACAGTAAGGAGGTCATATTTTTATTTTTAGTTTTGAGACAAAGTCTCACTCTTCCACCCAGGCTGGAGTGCAGTGACACCATCATGGCCCACTACAGCCTCGAACTCCCAGGCTTAAGCAATTCTTCCACCTAAGCCTGCCAAGTAGCTGGGACCACAGGTGCATGCCACCACATCCAGCCAATTTTTAAAAATTTATTCTTTTTAAAGATGGGGTCTCACTATATTTCCCAGGCTGGTCTTGAACTCCTGGGCTCAAGCAGTCCTGCCTCAGCCTCCCAAAGTGCTGGGATTACAGGCGCGAGCCACTGCGCCTGGCCCAAGGATGTTGTAATAGGCTCCCTGTGTATTCTAGAATATACCTGGGATTGTATTTAGTCAGGCAGGGTGTGACAATCAGATACAGAAGTGATTATTATGGAGGAAGTTTATAGTAAGAGATCCCTAGAAACAGGAGGCAGAGCACACCATGCGGGTGGAAGCACCAGAGCAGGTTAGAAAGCAGCAGCAGAGGAGAAAGCAAGGCCCAGAGCCTGCGCTGTGTTTTCCACCAGAAAGGCAAGGCAAGGCAGGGCAGGGGCAGCATAAACAGAATAGGATTTGCTACTGTGAATAATGTTGGCAGGTTTTAGGACACAGGCACTGTCCGCAGCTATCTGATATCTGACCCTAGAATGAATTAGGGCCAACTTCAGGAAAACAACCTCTTGGGGTATCTTGCCTGGTAAGATTTTTATGTCGAAAACCATAAGTAGGTCCTGCTGCACGTTTGACCAGATAATTTATGCTAACAATATGATTCATGGTGGATGCTGGCTTTTGCATGCATGAGGCCCTGGGCCATGCTATATGTTTGTTTTCTGCAAGGGTTGTAGACTGGATATTTATGGTTATTCATGTGGGTTCTGCATTCCTACCTCAATGACCCTTAACGAAAACTCTAGACGTCAAGGCTTGGGGGAGCTTCCCTGGCTGGCAATACTGTGAATGTGTTGCACACAACTTTGCTGGGAGAATTCAGTGTGCCCTTGTGCAACTGCACTGGGAGGGAACACCTGCTAAGTTTGTGCCTGTGCTGGACACAGTGGCTTCCACCCGTAATCCCAGCACTTTGGGAGGCCAAGGCGGGTGGATCACTTGAAGTCAGGAGTTCCAGACTGGCCTGGCCAACATGGTGTAACCCCATCTCTGCTAAAAACACAAAAATCAGCCAGTGTGGTGGCACATGCCTGTAATCCCAGCTACTTGGGAGGCTGAGGCAGAGGATCACCTGAACCTGGGAGGCAGAGGTTGCAGTGAGCCGAGATTGTGCCATTGCACTCCAGCCTGGGTGACACAGCGAGACTCCATCTCAAAAAAAAAAAAAAAAAAAAAGAAAAAGAAAAAAGAAAAAAAATTGTGCCTGGTTTCTCACAGATTTCCTCCTATGTGCCTTTTACCTTTGGTGATCTTGGTCTCTATCCTTTTGTGGTAATAAACTGTAACCATGAGTACAACAGCTTTTCTGAGTTGTGTGTGACTTTCTTTTCTGAATTTTGACTTTCAGGCAAATCATCGAGCCTGAGGTGGTACTGGGGAGAGAATGTCACATAACCTAAAATGTCAAAAATGATTAAGGCTCATTCACCTAACAAATATCTGAATACATACTATTGACTACAAACTATGCACATGGAACATTAGGAGAAAATCTAGATCAAGGTCTGTGCTTTTTCGAAGCTGGAAATTGAGTTCAGGATACGGTCATTATTCAATAACCAAACAAATCAATAGATAATCATGAAAGAATGGGTATGAGCTAGCTGGGTGCTCTAGTGGGCTTCTGTGAAGGTGTGCTCTCTGGGACAAAATGAAGGATACACATTTGCTAACTGGGCAAAGCAGGTGGTGGAAGCTCCATCTCGAGTGGGAAAAGGAAAGGGAAGCATGGAGTGAAAGGAGAGCAGTAAGACTTGTATGAGATGAGGGTTGGGGAAATACGTTTTAGGGTATGTTCACTAAAGTAGGTAGCTGAACCCAAGAGTGCAGATGAGGCCTGGGGAGAGACCAGTAAGAGAAAAAAGAGGCCTGGGACAAAGCCTTAGAAATTTCAACACCGGTCAGGCACGGTGGCTCATGCCTGTAAGCCCAGCCCTTTAGGAGGCCAAGGCAGGCGGATCACCTGAGGTCAGGAGTTAAAGACCAGCCTGGCCAACATGGTGAAACCCCGTCTCTACAAAAATACAAAAATTAGCCGGGCATAATGGCAGATGCCTGTAATGCCAGCTACTCAGGGGGCAGAGGCGGGAGAATCACTTGAACCTGGGAGGCGGAGGATGCAGTGAGCCGAGATCATGCCATTGCACTTCAGCCCGGAGACAGAGCAAGACTCTGTCTCAAAGAGAAAAAAAAAAGAAAAAAAATTCAACACCAAATGGCTGGATACACGTGGATGCACCAACATGAAAGGGGAAAAGGAGTGAGAGGGTGCAGGGGAGAAAACCAGAAGCATAACCTTACAGAATCCAAGAGTACATCTGGAGAAAGGACTGGACAACAACAGTTTCAAGTCCTGTCCATAGCCCAGAAAAGACAAGGACTTAGGATTCATAAACAGGGAGCCACTGCTGACCTTCACCAGAGTGGTAAAAAGCGTGGTGCTGTAGCCGGGGAGTTTACAAGGAGAGGGGAGTTGCGGGACGTGGAGAGAAATAACACAAGGAAGAGGTAATGGGAGCGTGACATGAGCCCCAAGAGGCTCCTCCATTAGAGGAAGAGAGTGAGGAAAAGACAAAGAACTCAAAGCTGGAGAAGCCCATACAGACATAGGGACATATGGAAGATCAGACTGGTGATGTCTGATACTCAAGAAGTGTGAGGATAATTCAGAAAGGGTTTGAAAATGACAAAAGAACATGCAGATGAAGACCAGGCACGGTGGCTCATGCCTGTAACCCCAGCACTTTGGGGGCCAGGGGAGGAGGACTGCTTGAGCCCAGGAGTTTGAAACCAGCCTGGGCAACACAGGGAGACCCCCATCTCTACAAAAAATTTAAAAATTAGCTGGGCATAGTGATGTGCACCTGTAGTCTCAGATACTTGGGAGGCTGAGCCTGCAGTGAGCCATGATCAGAAGACCCTATTTTTTTTTTGTTTTTTGTTTTTTGAGATGGAGTTTCACTCTTGTTGCCCAGGCTGGAGTGCAATGGCGCAATCTTGGTTCACCGCAGCCTCTACCTCCCGGGTTCAAGCATTTCTCCTGCCTCAGCCTCCCGAGTAGCTGGGATTACAGGCATGCACCACCACACTCAGCTAATTTTTTGTATTTTTAGTAGAGACGGGGTTTCTCCATGTTGGCAAGGCTGGTCTCAAACTCCTAATCTCAAGTGATCCACCTGCCTCGACCTCCCAAAGTGCTGGGATTACAGGTGTGAGCCACCGCGCCCAGCCTAAGATCCTATGTCAAACACACACACACACACACACACACACACAGCAAAAGAACATGCAGATGGAAAATAGGCTTGTAGGTGGCTGAAATGACATGTATGCCAAAAGTCAAGAAACTGAGATGAAAAAAGATTACTGTCACTGCTGAAGCCTAATTTCAAAGATCAAGAGACACACTTTGAACATATGTGAGTTCTTATACCTGAGAGCCAGGACATGGAACTAGGAAGAACAAGAGTACAGAGATGTTGAAAGACCACACAGCTACAAATGGCTAAAGGCTTAAGAAAGGAGGGAGGATGCCCATGAAAGGGAGGATAATCAAGAAAACACCATGTGGTCGGGCCGGGAGATGGCATTCTTCCTTCAAACTTGCAAACATTAAGAAGTGGCCCGGGGAGAATGATATCGGAAGGTGTTGTGTATTTGGGGCCCTCAATTAGTTGTGCTTGAGCTTTCTTGAGTGTCGGGCTATGAGAAGGGCATCAGGAGCTACCTTCCTAAAAACCCCAACCCCTCAGATGGTTGAGATTTTGCTAACACAATGGTCCCTCAAACGCCTGGGTCCTACCAATGCATCTGGAGAGCCCCTCTTTGGCATTGACCCCCTCCTCCTTCCATGGCTGTCCACTGAGTTCCAACCTAAGTATCACATTTGGCTTGGTGCACTGACACAGTTCTTTGGAAATGACATGGAAATGGCTGATTTGCTTTGCTAAATTCTTGAAATTCATGAGTGCTTTCAGGTAGGTTTTTTAAAATGTAGATTTTATTATTTAGCGTTGACGATGCCAACAGATCAGAAGACTGCCACTGATGAGTGTGTAACTCATAGTTCCCATGAAGAGGGGGTATATGAAGCCACACAGGGCTAAACAGGGAAGACTCACGGTTGGTTAGGAGACAGGAGGAAGGGGAAAGTGTGGGTAAAGCCTGTGTTATCATTTCTTCATTTTATTTTTAAAGAGCCAGGGTCTTGCTCTGTTGTCCAGGCTGAGGTGCAGTGGCTCAGTCACAGCTTACTGCAGCCTCAAACTCCCAGGCTCAAGTAACACTCCTATCTTAGCCTCCAAGTAGCTGCAACTAGAGGTGTGCACTATTGTGCCCCGTGAATTTTTTTTTTTTTTTTTTTTTTGTAGAGATGGGGTCTGGCTATGTTGCTCAAGCTGGTCTCAAACTCCTGGCCTCAAGTGAGCCTCCTGCCTTGGGCGCCCAGTGTTGGATTACAGGTGTGAGCTACCACACCCGGGCTGTATTGCCATTTTCGAGTGAAGAAATGGGTAAGGCAGAATAAACAAGTTATGAATTGGCTTAGCAATTCATAACTTAGCAAAAGCGGAGGAGACTTTTGCTACCTCTAAGAGGAGCAGTGTCTCCAGGATCAGCAAGGTCTCATTTGTCAAAATATCAGAATAAAAACACATGCTGAGCCAGGCAAAGTAGCTCATGCCTGTAATCCCAGCACTTTGGGAGGCTGAGGCAGGAGGACCACTTGATCTCAGGAGTTCGACACCAGACTGGGTTTCGAACACAGATATCTCATCTCTAGATTTAAAAAAAAAAAAAAAGAATCAGCTGGGCATGGTGGCAAGCACCTGTAATCCCAGCTACTCAGGAAGTTGAGGCGGGAGGATCACCTGAGCCCGAGAGATTGAGGCTGCAGTGAGCTATGAATGTGCCACTGCACTCCAGCCTGGGTGACAAAATTTCATTAAAGTCACCTGGCCAGTCAACACAAGGCCCATGGCTCGTAACCCTTACTCAAGAGGGTATTTCTCCTCCGCTATCTTGCCTGTCACATGCAAACCAGCCATTCCACAGCCCTACCCCTCAACTGTCTTTGGCAAGTTCTCACATGTGGAGCTACTATCCCCCTTCTTACTCAGTTACTTTTAGCTGGGAACTAGTACCCCAGTACTAGTTACTAGCTAAAAGCAGTCTATATACTCTGGAGCTCCCTGAAATTATTCAGACTAGCCAATTCATAACTTGTTTATTCTGCCTTGCCCATTTCTTCGCTCGAAAGTGGCAATACAGCCTGGGTGTGGTGGCTCACACCTGTAATCCAACACTGGGCGCCCAAGGCAGTGTTTCTTCTCCTTGGAGCAGTTCAGTTGAGACCACACAATTTTAAGATGTGTAACATGCCTGTGGCAAAGATTAAAAATCTTTGACCCTCAAAACCCAAGCACACTACTGAACATTGCAGAGGCACTCCAGCTTCCCACAATCGAGACAGGAAAGGCCATGCTGCGGTATGATAAAAAGGGTGCTGTGCAATTCCCACAAGCCAGATTCCCGTGGGTCTCCAACATCCCGTCTCTGTAGGGGACCTCTCGGCTGGAGTCAGCTGTTCAACTCCTCCAAAGTAAAACTCAGGCAAACATGATTCCAATAACATACTCTTTAATCACAAGTTATCTGCATTTAATAATGCAGAAATTATAAACCCATATTATTTAAATCTCTCCCCCACTGAAGCCATGAACTAGTTTCAAAAGCAGCAACAAAAGGATGACAAATTGTTTACATATATACTATAGAAATACACACTGAACTGGCAATAACATCTTTACAAAGGTGAACAAAGGGAGTACCTGCAAGTCGCACCACTTATAGCCATATATATATATTCATACACGTGTATATGTGTGTGTGTGTGTGTAGCTTGAAGTGGTCCATATGTACACACACATATACATATATATATATAGAGAGAGAGAGAGAGAGAACGCGAGCAGACTAGGTCCTTTCTTGAAAGACTCTCTCTGTACCTTTTCATCACTAAATTAAATCTCTAGGCTAGGGTGTTCATAAGTTCCACTGTAACTTAGGATTTGCTTTTTCCTCTTAACAAAACTGAGGCATTTTTTTTTTTTTTTTTTTTTTGAGACACAGTCTCACTCTGTCACCCAGGCTGGAGTGCAGTGGCATGATCTCGGCTCACTGCAACCTCTGCCTCCCAGGTTCAAGCGATTTTCCTGCCTCAGCCTCCCAAGTAGCTAGGACTAAATGCATGTACCACTACGCCCGGCTAATTTTTCATTTTTGTAGAGATGGGATTTCACCATGTTGGCTAGGCTGGTCTCAAACTCCTGACCTCAAGTGATCCACCCGCCTCAGCCTCCCAAAAGTGCTGGTATCACAGGCGTGAGCCACCTGAATTTATTACAATCATTACATAAGCCTTCACCACAAAGTCATGACCATTATTTTTTTGCTGAAAAAAAATTATTTGCTTAATGTTACGTAAATTTGACTTATATAGCATTTTAGTACCACTTAAGTCACTGTATAAAACAGCAGGTTGGAGACTGCTATCCTTTTGAGTTTGCAAGGTTCACCCTTGCTGGAGTGTGGGACCTTAGATTTTGGGAGGCTTACTACTGCTCCACCCACCCAAAACAGGAGTAGCTCACTGCCCTGTTTTTCGGTGCCTTTTTTTCCCCCCAGCTGAAAGGGGGATAACGTTTTCAGCTGAAAAGCTGAACCCCTGCTAACCTTCTGGAAGTCCAGAATTGTGGGATGTGCTAGAAAACATGCCCAATAAAAACCCTGGCACTGAGTCTCTAATAAGCTTCCCAGTGGACATATAGCATGTGTTGTCATAAGTACCAGATGGAACTTAAATAAGGCACATCCTGTGACTTCACTGAAACAAGACTCAGAAGATTGTGCCTGGTTTTCTCTGAATTTTGGCTTTTTCCCTTTACTATTTGCTTTGTATTTTTTTGCTGCAGTAAATCATAGCTGTTGAGTATGACAGAATGCTGAGACCTGAGTCTTCTCAGCAAATCGTCAAACCTGGGGGTGTTCTTGAGGATCCCAAGACAGTCATTCATAACAATTTCTAAAATCATGTACATCTGTCCAAAAAAGCCCAGGTAGGCCAGGTGCGGTGGCTCACGCCTGTAATCCCAGCACTTTGGGAGGCCGAGGCGGGTGGATCATGAAGTCAGGAGGTGGAGGCCATCCTGGCCAACATGGTGAAATCCCACTACTACTAAAAATACAAAAATTAGCTGGGTGTGGTCGCAGGCACCTGTAGTCCCAGCTACTCAGGAGGCTGAGGCAGGAGAATCGCTTGAACCCGGGAGGCAGAGGCTGCTGTGAGCCAAGATCACGCCACTGCACACCAGCATGGGTGACAGAGTGAGACTCCATCTCAAAACAAACAAACAAAAAAAGCCCAGGTAGATTATCTTTGAGGTCAAGGTATGTCATACATGGTACCACCTATACGCACAGCTTCATGGTAAACATTCTGTGAGGGAACCAAAAATTGCAATAAAGGCTGGGTGTGGTGGCTCATGCCTGTAATGCCAGCACTTCGGGAGGCCGAGGCGGGTGGATCACCTGAGGTCAGGAGTGTGAGACCAGCCTGGCCAACATGGTGAAACCCCGTGTCTACAAAAAATACAAAAATTAGCCGGGCATGGTGGCCCATGCCTGTAATCCCAGCTACTTGGGAGGCTGAGGCAGGAGAATTGCTTGAACATGGGGGGATGGAGGTTGCAGTGAACTGAGATCGCACCACTGCACTTCAGTCTGGGTGGCAGAGTATGAGACTCTGTGTCTCAAACAACAACAACAAAATTGCAATAAAAATAACTTTGCTGTGTGTGGCCATTCACCAAAACACACACATATATGGAGGGTCTACTAAAAAAAAAGGTGGAATGAACAGAATGGGGCAGTGCCTGGATGTGGGGACGAGGTAAGAGAAAAAGAGGTGGTTGCAATGTGGCTTGGGCAACAAGATTCAAATTTGGGAAATTCACCCTGATCTTTAGGCACTTCAAACACTCCTAAAGCCAGATGCATGTCTTACCGCTTCCCTACTCAGTTTTCCCACTCCCCTGTCCTCAAACCCAGACACTGTATCTTCTACATAGTTACAACAGATATTTGCACCCATTAAAGAGTGGCTTTGGTTTACCTTCCTCAAGTTGAAGAAACAGTCAAGATGTATTGTCGAATGAGAGTAACAGATTATAGCATTGTTGAATCAACTTTAGTAAAAATAGTGACCAGAAAACAAACCCCCCAACATGAGAAGCAATAAAGTGGTTAAAGACATGAATTCTGAAGCCAGTCTACGTGGCCTCCCATTCCTAAATCCAAACTTCATAACTGTGTAACCTTGGGCAAATTCTTAACCTGAGCCTATCTATATTCTGCTCTGCAAAATGAAGGAAACAACATTACCTACCACACACAGATGCTGTAAATGTTGAAAGAGCTGATGCATGTAAAACATTCACAACAATGTCTCATACATAGCCACATGACATTCACCTGCTCTCATTATAATTATGGGTGCATCCCCACGGCCAGGGCCATGGCCACATAGACACGCATACAGGCTCAGTGTTTACAAATGCAGAGAAAGTGCAGAAGATGCCCAGTGGGCCACAGACGTGAGAAACATCCAGTCTGGAGACATAGATTTGGGAAATTCTGTAGATCATTGAAAGTAAATGTCTTCAGCAGGAACCATCTCATTCACAGAGCTCATGGCAAGTGAAAAAGCAATGGCCAATGATGGATTCTGGGAAACAAAAATGTTTAAGAGTTGGAAGGAAGACACAGACCCTCTGGAGGAGAAAGACAGCAACTTTCAAGAACCAAGAAAGAAGTTTTGGTTCAGAGTGGTGGTCAGCAGCACAAAGTTCTAACAAGGAAGTAAGAGGACAAATGATGGAAGCCCTCCTGTAGCTGTCCGTGGAGTGAGGGAAATGAGAAGGGGCGAGGACGGGTAGTGTGCAGAACAACTACACAGACCATGTCTGTGGGAGACAGAAGAAATGGGCAGAGACTGATGGACAAGCGGGGTGAAATCCATTTGGGGATGAGGATAGAGACTTGAATACAGATACAGATTATGGGGGAAAAATCTGGTTATCAGAGACAAGTTAAAGACTAGGCGAGGAAGTATGACAGAGAGCCTAAAAAAGACTGGGCAGGAGGTAGGAAAATGTGTCCAATAACAAAAGGCAAGAGTGATCCTGGAAGAGAGGTGACTCCTTCCTGAGGATACAACAAGGCATAGAGAGCTAGAGAATTTTTTTTTTTTTTGAGATGGAGTCTCGCTCTGTTGCCCAGGCTGGAGTGCAGTGGCACGATCTCAGCTCAGTGCAGAGAGCTAGGGAATTTTACAAACATTCCATGGAGAACATGACTCTGAAAAATCTGCAGATCACTCTCAGTTGTAAGATCTGTTCATAGAAATATTGGTGTAGCACAACTCAGAAGACTGTGGGCTTTCTATTCCCCCAGATAGTTTAACATTTCTATTCAAATGTCAAGACAAACCACCAGAGAACCATGACTTTGGAATATAGTTGTCTATTCTCTGAGAGTCTTTCTTTGGCGTTAAAAAATAAGCAAAGAAACAGAAGGTGTACAAAAGAACCCACCCAATGGAAATTAAACAACTGGAAAATACAAAACCAAAATGAAAACTCACTGCACAAACTCAACAGATTAGGTATGACAAAGAAAACAATCAGTGAGGACCATGGAAGGTCAATAAAAATTAATCAATATTAACAAGACAGAAAATAGACTGGAAAAAGAAAAAAGATGAGAGCCTGAAGGACCCATGGGAGTGTAAAACAAGATCTGCCACTCATGTTATTGAAGTCCCTAAAAAAGACAAGACTGGGGGGTGAAAAAATATTTGAAGAAATAATAGTTGAAAGTTCCCCAAATTTTGCAAAAGGCATAATCCTACAGATCAAAAAGCTGGGCAAGCACCAGGGAGCGCCAAATAGAATACACCCAAAAACTTCCATGCCACGCACATCACAGCCAAACTTCTGAACACTAGAGACAATGAAAAACACTTTGAATGAAGCTTGACAGAACTGATGCATTGTAAAATAGGGAATGATTATTTGAATGCTAGTAGGTTTCTTATATTAAACAATAATGTACAGAACAGAGAGATACATCTCTGAAGTCTAAAAGAAAACAACTGCCAACTCTGAATCTTATATTCCACAAAAATATTCTTTGGGAATGAAGGAAACATAAAGACATCTTTAGAGGAAGGAAAACAAAGAACATTTGTTACTCTAGAAGAAAGGCTACAGTAAAGTTCAGTGTATAACTGAAAAGAAATGTTAATAGAAGGTTTGGGATTTCAAGAAAGAAGAATGAACAATGGAATGGGTAAAGAGGTCGACAGGCCAAGGTTGGCGGATCACAAGGTCAGGAGTTTGAGACCAGCCTGAGCAACATGGTGAAACCCCGTCTCTACTAAAAATACAAAATTAGCTGGGTGTGGCGGCGCACACCTGTAATCCCAGCTACTCAGGAGGCTGAGGCAGGAGAATCGCTTGAACCCAGGAGGCGGAGGTTGCAGTGAGCCAAGATCGTGCCACTGCACTCCAGCCTGGGTGACAGAGTGAGACTCTGTCTCTTTAAAAAAAAAAAAAAAAAAAAAAGGTCAAGAGACAATGTTTCTCATGACGTTTTGTAAAATACGTGTGAGAGATAAAGTAAAAATTACATCTTGTGGCCGGGTGCAGTGGCTCACACCTGTAACCCCAGCACTTTGGGGGGCCGAGGCGGGTGGATCATGAGGTCAAGAGTTCAAGACCAACCTGGCCAAGATGGTGAAACCCCGTCTCTACTAAAAATACAAAAATTAGCCAGGCGTGGTGGCGGGCGCCTGTAATCCATTACTAGGGAAGCTGAGGCAGTTAATTGCTTGAACCCGGGAGGCAGAGGTTGCAGAGAGCCGAGATCGCATCACAGCACTCCAGCGTGGGTGACAGAGTGAGACTTGGTCTCAAAAAAAAGGAAAAGAAAAATTACATCTTGCAACATAGCGCTCAATTTTTGAAGAGGAATTACTATTACTTAAGATAGTTACATTAGTAGGTAAGCTAAAGGAACCTAATGGAAGTAAAGTGCTAAATTGCTGATAACTTATTAAACTGTCATAAGTTATATATTTACACTGTAATAGTAGAACAATCACTAAAAAATGCAGATATATACAGACAGTCCCTGACTTAGGATGGTTCGACTTACTACTTGACTTTACAATGGTGCGAATGCGACATGCATTCAGTAGAAACCACACTTGAATTTTTATTTAAAATTCTTTGCAGTAACTTTATTATAAAGTAGGCCTTGTGTTAGATGATTTTGCCCAACTGCAGGCTAATGTAAATTTTCTGAGCATTCTGAAGGCAAGATCGGCTATGATGTTCAGCAGGGTAGGTGTATTAAATGCATATTTGACATAGTATTTTCAACTTGCAATGGGTTTATTGTGACATAACCCCATCATAAGTCAAGGAGGATCTATACTAAAAAACACTACATATGTATCAAATCAAATTATTAAAAAAAAAAAAGGTGAAGTAACCTATAGGAAGACTAGTAAACAACCCCAAATAACAGAGGAACAATAAAAAAGAACACAAAAATCATTTAAGGGCACACTTAAGCCCTAAAATATCAATAATTATTTTAATGTAAATCATTTCAACATACCAATTAAGAGAGACATATGCAGAATGAATAAAAAAAGCATGGCCTGAGTATATGCTGTTCAAAGAAACTGACTTCATAAGTAATGATACAGGTAAGCTTTAAAATAAAATGAAGAAATATTAACCATGCAAACATTAATCAAAATATGCAGGAGTCACTATGAGAACATCAGGTAAAGTATTGACAAGACTATTAAAAGGCAAAAAAATGACATCACATAATGACAGAAGAGTCAATTCACCACAAAGACTTGGCAAACCTACATGTATATGTACCAAACAATACAGCTTTGAACTTTGCAAACAAAAAGTGATAGAACTTGAAAGAGCAACACACTTCCACAATCATGTTCAGGACTTTTTGTTGTTGTTGTTGAGACAGAGTCTCGCTCTGTTGCCCAGGCTGGAGTGCAGTGGTGAGATCTCAGCTCACTGCAACCTCTGCCTCCCACGTTCAACTGATCCTCCTGCCTCAGCCCCCCAGCAGCTGGGATTACAGGCACACGCCACCATGCCTGGCTAATTTTTGTATTTTTAGTAGACAGGGTTTTGCCATGTTGGCCAGGCTGGTCTCGAACTCCTGGCCTCAGGTGATCCACCTGCCTTAGTGGTCTCAAAGTGCTAGGATTACAGGCGTGAGCCACTGCACCCGGCCTATGTTCAGGACTTCAACACCCCTCTCAGCAACTGACAGAAATGCTGGACAGAAAATCAGCAAGGACATAGCTGACTTGAATAACAATGAGCAGGATCATAGAGACATTTATAGAAACTCCACCCAGTAACAGCAGAACACCCATTCTTTTCAAGCAGCTATACGAAACAAGATAGACCCTATCCTGGGTCATAAAAAAATGTTAACACATTTAAACAGTCAGATCAAACATGGAACAAATTAGAAATCAGTAACAAATATGCCAAACACCAGAAAATTAAGCATACTATTAAATAATTCATGGCTAAGAGAGAATGTCTCAAAAAATAAAAACTATTAGAATTAAAATGTAATGAAAACATTAAAACTTGTGGGATCAAACCAATAGTGATATGAGGTAAATTTATACAATGTAATGCTTACATTAAAAAAGCAAAAAAATCTCAAATCAATAATCTAAAACCCCACCTTGAAAAGTTAGAAAGAGCCAAATACAACCAAAGCAAGTGGAATATAATACCGATCAGAGCAGAAATCAAAGAAATCAAGAATAGAGACAAATCATTAATATAAAGTGCTAGTTCTCTGAAGTGAGAGATGAAGCAAAAATTACATCTTTCAGCATGATGCGCAATAAAACTGATAAATGTCTAAGAAGACTCAATCATAAAATGAGTATGCACATTTTAAATATTAAAAATAAAAAGAAGTGCAGATCCTGCTATCAAAAGAATAAGGGAGTGCTACAAATACAGATGAAATATTCCTTCAACAGGACAGACTATCAAAATTTATTACACAAGAAATAGATACTTCGAATAGTTCTACCTATCCAATAAAATAAATATGTAATTTAAAAGCCTCCAGAAGAAAAATCTCTGGCCCAATGGTTGACTAGAGGTCATCAAACATGACAAGAACAAATAACACCAATTCTACACAGTCTTCCAAAAATTAGAAGAGAACTCCTTCCAATTCATGTTGAAAGGTCAAGATCACCTAGACATCAAAACCACACATAAGACATTTAGAACATAAGAAACAAAAGAAAAAAGAACTACACATTATTAGCCAATAAATTAGAGGAATATTTCCTCAACAAAATACAAACAAAGGGAATGATGTCAAATGATATATAAAAACAATTATACTCTACAAACAAGTATGGTTTATTCTAAGGATGCAAGGCTGGCTCAATATTCAAAACTTGATCAAAGCAATACATTCCATCAATAGGATGTAGAAGGAAAATAGCATAATGACATCAACTGGTGGAGAAAAAGTACTGAACAAAATTCCACACTTATTCATAGCAACACAGAGTCTCAGAAAACTGGGAACAGAGGAAATTTTTTACCCTTATAGAGGACATATGTTTTATAAAACTTACATTATACTTCATGATGAAAAACTGAACATGCTGTGCACTGTGGCTCACGCCTGTAATCCCAGCACTTTGGGAGACCCAGGCAAGCAGGTTGCTTGAGCCCAGGAGTTCAAGACCAGCCTGGGCACCATGGTGAAACCCTGTCTCTACCAAAAAATACAAAAATTAGCTGGGACTGGTGGTGCATGCTTGTAGTACCAGCTACTGGGGGGTGGTGAGGGCTGAGGTGGGGGGATCACTTGAGCCCAGGAACTTAAGGCTATGGTGAGACAAGATCGTGCCACTGCACTCCAGCCTGGGTGACAGAGCGAGACCCTGTCTCAAACAAAAAACAAAAAAACAAAAAACTGAACATTGTCCCCCCTACTATCAGGAACCAGGTAAGGATGGCCTTTCTCACTATTCCTATTCAACGCTATAATGGAAGTCCCAGCTTGTGCAATGCAATAAGACAAACAAAAAGGAAATAAAAGGTATATTACAGGTAAGATGAAAGATAAAAAATGGTCTGTATTTGCAGATGACATTTCTATATAGAAAATTCCAAGGATTCTGTCGAAAGAAATAGCTAAAAATAATAAGTGAACTCAATAAGGTTGCAGGGTAGCAAAACAATGTCCAAAAATATTATATTTCTGTATACTACCAAAAATTGTGTGCAATTCAAAGTTCAAACATCAATGCCATTTACAATCACTCAAATTACACACACACACAAACAAAAAAGCACCCTAGGATGCAAATTCTAACAAAAATGCATAGGGATCTATACGCTGAAAATTTTTAACATTAATGAAATACTTTAAGGAATGCTTAACTATTATAAATTAAGAGGCCTACTCCTGCACTCATGAACTACAAGACCCAACATAGTAAAGATACCAATTCTTAACAGATTAATCCACAGACTTAACTCAATTTCTGTAAAAATCTGAACAAGACTGTTTTGTAAATAAGTACAAACTAATCCTAAAAATTATATGGAATGTCAAAGGAACTAGAAATGCTGTCGATTTTAAATAAGAGCAAAGAAGAATCACTTTACTCAATTTAAAAATTTACCACTGACATTTTGAGCTAAGTAATTTTTAAAAATTTAACAAATAAAAATTTACCATATGGCTACAATGATGACGTAAACCAAAAGACGGGCATCAAGACAAAAGCCTGAATGTTAACATGTGTATCCTTACTGACTTAAACGTGAGTATTTCATGGCTCAAGCCCCCTAAGTTGTCATAAAGTTATGCTTCTCAAGAGTAAGTACTATTGTGGAATACAGAAGATGTGCGATTAAAGTTTGCATACTTTTCCTAAACTAACTGTTCTGACACTGGATAGCAATAAATGTACATACAAGCACATAAAGGGTCAAGGTTCTTTACCTTGAAACATTTCCCTTCCCCCAAATACACTAAGAAATCCATGACAAAGCGCCATAGGCTTGGCAGAGAAGCCTGAAAAGATGTGTGCTTGCATTTCATTTTTTCTATGTCCCCTCCTCCTTTTAAAAATAATTCCTGAGATAAAATTGCACTGTAAACTAAGGAGAAAGATGCAGCTGAAGGTTCTCCTATGTGCACAATAACCACTGGGTCTCTCTCCAGGATAAATTATCAGATGGAGAATAAGGCTCTAGACTGAACGAATTTCTAATATGACTCTTCAGATGACAAGTAATATTCAGCAACAGAAGGTTTTCTCACAGTGAAGACACTTGTGGGGTTTCTCTTTGGTATGGTTGATCAGATGCAGAGGAAGATGTTTCCTCTGGCAAAATATTTGCCTCAGTGGTTACATTCAAAAAGTCCTTCCCTAAAAGAAGTTCTCGAAGGGTAACTGAGGTTTGTCCACTTGTAAAAGGTCTTCCCACATCTGTTACACTGATGGGATTTTTCCCAGTATGCATCCTTTGATGCTGAGTGAGGGACGAGCTGCGACTGAAGGCCTTTCCACATTCACTACATTTATAGGGCTTCTCTCCAGTGTGGATAATGGCATGTCGAATGAGGTTTGTGCTCCAGCAAAACGATTTCCCACACTCAACACATTCATAGGGCTTCTCTCCACTATGAATCCGCTTGTGCCTCGTGAGGCCCGACATGCGGGTGAAGGCCTTTCCACACTCCACGCACTCATAGGGCTTCTCTCCAGTGTGGATGCTGAAGTGGCGAATGAGGTCCTTCCGATTGCTAAAGGCTTTCCCACACTCTTTGCACTCGAAAGGCTTTTCTCCAGTGTGGGCCCTTTTATGCAAGATAAAAGTAGAGCAGTGGGTGAAGGCCTTTCCACATTCACTGCACACGAAGGGCTTCTCCCCAGTGTGAATCCGCTGGTGCCTCTTGAGGTAGGATCGGTGGTTGAAAGCCTTCCCACACTCGAGGCACTCAAAGGGCTTCTCTCCAGTGTGGATGACATAGTGGTGAATCAGGGCTGCACTCTCCAAGAAGACCTTCCCACATTCACTGCACTCATAGGGCTTCTCCCCGGTATGAGTCTGCTGGTGCCACATGAGATATGACCTGTGTTTGAAGACCTTGCCACACTCCAAGCACTCATAGGGATTCTCACCACTGTGGACAACATAGTGCCGGAGAAAGCCTGGCCTATGTCGAAAGACTTGGCCACATTCTGTGCACACAAAGGATTTTTCTCCAGTGTGTCTCCTGTTATGCAAGACAAAATTGGAGCGGTGGGTGAAGGCCTTTCCGCATTCATTGCACTTGTAAGGCTTCTCTCCACTGTGAATCCGCTGGTGCTGGGTAAGGTATGACTTGCGGTTGAAGGCCTTTCCACACTCCATGCACTCATAGGGCCTCTCCCCAGTGTGGATCATGTGATGTTGCAGGAGATGTGTGCTCTTAATAAAGGTTTTCCCACATTCTGTGCATTCATAGGGCTTAACTCCAGAGTGAATTTTCTCATGTCCAGCAAGGAGGTGTTTCTTGTTAAATACTTTTCCACATTCACTGCATTTAAAGTTATTTTCCTCTTCCTGAATCATGGGATCTTTACCTGACTCACATGAGTTATGGCTACGGACTCTATCTCCTGGAGAGACTTGCTCCTGTCCAATCCTTGAACACACACCATCAGCTGTCCCTAAACCATCACATTCAGGGCTCATCTTCCCAGGAGACTTCTCCTGGGGATCTATTCCTGGTCTGAAGTGTCCTTCCTGCATTTCTGATAGCCCATCCTGATCCTCGGCTTGCCCCAACTGTGAGTCCACTGAGTTTCCTTGTGTCACTTGTCCCTGAAGTGAGATTCCCTCTGACAAGGCTGGCTCACAAGTGGTAGGTTCTGTGGTCTTAGGTTTTCCTTTGTCGCCTGAAAGAAATCCAGCACACAAAAGGGCCTGTTAGTAAAGGACAACATGGAAAAAAGAATATTACCATTTCTGTGAAAAACCATAGATAAAAATATTGCCTCTGTGTTGCTATTTTCTGTATCTCAAATTCTTGGGTTTGCAATTTCTTTCTATCCTGGTCCTTGGACTCGGGATATTCTGCATGGGAGACCTAGGGGCAGAGGCTGGGTCAGGAGACAATGCGTCTGTTCGTGGAGCCACCTTCACAATTACAGATTGGACCTGGGTAGACAGAGTAACGACGACACCGTGCATGGTAAGCTTCCTGTAAGCAACTAAGCAAGGACATGCTGTGTTGCTACAAGAACACGAGGAAGGAGCACCTAATGAGCCCACATGGAAGACAGGAAGTGAGTAACAAAAATTAATCCCCAAAGAGAAGTACGCTTTTCCTGTGAAGTCATGGAAAGTAACCTGTAAACACTGAGTAGTTCCAAAATGTTTTTACTTATGGTGGGACCCAATGGCCCTATCTGACAGTTTATGCAAACGGGGAACTCACTATGGAGTCCTCCACAGTTTATCCTGAAGAGATGACTCAGGTTAAGGTCTGGCCACTCCAGAAAGCTAAACCACGTGATTAGAAGGTTAGGGCTTATGTCATAATTTAAATGCTGAATCTCTGGAAAGGATGGCACGCTGGAGACCGAGCCACACAGGTGATGAGACAATCAACTGTGGTTATGTAATGAAGCTTCAGTACAATTCTGGACAATGAAGAGCTGGTGAGTTTCCTGGGTTGGCAACATTCTAAGCTCATATTGCCATATGCCAGACTGGGGCACAGCGAGTTCCTGAAAACACTGAGGCTTTGTGTTGGGAACCTTTCCAACCCAACATTCTGTGTCACTTCTAATTTGTTCCCTTTGTCTGTAATAAACATGACTGTAACTAAAACAGGTTTTAGAGAATTTTGTGAGTCTAAAGCTAATTAGTGAACCTGACAACGGCTTTGGGACCCAAACCTGTAGTCCGTGTCGGAAGAGTTAGACCTGGTAGTCTTAGAGGACTGTGTCCTTAACCTTGAGCTTGGCTAATCCTGGGTAGGAAGAAATCAGTTTTCCAGTAAGAGGTGCTCAATGAAGTGAGTCCTATGCTTGTGAAGAAGAGTTGCCATAAAGAGAAAGCAGGAAGGACACTGGACACTGTAGTCTAAAGAGACAGAAAGTACAAAGAAACTGCAGGATGGTGTTGATGACAATCCAGGGACAGAGGGGAGGCTGATTCCCATGATTCCGAGCTGGGTGACAGTGAAGGTGATATGACTGATGTTATATCAATTGAAGGCTCATAAGGAAAGAGGTAAGAGGACCTGGCTTGACACAATGAGTCTTGTATGCCTGAGGAACAGCCTGGTGAAAAGATTAGCACCATACACATGACCAATGGCCAGGCTGCTGTGTATGGTGCTCATCTTTTCACCTCAGCCCCCCAAAGCCTGTAATCCTAGTGCTTTGGGAGGCCGAGGTGAGCAGATTACTCGAGCCCAGAAGTTTTAGACCACTCTGAGAAACACGGCAAGCTCCCATCTCTAAAAAAAATTTTTTAAAAACAAAACTAAAAACACATTAGCCAGGCATGGTGGTGCAAGCCTGTGTAGTCCCAACTACTCGGGAGGCTGACATGGGAGGATTGCTTCAGCCGCAAAATTCAAGACTGCAGCAAAGTATGACTGTGCCACTGCACCCAGCTTGGGCAACAGAGCAAGACCTTTTCTCTTAAAACAAACAAAAAACCCCAAATACACATGATCAAGATGAAGAAAATTATAAAATCTTATTTGAAGACAATAAAGATGATCTAGATCAATGAAGAATTTAATAATACGAACTGACAATTCGACCCAAATTATATAAATTCAATATAATTCCCTGTAAAATACCAACTATACTTAACTATGGAACTTGATGGTCTGTTAAATTAAGGAAACGAAGCTAGAAAAATTGGGTAGCCACATGGAGAACGAAAATAACTGCATTGCTATCACACTATATATTCCAAATCAACCTCACTGAAAAAATGTCAAATGCCAAGTTTTAAAACTTTTAGAATAAAATATATTTTTAATATTGAGGTAAACCAACATTTTTTATACAAGACAAAAAAATCATTAATTATATAAGAAAAGTCATAAGTTAGACTACAGTAAATTAAGACCTTTTGGAGAAAGATACTTTAAAGAGAGTAAGAGAACAAAATTAAAAACTAGAAAATATTTTTCAGCATATATAAGTGATAAAAGGTAAGGATAAGAATGTACTAAGAACCCCTACCAAGCAGTGAAAGGAAAACAGGTTAATGGAAATAGGCATTCATCATAAAATAAAAAATGATTTCTATTTTCACAGAAGAAAATATAAATCAACCAAAAATCATAGTAAGTTGCTAAAACATTACAGCAGTGAAAGAAAGGGAAATCAAGAACACGAGACTATTCTGTGTCCATTTGATGAGCAAACATTGATAAGCCTTATAATGGAAAGGATATGGGTCAACGGAACCTCTCTTTCCTGGTTAAGTGCAAATTGGCATAAGCTCTTTAGAAAACAAAGGGAATGATCTTGCAAACTTGAGCATTTGCATAGCCTACAAACCAATAATTTCACTCCAAGAATGATCAAAAAATGCACCTCCACAAGTGGAAAATGAAATACATATATGAATATCCACAGTATCACTGTTTCTGTGAATGAAACATAGAAAATTATTATTAATTTTTTTTTGCCTCTGGTTCATGGTCTCTCATGAATTATTTTTATTTATTTATTTTTTTGACACAGGAGCTCACTGTCACCCAGGCTGGAGTGCAGTGGCATGAATAAGATCACTTCAGCCTCGACCTCCTGGGCTCAAGAGATCCTCCCACCTCAGCCTCCTGAATAGCTGGGACCACAGGCATGAGCCACCATGCCCAGCTAATTTTTTTAATTTTGCAGAGACGGGGTCTCACCATGTTTCCCAGGCCGGTCTCAAACTCCTGAGCTCAAGTAATCCTCCCACCTCAGCATCCCAAAGTGCTGGGATTATGGTGTGAGCCACTGTGCCAGCCAAATCTAGACAATTAAATGCCCACATAGTAAATGAATGTATCAATGAATATATAAATATATCATGAGCCACAAGCATTTGTTTTATTTTCTTCAATTGTAAGAAACTCGAGGCTGGGCATAGTGGCTTACGCCTGTAATCCCTGCACTTTGGGAGGCCGAAGCAGATGGACTGCTTGAGGCCAGGGGTTTCAGACCAGCCTGGGCAACAACAGTGAAACCCTGTCTCTACTAAAAATATGGCCAGGCGCAGTGGCTCACACCTGTAATCCCAGCACTTTGGAAGGCCAAGGCGGGTGGATCACCTGAGGTCAGGAGTTCGAGACCAGCCTGGCCAACATGGTGAAACCCCATTTTTATTAAAAATACAAAAAAAGCCGGGCGTGGTGGCATGCACCTATAATCCCAGCTATTCGGGAGGCTGAGGCAGGAGAATCGCTTGAACCTGGGAGGCGGAGGTTGCAGTAAGCCGAGATTGCGCCATTGTACTCCCGCCTGGGCAACAACAGCAAAACTCCATCTCAAAAAACAAAACAAAACAAAAAACAAACAAGCGAGCAAACAAAAAAACCCACAAAAATTAGCCGGGTGTAATGGCATGCACCTGTAATCCCAGCTACTTGGGAGGCTGAGGCACAGAGACTGCAGTGAGCCAAGATAGCACCACTGCACTCCAGCCTGGGCTACACAGAGAGACTCTAAAAAAAAAAAAAAAAAAAAAGAAAAGAAAAAAGAAGAAACAAGCATATTTTTAGGTTGAGTAGAGAATCACAAAACAAGCAGAATATAAATGAAGAAAGGATGTCCATGAAAGGAAGTGTGTTCTAGACCCTGGTATAGGAATTGGCCATGACTGGGGCAAGACCTCTTCCAGTAAGGAAAAGAGAAGTTGAGATGAACATGTAAGGGCTGCTGATCAAGCAATACAAGACAGGAGACTTTCTTTTCAACCTGAAAGCCTGCTAACACATCAGCACTCACATGCTGAGACATCTGTGCCTGGAGACAAAAACTGTCTACTTGGCTGGATGCAGGGACTCATGGAGGTGGAGGGGTTGACTTGTCTGAGGTTGGGGCCAGTCCCCTAATCTGCCTGGATGGCAGAACCATTCACAGAAACTTGGGAGGTGGCAGGAGTGAGCAAGATCATGGGTTCCTTGTTAGGCATGTTGAGTTTTGTGCTTTTGAGATTTTCAAGTGCAGATGTGGCACTGAGGAGGGGACAATCTGGAACAGACTCTGAAGGGCTGAACAGGGACTGCACAGACACTCAGGGTTGGATGAGCAGCTCAAGGAACCCACGCGGGCAGAGGCCAAGGCTCTGCAGTGGCACCAATCCACACACATGACAGATGGCCTCAGTGCCCTCAGCAGCCTGAGTGTGGGACACAGAAGGTCAAATGTCACCCTGAGGTTTTTGGAAAACAGGAGATATAGGAAGACATGGGCAAACTACTGCTTCTTAGTGTCTGATTGACACTCAGGGAATGGGTGGAAGGAGAAGGTGGGAGAGGCTGATAGGCAGAATATAAGTGGAAAGAGAAATTGGGAGAGTAAGAAAGGCCCTATTCCCTAGAGTTCAGAAGGAAATGTAACATAGCATCACTCTTTAAGGTTAATAATGACATTCGGATGAGTCACTTACTATGGCTCAGAAACTATCCAGTTTTATGCATTAATGTATCACATAACATCTTTAAACTGCCCAATGACATAAAAATGATTTCTAGGCCAGGCGCGGTGACTCACGCTTGTAATCCCAGCACTTTGGGAGGCCGAGGCGGGTGGATCACGAGGTCAGGAGATCGAGACCACGGTGAAACCCCGTCTCTACTAAAAATACAAAAAAAAAAAAATTAGCTGGGCGTGGTGGCGGGCGCCTGTAGTCCCAGCTACTCGGGAGGCTGAGGCAGGAGAATGGCGTGAACCCGGGAGGCGGAGCTTGCAGTGAGCCGAGACTGTGCCACTGCACTCCAGCCTGGGTGACAGAGCGAGACTCCGTCTCAAAAAAAAAAAGATTTCTAATAACACTTTTCAGGAACAGACTCAATGTAGTGGACTGAGAGTAGGTGCTCACCAAACCTTCTGCTCTTCTCCTTGGACAAGCAGCTCAGCCACATTTCCCAGTCCCATGGACCCAAGCCAAATGCCTAGTTCCTGTGGGTGGAATGTGAGGGGAGTTGGTATTTCTGGAAGTGGGTTTAACTTCCCTTATTCCCTCAATTCTCTGCCAGCTCGAGGACGTTAGGATAATCTTAATGCAACAGGCTGATGACAGAAGGAACCTGGGTCCTGAATAACTGTGTCGTACAGAGCTCCTCGCTGACCCACACAGTCCCTGGTATGAGTGGGAAAGAGTTTTCATATGTGAACCACTGAGATTTTAGAATCTGTCTGATACAGCAGCTACTGTTAACTTAGCTGAAGTTATATACAAAGACAGGAGATCCTGCAACTTCATCAGGGCCACACAGCAGGTGACTGGCAAGCCACATTTCAGGCCCACACAGTTGGAACCCCTGAACACATCTTAGTTCTTAAATCTCACTTCTTCCCAGGCATGGTGACACTGTGATGGGGCTAGGAGGACAGAGAAAACACAGGTCAAAGGGCTCCATGGCTCTCAAATGGAACATTCTAGTGTGATAGAGTTATATAAGAGTTATATAGAGAGAGGCCACAATGAGAAGCTTCCCAAGAGATTCCAGGGCCAGTGGTCTCCATCCAGTCTTAAGCCAGAAGGGACTCCAACCTGCCCAGATCTTGGCTCCTACCTGGACAGGTGTCTTGGGAGAGGTCTTCCTTCCTGGTCCATGGCTCCTGCCCATGCTCTAGGTGGCAGATCAGCTCAGCTTTGGGAACAGGACACCCTGTTTATGGAGAAAGCAAGTGGACACATGGATGTGGGTGAAAAGAAATAAAGACCTTCAATCTAGTTTGGGACTTCAGGATGGAGACCAGACCTTGGAGTGAAGCTGCTCCTGTGCATGGGAATGAAAAGCTGGCATGTGACCTGGAAACCAAGGTTTCCATAATTACATAAATGCATTATGTAATTCCAAAAGTGAATACTGATAGAGTATCTTAGAGAAAAACTGATGTATTTAAATATTAAATATTGACTCTTTTCATTCCAAACAAGGTATGTGATTTCATTGATCTAAGTCTTATTTTTTTTACATCCTAAGCAATGTTTTATAATGCTCTTCCTCTAGACTAAAGAAAAAATGAGGATTCCAGCTGAGGATTTTCTCACAGCATCCCCAGGAAGTCCACATCGTGATCAACACCATTTTATTGACAAAGAAACCCAGGATCAGGAAGTAAAGTGATTTGCTGAAGAGCACAGAACTGGTGAATGGCTGAGTCAGTAAGGCCCAGGTCCTGCCATCTCTGCTGTCGGTGCTGTTTAACCACAAAGCTCCACAACGCTACCCAGAAAGTCCCGGGTCCAGGTATGCCAACGACAGTGATCTTGATGAGGATGACAATAACAGTACTGATGGCAACAGGATTGCAATGGCTCCCTGCACACAGCGTGGTCTCCCAGGTGCTGTTTTGAGCCCTTTTCACGTAATAACTTTATTAGTCTGTTCTCACGCTGCTAATAAAGACATATCCGAGACTGGGTAATTTATAAAGAGAAAGAGGTTTAAGGGACTCAGTTTCACATGGCTAGGGAGGCCTCACAATCATGACACAAGGCGGAGAAAGGCACATCTTACATGGCAGCAGGCAAGAGGGCATGCGTAGGGGAACCCCCCTTTATAAAACCATCGGATCTCATGAGACTTATGTGCTATCACGACAACACCATGGGAAAAACCCGTCCCCATGATTCAATTACCTCCCACGACACATGGGGATTATTACAATTCAAGGTGAGATATGGGTGGGGACACAGAGCCAAACCCTATCAATAACCCTTTACCCCAGTAACAACCCTGGGATGCAGATGTGGTAAATCCTCATCTCACCAATGAGAACACTGAGGAACAGACAAGGTCAGTCATTTGACCAAGGCCACACAGTTTTTTTTTTTTTTTTTTGAGACGGAGTCTCGCTCTGTCGCCCAGGCTGGAGTGCAGTGGCGTGTGAACTCGGCTCACTGCAAGCTCCGCCTCCCGGGTTCACGCCATTCTCCTGCCTCAGCCCGGGTTCACACCATTCTCCTGCCTCAGCCTCCCGAGGAGCTGGGACTACAGGCGCCTGCCACCACACCTGGCTAATTTTTTTGGATTTTCAGTAGAGACAGGGTTTCACTGTGTTAGCCAGGATGGTCTCGATCTCCTGACCTCATGATCTGCTCACCTCGGCCTCCCAAAGTGCTGGGATTACAGGCGTAAGCAACCGCGCCTGGCCATGGCCACACAGTTTTTAAAGAGCAGAGCTGGGGCTGGACACCAGGGTTCGGGCTCCCCTTCCAAACACCACACTAAGGAGGAAATTACTAGCACCACAGAGTGGGTGGTGGGTAGTGATGACGATGCAGAGATGTGAGCTGGAGGTCATCCTCAGGGACCAGCAGCCAGGGGGAGGGGCAGGTTCAGTGATTCCAGACCTCTGCATTTCATGAACCATTAAAAATTTAAAAAACTGAACGTTCTACTGTGATAGAGTTAAATAAGGACATTTACAGAAACATCAAATAGTATCTACTCTCACCAACATTTCATAAAAAGAGGACTTCTACTTTAAAAAACAAAAAACAACAACAAGAACAACAAAAAACCCTCAAAGGACAGCTTCATAGATGAAGGTTTATCTTCTAAACCGAGTAAGTTTAGGTTCATGTCAGATGAAAATACAGTAGTCATATTTTCTTGACGTTGCTCAGAACATCTTGAAGCCTTTTCAGACTTTGGGAGAGACTGCTCCTCTCAGGGACAGGTAATTTCTAGGATAATAAACTCCCCTGGGAACAAGCACATGCCTTTCATGTGCAATCCACCTAACCCCAAACCATACCCCCAACCACTTCTTTAACAAACTCTCACATACCAAGCCAGTATTTCCCCTGCCCTAAATCAACCCAGGGCCAAGTGCCAGACAACTAGAGATAGTCCCTATGCCCCAAACCTCACTGAAATTACTCAAACTAGCCAGCTCTAAACTGTTTACCATGCCCTGTCTTGCTTTTCCAGAAGAAACCCAATACGCAGGGAAAACTCTCTCTAATCATGTTTTTTCTCTACTCTCACACCATGACAATACAGAACAAGACTTCTATGACCAAATGTGTGGGGGGTTTTCCCCAAACTCCAAGCAGCAGACACCAGTGGGGGGTGTCCTCTAATTCTGTTCCCATACTATCCACGCAGGGATAGCTTCGGATCCCACAGGTTGAGGGCTGAGTCCACAAGACTGCCCCACCCTGCACTCCAGTCACAAGTCCAGGCCTCCAAAATGTCTGACTAATGGGCTTTGAGTTGGGGTTCCCGCGACCCCCTCTTTGGGTTCAACTAATTTGCTGGAGCAGCTCACGGAACTCAAGGAAACACTCATGTTTACCAGTGTATTATAAAGAATATTGCAAAGGATACAGATGAAGAGACTCCTAGGGCAAGGTGTGGCGGAAGGGGCACAGAGCTTCCATGCCCTTCCTGGGGGGACCACCTGGAAGCTCACTCAACTGTGACCTCTTGGAGTCTTTATGGAAGCTTCAAAACATCAACATTCCTTTCCCAGGGTATAGGGTTGGACCCACTCATGAGACCCACAGTCAGAAAGGTGGAGGAACGTTAGAGCGAAAGGAGGGCAGGAGGTCAGAGGCCTGACCCTGAGGCCTAACATACCCAGCATTTTAACAAAAGGGCTATAGGGGTTATGAATCAGGAACGGTGGACAAAAACCAGTATGTATCAGAATACCACACCCAGTTAAAGGCTTTCTCCTCCCCTGTGCTTCCAGCTGTATCCCCATGAGGCCCAGCATATGCCCTCTTCTTTCACGAATTGTAAATAATGAATTCTTCTTTCAATGTTATTAACCTCTCTGTGTCATCACTAAGTCACTGCTATAAATTAAAATCCCATGGGTACAAATTTGCTTTTTTTTGAGACAGGGTCTCACTCTGTCGCCCAGGCTGGAGTGCAGTGGTGTGATCATGGCTCACTGCAGCCTCTACCTCCCAGGCTCAGGCAATCTTCCCTATCTCAGCCTTAGGAGTAGCTGGGACTACAGGCATGTGCCACCACGCCCAGATAATTTTTTTGATTTTTTTTGTAGAGGCTGGGTCTCACTTTATTGCTCAGGCTGGTCTCAAACTCCTGGGCTCAAGCAACCCTCTTGCCTCCCATACTGCTGGGACTACAGGCATGAGCTACCACACTTGGCCCATAGATACAAATTAATACAACTGGTGCACCCAGCAGGCTGACTCTGCGCTCATGGGAAGGCTGAAGATCAGCTCACTAAGGGATTGTACCACACAGAAAGTTCTGCCCGGGGAAGGCTGCGAGATGCTGGCAGCCTTGTGCTTCAGCTGCGTCTGGCATTTGCTGCCATGGGTTTCTGGCCTAAAGTGCTGTAGGAATCCTAAAGGAGTGCTCCTCAGATCCTTCCAGTGTTTAAAGATGCCACAGTCTAGATACGCAAGGGCAGTAATTCCCCAGCTGGCACCGTTCTGGGACAGACTGATCTCCTTAGTCTACTTTTCCAACATAAACACACCTAGTTTCTGGGTTGGTTTACGGGGTAATATACAAGGCTGAGGCTCCTCACAAAAGGTAGTGAGTAGAGACTTCCTCTGATGGATTGTGTTGGGATACAAGTCCAATCAACCAAGCCAACACCAAAGTCACTGGTGGGCTGCTTAACTGAGTTATTTATTCTCTCTTCCCATCCTGTAAGAGACTAGTCATTTAGCGGGGGACTGATTACACTTGGGACAGAGGCTGTACCAGGGAGAGGCAGCTGCCTGGAGGCATCAAACCTCTTCCTCTCCCCAGCTTCTTTTTACTACCCAGGGACAGAAACTAAGATCCACTACTTCTGGATGCCAAAAGCCTAAAACACAAAGAGAGAAATAACGAAAAAAAGAAAAAGGCAGCTACAAACCCAAGGGGCAGAAAAAAGAAAGTGAACTTTTAAACCTTATGTACCATACAAATGCCAGGCCTAGCAAACACAATACCACCCTTATTTAGTCTTAAAAACTATATATATAAATATCTTCACATAAATAAGTTGTATATATATACACATACAATAAGTAAATTAAAACAATGTCCATAATTTGATCCAATTAGAAATCCAGCATTTATATACTAATGTTTATAACAAATCATATATGGTAATTATATATAGCACATATATAACAAATGTATAAAAAAAATTTTATTATAAAAAGTAAAGGGTGGGTGTGGTGGCTCACGCCTGTAATCCCAGCACTTTGGGAGGCTGAGGCGGATGGATCACTTCAGCTCAGGAGTTCGAGGCGAGCCTGGCCAACATGGCAAAATCCCGTCTTTAATAAAAATACAAAAACGAACTGGGTGTGGTGGCACACACCTGTAGTCCCAGCTACTTAAGTGGCTGAGGCATGAGAATTGCTTGAACCTAGGAGGCAAAGGCAGTGAGCCGAGATTGTGCCACTGTATTCCAACCTGGGCAAGACAGCAAGACAGAAAAAGAAAAGAAAAGAAAACGAAAGAAAAGGAAAAGAGAAAAGACAAGACAAGACAAGACAAGACAAGACAAGACAAGACACAAGACACAAGAGACAAGAGACAAAGACAAAGAAAAAGACAAGACCCAAAGGTCGGGGTGGGGTGGGGGAGTAAAACAGGGTACTGAGTGGCTTTTTTTTTTTTCAATTTATTTTAGAGACAGGGTCTCACTATGTTGCCCAGGCTTTGTCTCAAACTTCTAGGCTCAAGTGATCCTCCCATCTTGGCCTCCCAAAGCGCTGGGATGGCATTTGGGGGATGGCAAAAAAGGTTCATCAGAGTTTACAAGCTCAGTGTCCCCAGCTTCATCAGGGTTCTCCCACACATCCCTATTCCAAGTTTCAGGGTCCCATTCTTTTCCAATCAGTGCCCTCACTTTAACAGTAGACACCTGGTGAGGCTGTGCATGCACCTTTTGTTGCAGGTCAGCCACTCACATGACTAGCTTATGTCTGTTTTTCTACAATTTCAGCTTTTTCTCTACAGGAGATAAGACTCACTCAGGGCAATCTTAGCAGATTTGAGGCTTAGTATCTGCTTCTGAAGCCAGGAGTTAGAATCCCTGAGTTCATCATTTTTTCTTTTTTTTTTTTTAGGAGTGGAGGTTTAATAGGCAGAAGAAAGAGAAAGGAAAATGGCATCCCCAATAGTGGCAACATCCTCTCCCCGACCCATGCTGCCATCAGCCTTTCCACCTTTGTCTGAGGAGATAAACCCTGTGCTGCCTGAGGCAACAGTGATGGCCTCCCCTGAGGCAGTTGCCAGGCAAGATAATATCGATTCTCCTCTAGCACCCTCAACACCTTTGTTTGCTTCTAGACCTATAACTAAAGTCCCGATGGGCCCACAGAAGTGAGGTTCAGAGTGTGACCCATGGGGAGGTGAGCTACACTTGAATTGAGTTTTCTAATTTATATAAGCAGAAATTTGGAGAACAGGCACGGGAATGGATATTAAGGGTGTGGGATAATGCTGGAAGGAACATACAGATGCATCAGGCTGAATTTATTGATTTGGGCTCACTAATTAGGGATCCTGCATTTAATGTTGCAGCCTGAGGAGTTAAAAAAGGTTCCAATAGCTTATTTGCTTGGCTAGCTGAAATATGGATTAAAAGATGGCCCATCATGGGTGAGCTGGGAATGCTTGATCTCCCTTGGTCTAATGTAGAGGAAGGGATCCAAAGGCTTAGGGAGATTGGGATGATGGAGTAGATTAGTCACTTTAGACCTACTCATCCCAGCTGGGAGGGTCCATAAGACATAACCTTAACCAATGGCTTGCAAAATAGATTTGCGAGGGCAGCACCTGCATCTTTGAAGAGCCCTGTAATTGCCAGATCCAGCAGTTGGAATTTCAGTCACTCACCTACAAAAATTTAATACATTGGGAATAATTGGATCCCGAGGTGGCAGGGGCCAAGTGGTGGCACTCAACCATCAAAGGCAAGGTAGGCATAGCTATCATAATGGACAACAGAGACAAAGCAGCAATCAGAATAGTCTGACTCATGTAGATCTCTGGCGTTGGCTAATTAATCACAGTGTTCCCAGAAATGAAACTGATAGGAAGCCTACTGCAATCCTATTTAATTTATATAAGCAGAAAACTTCCAGGTCGAATGGACAAAAGACTAATTTGAATTACAAAAACAGAATCATGGCCCTTCAATTTCCAGACTTGGGCTAGTTTACAGACCCAGAACCCCTTGAATGAAGGGGAGGCCAGGTCCCTTGAGGAAGGACCCCACTACACTACTGACAATTTATGCTGTTAATCTTTCTCTCATCCTTCCCTAAGGAGACCTCTGGCTTTTTACCAGGGTAACTGTGCACTGGGGAAAGGGAAATGATCAGACATTTCGGGGACTACAGGACACTGGCTCCGAGCTGACGCTGATTCCAGGGGACCCAAAACATCATTGTGGTCCTCCAGTTAAAGTAGGGGCTTATGGAGGTCAGGAGTTTTAGCTCAGGCCTGACTTACAGTGGGTCCAGTGGGTCCCCAGACTCAACCTGTGGTCATTTTCCCAGTGCCAGAATGCGTAATAGGCACAGACATACTTAGCAGCTGGCAGAACCCCCACACTGGCTCCCTGTTAGGGTGAAGGCTATTAAGGTGGGAAAGGCCAAATGGAAGCCATTAGAGCCACCTCTACCTAGAAAAATAGTAAATCAAAAACAGTATCACATCCCTGGAGGGACTGTGGAGATTAGTGCCACCATCAAGGACTTGAATGATGCAGGGGTGGTGATTCCCACCACATCCCCATTCAACTCTCCCATCTGGCCTGAGCAGAAGACAGACGGATCTTAGAGAATGACTGTGAATTATAGAAAGCTTAACCAGGTGGTTGCTCCAATTGCAGCTGCTATACCAGATGTGGTTTCATTGCTTGAGCAAATTAACACATCTCCTGGTACCTGGTATGCAGCCGCTGACTTGGCAAATGCCTTTTTCTCCATTCCTGTCCATAAGGCCCACCAGAAGCAATTTGCCTTCAGCTGGCAAGGCCAGCAATATACCTTCACGGTCCTACCCTAGGGGCCTATCAACTCTCCGACTTTGTGTCGTAATCTTATTCAGAGAGACCTTGATCGCTTTTTGCTTCCACAAGATATCACATTGGTCCATTACATTTATGACATTATGCCGACTGGATCCAGTAGCAAGAAGTAGCAAACACACTGGACTTACTGGTAAGACATCTGTGTGCCAGAGGATGGGAAATAAATCTGACTAAAATTTAGGGACCTTCTACCTCAGTAAAATTTCTAGGGGTCCAGTGGTGTGTGGCCTGTCAAGATATGCCTTCTAAGGTGAAGAGTAAGTTGCTGCATTTGGTCCCTCCTACAATCAAGAAAGAGGCACAATGCCTAGTGGGCCTATTTGGTTTTTGGAGGCAACACATTCCTCATTTGGGTATGCCACTCCAGCCCATTTATCGAGTGACCCAAATGGCTGCCAGTTTTGAGTGGGATCCAGAACAGGAGAAGGCTCTGCAACAGGCAGGTCTAGGCTGCTGTGCAAGCTGCTCTGCCACTTGGCCCCTAAGACCCAGCAGATCCAATGGTGCTTGAGGTGTCAGTGGCAGATAGGGATGCTGTTTGGAGCCTTTGGCAGGCCCCCATAGGTGAATCACAGCGAAGGCCTCTAGGATTTTGGAGCAAGGCCCTGCCATCTTCTGCAGATAACTACTCTCCTTTTGAGAGACAGCTCTTGGCCTGTTACACTATGGGTCATCAAATCACCATGCAACCTGAACTGCCTACCATGAACTGGGTGCTTTCTGACCCAGCTAGCCATCAAGTGGGTCACGCACAGCAGCATTCCATCATCAGATGAAAGTGGTATATATGTGATTGGGCTCAAGCGGATCCTGAAGGCACAAGTTACATGAGGAAGTGGCTCAAATGCCCACAGACTCCACTCCTGCCACCCCACCTTCTCTCCCCCAGCCTGCACCGATGGCCTCATGGGAAGTTCCCTATGATCGGTTGACGGAGGAAGAGAAGACTAGGGCCTGGTTCACAGATGGTTCTGTATGATATGCAGGAACCACCTGAAAGTGGATAGCTGCAGCACTACAGCCCCTTTCTAGGACATCCCTGAAGGAGAGTGGCGAAGGGAAATTTCCCAGTGGGCAGAACTTGGAGCAGTGCACCTCGCTGTGCACTTTCCATGGAAGGAGAAATGAGAAGATGTGTAATTATATACTGATTCATGGGCTGTAGCCAATGGTTTGGCTGGATGGTCAGGGACTTCGAAGAAGGATGACTGGAAAGTTGGTGACAAAGAAATCTGGGGAAGAGGGATGTGGATGGACCTGAGTGGTCAAAAACTGTGAAGATATCTGTATCCCATGTGAGTGCTCACCAATGGAAGACCTCAGCAGAGAAAGGTTTTAATAATCAAGTGTATAGGATGACCTGTTCTGTGGACACCACTCAGCCTCTTTCCCCAGCCACCCCTGTCATCGTGCAATGGGCCCATGAACAAAATGGTCATAGTGGCAGGGATGGAGGTTGCGCATGGGCTCAGCAACATGGACTTCCACTTACCAAGGCTGACCTGGCTACAGCCACTGCTGAGTGCCCAATCTGCCAGCAGCAGAGACCAACACTGAGCCCTCAATATGGAACCATCCCTCGGGGTGATCAGCCAGCTACCTGGCGGCAGGTTGATTATATTGGACCTCTTCCATCATGGAAAGGGCAGAGGTCTGTCCTCACTAGAATAGACACTTACTCTGGATATGGGTTTGCTTATCCTGCACGCAGTGCTTCTGCCAAGACTACCATTCACGGACTCATGGAATGCTTTATCCATCGTAATGGTATTCCACACAGCATTGCCTCTGACCAAGGCACTCACTTTATGGCTAAAGAAGTGTAGCAGTGGGCTCATGCTCACAGAATTCACTGATCTTACCATGTTCCCCATAGTCCTGAAGCAACTGGATTGACAGAATGGTGGAATGACCTTTTGTAGTCATAATTACTCCAACTAGTGACAATACTTTGCAGGGCTGGGGCAAAGTTCTCCAGTAGGCCATGTATGCTCTGAATTAGCATCCAATATATGGTACTGTTTCTCCCATAGCCAGGATTCATGGGTCCAGGAATCAAGGGGTGGAAGTGCAAATGGCACCACTCAACATCATCCCTAGTGATCAACTAGCAAAATTTTGCTTCCTATTCCCGCGACATTACATTCCGTTGGCCTAGAAGTCTTAGTTTCAGAGGGAGGAATGCTGCCACCAGGAGACACAACGATTCCATTAAACTGGAAGTTAAGATTGCCACCTGGACACTTTGGGCTCCTCCTACCTTTAAGTCAATAGCCTAAGAAGGGAGTTACAGTGTTGGCTGGGATGAATGACCCAGACTATCAAGATGAAATCAGTCTACTACTCCACAATGGAGGTAAGGAAGAGTATGCATGGAATACAGAAGATCCATTAGGGCATCTCTTAGTATTACCATGCCCTGTGATTAAGGTCAATGGGAAGCTACAACAGCCCAATCCAGGCAGGACTACAAATGGCCCAGACCCTTCAGGAATGAAGGTTTGGGTCACTCCACCAGGAAAAAAAACCATGACCTGCTGAGGTGCTTGCTGAAGGCAAAGTGAATACAGAATGTGCAGGAGAAGAAGGTAGTCATTAATACCAACTACGACCAAGTGACCAGTTGCAGAAATGAGGACTGTAATTGTTGTATTTCCTCCTTCTTTTATTAAAAACATGTTTGTGATGTATACACTTGTACTAAGAAAACATCTGCATTTTATTTCCTTTATCATGTGACGTAAGATTTACTGACTTCATATCAGCATTTAAGTATTGCTACCTTTATGTAATAGCACTTGGGTTGGGGATTAGTGTGTTTCGGTTGCATGAACGATACTTGTATTATGTTAAGCATAATTATGACCTTATTGTCTTTATTTGAAGATTATGTATGATCTCAGGAGATGTGTATGGGTTCAAGTTGACAAGGGATGGAGTTGTGATGGTTAACAGCTAGGTCCAGCTAGGTGCCTGGCCCATGTTGAAGGCTTCCCATCCTGTGTTAACACAGTCACCAGAAGTCCCTAGCTCCAAACACTTGAAACGGACACTTGACAGCTGTTACCTCAAAAACATCATTTCATTTCTCTGAGCCTTTATTTCTGGATCAATACAATAATACTTCCCACCAGTAACAGTCGTTAAATTTAAAGAGAAAGTATTCAATGCTCAGTGTGCTCTGGGATTTTTATTAATGTGTCAACTTGATTGGATTGAAGGATGCAACGTATTGATCCTGGGTGTGTCTGTAAAGGTGCTGCCAAAAGAGATCAACATTTGAGTCAGTGGGCTGGGAAAGGCAGACCCCCCCCTTAATCTGGGTGGGCACCATCTAATCAGCTGCCAGCGAGGCCAGCATATAAAGTAGGCAGAAATACATGAAAAGACTAGACTGGCCTAGACTACCAGCCTACATCTTTCTCCCATGCTGGATGCTTCCTGCCCTCGAACATTGGACACCAAGTTCTTCAGCTTTGGGACTTGGACTGGCTTCCTTGCTCCTCAGCTTGCAGACAGCCTACTGTGGGACCTTGTAATCATGAGTTATTACTACTTAATAAACTGTCCTTTTTATATATATCTATTCTATTAGTTCTGTCCCTTTAGAGAACCCTAATCCAGGTGGCCACTCTTGTCTTGAACTCACTAAGGCAGAAAAAGCCATAGAGAATAGACGTGACATGAGCAGACCCAGACAGAGAAGCCAGGACACCATCGTGGTGGTTCTCAGTTCCTACACCAGCCCCTCATGAGGCACAGCTGAAAATTACCTTTGAGTTTGCAAAACACCCCATTTCCTTTTACCACCTTCTCCTTTGGCTGGGAGCCAAAGAGTACCCTGTCTTTAGCCCAGAGATATAGGAGACCAGATAGGAAGAGGTTACTGTGGAAAATGACTAAAGCTGTGGGAAAGAGGCAAGGTAGATTCTAGAGGCCTTCTTGTGCAGCCAGGCCTGGAGTCAGAAGATGGAATGAAGGAAGTGGCAGGTCACCTGCATGGTGGAGGGGGAAGGAAGGCCTTACCCAGAGACACCAGGAGCCCACAGTTTTCCAGCATCACCTCCTGGTACAGGGTCCGCTGAGCTAGGTCCAGCTGCCCCCACTCCTCCTTGGTGAAAGTCACAGCCACATCATCAAAGGTCACAGACACCTGGAAAGTCAAACAGAATTAGTAGTATTGGCCTTTCAGCTGCTGAATGAGATCACAGACTGTGCTCCACTGGAAAAGGTGTACAGTGATGGCGGCCTGAATCACAGAGCACCTCCTGAGGGCCTAGCTCTGTGCTGGGCTCAAGAGGGAAGATAGATGCTTTTAACATAATACCAGAGTAAAGGAGAGAAGCCTCCTATTTAACGGCCGTTAGAGAATGACACAGGACAACGGAAACAACTTGTGGACTGTGAAATACAGAAGCTAAGGGCTCTAAAACGACAGGGAAATGGGGAAATGGTAATAATAGCAATAATGGTTACAACGGCAGTACCTGAGTCTCACTGGTCCAGCTAGGTGCCTGCCCCATGTTGAAGGCTTCACATCCTGTGTAAACACAGTGACTAGAAGTTCCTAGCTCCAAACACTTGAAACTGACACTTGACAGCTCTTACCTCAAAGACAGCATTTCATTTCTCTGAGCCTTGATTTCTGGATCAATACAATAACACTTCCCACCAGTAACAGTTGTTAAATTTAAAGTATTCAATGCTCAGTGTGCTCTGGGATTTTTATTAATCCTTTCACAGTCCCTGCAGTCAACACCATCATCACCTTCACAGTCAATGACTTCATGCTAAGGAAGCGCTATCAATTCACCCAGTCACACATCTCACCACCATAGATAGGATCTAAACATGGGGTTACTATGATTCACGGTCTAACAGTGTAACTCCAACACTCCCCCAACATCAAAGCAAATCTAATGCGATGAAGTTATAAGCATTTCCACTCATTTCTAACATTAAGTCTATTTCAATTAGCCCTGAAAAACGTATCTGTGGGCCGGGCATGGTGGCTCATGCATGTAATCCCAGCACTTTGGGAGGTCGAGGTGGGCGGATCGCTTGAGGCCAGGAGTTGAAGACCAGCCTGGCAAATATGGTGAAACCCAGTCTCTACTAAAATACAAAAATCAGTCAGGTGTGGTAGTGCATGCCTGTAATCCCAACTACTCGGCAGGCTGGGGCAGGAGAATTGCTTGAACCTGGGAGGCAGAGACTGCAGTGAGCTGAGAGTGCACCACTGTACTCCAGCCTGGGCGACAGAGTGAGACCCTGTCTCAAAACAAAAAAAAGTATGTGAACACGGGCACAAAAAGCTCAGCATTCCTCACTGACCCCACAGAGCGGCACTGGAAGGGCTGCATCTACTTGGGGAACGACAGGCTCCAGACCAGCTTCCCATGCCCTCTGGGATCTCCCTGGGTCTCCCAGATCCCCCAAGGAAATTCCACAATGAACCAACCATCGGCCTCTTTCCTTACTGGGTTCCGACAGAACTTGTCTCTGACGCCAGGATACTTTGGGGCCACGGAACACGAGCGGCCAAGGATAATGCAGGCTGTAGCGATGAGAGTAAGGGCATCTGACTGGCCACAATGTCTGCAGTAGTTGCGGATGGCTAGAACATCCAGGAAAAGACCACACACTGTTGCCCTCCACGTCTCAGCGGCCGCAGGAAAACCATGGCAACCTTACACACCCTCCTGAGCCTCCTTAAACATACAACATACCTTGTCTCTGCTCGCGCATTTGTCGGCTTGCTACTGCCCTGCCCTCCCCTTCCCCCCTCAGGCCCCCAATTCATGCTGGAATGAGACCTGGTCCACCAGAGAATGCTTGCAGGCCAAGGATGATGGGAGTCCCCAGAGGAAGCATCATTCACTCAACAACCTACGGAGCTCCTTCCAGTAGGCCCAACACTCCTTACGGCCAGGTATAAATTAAGTGGCAAACCAGCTCCACACACCAAAGCGAACGACGACTGCGAAGACAAATCCAGGGGATACCTGGGCTCCCACCCACTTCGGAAACCGCCTCAGCGCTGGCAAGGAAGCGGCAACCGCGAAGCCACCGTCCACTCACCTGGGCCCGGTCCGTCAGCACCGCTGCCGCCATCACGTCACCCCCTGGGCCGCAGAGCTGGGACAGAGGAGCCCCGGGCGGCCTGACGGACCCCACCTGTGCCCGACCCTGGCCGGTTGCCCGGGGCTTCCAGGCGCGCTCGGGGCCGCCGCCTCCTCGGTGGCAACGGCGTTCCAGACGCAGGGCCGCCGCCTCCTCGGTGGCAACCGCGTTCCAGACCCAGGGCGCCGCCCCTGGAGACCGCGGGGCTGAAGGGCGGGGGAGGAGAGACCGCAGCTTGACGGCGACCCAGGAACAAACCCACGGAAGGGGTCAGGCTCGTACAAAGGTGCGGCGGGGATTCCTATCCTACTCCCCTGCTCGGTCCTGACTAGGGACCTGCAAAGCGGCCCCGACCGGGGCCCTCAGTGGCTACAGACCTCTCCAGACAGAAGTGCAGAAGAAAATGGCGTCCGCAGCGAGCAACCCGGAAGTCCCGCCCCCACCGGCGTGAGCCGTCGGAAACGTCCCCGTCCTAGGCCGTCGTTGGCCCAGCTCCCGCCGTACGCATAATGCACAGCCTTCTAAGTAGTGTAGTTTTCCTCATGTGTTCAACAACGGGAGGAACGCTTCACGGCGCAAGTTTTCCTCCCAGGGAAAGGCACTCCAGGACCCGAGGAGACGCTCCAGACCCACCTCTTTACGGTGGGCACAACTCGAGGGGAAGGATGGAGGGAGGGAACCGAGGGGCAAGGGTTACATTGCATTCTTCTCTCGGGAAAATCGGAGCTCGGGAGACAGGGACTTTCCTTCAGGTCAGGGCACAGGCAAAGGCGCAGAACTGGGTCCTCAGCTCGCCTGGCGACTGACCCCCTTTCACATCCCTCCTCCCCGGATCATCATCTTGGAAGACACAAAAAAGCCGAATGATCATCTGGAAGCCCTGCCCCGACACGTTGTGTGCGCAAACTGCCCTCTTTTGAGCCTTCTTTGGACCAGCACAGCCTCTACGTGATGCAGGGAGTCATGTATTTGGCCCAGACCACACAAAAAGTGGATTTGCCCACTTCTGAGGTGGGGAGGCTGCAAGTGGAGGAGGTTCGGAGGCTCAGGATGGTTAGTTTGAAATGTCTACAGAACCACAAAGTATCTCTGTCACAGGCAATTCGACTTACGACTGAATGTTGGAAGAAGGTTTGAGCATGAATATATGAATTTAGGAGTTACCTTACACTGTTATTTCAAGTCATGATATTGAGTGAGACCATCAAGGCAATGCATGTAGATGGAGAAGAAAATACACAGAGCATGAGCCGGGGACCAAGTCTACATCATTAAATGGTTGATGACAATATTACCAGAAAGGCCAGGTCCTTGCATCTAGATCCTGCTGCTTGCTGCACAGAAGGCCAGTCAGCAAGACAATGAGTATTGTCAGGGATGAAGGCTTTATTCGGTGCTGCAGCTGAGGAAAATGGGAGATCAATCTCAAATCTCTTTCCTCAACTGACTAAAACTAGGGGTTTATACATCAGGGAAGAAGTGTAACTATGTTTGAGAAAACAGGAATTAGGAAGGGGTAAGGAAGAGGAATGGGTCAACAGGCAGCAGATGGTCAGTTAGGCAATCATCATGGGTAAGGGGTATAGCATCTCGTTTTTCCAGATGTGGTAATCCAGTAAGTTTCAGTTTCTTTATACTATCTGGGAGGCCTGATGCTTGGTTTCCTGAGAAAGGAAATCAGATAAGACAAATAAAAGTGTCTCGAGTTTTAGGAAGGGGAGGCTCAATGTCTATAATGTGTTGATTCAAAAGAAACCATAAATATCAGTTCTATGGGACACTGGAGCTGGTTTCAGTTCCCTGTTTCTATTTATCAATTCCTCAATCATGGGGAATCTGGACGTGATCTTTCTGGCTGCTTTATGCTGAGGAGGGGTATTGTGGGTGGCTGCATACCATAGATGACCACGTGGCCACTCAGATTAACTCAAAGGTTAATCTAACGCTATAGTTTTCTTTCTTTCTTTCTTTTTTTTTTTTGAGACAGAGTTTTGTTCTTTCACCTAGGCTGGAGTGCAGTGGCACGATCTCCGCTCACTGCAACCTCTGCCTCCTAGGTTCAAGCGATCCTCCTGCCTCAGCTTCCCGAGTAGCTGGGATTACAGGTGCCCACCACCATGCCTGGCTAATTTTTGTATTTTTAGTAGAGACGGGGTTTCACCATGTTGGCCAGGCTGGTCTCAAACTCCTGACCTCATGATCCGCCCACCTCAGCCTCCCAAAGTTGAGCCACTGCACCTGGCAGCACTATAGTTTTCTTTGGAAACAGTTTTTCTCTCTCTAGTCCCTGACTTCCATCAAAAGCAAATCACAGCAGGAACAACTTACCTGCAAAACAAGCTTCAGTCCCACCATACTTATCCAAACTACAGCAAGAATCACTGTTTATACAATTCCTCCTAAATTGGCTTTGCTGGAACCCCTCATAAGGAATCTCTCAGACTCAACACCCAAAGACCTCTTAAGCCCAGCCAAAGATCTGTCTGCACCTGTACATACCTGCATGAATTGGGTGAAACCCGTTTTTCTTGAGGCCCCAGAACATCTTGAGGTTCCTAGGCCTATCAGAAAATGACACTGTATTTACTACAGGCCAGGAACCCCACAAAGGAACTGTGTGCACAAGATATGAGGCCAGTCCTTCCAAGGGCTCCCATCAGCTCCATAAAGTCAGTCTTTTTTTTTTTTTTTTTTTTTTTTTTTGAGACACAGTCTTGCTCTGCCGCCCAGGCTGGAGTGCAGTGGCGTGATGTCAGCTCACTGCAAGCTCTGCCTTCTGGGTTCGCGCCATTCTCCTGCCTCAGCCTCCTGAGTAGCTGGGACTACAGGCGCCTGCCACCACACCCGGCTAATTTTTTATATTTTTAGTAGAGATGGGGTTTCACCATGTTAGCCAGGATGGTCTCGATCTCCTGACCTCGTGATCCACCCGCCTTGGCCTCCCAAAGTGCTGGGATTACAGTCATGATCCACCACGCCTGGCCCATAAAGTCAGTCTTAATTCCTCAAAGCAGTCTCGCATAGTTAAAAATATGCCATTCCTGTCAAAGCCTTGGGAAAAGACCCAGTGCCTACAATTGTGTTATAAAATAATATGGATTTTAAAAAATAGAGATAGGGTCTTGCTTGTTTACCCAGACTGGAGTGTAGTGGCACGATCATAGCTCACTACAGCCTCAAACTCCTGGGCTCAAGCGATCCTCCTGCCTCAGCCTCCCAAGTAGCTAGAAAACAGATTCTTATTGAACATATGCTACACCTAGCTAGAAAACAGATTCTTATTGAACATATGCAAACAACCACATTGCCGTGAATTAAGAATATTCACAAATAGTTTCTGAATTCTGGAGAAATCAGGCAGAGAGAGAAATAGCCCTCAAATTTTGTTTACAAATGTATATTCAATTGTTAAAGGCTATAAATAGCTGGAAAGAAAAAAGTTTCATAGAGACAGAAAGTAGATTTACAAAAAAAGTTCTCCTGACTCAAAAACAAAACAAAAAGAATCAGCAATGTTTCAAACACACACAAAAAATAATAAAATAAATTCAGTACTTGAAATAAATCTCTGTGTTTGTGTGTGTGTGTTCCATTTCTCCCTAATTCCATTTCTCAACTGCATGAATCCTTAACTCATGAAAGATACTTTTTACCCTCTTGGCTCCACAGTTAATGGAGAAAAAAAAATCATCAACAGTGACTTCTAAGATGGCTTAATATACTATATAATAAAATATTTTTATTTATCATGAAATAAATTAGTACAGTCCATGAAACTCCTGCTCTGCTTCATATTGCATAAACATATGTATACATAATTATGTATTTTATGAATATATCAGCCTTCTAATTAGAGTCCTGGAAGTTTTCTCTCTAGGCTGATAGGACAATCTCCAAAGTTACCAGAAACTTGAATTCAAGTGTTCTTTTTATGAACTCTCTCAAAGAAGCCCTGAACTGTAGCTGACTGTAAGCCACCTTTGGAGAAGACTCAAAGTCAAACAATAATTGTGGATGACAAAAGTCTTAGGACAACCATAGTTAAAAAACAATGGACAAGGAAATTTGGTTATTTCTGTGACAAACGATTATGACAAATGTACTTTTCTCAAGTTTTAAGAGTGGGAGGGTCAATTTCTAGGTTCAGTCAAAAGAAACCACAAACATCAGTTCTATGGGACAACTGGGTTGGTTTTCACAAGAAACTGACAAGCTCACATTAGGAGTTCTAACTGTCCTCCCAGAAAGGTATATTAAGCAATCTTAGAAGTCACTATTGATGATTTTTATTTTCCATTAACTGTAGAGTCAAGAGGATAAAAAGTATCTTTCATGAGTTAAGGATTCATGCAGCTGAGAAATGGTATTAGGGAGAAATGGAATACACACGCGCGCACACGCGCACACACACACACATATTTTACTGCAAGAAATGGGGGTGGTGTGCGGTGGCTCATGCCTGTAATCCCAGCACTTTGGGAGGCTGAGGAAGGAGGATTGCTTGAGTGTAGGAGATCGGTCAGAGTGGTGGGAGAAGCTATAAGAAAAGGACGCAAACCTTCTGAAAGGTCAGAAGTCTCTGCATAGCTTCACGGGAGAATAAGCTGAAAGCAGCTGTTCTCTTACCCTAAGGCAGAGGGCAAGGAGTAGGTACAAGGAAGTGTAGGGGAATTTAACATAAACAGGCTTGTTTACTTATGTTAACTAGGAACCAACATTTGATCATTCACGAGTGAGGCTGCCCCCAAAAGGGGGAACAATAATGTTAATTACCCACAGACTGTGTTGGCTCCAGGCTTTTGGCATTATGTCTGTACTGAATAAAAGCAAGCAGTCCCAGCTTATCAAGACTGCTCACTCTTCAGCAGTCCCCTAGCTGCTCTTACACTACATACCTGTGTCTGAGTACTCCTTTCATCCATCGCTCAGCCAGGGTCTACAGGACAGACCCGGCTCTTGAGGCCGGGAGTTAAGAGACTAGCCTGTGCAGCATAGTGAGACCATTCCTCCACAATAATTTTTTTTTTTGAGACAGAGTCTCGGCACTGTCACCCGGGCTGGTGTGTAGTGTTGCAATCTTGGCTCACTGCAACCTCCATCTCCTGGGTTCAAGCAATTCTCCTGCCTCAGCCTCCTGAGTAGGTAGGATTACAGGTGCCCGCCACTGTGCCTGGCTAATTTTTTATATCTTTTAGTAGAGATGGGGTTTCACTGTGTTGGCCAGGCTGGTCTTGAACTCCTGACCTCATAATCCGCCCACCTTGGCCTCCCAAAGTGCTGGGATTACAGGTGTGAGCCACCCACCTTGCCTACAATAAAAATTTTAAAAAAAGATAGAAGAAGAAATGGGCTATGTGATTGCAGGGACAGGCCAGTCCCAAATCTGTAGGCTAGAGTTCAGGCCAGCAGAATTGAAACGTGGATAGGAGCTGAAGGTGCAGTCTTGAGGCAGAATTTCTTCCCCAGGGAACCCTGTTTTTCTCTTAAGGCCTTTCAACTGATTAGATAAGAACCACCTACATTATCAAAATAACTGATTATAGATGTTAACCGTTTCTATGAAATACCTTCATAACAATACCCTGGTCAGTGTTTAATACAATTTCTGGGTAGTACAGCCTAAACAAGTTTACACATATAGTTGGCAATCATACTCTACCCCTTGTCACCTTAAACCATCTTTAATCTTCAAATAAATACAGTAAAAAAGGCTTATTTTGGCCAGGTGTGGTGGCTCACACCTGTAATCCCAGTACTTTGGGAGGCTGAGGTGGGTGGATCACTCGAGGTGAGAAGTTCGAGACCATCCTGGCAAACATGGGGAAGTCTCTACTAAAAATACAAAATTAGCCAGGCGTGGTGGCACACACCTGTAATCCCAGCTAGTCAGGAGGCTGAGGCAGGAGAATCGCTTGAACCCAGGAGGCAGAGATTGAAGTAAGCTGGGATCGGGCCACTGCACTCCAGCCTGGCGACAGAGCGAGACTCCGTTTCAAAAGAAAAAAAAAAAAGATTAAAAAAAATAGAGATGGGGGTCTTAATATGTTGCCCAAGCTGGTCTTGAATTCCTGGCCTCAAGCAATCTTCTCACGTTGGCTTCCCAAAGTGCTGGGATTACAGGCGTGAGCCACAGCACCCAGCCCTGGATATTATATGCTTGCTTGAAAGCCTGTGGCAGGAAATCCACTTCCTACCCCAATCTCCACATGGCTCAGCCCCTCATCTCCCTATAGACTTTGATCTATGTCACATTCTAAATAAGCTGTTTCCTGATCATTCTAATGAAAATTGCAAACAACTCCCCAAACTCTGACACCCTGATCCACCTTACTCTCCTTTTCCTTCTTTTTGTTATAGCACTGGTTAACTTATCATGTCTATTTCTGTATTATAATTATTGTTTATTTCTGACTTTTCATCCAGAATGTTAGCTCCATGAGGGTAAGCGTCAGTGATGATTTTGTTCACTGCTGGATCCTAAGTTTTTTTTTTGTTTGTTTGTTTTTTTAATTGAGACAGGGTCTTGCTCTGTCACCCAGGCTGGAGTGCAGTGGTGCGACCTCAGTTCACTGCAGACTTGATCTCCCAGGCTCAATCGATCCTACCACCTTAGCCTCCCAAGTAGCTGGGACTACATGCAGCTATGCCACCATGCTCGGCTAATTTTTATTTTTATTTTTGTAGATGGGCTTTTGCCATATTGCCCAGGCTGGTCTCAAATTTCTGGGCTCAAGCAATCTGCCCATCTCGGCCTCTCTAAGTGCTGGGATTGCACGTGTGATCCACCATCCCTGGCCTGTATCTCTAGTCTTTTAAACCATGTCTGGCACACAGCAGACACACAAGAGATATCTCAATAAGATCTAATGGAACCCTGGCTCACAATCCTGAAAAATGATGGACTGAAAAACTCTCTCTGGGAAGCCAAGGCAGAAAGATTGCTTGAGGCCAGGAGTTTGAGATCAGCCTGGGTAACATAGTGAGACACCATCTCTACAAAAAAATTAAAAAGTAGCTGGGTATGGTGGTGCACAACTGTCGTCCCAGTAACTCAGGAGGCTGAGGCTGGAGGATCGCTTGAGCTTAGGAGGTTGAGGCTGCTGTGAGCTGTGATGGTGCCACTGTATTCCAGCCTGGGTGACAGAGGGAGACGTTGTCTCAAAAAAAAAAAAAAAAAAGTTGTTAAGAGCTGAGCATGGTGGCTCACACCTGTAATCCTCAAAACTTGGGAAGCTGAGATGGGAAGATCACTTGAACCCAGGAATTTCAGGCTGCAGTGAGCAATGAACCTGCCACTGCACTCCAGCCCAGGCAACAGAGCAAGCCCCCAACTCTTAAAAAATTTTTAAAATAAAAAAAATTGTATTGAAGTTATCTTTGTTACTTTTATATTTTACATGTGTGTTGCTGCTTTGCATAAGCTTATATTTAGGATGTCAAAAGGCTTAAGACAATCTGATTTATTAAATGTGTAAGTCTTACTGGGTTTACGAGAGTAGCTCAAGGGTGTTTTTATTTTATTAAAGGTCACTCTGCTGCCCAGGATGTAGTTGCAGTGGAGTGACCATAGTTTTCTGCAGCCTTGACTTTTTTTTTTTTTTTTTTTTTTTTTTTTGAGATGGAGTCTCTCTCTGTCGCCCAGGCTGGAGTGCAGTGGCGTGATCTTGGCTCACTGCAACCTCTGCCTCCCGGTTCAAGCAATTCTCCTGCCCCACCCTCCCGAGTAGCTAGGATTACAGGCACCTGCCACCATGCCTGGCTAATTTTTTTGTATTTTTAGTAGACACGGGGTTTCACCATGTTGGCCAGGCTGGTCTCGAACTCCTGATCTCATGACTCACCCACCTTGGCCTCCCAAAGTGCTGGGATTACAGGCGTGAGCCACCATGCCCAGCCAACATTTTAGGCCGAAGCAATCCTCCTACCTCACCCTCCCAAGTAGATGTGACTGTGGGTGTGTACCACCATGCCCAGCTAATTTATTTTTTAATTTTTTGTAAAGACAGGTTCTTGCCATGTTGCCCAGTCTGGTCTTGAACTCCTGGGCTCAGGTGATCCTCCCACCTCAGCCTCCCAAAATGTTGGGATTACAGGCATGAGCCACCCACACTTGGCAGCTTAAGAGTTTAAAAACGACATTATAAGACTTTGCAAGAGGCTAGGCGTGGTGGCTCATGCCTATAATCCCAGCACTTTGGGAGGCCAAGGTCAAGGTGAGAGGATCCCTTGAGCCCAGCAGCTCAAGATCATCCTTGGCAACATAGCGAGACCCCATCTCTACAAAAAAAAAAAAAAAAAAAAAAAAAAGAAGAAAAAAGACTTATAAGTCTGTCATGTTAGACGTTTGAAGAGTTGAGAGAATCTATTGTCCTGTTTGTACGACAACTTTGAAATATTTACCAGGACCCACAAATGATATCAGTATTCAGTAAGTAAATTTCAACTATCAAAGGTATAAACCAATTGAACACTGACCCAAAAACAAAGAAGAGTAAATGATTTTAACAGAAAAATACTAAATCTATAAATGATTTTTATGCTTGTTTGTTATCTTTGAGGATTTAAGGAAAAATGATTTTTCTACATAAATTTAATGCTCTCAATATTAATTATAACTCAACTAAGAAACGATGTTTTTCGGCTGGGCATGGTGGCTCACGCCTGTAATCCCAGCACTTTGGGAGGCTGAGGCAGGTGGATCATGAGGTCAGGAGACTGAGACCATCCTGGTTAACATGGTGAAACCCCGTCTCTACTAAAAATACTAAAAAGTAGCCAGGTGTGGTGGCGGGCGCCTGTAGTCCCAGCTACTTGGGAGGCTGAGGTAGGAGAATGGTGTGAACCCAGCAGGCGGAGCTTGCAGTGAGCCAAGATCGCACCACTGCACTCTAGCCTGGGCGACAGAGCGAGACTCCGTTTCAAAAAAAAAAAAAAAAAAAAAAAGAAACGATGTTTTTCCCACATCCCCTCAGATCCCAGAAACTCCATTGACATCTGGCAACATAAGAAACACTCAAAACATATGAGCTCAATTTAAAAAATGAGTCTCAGAACTTTTGATTTCTCAATTTTCTCATCTGAAAAAGTAGAGGTAGAAATCTCCACTTTAGGTTGTTTTTAATTTTTCAAATTTTGTATGGAATATTAAATAAAAAGGGCTTGGCACCTGCCTGGAAAATAATAAATGATATTTATATTCCTTGGTGCCTTAAAAGTCTGGGGGTTGGGGGAGGAACAGAGTCCTAGCATCCCCAAATGTGTGTGTCCACCTCCAAAACTGGTGCAGGTACAACTTAAAGCCTCCAAACTTTACAAGCCCTAACAACCTCAAAGACTCAATTGCACTCCTCCTGGAGCATGATGGAGCCAGGCAAGCAATGGGTCAGTGTCATGGTCCAGGGATCATTTAGCAAAATCCAGAGACATTTTTCACTAACATATATTCGGGATGGGAGGTGCTACTGGTGTTGATGGTGTTGTGATACCTCAGTTCTTGTCTTCTTAGTTTAAAAGAACTTAAATAAGAATCACACAGCAAGAGATGGAGCACAGAGTAATTTATTGTAAAGCAAAAAGAATATCTTGAAAATTAGGTGAAAAATAGACAATACACCCTGAGAGAGAGAATTCAGGCTGGGGTGCTCCTAAGGATTAGACAGCAAAGACTGGTGCTGGGGGATTCCCTTTATGGCAGACTTCCATGATTATTCATGAGGAGGTGGGAAAGAGGTGTTACTAGTAACCATGTTCTGGGTGCTCCTCTGGGTGCACATGTGCAGTAGCTGTACACACTTGTTCATACGTCACATGTCTCATTAACATCTTAAATCGCCACCCATGGGTGTGTTTTTTACTTTTTTTTTTGAGATGGAGTTTTGCTCTTGTCGCCCAGGCTGGAGTGCAGTGGCGTGATCTCAGCTCACTGCAACCTCCACCTCCCGGGTTCAAGCAATTCTCCTGCCTCAGCCTCCTGAATAGCTGGGACTACAGGCATGTGCCACCACGCCGGCTAATTTTGTATTTTTAGTAGAGACGGGGTTTCTCCATGTTGGTCAGGCTGATCTCGAACTCCCGACCTCAGGTGATCCGCCCACCTCGGCCTCCCAAAGTGCTGGGATTACAGACGTAAGCCACCATGCCCGGCCTGTTTTTTACTATTATAATGAGCAAAGGGTGTCTGAGGAAAGGTAAAATCAAAGCGCACATGTTCCTACAGGTGAAATTCCCTGCTGAAGAAAGCTTTGCTTGAATGAGCTGAACTACCACTCGAATGCTGAGGCTTATTGTGTTGATTGTATGGACACCCTGGTTGCTGCGTCCCCAGGATATGGTCACTCCTTGACTACCTATCCTGCCTCACTGGTATGTACTAAAAAGAGGCCAGTGATGCTGTTAAAGTTATTAAACTTCACAGGATGTCCCACTGCAACCAAAAATTATCCATCCCATTCTCAATGCCAAGATTGAGAAACTCTGCATTAAAGGAAAGTAACAAGAAAGGATTGGCCGGGTGCGGTGGCTCACACCTGTAATCCCAGCACTTTGGGAGGCCGAGGTGGGCGGACCACCTGAGGTTGGGAGTTCGAGACCAGCCTGGCTAACATGGTGAAACCCCGTCTCTACTAAAAATACAAAAATGAGCCAGGTGTGGTGGCACCTGCCTGTAGTCCTAGCTACTCGGGAGGCTGAGGTAGAAGAATCACTTGAACCTGGGAGGCAGAGGTTGCAGTGAGCCCAGATCATGCCACTGCACTCCAGCCTGGTGACAGAGCAAGACTCCATCTCAAAACAAAAACAAAAACAAAAAAACAAAAAACAAACAAACAAAAAACCCAAAAGGGTTAGGTAAGGAGAAGCAGATCAGAGTTTAGCGCTCTAGGCTACTCAATGGTATCTTTAAAATCTTCCTTCTTTTTCTTTTCTTTTCTTTATTTTATTGTATTTTATTTATTTATTTATTTATTTAGTCACCCAAACTGGAGTGAAGTGGCACAATCATAGCTCACTGCAGCCTCTGCCTCCCAGGCTCAAGCGATCCTCCCACCTCAGCCTGCAGGGTAGCTGGAACTACAGGCGCCTACCACCACACCTGGCCAATTTTTTTGTTGGGGGGTATTTTTTGTAGAGACAGGGTTCTGCCATGTTGCCTAGGCTGGTTTCAAACTCCTAAACTCAGGCAATCCACCTGTCTTGGTCTCCTAGATTTCTGGGATTATAGGCATGAGCCACCGTGTCTGGCTAAAACCTTATTTATTGACATCTTCCACTCTAATTAAACCTGCACATTAGAAACAAATTTCTTTTTCTTTTTTTTTTTTTTTTGAGATGGAGTCTCACTCTGTCCCCCAGGCTGGAGTGCAGTGGCGCGATCTCGGCTCACTGCAAGCTCCGCCTCCTGGGTTCACGCCATTGTCCTGCCTCAGCCTCCCGAGTAGCTGGGACTACAGGCGCCCGCCACCATGCCCAGCTAATTTTTTTTTTTTTTTTAATATTTTTAGTAGAGACCAGGTTTCACTGTGTTAGCCAGGATGGTCTCGATCTCCTGACCTCGTGATCCACGTGCCTCAGCCTCCCAAAGTGCTGGGATTACAGGCATGAGCCACCGCGCCCAGCCAACACATTTATTTTTCTAAACCCATTACTCTCATCTGTCAGATTACTTTTATCGTGTCAGCCCTCCAAACCCATCCAAACTACAGCCAGGACATATCTAAATGTAATGGTTCTACTTTTCTAGTTTCAGTTCTTTCTTACATAGACAAAGACACATGCACAGAGCAACATTGGTATTAGAGGAGCATGGCATCTATATTAGTCTGTTTTCATGCTGCTATGAAGACCTACTCGAGACTGGGTAATTTATAAAGAAAAGAGGTTTGACTCACAGTTCTGCATGGCAAGGGAAGCCTGGGGAAACTTACAATCATGGCGGAAGGTAAAACAGGCACATCTTACATGGTAGCAGGTAAGAAAAGTGAGAGCCAAGTGAAGGGGGAAGCCCCTTATGAAACCATCAGATCTCATGAGAACTCACCATCGTCAGAACAGTACGGGGGAAACCATCCCCATGATTCAATTATCTCCTCCTGGCCCTGCCCTTGCCACATGGGGATTATTACAATTCAAGGTGAGATTTCGGTGGGGACACAGAGCCAAACCATATCACCATCCTTTTTCCAGCATCTGGTTTAATGTGGTGTTTTGACTGGTAGGCCTTCATTTTACTCAATAAGCATTTGGGGATGCAGAGTTTTCCCTGATCACCAAACTTGGCTTTTGTTTGCCCTTTGACTAAGTCTGATGTACTGTTTCTTACACTGTTACTTTGCTACTAATAATGGATATTATGCTATTGTATAAGTCTCCCTTTACAGCTTCATTAAAAAAATTAAAATTGCAGCCGGGCACGGTGGCTCACGCCTGTAATCCCAGCACTTTGGGAGGCCGAGGCGGGCGGATCACGAGGTCAGGAGATCGAGACCACCCTGGCTAACACAGTGAAACCCCGTCTCTACTAAAAATACAAAAAATTAGCCGTGCATGGTGGCGGGCGCCTGTAGTCCCAGCTACTCGGGAGGCTGAGGCAGGAGAATGGCCTGAACCCGGAAGTCGGAGCTTGCAGTGAACCGAGATCACACCACTGCACTCCAGCCTGGGGGACAGAGCGAGACTCTGTCTCAGAAAAAAAAGAAAAAGAAAAAAGAAAAAAAAAGAAAAAGAAAAAATTAAAATTGCATAGAAGTACGCATATACACACAAACGAGAGATGTAGAGAACCGGTTAACTCTAAATAAGGCCTACAGATTGTAGCAATGTCAATTTCCTGGTTTTAACATTGTACTATATAAATATGTCATCATTTGAATAAGCTGGATGAAGAATACACAGAACTCTGCACTATTTTTTATAATTTCTGCAACTCTATAATTATTTTTAAAATCTAAAAATGCAAATTAAAAAGGCACTATTTTAATTTCCAAATATTTATAAGTGTTCCCACTCTTTTTTCTACATTTATTACAACATTTATTTACAGTCATTTTATCAGTTGTGCAGCCTAAACCAACAATATCCTGTTTAGTCATTCCTAAGATGCACTATTTCTGACATGGAAATATCCTGAAATTGGGAAACTATTGACCCAACACCACCTGTGATAAAACTGCATGAACACCTTTCTAAGATGAAGGACCAGCATCACAGCAGCACATCAGGCCAACAAAGGCAGAAGCCCAGCAGCAGGGAGAGGGCAATCGCATGAGGACCCAGCAGCAGGGAGAGGGCAGTCACACGAGGACGGCAGCAGGGAGAGGGCAGTCACACGAGGACGGCAGCACGAGGTCAGCGCACCAACATTGTAGGTTGCAGGCTTATCCTGATGACAAGAGCGATGGACCTCACCATGTGTCTGTAAACGGCAATTTTTGTTTTTTGTTTGTTTGTTTGTTTTTGAGACGGAGTCTCGCTCTGTTGTCCAGGCTGGAGTGCCGTGGCACAAACTCGGCTCACTGCAAGCTCCGCCTCCCAGGTTCACGCCATTCTCCTGCCTCGGCCTCCCAAGTAGCTGAGACTACAAGCACCCGCCACCACGCCCGGCTAATTTTTTTTGTATTTTTTAGTAGAGTTGGGGTTTCACCGTGTTAGCCAGGACGGTCTTGATCTCCTGCCCTCATGGTCCGCCTGCCTCGGCCTCCCAAAATGCTGGGATTACAGGCGTGAGCCACTGCGCCTGGCCTGAAAACGGCCATGTTGCTACTTAAATGCTAAACCTTTAATGGTGTATTAATAGACAGTTATTAAGTTGCAAATTAGGAGCTTAAATCTACATAAATCAGCTGTGTACTGACTGTATCTCACAGTAACAAATTCACCCAATCTGTATCTTGTCTTCTTTGTAACAGTGTTAAATATTAGCATATCTCGCTCTCAGGTGTGATTCCAGCAGCTGCGCTGAGGCCATTGCTGCTCCCGAATCTCCACTTTCATTTGCCTTCACTGGTGTCACTGTCGCTGTCACTGCTGCTGTCAGTATCACTGTTACTGGTCAATGCAGTGAAGTTGCCTAGGGCTTCCTTTTGTTCCTGGTTGATTGCAAAGTCAGTCATTACTCTCTGGGTGAGGCCCTCACAAATAGGTAAGCTGAGCCACCTCTACTACCTCAGTGGCCTGGGAGGGGCTGTTAGACACTCTTGCACTGTCCATAAACTCATTCAGCAACTCATTTCTAGGGATCTTATTATGCTTCCTAAAAAGCCCCAACATTTTCCAGGCTTCCTGGATTCTCCCAGCCATTAAAAAGAGGACAGCTGGCTGAGCGCAGTGGCTCATGTAGGTAATCCCAGCACTTTGGGAGGCTGAGGCAGGTGGATCACCTGGGGTCAGGAGCTTGAGACAGCCTGGCCAACATGGTGAAACCCTGTTTCTACTAAAAAGACAAAAATTAGCCAGCATAGTGGTGGACGCCTGTAATCCCAGCTACTCAGGAGGCTGAGGCAGGAGAATCACTTAAACCTCGGAGGCAGAGGTTGCAGTGAGCCGAGACCATGCCATTGCACGCCAGCCTGGGCCACAAGAGCGAAACTCCGTCCCAAAAAAAAAAAAAAAAAAAAAAAAAGACAGCTCTACAGTTGAGACAGATAGCTGGCCAATTCAGAGCAGTGTGTCTGACAGGCTGGCTTTCATACGTAGATTTGATATCAGCAGCACAGTCAGCAAATGCTACCTGAAGCTCTGGTGGGTGCTTATCCATTGCCATGAGTGTCAGGATCTCTTCTCTCAGGTTGTTGCAGAAAGTGTGACTATATTCTTTACTATCTTTCCAAATTTGAGTAATCACTTCCAGCCAGTTGGCCACATCCAATGCTCGGAGATCTATCAACATTTGGGAGTGGGGAAAGAAGGCTGAAGGTATCAGGTCCTCATACCACTTCAAGGTGACATCAATTCGTTCCATTAGACAAATCAAATTGAAGAACATGGAATAATAGGAATTATGCCGTTTATCAGGTCCAATGAATTTTCAGTTGTCTCTGGTATTTAAAAGGCCATGTAGCCGGGTGCAGTGGCTCACGCCTGTAATCCCAGTACTTTGGGAGGCCGAGACGGGCGGATCATGAGGTCAGGAGATCGAGACCATCCTGGCTAACACTGTGAAACCCCATCTCTACTAAACATACAAAAAAAATTAGCCAGGCGTGGTGGTGGGCACCTGTAGTCCCAGCTACTCGGGAGGCTGAAGCAGGAGAATGGCGTGAACCCGGGAGGCAGAGCTTGCAGTGAGGCGAGATTGCACCACTGCACTCCAGCGTGTGTGACAGAGCGAGACTCTCTCTCTCAAAAAAAAAAAAAAAAAAAAAAAAAAAAGCCATGTATTTGGTACGCAAGTTCTAGATTTCTGAGAGATGAAGATACTCTCATGGCTGACTGAAAAAGCTTATCATCATCCAGGTCCTTTGGGGGAAAATCTCTTTCCCATTAATTCATTCATTATATCATAGATGATGAAAGATGATCCCTTTGAAGGGTTTCCAGGCTGATAAAACAGCTGAATAATATGGTGATATGTTGCAAGCGAGGGTTCTAGTCTGATGGCTTTCATTTCACATAGAATCTGTAAGGCTGGCAATCTTGCAAGTACATAAAATCTTCGGAGACATTTCAGAATGGTATTAAAAGTCTGTAGATTTGGTTTCACCTTCTGTGCAACCATTTGTCTTAGCAGCTCCAGTATATTATTCCATTCTTCCTCAAATTTCTCATTTATCACCAATACTGTTGCTTCAATCACTGCATTAAATGTGTATACATCAGCACAGAGTCTGTTGTTTAGTAACTCAGTGTACAGGTTTAATGCCTGCTCATAAGCTTGATGCTTCACCATTCCTCGGATCACTGTGCAATAGGAATGTGCATTTTTCCCTGGCATTAGAGAAAACATTCTCTCAGCGTTGTTTTGTGCTCACCAGGTAACTCCAAATTGATCACCAGCTTTCCTCCTAGACCTCTTATTATTTTCCTCTTCCAATTCTTCTGACTGTTCAATTTGTTGAAACTGATAATCAGTTGAGGGCTCCTGGTCACCATAGTAACACAATAAATCCAAGAGACTATATGTTGTTACAAGAGACACAGTGGTTCCTGCTTGCAAAAGCTCATCAAACATGTCCACAGAGACTTTGACTTTTCTGAGCTTGATTCATTCCTTGAGAGTGGCTTCACTTATGTCTTTGATCTGAGGTTCAAAGTACTCAGGCATTAAACACAGTGTATGAGGTTCAGCTATGTCTTTCTGAAAATATTTGGAGTATGAATTAATAATGAACTTGGCCGTATTCTCCCCGGATTTCTTTGCCAGTAAAAATGAACGAGATTCTGAAGAGGATGTTGGTATGAGGTAAGGATTATCTTGAAACACGCAAGGTACAGCCGTGGGAACCCTGTTTACTGTGGATGCAAGAGCCTGAAGAACGGCTACTTTATCCCAAGTTTTCTTTTTTGGAATTACTACTTCTTCAATCCCTGTTATATCAGTTCCTTCAATATTTGAGAGGGTTGCACTTCCAGAATAAAATCTCAGCTGTGTGCTTGTTCACATAGACCTGCTGGCTGACCCGTCAGTGGCTGGTCAAGCCTGCTGCAGAGCCCCAGCCAGCGAACAGCAGCTACAGCCGCCATCTTTGACTTCTCTGCCAAGTGCTCCCACTCTTACACAATCATTCAACATCCCATTTCTGACACCACATCTAAAGCAAAAAAACTAACTGTTCTTTTCTTTCAACTCACTCAAAACAGAACATTTGTGTGACCAAATGAGTGGAGGTTTTTTCATCCATCCCAGTTTTCCAGGAGACACCAGTAGGTGTCCTATAATTCAAATCTGACACTATCTACTTGAAGGAAGTGTCACATCCCATAGGTTGAGGACTAAGTCCCACAGAATTGCCCTTCACTTCAGATGCCAGTCACAATCACCTGGTTGTGGCCTGTGCTTTTGACCAACTACATTAGAATTGGGGTTCCCACAACCCCCTAGAACTCATTTCTAGAATGGCTCATAGAACTCGGGGAAACACTTTGCTTATGTTTACTGTTTTATAATAAAAGATATCACAAAGGATACAAACAAACAGTCAGAAAAGATACACAGGGCAAGGTATGTGAGAAGAGGTGTGGAGCTTCCATGCCCTCTCCAGGAACACTGAATGTGTTCAGCAATCTGGAAAGCTAAAATCTTGTTGTCCAAGAGTTTTTATAGAGCTTCATGTCAAGCCATCCCACCCTTTCCACTTCACAGAGGTTGGTGGGTAGGACTGAAAGTTCCAACTCTCTAATCTTTCTGGTGACCAGCTTCATCTTGAGGCTGTCTAGGGTCTCCACCCTAAGCCATCTCATTGGTATAAACTGAGATGTGATCAAAAAGTCATTAAAAATAACAAAAGACATTTCAACACACAGGAAATTCCAAGGGTTTCAGGAGCTCTGTGATAGAAATAAGAAAGTCAAGCCTACTTGAGTTTGGAGAGGCTAATGCTGGGTAGTGTGAGCACCAATACAATGAGATAAATGGATTATAATGCCGCAGATAAAAATCATCCACTCCATGTGGCTTCTAAAATAATTAACTAACTTAAAATGGATGGGATGGGATGGGCCGGGCGCGGTGGCTCACGCCTGTAATCTCAGCACTTTGGGAGGCTGAGAGGGGTGGATCACCTGAGGTGGGCCGGGCGCGGTGGCTCACGCCTGTAATCTCAACACTTTGGGAGGCCGAGGGGGGTGGATCACCTGAGGTGGGCCCGGCGTGGTGGCTCACGCCTGTAATCTCAACACTTTGGGAGGCTGAGAGGGGTGGATCACCTGAGGTGGGCCGGGCGCGGTGGCTCACGCCTGTAATCTCAACACTTTGGGAGGCCGAGGGGGGTGGATCACCTGAGGTCAGTAGTTTGAGACCAGCCTGGCCAACATGGTGAAACCCCATCTCTACTAAAAAAAAACAAAAACAAAAACAAAAAAAAAACCCAAAAAAAACAAAATTAGCTGGGTGTGGTAGCACACGCCTGTAGTCTCAGCTACTTGGGAAGCTGAGACAGGAGAATCACTTGAAATCGGGAGGCGGAGGCTGCAGTGAGCCTAGATCGCGCAACTGCACTCCAGCCCGGATGACAAGAGTGAGACTCTTTCTCAAAAACAAAAAAAAAGAAAAGAAAAAAGAATGGGATGGGTAAAGTTCTTTACAGGAGTGTCAACTTATAAGTATAAAATGTAAAGAAGTAATAGAAATAGAATCCCCACAAGCAGTGATCACAGATTCAGGGAAGAATCATCAACAGAGGCTAAAACTAGAGGCTGAAGTGGGGGGACTTAATATTATTCAGACATTGCAAAGAATTGACCCACAGATTACTTATTAATTACAAAGAAGAAAGAGTGGAGAGATCTAGTAGATACCATCTTAACCAAGTAGTCAAAATCCAAATCTCCCAAATGGACAAACTGTATACTTAGGTGCCTCCTTATAGGACATAACATCATTGGCAATTCTGGGGCAAAATAAATGTGTTCATTGAATTATTGTTGGAACTTTGGAAAAGGTATACATTTTTCAAAATAAATAACTTGTCCTTCAAATCTCCAATATACTGAATACCTGATATTGGGCAAATTACACGTCTTCCTGGGCCTCAGTTTCCTCACATTAAAAATATGGAGATAATGTTATTACTTGCCTGCTCAATTGTAAGGTTTACAAAAAGAAAATACGTAGTTAATAACTCAGGGCTTGGTAAATGTTTGCTATTTGGAATAAACTGATGGGAGGCTACATGCAATTTCTACTTACCCCTTTAGCATGAAGATACTAAAAAAAAATTGTTTTAATGTTAATACTGGTCAGCTGTGCCTGAATTCCTTTTTTTTTTTTTTTTTTTTTTGAGGCGTAGTCTTGCTCTGGTGCTGAGGCTGGAGTGGCAGTGGCGCGATCTCGGCTCACTGCAACCTCCACCTCCCGGGTTAAAGCAATTCTCCTGCCTCAGCCTCCTGAGTAGTTGGGATACAGGCGCCCGCCACCACGCCTGGCTAATTTTTGTATTTTTAGTAGAGACGGGGTTTCTCCATGTTGGCCAGGCTGGTCTCGAACTCCTGACCTCATGTGATCCACCCACCTCGGCCTCCGAAAGTGCTGGGATTACAGGCATGAGCCACCGCGCCCGACCTGTGCCTGAATTTCAAAGAGAGGAGGGTAAAATGAGGCATGTCCCATCTCCTTCCTATCGCGGCCGAACTAGTGTTTCCGGTTAAGTTTGCCATGCTCTTAGCTGAGAGGAGGGGTCCATTCAGTTGGCTGGGAGCTTAGAATTTGATTTTTAGTTTACAGCTCTGTGATTCACCCGGGAGAGATGCAGAGTTAGGACAACAGGAGAGAAGCGAACCCGGAGAGCAACGCCTCCCAGCACTGCCTGACATCAACCGCTCTGGCAGGGCGACCACGCGGCCGGGGCCCTCCGGAAAGCAGCCTTAATCCCCGCCCGACCGCAGGTCTCGGGCCACGCAGCGCTAACAGCCGCGGGAGGGGGACCCAAACGTCAGCGGTCCCCAAATACAGGACCCTACCTTGCTCTGGCATCTCACCGGCCCTCCCTGCTGCCACTGAGCGCCGCGGAGAGGACGAGCCCGGCGCGCCCCGCCCCCTCGCGCGCCCCGCCCCCTCGCGCGCCCCGCCCCCTCGCGCGCCCCGCCCCCTCGCGCGCCCCGCCCCCTCGCGCGCCCCGCCCCCTCGCGCGCCCCGCCCCCTCGCGCGCCCCGCCCCCTCGCGCGCCCCGCCCCCTCGCGCGCCCCCGCCCCCTCGCACGCCCCCGCCCCCTCGCACGCCCCGCCCCCTCGCGGCCCCCGCCCCCCTCGCGGCCCGCGGCCCCCGCCCCCCGGACCCCCGCTCGCGCTCCCCGGACCCCAGCTCGCGGCCCCGGACCCCCGCTCGCGCCCCCCGGCCCGGGGACGCATTTCCCTTGCCTGCACCCAAGCCGGTAAAAGGGCAGACGTGGCAGCTCAAGGCGCCTGCGCCCAGCAGGTTGCAGGCCCCACTCTCTCAGGGAGACCAACATACTTGCGGAGCCGCACAGAGAGGTGAAGCTTAAAAGAGGTACCGGTGATGATATCCGGGCTTTTGAGGGCACGGAATTGAAAACTGGAGTGAAACATACAAATAAAAGGAAATAAAAGCTCATCAAGTTTTCTTTGTGTTGCTGATGGTGTAGCACAGGTCAGATACTCGCCCTGCAGAAAAGTCAGGTCAGGAATTTAGGATGCAGGATGACTTCTGATTCTTCCCCAGAGGCACTACCTGTGTGCACTGTTGGCCTCCCTTCTCCACGACTTCACCTGCATTTTTATGTACAATTTTAAAGGTTCTCGATATGGAATTGGAAATGGAATCCTGTGTCTTTTGGTAAACATTTACTAAAAGGCATCACATCTTGTTCTCCGTTTTCAGGAAGTTCACTCCTCCTTGTCAGTACTTTGACTAGACAATTAAAATAAACATAGATCCAATTTAGAAGAATGCTATAAAGATACAAAAAACATAAAAACAAAATATTATTTTAAAATACTGAATTAAGAAAACACTTGCAGGACATAGGACAAATGCAGCATAATATTTAAGTCTCAAAGAAATGTTCTACCTAAGAAAGAAGCAAAGAATCTGAAAGCTAATAAAAGAAAAATAAAATATGGCAAATACATTTGATTAAAAGTGTTCAAGCACGCTAGCGCTCAAATTAAAAATAAAACAATGAGATATTATTTCCAGCTCTAAGATTTATAATGATTGAAAATTTGATGGCTGGGCATGGTAGCTCATGCATTTACTGTCAGAGCACTTTTGGAGCCCTAGGGGGTAAGATCGCTTGAGCCCAGGAGTCGGAGGCTGCAGTGAGCCATGGTTGCACCACTGCATTCCAGCCTGGGCGACAGAGCAAGACCCTCTCAAAACAAATAAATAAATAAATACAATTTAAAAAAGAAAGAAAAATATTTTAAATAACTAAACTGAAACAGGTCAGGGTCACTGGTCTCATTGTCTAAGGTGTTATCTAAGCTCGTGGTCTCATGACCAAGAAAATTAAGGAGCGTGGACACAAACAGTGAGGTTGGATCAAAAATAGAAGCAGAGAGTAAAATGGTGGTTGCCGGGGGCTTGAGTGAAGGGGAAATGGGGAAATGTTGGTCAAGAAGTACAAATTTTCAGTTTTGCAAGATAAGTTTTGGGGATTTAAGGTACATAGTGACGTTATTTGACATGTACATTGTGACATTATGTGACATAGTTAACAAATTAGAAAAAAAAATTTTAAATTGGATGATCAGAAATGAAAAAAACAATACTACTTGACATTTGCTAAGAGGATAGATTTTTATTTTTTGCGACAAGGATAGACCTTAAGTGTTCTTCTGCATGGGGGAGAAAAGGATATTTTTTTTAAAAAGTGTTCTGACCGCACACACACACACACACAAAGGGTATAATTTGAGGTGGTTAATACATCAATCAGCTTGATTTGATTATGGTAACCATATCATATTATATGTGTATATCAAAATTCAAATCGTATATTTAAAATATGTATCTTTTTTGTCAACTGTACCTCAATAAAGCTAAAAAGTAAATACAAGGCCCAGGGCAGTGGATCACACCTGTAATCCTAGCACTTTGGGAGGCCGAGGCAGGTGGATCACCTGAGGTCAGTAGTTCGAGACCAGCCTGGCCAATATGGTGAAACCCCATCTCTACTAAAAATACAAAAAATTAGCCAGACGTGGTGGCAGATGCCTGTAATCCCAGCTACTCAGGAGCCTGAGGCAGGAGAATCACTTGAATCTGGGAGGCAGAGGCTGCAGTGACCTGAGATCACCCCACTGCACTTCAGCCTGGGCAACAAGAGTGAAACACTGTCTCAAAAAAAAAAAAAAGTAAATACAATATTTAATTGGAGTAAATATAATATAATGTAACATATATGCACACACACAAAGGGTGTGGTTTGAGGTGGTAAATACATCAATCAGCTTGATTTGATTATGGTAATTATATCTTTTGTGTATTTCAAAATTCAAACTATATTTAAAATATATATCATTTATATCATTTTTGTCAACTGTACCTCAATAAAGCTAAAAAGTAAATACAATATTTAATTGGAGTAAATATAATATAATGTAATATATATGTACACACACACAAAGGGAGTGGTTTGAGGTGGTAAATACATCAATCAGCTTGATTTGATTATGGTAATTATATCTTTTGTGTATTTCAAAATTCAAACTGTATATTTAAAATATATATCATTTATATCATTTTTGTCAACTGTACCTCAATAAAGCTAAAAAGTAAATACAATATTTAATTGGAGTAAATATAATATAATGTAATATATATGTACACACACACAAAGGGTGTGGTTTGAGGTGGTAAATACATCAATCAGCTTGATTTGATTATGGTAATTATATCTTTTGTGTATTTCAAAATTCAAACTGTATATTTAAAATATATATCATTTATATCATTTTTGTCAACTGTACCTCAATAAAGCTAAAAAGTAAATACAATATTTAATTGGAGTAAATATAATATAATGTAATATATATGTACACACACACAAAGGGTGTGGTTTGAGGTGGTAAATACATCAATCAGCTTGATTTGATTATGGTAATTATATCTTTTGTGTATTTCAAAATTCAAACTGTATATTTAAAATATATATCATTTATATCATTTTTGTTAACTGTACCTCAATAAAGCTAAAAAGTAAATACAATAATTGGAGTAAATATAATATAATGTAATATATATGTACACACACACAAAGGGTGTGGTTTGAGGTGGTAAATACATCAATCAGCTTGATTTGATTATGGTAATTGAATCTGGGATTCAATTATATGTGTATATCAAAATTCAAATTGTATATTTAAATATATATCATTTTTGTCAACTGTACCTCAATAAAGCTAAAAAGTAAATATAATATTTAACTGGAGTAAATATAATATGTAATATATCTGTTATATGGTATATCAAGATTATATTATTAATATTATATATTAATATAATATATTTAATGATAATATAATTATAATGAATATCCAATATTGTGTCAATTAATTTAAAGCACATTTATAATTGTAATACTAATGTTCAAGTAGATGTACATATAATTTACATCAAAATATAAACATCAATATAAACAAACAGCAGAAAATTCTGCTCTAGATTTCCAGACAAATTTGGTGAAAAAATATTGTGATGAAATGTCATATACAGAAAAGAAAAACAATTTATCATTGTTTTAATTAAATAAAGTGTAAAATTTTCCTGTTAAATGTTATTTCATGTCATTTTCCTGGTTCGAAATTGTTTCTCCAAAATGGCTTGATATCTGGCCAAATTTTATTTATGGATAGTCAAATATATCAATAAATGAAATTCATATCACTTCTTTATGTGCTCTTAATAACAGTTAAAAAATTACACAAATATAGACATGTAATAAAATTTTCCCTTTTATCCTGCACTATTGTAGATTACAGCTATAAAAAGTGACAGCCACCAGCCAGCTTCCCTCAAGACTGATCAATGACTGATCAATGACTGGTCAATGGTGAGACATCTTTTTTCAATGCGCAGGTACCCTCACTTGCATAACTTGCAGGGTCGTGCACGTGCAGGGTGGGATCTTCTTTTTATTTACAATCTTTATGTTTTGTTAAGATGGACTTTTTACATTACTTAAAATATACATTGCTTTCAAATACTATTTATCTTGATCACAGAATTTTTAGCACCACCTTAAATTTTGTTCCTGTCTCACTAGCCTCACTCTTATGTGATACTAATTAGAAATAACACTTTTAATTTATAAGGAGAGGCCACTATGTCAAAAGATAGGTGGAGAGCATAAAAACCCCATTTACAAAAGACTATATGTATATAATAAGCATTGAAAAATATGTGTAAGCAGAATAGTACTCAAAAATATTCTTTTTTAAAAAATTGGCAACTATTGCAAGCTTGTCTCCCTGTTCAGGTTCCAGTGATTTGGGACGAATTTTTTTCCCACAAGGGGGTTGGGGGAGCCAAGGAGCATGACTCTGTGTATGTGAGTTGGCATGGGCCGAAATGTTCTTCTTGTGATGGCTTAGGTGTAGGGGTTGGTAATAATTTATACACTGGTGTAAATTATTAAATATCAATTGACGGAAAGGGGTCCTATCTAGTCCTTTTTAGATGGAGGATACATGTTTCTAAGGAGTGATACAATTACTAAGGGTGGAACTAGAGATTTATGTAAATGGTTTAAAAAAGTGGGCGGGACCACCTGGCTACGCATATAAAACCCAGTCTCTGCGCAGAGTGACTTGTCTCCCAGACAGTGGCTCAGCCTTCAGGACTCTCTTCCAGCATGGCCGAAGACACCTATTCACACAGTAAGTTCCCTTGTGCTTGACTGAGCTTTTGTTGGTTTGGGGAAAAAGTAGGGCTAAAAACCCAGTGGTCTTGTCAGAAGTTGTGAGAGTTCCATTTTTAAACTTTAACTGTATCTGGATAGGGGAAAACCGGTTTCTCTGATGTGATATTATGAAAATAGGCTGTTTTCAGTGCATTTGAGCATTGGGAATTTCAGAAAGGTACAGATATTCAAGAACTAAATAAGACATATTTGAGCTTCAGGAAGGAAGAGAGGAGGAAGGAGTGGAAAAGAAAAAAAGGAGAGGGAGACAGATGCTAAAACAGAGCAACTATGGGACACATCACAAAGTTCAGAGCTCAAAATATCCTTGGAATCAAGGATTCCAGATCTGGAAAGCACTTTCCTGATTTCTCTCTACAGAATGTTTGAACTTTTCTCCTGAACTTTGGACTTCATCTAATTGCCTGCTTGTCTCTAACAGGCATCTCAGACTCAATGTGTTCCAAAAACTGAATTCCCTATGTTCATATCTAAACTATTCCTCGCACTGTTTTCTCCAGCTCAGGAGGTGCCAGGTCATGCCTCATATCTAGAAAACACCCCTGACTCCATTTTTTCCCCCATAACACAGTCAGGCTGGACATTCTGATGGCTTTAACATTCAAATATTTAAGGAATCTGACCATTTCTTGGTCCATCTCATTAGATTATTGGCCCATTGCATGAGATTATTGCAGTCTTCTCCTAACTGATCTCCCTGCTTCCACCAACCTATTCTCAACGCTGTACCTCATGTGATGTTGTTAAACTGTTAATTAAATTATGGCGGCCGGGCGCCGTGGCTCACGCCTGTAATCCCAGCACTTTGGGAGGCCGCGGTGGGCAGATCACGAGGTCAGGAGTTCAAGACCAGCCTGGCTAACATGGTGAAACCCTGTCTCTACTAAAAATACAAAAATTAACCAGGCGTGGTGGTGGGCGCCTGTAGTCCCAGCTACTCGGGAGGCTGAGGCAGGAGAATTGCTTGAACCCAAGAGGTGAATGTTGCAGTGAGCCGTGATCATGCCATGTACCTCAGCCTGGGCCAGAGAGCGAGACTCCATCTCAAAAATACATACATACATACATACATAAATTAAATTATGTCACTTATCTGCTCAAAACCTTCAACAAAAAGGCACTTGGCCCTATCGTGCCCTAGATAACGTGGCGCTTGGTATGGTCTGTGACCTCGTCTGCTTCCCTTTTATTCTTTTTTTTCAGATGTTCTGGCCTCCTTGCCTTATGTCAAATAGGACAGGCAGCGTCCCAGCCCAGGGCCTCTCCCCACCTCCTGCAATGTCTCTCAAACGTCAGCATTACTCACTCTCTAATGTGCCTCAAGCCTTTGTTCATGTTATACTTTCTCAGTGAGCCCATCCCTAACTATTGCACTTAGAACTGTGACCTCACCCCTGCACTCTCTACTCTTGCCACTTGAGTCTTCTTTGCCGTGGAAATACTCATCATCTGATACACTACATCTTTTGCTTGTTTGCTTGATATCTTTCAGCTCCTTAAAGATCAAGGATATCTTAACTGTTTTGTTTATGGTGCCTAGAATAGGGTCTGGCTTTTTTTTTTTTTTTTTTGAGAGGAGTCTCACTCTCTCGCCCAGGCTGGAGTGCAGTGGCGCGATCTCGGCTCACTGCAAGCTCTGCCTCCCGGGTTCATGCCATTCTCCTGCCTCAGCCTCCCGAGTAGCTGGGACTACAGACGCCCGCCACCACGCCTGGCTAATTTTTTGCATTTTTAGTAGAGACGGGGTTTCACTGTGTTAGCCAGGATGGTCTCGATCTCCTGACATCGTGATCTGCCCGCCTCGGCCTCCCAAAGTGCTGGGATTACAGGCGTGAGCCACCGTGCCCGGCCAGGGTCTGGCTTTTAATAGGCGTTAATAATTTTTTAACACTTGAAAAATTAGATGAAAATATTCTGGTTAATTCTACTAGGACTTACCTAGCCATTTCTGGAAGTGAATGTTTGTTGTGTGGAGAAGGTAAAGTGTTAGAAATTAGAATTCAGTCAAAAGAATGAATATATATATATACATATATATATATATATATATTTTTTTTTTTTTTTTCCTACTCCAGAAATGTAGAAGTTGAGGAAAAGCAAAATGGATTTAGGAGTGGCTTTCTGAGGTTAATTACAAAAGCAGAGAGGATCAATTTCTCAAGGTATCAGGGCAGGTCTATGTAAATCTTATGAAGTGGTCTTTTGAAAGGGGTGGTGTTACTTACAAATATACGGAAGAATAGAAGATTTATTTTAGGGCACTTGTTTTCAAAGTATGGCCTGTGGAGCTCCAGAGCCCTTTCCAGGAACTGTAAGGTTGACACAATTTTCCTAATTATACTAAGACATTTTTCTTTTGCACTGATGATACAAAAACAATGATGGGTAAATCTGCTGGTACCTCAGAGGACATCAAACCAGTATAACCAAATTGTACTGGTAGTTACTGTGGTTACCCTCATACTTTCAGTGCAAGAACAAAAAGTGGTTTCACTTAGGAATGTCCTTAAGCAGTAACAATTATTGATTTTATTAAACTTTAACCCTTGATTACACCTTTTTAATATCCTGTGTAACACAAAGGGACATATGCATCAAACCCTGTGCTTCATACTGGAATAGGATGCTTGTCTGGAAAAGAAGGATGTATGTAATTATTTGAATTGCTAGCATAAAACTAGCCTTTCACATTTTTATTATTTTGAAATATTTTTTATCTTAAAAAAAATTTTTGTTTCCACCAAAATCCTACAGTCATCTAGCCTTTTTTAAAAAAATTATTTTTAATTTTATTTTTTTGAGACGGAGTTTCACTCCTGTTGCCCAGGCTGGAGTGCAATGGTGCAATCTCGGCTCACTGCAACCTCTGCCTCCCGGGTTCAAGCGATTCTCTCGCCTCAGCCTCCCAAGTTGCTGGGATTACAGGTATGCACCACCATGCCTGGCTAATTTTGTATTTTTAGTAGAGACGGGGTTTCTCCAAGTTGGTCAGGCTGGTCTCGAACTCCTGACCTCAGGTGATCTGCCTGCTTCGGCCTCCCAAAGTGCTGGGATTATAGGCGTGAGCCACTGTGCCCGGCCAATGATTTTGAATTTTTGTGGGTGCATAGTAAGTGTATATATGTATGGGGTACAGAGGCATCCTTGCATCCGTGGGATAAATCCCATGTGGTCATGAGGAATTATCTTTTTACTGTTGAATTCAGTTTGCTAGTATTTTGTTGAGGATTTTTGCATCAGTGTTCATTAGGGATATTGTCCTTTTTCGATGTGTCTATTTGCCTGCTTTTGAGTATCAGAGTAATACTGGCCTTGTAGAATGAGTTAGATGGTGTCTCACTATGTTGCCCAGGATAGTCTTGAACTCCTGGACTCAAGGAACCCACCTGTCCTGGCCTCTCAAGGTGATGGGATTATAGGTGTGAGCCACCTACGCCCAGTCTAAACTGTTATTTTAAATGATCAATGCAAGAGGCTACAAAATCATCGATAGGTAAAAGAGCCATTCAAAATGTAAGATAATGGGTTGGAAACTTGAAAAAAATGTAAGACAAAAATGTATTTTAATATAACGCAGTAAGAAAAGTTCATTGATATGTTTTCAGACTCCATGTGACAACTACCCTTTAAACAAGTTTAAGAAATTGGCCAGGCATGGTGGCTCACACCTGTAATCCCAGCACTTTGGGAGGCTGAGGTGGGTGGATCATCCAGACCAGCCTGGCCTACGTGGCAAAACCACGTCTCCACTAAAAATACAAAAATTAGCCAGGCATGGTGGCAGGTGCCTGTAATCCCAGCTACTCAGGAGTCTGAGGCAGGGGAATCACTTGAACCCAGGAGACTGAGGCTGCAGTGAGCCGATATTGTGCCACTGAACTCTAGCCTGGGGAACAGAGTGAGACTCTGTCTCAAAGAAAAAAAAAAGAGAGAGGATGTGACTCTTTCCTGTAATTCCAGCACTTTGGGTGGCTGAGGTGGGAGGATTGTATGGGGAGGCCAGGAGTCTCATACAGCCTGGGCAACCTAGGGAAAGGCCATCTCTACAAAACATCAAAAACTTAGCTAAGCATGGTGGTAAAGTGAGAGGTCATAGCATGGGGTGTGGACTGCCTTAGACCGGAGGGTCAGGGAGGGACTCTGAGAAGATGGTGTGCAAGCTGAGACCTGAGCAAGGTGATCTCATCCATCATCGTGTGAAGAGCCTTGTGGGTAGACGGAGGAGCAAGTGAAAACTCTGGAGAAGGAAGAAGTTGGCCGGGTTGGGGGTCAGATGGAAGTTAGATATCATGGCAGGAGTACACATTGCAACATATAAAGCCAAGTGGAATGTCGCGTATGATGAGGTCAAGGAGATGAGGTCAAGGTATGGAATGTCGCGTATGATGAGGTCAAGGTTCAAGAGGAATGATGGGTAATGTCAAAGGTGGATTGTATGAGCCAATTCATTGAGCTTGTAAAAGTTGAAACTTCCCCCTTCAGTGAAATACAGTGGACCAGGGGCCAGGTGCAGTGGCTCACACCCGTAATCCCAGCAATGTGGTAGGCCAAGGTGGGTGGATCAGGAGGTCAGGAGTTCGAGACCAGTCTGGCCAACGTGGTGAAACCCTGTCTCTACTAAAAATACAAAAAATTAGCCAGGCGTGGCGGCACGTGCCTGTAACCCCAGCTACTTTGGAGGCTGAGGCAGGAGAATCACTTGAATCTGGGAGGTGGAGGTTGCAGTGAGCCGAGACTGCACCATTGCACTCCAGCCTGGGCAACAAGAGTGAAACTCCATCTCAAAAAACAAAAAACAAAAAACAAAACAATGGACCAGGTGTGTGAAACTGAAGACAAGGGCAAGCATTCAAAGATCAAACAAAAAAGCTGTTGGTCTTTTAACTGAACTTCTAGCATCTCTAGTAAATTTTCTTCTTATCTCAATTCACTAAGTCTAATTCTGTTACGAAATGGTATCTTCCAAAATGCTTTCCAGATTTGGTTATTTCAAGGAGATGTCCTATCCAGCAAATTATGTGATGTGGTATTTTTTTTCCTATTGGAAAATTCCACTGAAAGTATGAAATTCTTTTTCCAGCTAATTTTGTCCTCCCTGTGGTGTTTTTAAAAATACCTTGGAAACTGTTACTGTTTGCCTGTTATTGCTATTGAGCAATGGAGGTCAAAGTAAAAAAAATATGCTCCGGCCAGGGGTGGTGGCTCATATCTGTAATCTCAGCACTTTGGGAGGCCAAGGCTGGGGAATCGCTTTTGAGCCCAGGAGTTTGAGACCAGCCTGGACAACGTGGCGAAACTCTATCAAAAAGTAGAAAAATTAGCTGGGTGTGGGGGTGTGCACCTGTAGTCCCAGCTACTCAGGAGGCTGAGGTAGGAGGATCACCTGAGCCTGTGGAGGTGAAAGCTGCAGTGTGCCATGATTGCGCCACTGCACTCCATCCTGGGCAACAGAGTGAGATCCTGCCTGAAAAAATAAAAATAATAAAAATAAAATATATGCCAATAAAAATAAAATACCAAGGAATTTTGACCTGAAAAACTGAAAGGGGTTGAAATGGTCCTTGTATCACAAACTCTTCGTTTCTATGGTTTCATCACTACAATGACATATTGCATGCATTCTTGACTTAGATTGTTTCTAATCCATATGAACAGAACACATTGTTTTTTAAAAAAAATTATTGGCATTTTCATGACATACATATTCTTATTTTTATTTATTTTTTATTTTACTTCATTTTGTTTTTTTTTTGAGACGGAGTCTCGCTCTGTCACCCAGGCTGGAGTGCAGTGGCGCAATCTCGGCTCACTGCAAGCTCCGCCTCCCGGGTTCACGCCATTCTCCTGCCTCAGCCTCCGGAGTAGCTGGGACTACAGGTGCCCGCCACTGCGCCCGGCTAATTTTTTGTATTTTTAGTAGAGACGGGGTTTCATCATGTTAGCCAGGATGGTCTCGATCTCCTGACCTTGTGATCCGCCCGCCTCGGCCTCCCAAAGTGCTGGGATTACAGGTGTGAGCCACCGCGCCCAGTTTTTTTTTTTTTTTTTTTGAGATAGAGTCTCACTCTGTTACCCAGGCTGGAGTGCAATGGCACGATCTCGGCTCACTGCAACCTCCGCCTCCCAGGTTCAAGCGATTTTGCTGCCTCCACCTCCTGAGTAGCTGGGATTACAGGCACACGCCACCACGACTGGCTAATTTTTTGTATTTTTAGTACAGATGGAGTTTCATCATGTTGGCCAGGCTGGTCTCGAACTCCTGACCTCATGATCTGACCACCTTGACCTCCTAAAGTGCTGGGATTACAGGCGTCAACCACCATGCCCGGCTCACAATGGTTTTTAATGGTTTTTCAAAACAGAGGATCCCTGACTTCTTAGTATGGCATTCAGATGAGCTAAAGAAGTTGAAAAATCGCCATTGTGTGTTCAAGAGCTCCATACTTGTATGAGGGTAGTTCTCCTGGAGTGGATTCCAGTGGATTTGGGAAGAGGAAGTGAGAGACTAGCTTGAACCTGAAGTTTGAGTATATAAATTAACCTATTACATGCTTCTTCTTTTGTAATCTTCCTACAGAGATGGTAAAAACAAATCATAGGCGCTGTCGCACAAAATTCACAGAAGAACAGTTGAAAATCCTCATCAATACCTTCAATCAAAAGCCTTACCCAGGTTATGCTACCAAACAAAAACTTGCTTTAGAAATCAATACAGAAGAGTCCAGAATCCAGGTAAGTTAAAGTTCAATATCTCCAGGACTGGAAGTAAAAAGGCAGGAGAGAGAACCATTAACGGAGCCCATACTATGTACCCATGTGCTGAGGGCTTGGTAGGGAGTATCTCAACTGACCCTCAATAAACCCACGAAGGTGTTGGTCTTAGCCTCACTTCACAGATGTGGATACTGAGGATGAGCGAGCTCACAGGAGGTGAGAGAACACGTGTAGGCGTACCTTCAGAGAAGGAGATACTTGAGCTGGCTTTTAAACATGTAATAATTGTAGCAGCTATTTACCAATTAAATATTAATAATTAGAGCAAATCATGTTGGCAGCAGATTGTGAAGATGCTGAATGCCCAATCTTTTATTTTTATTTTTGTTTTCATCTTTTTGAGTCAGGGTCTCACTGTCTCACCCAGGCTGGAGTGCAGGGGCACAATCAAGGCTCACCGAAGCCTTGAAATCCCGGTCTCAAGCAACCCTCCCTCAGCTTCCCAGATAGCTGGGACTATAGGCATGTGCCACCACAGCTAATTTTTTTTAATTTTGAGACAGAGTCTCGCTGTGTCGTCCAAGCTGGAGTGCAGTGGTGTGATCTTGGCTTGCTGAAACCCCCGCCTCCCAAGTTCAAGTGATTCTTCTGCCTCAGCCTCCCAAGTAGCTGGGACTACAGGCGCCTGCCGCCATGATCAGCTAATTTTGTTTTGTATTTTTAGTAAAGACTGAGGTTCACTATGTTGGCCAGGCTGGTCTTGAACTCCTGACCTCGTGATCTGCCTGCTTCGGCTTCCCAAAGTGCTGGGATTACAGGCATGAGCCACTGCACCTGGCCGGCTAATTTTTTTTTTTTTTAACTTTTTTGTTTTTAGTAGAGATTATGGTGTCACACAATGTTGCCCTGGGTGTGAATGCCAAGTCTTGACCAAAGAGTTGGTAGATGGGCTGGGCGTGGTAGGTCATGCTTATAATCCCAGCACTTTGGGAAGCCGAGGTGGGTGGATCACCTGAGGTCAGGAGTTCTAGACCAGCCTGACCAACATGGAGAAACCCCATCTCTACTGAAAATACAAAAATTAGCCAGGCATGATGGCACACACCTATAATCCCAGCTCCTTGGGAGTCTGAGCCAGGAGAATACTTGAACTCAGGAGGTGGAGGTTGCAGTGAGCCGAGATCACGCCACTGCACTCCAGCCTGGGCCACAAAGTGAGACTCTATCTCAAAAAAGAAAAAAAAGGACTTGGTAGAATGTGACAGAAGTAAGTAATAATCCTGGGCCTAGGCCCAATAAGAATTGCTCACTTTGGGAACAGGCAGTGATGTAGCTTAAATGACATTAACACGTAATTCTCTCCTTTTCTTTTCCTCACTTAGATTTGGTTTCAGAATCGAAGAGCTAGGCACGGATTCCAGAAAAGACCAGAAGCTGAGACTTTAGAATCAAGCCAGAGCCAGGGGCAAGATCAACCTGGTGTGGAGTTTCAAAGTAAATAACCCTCTTAGTTCTGTTCCCCAGCAGAGCTTCTCTACGGCGGAGCCAACTGCGACTTTGAAAAAAGAATGTCTCCTCCCTGATGACCTCCTGTTCAGGGTCTTATGGTGGCAAAGGGTTCATCGTACCCTAGAAGTTCTCCCCTGCCCTCTTCCCAGGCTTTCTTATTTATTTATTGAGATGGAGTCTCACTCTGTCACCCAGGCTGGAGTGCAGTGGCTTGATCTTGGCTCACTACAACCTCTGCCTCCCAGGTTCAAGCAATTCTTCCGCCTCAGCCTCCCAAGTAGCTGGGATTTACAGGTGCGCGCCACTATGCCCAGCTAATTTTTGTACTTTTAGTAGAGACGAGGTTTCGCCATATTGGTCAGGCTGGTCTTGAACTCCTGACCTTGTGATCTGCCCCCTCTCAGTCTCTTAAAGTGCCGGCATTACAGGCGTGAGCCACCGCGCCCGGCCTCTTGCCTACTTTCTTTCTACTGGAGTCCAGAAGCCCAGACATATCATCCTGGGTCTCCTCTAGAACCTTCCACCTGGAAGGAACCTGGGACAAGATCCTCTCAGGAGGAGTCAGTGGGATCGAAATTGGAGGGAGAGTGACAAGTTTGGGTTCTGTGTTTGAATATGTGAATGGACCCTTGCAATATTCCTTGACCGCCCCCCTCCATCTTTCCATGCCTTCCCTAGGTAGAGAAGCCAGACGGTGTCGTACCACCTACAGCGCCTCTCAGTTACACACTCTCATCAAGGCATTTATGAAAAACCCATATCCTGGGATTGATTCCAGAGAAGAACTTGCTAAAGAAATCGGTGTTCCAGAGTCAAGAGTCCAAGTGAGTGATAAGAAGGTGGTTGTCCCATCTCCTAGGGATCTAGGTATACAGGAAGGGAAGCCACATGGGCCTCAGGCAGTTCCTCATCATGCTGGGCACATTTCAGGGTCTTTCACAGCTGTTCCCTGTCTGCTGGCTTCTACCCCCAGGTGCCCACAGGACTCAATCTCACATCCCCTTCTGGTATTTTCTGTCTGTCTTGAGCAATGTTGTATTCCTTGGGCCCTGAACAGTGCGTGGCACGTGACACCCAATGAGAAGTTGTTGAGTGAGTGAATATTAGTTAACATTGCATATAAGCCAGGCATTTGGCTAAAGCCTTTTTTTTTTTTCTGAGATGGGGTCTCACTCTATTACCCAGGCTGGAGTGCAGCGGCGAAATCTTGCCTCACTGCCACCTCGACCTCCTAGGTTCAAGCGGTTTTTGTGCTTCAGCTGCCTGAGTAGCTAGGATTACAGGTGTGTGCCACCACGCCTGGCTAATATTTTTTGTATTTTTAGTAGAGACAGGGTTTCGCCATGTTGCCCAGTCTGATCTTGAACTCCTGGCCTCAGGTGATCCACCCTCCTTGGCTTCCCAAAGTGCTGGGATTACAGGGCTGAGCCACCGTGCCCGGCCTATTTGACTGAAGTCTTTATGTCTACTGTATCCTTCAGATCTTCTAATTATGCCCTGAGGTTAGAGTTATGAGGTCCAGGCTGGGTGCGGTGGCTCACGTCTGTAATGCCAGCACTTTGGGAGGCTGAGGTGGGCAGATCACCTGAGGTCAGGAGTTGAAGACCAGCCCGGCCAACATGGTGAAACCCCATCTCTACAAAAATACAAAAATTAACCGGGCACGGTGGCTCATGCCTGTTGTCCCAGCTACTTGGCAGGCTGAGGGAGGAGAATCACTTGAATCTGGGAGGTGGAGGTTGCAGTGAGTAGAGATTGCACCACTGCACTCCAGCCTGGGTGACAGAGCAAGACTCCGTCTTGAAAAAAAAAATTATGAGGTCCACTTTAGACATTTAACATTTAGCTCAGAGAAATGTACCAGTCTGTCCGAGGATTCATTCCTGACACATCTTGAAATGGAATAAAATTGTCAGACTGCTGTGTAGGGTGTGTGTGCGTTTAAACCAGTGCTCCCTCCTGTAAGCAGGACATGAATGCACATTAGTAGTTCTGATGGTTCTTTCGTTTTACTTTCCTCGTCTCGTGTTCATTTTTCATTCTGTCCTTCTTTCATTTTGCATTATTCGGAGCATCTACTATGTGCTAGGTACTGTACTAGGTAGTGATTGCTATGGTTTGAATGTTTGTCTCCTCCAAAACCAATGTTGAAACTTAACTGCCATTTTCACACTATTAAGAGTTGTGGCTGGGCACAGTGGCTCACACCTGTAATCTCAGCACTTTGGGAGGCCAAGGCGGGTGGATCACCTGAGGTCGGGAGTTCGAGACCAGCCTGACCAACATGGAGAAACCCCGTCTCTACTAAAAATACAAAAATTTAGCTGGGCATGGTGGTGCATGCTTATAATCCCAGCTACTCCGGAGGCTGAGGCAGGAGAATTGCTTGAACCCGGGAGGCGGAGGTTGCGGTGAGCCGAGATCACGCCACTGCAATTCAGCCTGGGCAACAAGGGCGAAACTCTGTCTCAAAATAAAAAGAGTTGTGGCCAGTTACGGCGGCTCATGTCTGGAATCCCAGCAGTTTTAGAGGCTGAGGCAGGAGGAACAGGGAGACCACAACTCTATGAAAAAAATTAAAAGTTAGCTGGGTGTGCTGGCACATGGCTGTGGTCCCAGTTACGCGAGAGGCTGAGGCAGGAGCATCACTTGAGCCCAGGAGGTTGAGGCTGCAGTGAACTGTGATCGCACCACTGCCCTCTAGCCTGGGCGATAGAGTGAGATTTTGTCTCAAAAATATAGTAGCTGCTGGAAGGTGAGGGATTTTTGTGAGTGTGTGCGTACAAGTATATATGAACTGCTATTTCAAATTATGTGAGTATATATGCATAAGTTTTACATGCCTATGTGTATAATCTATGGGCACAAAGAAGGAACAGAAATTAAGTTTGTCTTGTGGGATGAAGAATGTTTTCCTAGACATTCTCTATTCTGGGAATTGGAAGTAAAATGGGCATTTCTGAGGGGAAGAAAAAGAGATAGAAAAAAAAATTTCAGGCAGAAGGAAGAGCTGCAATGTAGCATGTCACTTTAGAGAAACACCGGTATTGTAATGAGGTGGACCTGTGAACTTTCAGGATCTAAAACCTATCACAAAGGGACTGGGTGTGAGTTTCAGAATTTTGGGTGTTCTCTTTAGGCCTTATAGACTCTCACAAATGTCATAAAATGTTAATAATGTTGGGCCGGGCACGGTGGCTCACGCCTGTAATGCCAGCACTTTGGGAGGCTGAGGTGGGTGGATCACCTGAGGTCGGGAGTTCAAGACCAGCCTGGCCAATATGGTGAAATTCCATCTCTACTAAAAATACAAAAATTAGCCGGGTATGGTGGTTGGCGCCTATAATCCCAGCTGCTTGGGAGGCTGAGGCAGGAGAATTGCTTGAACCTGGGAGGTGGAGGTTGCAGTGAGCCAAGATTGTGCCACTGCACTCCAGCCTGGGTGACCGAGTGAGACTCCGTATTAAAAAAAAAAGTATCTATCTATCTATCTATCTATCTATCTTGGGTTGGGCACAGTCAAGTGTGCCTCTAGTCCCAGCTACTTGGGAGGATTGGTTGTGCTCAGAAGTTCAAGATCAGCCTGGGCCACGTGGTGAAACCTCGTCTCTACAAAAAGTTTAAAAGTTAGCCTAAGGTGATGATGCACAGCTGTGGCACTAGCTACTCTGAGAGAGACCGCTGTCTCAAAAAACAGAAAAGAAAAAAGAGAAGAAAGCAATCATGAGTTTTACACAACATTCTTTGTTTAAATTAAGTTTCTTTGTCTTACCACTTAGATTTGGTTCCAAAATCGAAGATCTAGATTACTTCTCCAGAGAAAAAGGGAACCTGTGGCGTCCTTAGAACAAGAAGAGCAGGGCAAGATTCCTGAGGGACTGCAAGGTAACTAGCCTGTTGTTTCCAATGTGGTTCACAAGCGGAGCCCTTGGATGTCCAGTGCTTCGTCATGGTGGAGCCGACAGCTCCTCCTGGGAGGTGGAGGATATCCCCACTCAAGTGCTCCACGGTACCATGGGGTTGCTCACAGTCCCCAAAGACTCTTCCCAGGCCTATGAACCTTCTGAAGAATCCACTGCCCACTTTCCAACTGGATTCCAGCAACCCCATGGATACAAATTCACTGTTGTATCCCCAGTGCCTGGTACAAAGGAAACGCTCAATACACTTCTGTTGAAGGTGTGATTGAGTGAGAGGAGGAATGAATCCTCAGGTGTGGTCTGCCAGGGGCAGCGGGGGCATGGCTTTCCCAGGAGGTAGTAGGTTCCATATTGGATTGAAAAGGTGGGGGCTGGGCATGGAGGCTCACGCCTGTAATCCCAGCACTTTGGGAGGCCGAGGTGGGCGGATCACGAGGTCAGGAGATCGAGACCATCCTGGCTAACACGGTGAAACCCCGTCTCTACTAAAAATACAAACAATTAGCCGAGCGTGGTGGCGGGCGCCTGTAGTCCCAGCTACTCGGGAGGCTGAGGCAGGAGCATGGCGTGAACCCGGGAGGCGGAGCTTGCAGTGAGCCGAGATCGCGCCACCGCACTCCAGCCTGGGCGACAAAGTGAGACTCCGTCTAAAAAAAAAAAAAAAGAAAAGGTGGGAAAAGGCTGACGTCCATGTTTGTGAATATAAGCTGATCTCTTACATTCTTTCCTCTATCTTTTTTCCTCCTTAGGTGCAGAAGATACACAAAATGGCACCAACTTCACTAGTGACTCTCATTTCTCTGGAGCCAGAACGTGGTGAACACAGTCAAATTCAGTGTACTTGATAATATCAACTGGACCCCAAATCTGTCTCACGGTCTTCCTGGGAGTCTATCCTTCTGCTGAAACTGCAAGCTAAGCCTTCTGAAGATGGTAAAGGACTTGGCCAGATGTGGTGGGTCACACTTGTAATCCCACTACTTTGGGAGGCCAAGGCAGGAAGATTGCTTGAGCTCAGGAGTTTGAAACCAGCCTGGACAACATATAGCAAGACTCTGCCTCTATTATAAAAAAACAAAATAAATGAAAAGGACTGTAGGAGGCAGAGACGGGTACAGGGGGTACCACACTACCCTGTTGACACAGCCTAGATCCAGAGTTCAGAAGACCTTGAGACAATGAAAATAAACTTGGTAATAATCTTTTTTCAATCATCACAGTAATTATTGATTTGTACAAAAATCACTTGACGTCATAACCTTAAAGTGACACTGCTCTGCCTATGGAGTAGCCGTTCTTTTATTCCTTTACTTTCTTAACAAATTTGCTTTCACTTAAAAAAAAACCTTTAAGTTCAAGGAAGAACAAGATATATACTTCATCTCAAAAGAATCTACTCACACACACTTATTAATTACAAAAGGAAAATCAGTAATTTTGCAGCAGAGAAATATGGCCAACTCCACCTTAACCAAGTGGCTGAAAGTCACTGCACCAGTAATGGCACAAACCAATGTGAGATGCTTCCTGATATGATACAGTAAGAAGGCCACAGTCTCTTCTGCGTGTTAGTGACAAAAAGTGGGTAAGCTGAAACTAATAATTAGGCAATGTCAAGTGAACACAAATTCAGGATGACAGACTGCAAAGTAACATCCATGTATTCTTCAACAATGGATTGATCAGGGCTACTCAGAAGGCTGAGGCGGAAGGATTGCTTGAGGCCAGGAGTTCCAGATCAACCTGGGCAACATGATGAGACCCCATCTCTACAAACAATTTTTTAAAAATGAGCCAGGTGTGGTAGTGTGCATCTGTAGTCTCAGCAACTTAGGAGCCTGAGGCAGGAGAATGGTTTGAACACAGGGATGGTGAGGCTGCAGTGAGCTATGATCGTGCTACTGCACTCCAGCCTGGGCGACACAGCAAGTTCTTGTTTCCAAACAACAACAAAACAAAACAAAAAAAAAACCGGATAGAATAATGACCAAAAAATGGAGAAAAAGTAGGCTGACTCAGGAAACACTTAGAAAGTACAGCCATACCTCAAAGATATTGTGGATTGGGTTGCAGCCCACCACAATAAAGCAAATATTGCTATAAAGTGAGTCACAAAAATGGTTTTGTTTCCTTGTGAATATAAAGTTACATTGGCTGGGTGTGGTGGCTCATGCCTATAATCCCAGTACTTTAGGACATGGAAGGGGGAGGATCACTTGAGACCAGGAGTTGTGAGGTCAACCTGGGCAATATAGGGAGATCCTGTCTCTATTTAAAAAAAGAAGTTATGGCCGGGCGCGGTGGCTCATGCCTGTAATACCAGCACTTTGGGAGGCGGAGGCGGGCAGATCGCGAGGTCAGGAGATCGAGACCATCCTGGCTAACGTGGAGAAACCCCGTCTCTACTAAAAAAAAAAATTACAAAAAATTAGCCGGGCATGGTAGCAGGTGCCTGTAGTCCCAGCTACTCGGGAGGCTGAGGCAGGAGAATGGCGTGAACCTGGGAGGCGGAGCTTGCAGTGAGCCAAGATCGCGCCACTGCACTCCAGCCTGGGTGGCCGAGCGAGACTCCCTCTCAAAAAAAAAAGTTACATTTACACTACACTACACTGTAGTCTAATAAAGTGTAAAATGGTGTTATGTCTAGGAAACAAGGCACATACTTTAATTTTAAAACACTTGATGCTGGCTGGGTGGGGTGACTCACGCCTGTAATCCCAGCACTTTGGGAGGCCGAGGCAGGTGGATTGCTTGAGCTCAGCCTGGACAACATGGCAAAACCCCATCTATTAAAAGAAAAAATACCTGATGCCCTTATTTGAAGCTCCATTATTTTTTAAAAAGAAATTATATAAAAATACTTTATTGCTAAAAATACTAATAATGATCTTAGCCTTCAGGGAGTCGTAATCTTTTTTGCTGGTGAGGAGTCTTGCCTCAATGTCATTGGCTGCTGGCTGATAAGGGTGGTGGTTGCTAAATATTGAAGTGGTTGTAACAATTTGTTAAAACAACAATGAAATTTACCACATTAACTGACGCTTCCTTCCACGAAAGATTTCTCTGGAACATGAGATGTTGTTTGATAGCATTTTACCCATAATAGAACTTCTTTCAAAATTGGAGCCAATCCTCTCAAACCCTGCCACTGCTTTCTTAACTACGTGCGTCAATATTGTAAATCCTCTGTTGTAGTTTAAACAGCGTTCACAGCATCTTCACCAGGAGTAAATTCCACCTCATGAAACCACTTTCGAGGCTCCTTCTGGACTGTGGCGTTCTTTCCAGGCTACCTTGTGGCAATTTGAGAGTCTGGCATCGTTTTCCGCCAGGACCCAAAGATCCAGGAGGCACTTGTGACTAGCCTGCCAATGGACCCATGACAAAAGTTTAACCTAACCTTCATCCGAGTCTTCGCAAATGCTCACTGAAGAAAATTCCTAAGACAATTCAGGGGCCTCTCATACCCTCTACTGTGAGATGTTACTAAAGAACCTTAGTAACTTGACTCTCAACTCCACTACCAACCCTTCCCCTCTAGCAGAAGGTTCACCCGAGCAACAGGATAGAAAAGAAACAATCTTCCAGGACATCAGAGGTGGCTAGACTTACAGGAGGAAATTAGTAAAAACATTGCTCTCTGTGGGTTTTTCTCACTGACTTCAGGCTTCTAAAACACATGAGAATATTTAGGACCTATTGGTGCTTTAGGGATTAAATCAAAGAGTAGCACTAAGGTATATTGAAATTATTCAAATACATTCAAACTACACAGATTCCTTATAAGTTACCAGTGTCATTGTAGGAAGGAAAATGTATGAGAAAAAGATATCACAGAAAAAGATATCAAAAATATTGCGATAGTCTATCCTAGCATAGAGTAGCTTTCTTAACCCACTATATAAAAAATTACCAGCAAGAAGGCTGGGCGTGGTGGCTCACACCTGTAATCCCGGCACTTTGGGAGGCCGAGGCGGGTGGATCACTGGAAGTCAGGAGTTCAAGACCAGCTTGGCCAATATGGTGAAACCACATCTCTACTCAAAATATAAAAATTAGCTGGGCGTAGTGGTGGGCGCCTCTAATCCCAGGTACTTGGGAGGCTGAGGCAGAACTGCCTGAACCCAGGAGCCGGAAGCTACAGTGAGCCAAGATCATGCCGCTGCACTCCAGCCTGGGCAACAGAGTGAGACTCCATCTCAAAAGAATAGGAAAAAATTACCAGCAAGAAAGAAAAAGTACAAAAATAATGTTTATGGCTGAATAGGCTCTGTGTCATAATTCCCTTTTCTAGCATTCTCAGAAGGATCCCATCTGTGATACACACAAAAACTGCAGCCACATTTGAATGGTTCACTTCTTGATTCATTCTGCGCTCCCTTAAGCCTAGTGTCAGTTCTCTTTCAAGCTGAGAAAATCTATTAATAGGTATCTCGATTTTTACCATCCTTTCTTTCCCCACAGAGAGCAATGTTCTTACTAATTTCCTCCTGTAAGGCAAGCCATCTCTGATGTCCTGGAAGATTGTTTCTCTTCTATCCTGTTGTTGGGGTGAAACTTCTGCTAGAGGGGAAGGGTTGGTAGTAGAGTTGAGAGTCAAGTTACTAAGGTTCTTTATTAACGTCTCTCAGTAAGGTTATGAGAGGTCCCTGAATTGTCTTAGGAATTTTCTTTGCTGAGCATTTGTGAAGACACTGGGATGAAGGTTGGTTTAAATTTTTGAACTTGAAGTAGGCCAGGCATGGTGGCTATTGCATGTAATCCCAGCGTTTTGGGAGGCTGTGGCAGGAGTATTGCTTGAGGCTAAGAGTTCAAGACCAGCCTGGGCAACATGGCGAGACTCCATCTCTACAAAAAAATTTTTCAAAAAAATTTGCCAGGTGAAGTGGCACATGCCTGTGGTCCCAGCTACTTGGGAAGCTGAGGTGGGAGGATGCATTGCAATAAGAAGCCATGATGTACTGCTTTTGCAATTTTCAGTAGCAAATAAATGTGCACATAGAGAAACAATAAAATTGACATATTTGAGTACCTTTAAAAAAACACTTTAAGGCTGGGCACGGTGGCTCACGCCTGTAATCCCAGCACTTTGGGAGGCCGAGGTGGGCGGATCACCTGAGGTCAGGAGTTCGAGACCAGCCTCAACCTGGAGAAACCCCATCTCTACTAAAAATACAAAAAAAAATTAGCCGGGCGTGGTGGTGCATGCCTGTAATCCCAGCTACTTGGGAGGCTGAGGCAGGAGAATTGCTTGAACCTGGGAGGCAGAGGTTGTGGTAAGCTGAGATCGCGCCATTGCACTCCAGCCTGGGCAACAAGAGCAAAACTCAGTCTCAAAAAACAAACAAACAAACAAAAAAACAATTTATTTGCTTATCCATAAGAAGCAATTCCTCATCAGGTCAAGTTTTTTTTTTTTGAGACGGAGTCTAGCACTGTCGCCCAAGCTGGAGTGCAGTGGCGTGATCTCTGCTCACTGCAAGCTCCGTCTCCTGGGTTCACGCCATTCCCCTGCCTCAGCCTCCCTAATAGCTGGGACTACAGGCGCCCACCACCATGCCCGGCCAATTTTTTATATTTTTAGTAGAGACGGGGTTTCCCCGTGTTAGCCAGGATGGTCTTGATCTCCTGACCTCGTGATCTGCCCGCTTCATGAGGTCTTTCTTTTTTTTATGGAAACATGAATTGTAATTTTATTATTTTTTCTTTTTTTTCTATTTTTTTTTTATTATACTTTAAGTTTTAGGGTACATGTGCACATTGTGCAGGTTAGTTACATATGTATACATGTGCCATGCTGGTGTGCTGCACCCACTAACTCGTCATCTAGCATTAGGTATATCTCCCAATGCTATCCCTCCCCCCTCCCCCCACCCCACCACAGTCCCCAGAGTGTGATATTCCCCTTCCTGTGTCCATGTGATCTCATTGTTCAATTCCCACCTATGAGTGAGAATATGCGGTGTTTGGTTTTTTGTTCTTGCGATAGTTTACTGAGAATGATGATTTCCAATTTCATCCATGTCCCTACAAAGGACACGAACTCATCATTTTTTATGGCTGCACAGTACTCCATGGTGTATATGTGCCACATTTTCTTAATCCAGTCTATCATTGTTGGACGTTTGAGTTGGTTCCAAGTCTTTGCTATTGTGAATAATGCCGCAATAAACATATGTGTGCATGTGTCTTTATAGCAGCATGATTTATAGTCATTTGGGTATATACCCACTAATGGGATGGCTGGGTCAAATGGTATTTCTAGTTCTAGATCTCTGAGGAATCGCCACACTGACTTCCACAATGGTTGAACTAGTTTACAGTCCCACCAACAGTGTAAAAGTGTTCCTATTTCTCCACATCCTCTCCAGCACCTGTTGTTTCCTGACTTTTTAATGATTGCCATTCTAACTGGTGTGAGATGGTATCTCATTGTGGTTTTGATTTGCATTTCTCTGATGGCCAGTGATGATGAGCATTTTTTCATGTGTTTTTTGGCTGCATAAATGTCTTCTCAATGGAACAGAACAGAGCCCTCAGAAATAACGCCGCATATCTACAACTATCTGGTCTTTGATAAACCTGAGAAAAACAAGCAATGGGGAAAGGATTCCCTATTTAATAAATGGTGCTGGGAAAACTGGCTAGCCATATGTAGAAAGCTGAAACTGGATCCCTTCCTTACACCTTATACAAAAATCAATTCAAGATGGATTAAAGATTTAAACGTTAGACCTAAAACCATAAAAACCCTAGAAGAAAACCTAGGCATTACCATTCAGGACATAGGCATGGGCAAGGACTTCATGTCCAAAACACCAAAAGCAATGGCAACAAAAGACAAAATTGACAAATGGGATCTAATTAAACTAAAGAGCTTCTGCACAGCAAAAGAAACTACCATCAGAGTGAACAGGCAACCTACAAAATGGGAGAAAATTTTCGCAACCTACTCATCTGACAAAGGGCTAATATCCAGAATCTACAATGAACTCAAACAAATTTACAAGAAAAAAACAAACAACCCCATCAAAAAGTGGGTGAAGGACATGAACAGACACTTCTCAAAGGGTCTTTCATTTAAAACATTTTTTTAATTAAAAAAAAATTTCATCTGTTCAAGTTTTACCAGCAGGTTGCAAAAATTCAGTCACATCTTCAGGCTCCACTTCCAATTCTAGTTGTCTTGCTATTTCTGCTACATCTGCAGTCACTACTTCCATTGAATTATTAATATATATTTTAAAAATAAAGATGGGAGTCTCGCTATGTTGCCAGGCTGGTCTCAAACTCCTGGCCTCAAGTGATCGTCCCACTTTAGGTCCTAAAATGCTGTGATTATAGGCATAAGTCATGTGCCTGGTCTCCACTGAATTTTTGAACCCCTCAAAGTCATCCATGAGGGTTGGAATCCACTTCTTCCAAATCCTGTTCATGCTGATATTTTGACCTCTTTCCATGAATCACAAATGTTCTTAATGGCATTTAGAATGATGAACTGTTTCATGGAGGTTTTCAATGGACTTTGCCCCGATCCATCAGAGGATTCACTATCTATGGGAGAAATGGCTTTATGAAATGTGTTTCTTAGATAACACGACTTGAAAGTCAAAATTACTTCTTGACCCACGGTCTGCAGAATGGATGTTGTGTTAGCAGGCATGCAAACAACATTCATCTCCTTGTACATCTCCATCAGAGTTTTTTTCTTCAACTGAAATTAAGATTCATCCATCAGCTCTTGAGTGACCCGATACATTTTCAATGAGCAGTGATATTTTGTTTTTGTGTGGTCTTTTGCTTTTTTATTATTTTTCTATTTTTGTGTTTAGGTTTGATGAGCAGTTATTTATTTATTTACTTATTTATTTATTTATTTATTGTGTTTACTGGCTTAACACCTGGGATCTGAAGAGCAGTAATGCTTTGAAGGGAATCTTTTTCTTTTTGTCTGAGAAATAGTTCTCAACAGTGGGCTTAAAATAATCAAAACCATACTGTAGACAAATGTGCTATCACCCAGGCTTTGTTGTTTCATTTATAGAGCACAGATAGAGTAGATTTAACATAATTCTTTTCTTTGTTTGTTTTTTGAGACACAGTCTCACTCTGTCACCCAGGCTGGAGTGCAGTGGTGTGATCTCGGCTCACTGCAGCCTCCGCCTCCGAGGTTCAAGTGATTGTCTTGCCTCAGCCTCCTGAGTATCTGGGACTACAGGCACGGGCCACCATGCCTGGCTAATTTTTTTGTATTTTTAGTAGAGATGGGGTTTCACCATGTTGGCCAGGCTGGCTTGGAACTCCTGACCTCAAGTGATCTGCCCGCCTTGGCTTCCCAAATTGCTGGGATTAGAGGCATGAGCCACCGCATTTGGCCAGCATAATTCTTAGAGGCTTTAAAATTTTTTAAATGGTAAGTGAGCATTAGATTAAATTCAGTCACCAGCTGCATTAGTTTCATGTAAGAGAATCATCCTGTCCTTGGAAGTTTTGAGGCCAGGCATTGACTTCTCTCTAGCTATAAAAATCCTAGATGGAATCTCCTTCCAATAGATGGCTTTTTCATCTACATTGAAAATCTGCTGTTGAGCCAACTGCAGTGGCTCACATCTGTAATACCAGTACTTTGGGAGGCTGGGATGGGAGGATCACTTGGGGCCAGGAGTTTGAGACCAGCCTGTCTCTAAAAAAAAATAAAAAAGGCCAGGCACAGCGGCTCAGACAAAAAAAAAAAAAAAATATATATATATATATATATATATACATATATATATATATATATATATAAAATCACTCCACCCCTTTCCGTTCACCTGCAGGCTTGCTCTGTCTCTCAGGCTGGAATGCAGTGGCAAGATCCTTGCTCACTGCAGCCTTGACCTCTTGGGCTCAATTGATCCTCCCACCTCAGCCTTCCAAGTATCTGGGACTATAGTAGTCCGACACGGCGGCTGGGATTCAGGCTGGCTGGGTCATTTTGCTTTTTTTTTCTTTTTTTTTTTTTTGAGATGGAGTCTCCCTCTGTCGCCCAGGCTGGAGTGCAGTGGCATGATCTCAGCTCACAGCAACCTCTGTGTTTTGGGTTCAAGCAATTCTGCCTCAGCCTCTTGAGTAGCTGAGTAGCTGGGACTACAGGTGTGTACCACCATGCCCAGCTAATTTTTGTATTTTTAGTAGAGACAGGATTTCACCATGTTGACCAGGCTGGTCTTGAACTCCTGACCTCAGGTGATCTGTCTGCCTCAGTCTCCCAAAGTGTTGGGATTACAGGCTTGAGCCACCGCACACCGCCAAGGGTCATTTGCTAATACGATCTTTGGATACCTCTTCTCCTGGGAGGAGGTCTAGTCTGGTGCATCCTGTCCCATGAAGTCTGGTTTAATCTCTTGGAATTCAGTTGGACGCTCAATTTTGGAAGGTCTCCATGTCTGCAGGCAAGGGCATGTAGCCTGTGTTTAAATTCAACACCCAGACTAGGGTGGGGATGGATTGGCATGTTGATCTCATTTTGAGAGTATTAGTACAGCTGAAGAGATTTTGCCAGTTGGAGGTTGGAGCCTGAATTCTTTCTGTCGGGCGGAGAGCACTTTAAGGCATTGTTCCACCTCCGCTGGCCCTATTTCTTTTTTCTTTTCCTTTCTTTTTTTTTTTTTGAGACGTGAGATGGAGTCTCGCTCATTGCCCAGGCTGGAGTGCAGTGGCACGATCTTGGCTCACTGAAGCCTCCGTCTCCCGGGTTCAAGCGATTCTCCTGCCTCAGCCTCCCAAGTAGCTGGGATTACAGGCACGTGCCACCATGACCAGCTAATTTTTGTATTTTTAGTAGAGACGGGGTTTCCCCATGTTGGCCAGGCTGGTCTTGAACTCCTGTCCTCCCAAAGTGCTGGGATTACAGGCATGAGCCACCGTGCCCAGCCAATTTTTGTTGTTTTAATTTATTTTCATCCTCTGACATTTGGATAATGTTTTCCATGCTTTCTATTTCAAAGTTAAGGTAAAAAATTTTTACTTGCATGAACTTAAAAAAAATTCCATTGGAAACTGATTGGGCAGATTTGAAAATTAAGCTTTCACAATCACAATTTTTATGAGAGTTCATTCAGTTTTGGAGAAGTCGAGGAAAGAATTGGGAATTGAAATTTTGATGTGGCCTGATAGGATCAGGTGGGGCTTTTGATAGGAAGTGAGTGTTTTGGGTTGTTTCTTGACTGGATTATGATGCGGAATACAGCGGGTAGAGGGCCGATTAAGTTTTAGTCATTAGTGTAGCTTTTCAGTATACACGCCTTTTCATTTTCAGTCCCTTTCAGAAGAAAAGACCACAGGCATCAGAAATCAATCAACTTGCTAATTTATGCCAGATTCCACTGGAGGTAAGCTGATTTTTTTTTCTCCCTGAAAACCAAATGTCTGGGTTTTGTTTGTTTGTTTGTTTTGCATTTTTACTTAGTTTCATTTTTCTACCTCTCCTATTTGCTGGAATAAGCTAAATATTTTACATTGGTAGTTTAGATTTTTTTTTTAGTTGTCATATTGAAAAGTGATGCTCCCAGGACACTCAAAATTATTTTCGTGGCCCTCCAGTCCTTAGCATTACTGCTGGCCCACAGCTACTTCTAAAAACTTTTTATTGACAAATAATAATTGTGTTTATTTATGGGGTACAATGTGATGTTTTGATACATGTTTACATTGGGGGGATGATTAAATCAAGCTAATTAATCTATTTTTGTGGTGAAAGCATTTACAATTTACTGTTTTTTAAAATTATATATATTTTTTGTGCTAGAATTGGACTCCTCAAACTTTAATAAACATTAAAGTTGTGCCCGGCAAGTTTATTCTTTTTAAAAACATATTTACTTATTTAAAACTTTATTCCTGGCTGGTGTGGTGGCTCATGCATGTAATCCCAGGATTTGGGGAGGCTGAGGGAGGAGGATTGCTTGAGCCTAGGAGTTTGAGACCAGTTTAGGTGACATAGCAAGATCCCTTCTTTACAAAAAATAAAAAGTTAGCTGATGTGGTAGCATGCACCCATAGTCTTAACTATTCAGGAGGCCAAGGTAGGAGGATTGCTTGAGCCAGGGATTTTTAAACTGCTGTGAGCCGGGATCACATCACTGCACTCCAGCCTGGGTGACAGAATGAGACCCTGCCTCAATAAAATAAAATAAAAAATAAAAACTTTATTACTTAAACATTGAGACAGAGGTTTCACTATGTTGCACAGGCTGGTCTCAAACTCCTGGGCTTGGCTGGATGTGGTGGTTCACGCCTATAATCCCAGCACTTTGGGAGGCTGAGGCCGGCGGATCACTTGAGATCAGCAGCTCGAGACCAGCCTGAACAACATGGTAAAACCTTGTCTCTACTAAAAATGCAAAAATTAGCTGGGCATGGTGGTGCATGCCTGTAATCCCAGCTACACGGGAGGCTGAGGCAGGGGAATCCCTTGAACCCGGGAGGCAGAGGTTGCAGTGAGCCGAGACTGTGCCACTGCACTCCAGCCTGGGCGACAGAGCAAGACTTGGTCTTAAAAAAAAAAAAAAAAAAGTAACTCCTGGGCTCAACTGATCCTCCCACCTTGGCTTTCCAAAGTGCTGGGATTATAGGTGTGAGCTGCCACGCGTGGCCAAAATCTACGCTTTTGGCAAAGAATTACCAATGATCCAGCTGTCCCGCTTATGGCAAAGCTGAAGGGCTATCTGCATCCCATGTTCACTGCGGCGTTATTCGTCACGACCACAGCTGCTTCAGGATTCATGGTTTCTGCTCTCGGCCTTCCTTACTGTGCTCTAGCTGATCTGATGCTTGCCTCATTGTCTTTGCACAGGCTTGTTTTAAAGGTGCTGTTGAACTGCTGTTTAGCTTTCTCTCTCTCTCTTTTTTTTTTTTTTTGGGACGGAGTCTCGCTCTGTCGCCCAGGCTGGAGTGCGGTGGCGCGATCTCGGCTCACTGCAAGCTCCGCCTCCCGGGTTCCCGCCATTCTCCTGCCTCAGCCTCCCGAGTAGCTGGGACTACAGGCGCCCGCCACCACGCCTGGCTAATTTTGTTTTTGTATTTTTAGTAGAGACAGGGTTTCACCGTGTTGGCCAGGATGGTCTTGATCTCCTGACCTCGTGATCCGCCTGCCTCGGCCTCCCAAAGTGCTGGCATTACAGGCATGAGTCACCGCGCCCAGCCAATTTTGTATTTTTAGTAGAGACGGGGTTTCACCATGTTGGACAGGCTGGTCTCGAACTCCTGACCTCTGGTGATCTGCCTGCTTCAGCCTCCCAAAGTGCTGGGATTACAGGCGTGAGCCACCGTGCCTGGCTTGCACTTTCTTCTTTGAGACCCAGTCTCAATAAATAAACAAACACAAAAAAACCAAAACAAAAAAAAAAAAGACCTTCAGAAGGGGATCACTGAGGTACAAGTCAGGGCTTTTCTGAGTGGGTTAGGGAGAGCTTTTATCCAGGGTGTGGAGCATTCTATGCTGGATGATCCCCAACTTCCAAAGCGAATTCTGCTATTTCATGGTTCTTTTCCATTTTCCCTCAGATCTGCCTTCCCAAGACTTTACTGACTGGTGAAGAACAGGAAATGAACAATTCCCAGGTGAGCTTTTCAAAAAAATCTAAATCTCATAATGAATAAACGTATGACCCACGTTCCTCTTGCTCAGAATTAACTGTGCTAACCTTTTGGCATATTTTCCTCCTTCCTTCCATACTTCTATTAAAAGGTAACACACACTCTACTTTCTGCTTTCCTATTAAAGCTGAAACATTTCAAGTAAAGCTCAAGGCTGGGCATGGTGGCTCACACCTGTAATTCAGCAATCTAGGAGGCCAAGGCAGGCGGATCGCTTGAGTTCAGGAGTTTGAAACCAGCCTGGGCAACATGGCGAGATCCCGTCTCTACAAAAAATTAGCTGGGTGTGGTGGTGGTGGCGTACACCTGTAGTCTCAGCTACTCTGGAGGCGGAGGTGGGAGAATCGCTTGAACCTGGGAGGTTGAGGCTGCAGTGAGCCATGATTGTGCCACTGCACTCCAGCCTGGGTGACAGAGCATGACCCTGTCTCAAAAAAAAAAAAAAAAAAAGCTTGGTTACGGAAACACCAGGAGTTTGGTCTAGGTCCTGCTACTGGCTGCACAGAAAGCCAATGACTGAGACAATGGGTATTGCCAAGGAAGAAGCTTTAATCAGCTGCCGTAGGTGAAGAAATGGGAGCTCAGCCTCAAATCCATCTCCCTAACTCACTAAAACTAGGGGTTTATACAGCATGGAAGAAATATAACAATGTGTAAGAAAGCAAGACTAGGGAGGGGGCAAGGAGACATCTGTTGTGGTGAGTTTCAGTTGTGGTGAGTTTCAGTTGATTTTTTTTTTTTGAGGGAGTCTCGCTGTGTCACCCAGGCTGGAGTATAGTGGTGCAATCTCAGCTCACTGCAACCTCTGCCTCCCAGGTTCAAGCGATTCTCCTTCCTCAGCCTCCTGAGTTGCTGGGATTACAGGTGTGCGCACCACCACTCCTGGCTAATTTTTGTATTTTTTGGTAGAGACGGGGCTTCACCATGTTGGCCAGGCTGGCCTCGAAATCTTGACCTCAGGTGATCTGCCTGCCTTTGAGAGATCTGAAGGTCTTTTCCTGAGGAAGGAACTCAGACAAAACAAATACAGGTTTCAAGCTTTAACAGCGGAAGGGTCAATTTCTATGTTTATCCAAAAAACAAAAACAAAAACAAAAACAAAAAACAAAAAACCCACAACTGTCTATGGGATTACTGGGCTGGTTTCAGCTCAAGCATCTTTGTTTTGTTGTTTTTTTTTTTTTTTTTTTTTTTGAGACAGTCTCCCTCTGCCACCCAGGCTGGAGTGCAATGGCTTGATCTTGGCTCACTGCAACCTCCACCTCCCAGGTTCAAGCGATTCTCCTGCCTCAACCTCCTGAGCAGCTGGGATTACAGGCGCACGCCACCACGCCCACGCCCGGCTAATTTTTGTATTTTTAGTAGAGATGGGGTTTTACCATATTGGTCGGGCTGGTCTCGAACTCCTGACCTCAGGTGATCCACCCGCCTCAGCCTCCCAAAGTTCTGGGATTACAAGGGTGAGCCACCACGCCCAGCCTCAAGCATCTTTTGACCATTGCTCTTACAAACCTGGTCCACTGCTAAGCCCTGAGATGTAACAGTGTCATGTGTGTTTCACCCCAACCTATTTTTTAAATGATTGGTGTCTTGAATGTGTGTCCTCTCCCAACTTTGTTCGGTGTGTATTTGAAACAAATTCTGTAAATCCACACAATAAACTGAAAAATCATTAACTAGTACCAGTCGGAATCAAAGTAAATTATGGATAGCTGAAAGACCAAGGATAAGTTGTATGCAGTTAGGCAGATAGTAGTTTCTTTGCAATTGTTAAAATTAAGCCTGTTGACCAATTTCCTGTTGACAGGAAAGGCATACTAAGGCTGGGTGTGGTGGCTCACACCTGTAATCCCAGCACTTTGGGAGGCGAAGGCAGGAAGACCACTTGAGGCCAGGAGTTCAAGACCAGCCTGGACAATATAGTGAGACCCTGTCTACAAATAATAAAAAATGAGCTTAGCATGGTGGTGCATGCCTGTAGTCCCAGCTATTCTGGAGGCTGAGGTAGGAGGATTGCTTGATCCTGGGAGGTTGAGGCTGCAGTGAGCCATGATCATGCCACTGTACTCCAGCCTGGGTGGCAGAGCAAGAACCTGTGTCAAAAATTTAAAAAAAAAGGCCGGGTGCGGTGGCTCATCCCTTTAATCCCAGCTCTTCGGGAGGCCGATGCGGGCAGATCACTTGAGGTCAGGAGTTTGAGACCAACCTGGCCAACATGGTGAAACCCGTCTCTACTAAAAGTACAAAAATTAGCCAGGTGTCGTGGTGCGCGCCTGTAATCCCAGCTGCTCAGGAGGCTGAGGCAGGAGAATCGCTTGAACCCAGGAGGTGGAGGTTGCAGTGAGCCGAGATTGTGCCACTGCACTCCAGCCTGGGCTACCAGAGTGAGCCTCTGTCCCCTTCCCCGCCAAAAAAAATTAATAAATAAACAAAATTTTAAAAAAGCGAGCTAGAGCACAAACACAACTAAAAAATTTATCTGTCCAAGAGGACACTAGGTGCTGGCTCTTAGAGGTGAGATTTTCAGTTTCTGACAAAGGAATTCGCTTTACAAGTGTGACTTCCAACACTGTGAGTGTTGAGTGGCAGGGGCAAAATGCTGCCGTAAGTCCAGTATGGCTGCAGGAGAGACCCAGGGGAGTGCTGTGTGACCCTGTGTGAGTGGGAGTGTGGTAGACATGCCAGACGCTGGCCCCTGTAACAGGTGTCACCTGTTTCTCCCAAATGCAAGGAAAGCTGATAAATTAGGGGAGCGCACCATCCAGTCTGAATGTCGACTGTGGAAAATAGATTACAGTCAGTTTAGATGTAGCTGGAAGAATTAGGGGGCTATTGGCTTATTCTACTTATTTATGTATTTATTTATTTGAGATGGAGTCTCACTGTCACCCAGGCTGGAGTGCAGTGGTGTGATCTCAGCTCACTGCAACCTCCACCTCCCAGGGTTCAAGCGATTCTCCTGCCTCAGCCTCCTGAGTAGCTGGGATTACAGGCGCGCACCACGACACCTGGCTAATTTTTGTATTTTTAGTAGAGATGGGGTTTCACCATGTTGACGAGGCTGGTCTCGAACTCCTGACCCCGGGTGATCCACCTGTCTCAGCCTCCTGAAGTGCTGGGATTATAGGTGTGAGCCACCATGCCAGGCCTCTATTTAAAAAAGAATTTCTAATAGAGGCAGGATGTCTTAAAGAAAAATGGAAAATAGAAAAAAAATATAATAACATTTTCTTTTCTTTTCTTTTTCTTTTTCTTTTTTTTCTTGAGACAGAGTTTTGCTCTTGTTGCCCTGGCTGGAGTGCAGTGGCGCAATCTTGGCTCACTGCAGCCTCCACCTCCTGGGTTCAAGTGATTCTCCTGCCTCAGCCTCCTGAGTAGCTGGGATTACAGGCGCCTGCCACCATGCCTGGCTAATTTTTTGTATTTTTAGTAGAGATGGGGTTTCTTCATGTTGGCCAGACTGGTCTCGAACTCCTGACCTCAGGTGATCCACCCGCCTCGGCCTCCCAAAGTGCAGGGATTACAGGTGTGAGCCACCGTGCCCGGCCAAAATAATAAAATGTTCTTTGAGATAGGGGTTTTGCTATGTTCCCCAGCTAGCCTCAAACTCCTGGCCTCAAGCAATCCTCCTGCCTCGGCCTCCCAAAATGTTGGGATGATAGGTGTGAGCCACCATACTCGGCCTCTGCCTTACTCTAAGTAAAAGATGACAAGGTGGATTTATGAATGGTGGAGAAGATGGAAACTAATGGCTGGGTTTGAGATTCAGGAAGTAAAATTGGTGGGACTAGAGGGTGGAGAAAGATGGCAGTGTCATGAGTAGGTCTAAGGTTTATGGCTCATTGGCAAGATCCTCTGGGCACAATTTATTTTCATCCAGAGTAGAGTGAATTATGGACATGATTAAAGCTTGGTTCAGCAGAAACAAGTTTCTGTATCCTCAGCCGCAGGATTCAATGGCATTTTTATACTGATCGGGAATCTGTTGTTACAGGGAAGAGTGACCTTCGAGGATGTCACTGTGAACTTCACCCAGGGGGAGTGGCAGCGGCTGAATCCCGAACAGAGAAACTTGTACAGGGATGTGATGCTGGAGAATTACAGCAACCTTGTCTCTGTGGGTAAGGACGGCTTCCCGGGCAGGGGGACTCAAAACCTAAGGCGTGAAACACACAGACACCCCATGGCTGGCCAAATAGGGTTGGCACAGAGGTGCTCCTCACTTCGCATATGTTTTTGTAGAGCCGGGACTAGGGTGAGGCAAGTGAAGTGTACCAAGTGCTGTATTGAAGGAGCCCCCATTCTCAGGGTCGGCAAGTGCCGGGAGAATGAGTGAGGGCCTCTGTAAGTTTTGTGGGCTGGGTGCCCTGCCCTTCACCCTACTCCTGGTCTTGATTTTTGGAAAAGCTTTATCCTCCAAGAAGAAAAAGCATTTCTTTCTTTCCCTTCCTTCCCTCCCTCCCTCCCTCCCTCCCTCCCTGCCTCCTTCCCTTCCTCCCTTCCTACCTCCCTTCTTTCCTTCCTTCCTTCCTTCCTTCTTTCCTTCCTTCCTTCCTTCTTTCCTTCCTTCTTTCCTTCCTTCCTTCCTTCTTTCCTTCCTTCCTTCCTTCTTTCCTTCCTTCTTTCCTTCCTTCCTTCCTTCTTTCCTTCCTTCCTTCCTTCCTTCCTTCTTTCCTTCCTTCCTTCCTTCTTTCCTTCCTTCTTTCCTTCCTTCCTTCCTTCTTTCCTTCCTTCCTTCCTTCCTTCCTTCCTTTCTCCCTCCCTCCCTCTCTCCATTCCTCTCTCTTTCTTTATCTCCTTTCTCCTAACAGGGTCTGGCTGTGTCACCGAGGCTGGAGTGCAGTGGTGCAATCATAGCTCACTGTAGTATTTTTTTTTTTTGGAGACAGTCTCGCTCTGTCACCCAGGCTGGAGTGCAGTGGTGTGATCTCGGCTCACTGCAACCTCCGCCTCCCAGGTTCCAGTGATTTTCCTGCCTTAGCCTCCCGAGTAGCTGGGATTACAGACGTGCACCACCATGCCTGGCTAATTTTTGTATTTTTTGCACAGATGGGGTTTCTCCATGTTGGTGAGGCTAGTCTTGAACTCCTGACCTCAGATAACCGGCCCGCCTCAGCCTCCCAAAGTTCTGGTATTACAGGCATGAACCACCACGCCTGGCGTCACTGCAACATTGACCTGGGCTCAAGCCATCCTCCCACCTCAGCCTCCTGAATAGCTGGGACCACAGACGTGCACCACCACACGTGGCTTTGGTTTTGTAGAGACTGGGTCTTGCTATCTTCATGTTACATGTAACATGTTGGTCTCAAATTCCTGTGCTCTAGCAATTCTCCTATCTCGGCCTCCCAAAGTGCTGGGATTACAGGCATGAGCCGCCACACCCAGCCCAGAAAAAGCATTCTTTGTTTAGTTCGACTGCTCAGGTGCATTCCCTCAAACCATCCATCCACACAACTCCCCCCAACCAATGGCACATACCCACACACTGACATATAAATGCTCACACTCACACACAAATATTCACACAAGCATACGCAAGCGCTTATATACACTCATACACTTGCACAAACAACTCACACATCCACAAACACCAAGCCTTGCGGTATCTTCCATCACAGGACAAGGGGAAACCACCAAACCCGATGTGATCTTGAGGTTGGAACAAGGAAAGGAGCCATGGTTGGAGGAAGAGGAAGTGCTGGGAAGTGGCCGTGCAGGTAGGTGACCAGGAGAGCACTGTGGGTCAATGGTGCATGGAAGCCAATTCAGCTTTTCTAAATGAGGAAGTCGTTTGGCAGCCAGCTGTGACTTCCTGGGAGTGCTGGAAGAAATCTCCAGGTATTTTTCTCCACTCAGAAATTTCTTTACATTCTTATCTGGGTTTTCCTTTGCAGGCAAACTCTTTTTTTTTTCTTTTTTTTTTTTTTCTGGAAACGGAGTCTCTGTCGCCCAGGCTGGAGTGCAGTGGCGCGATCTGGGCTCACTGCAACCTCCGCCTCCCGAGTTCGAACGATTCTCCTGCCTCAGCCTCCCGAGTAGCTGGGATTACAGGCACTTGCCACCATGCCCGGCGAATTTTTTGTATTTTTAGTAGAGACAGGGTTTCGCCATGTTGGTCAGGCTGGTCTTGAACCCCCGACCTCAGGCAATCCACCCGCCTCAGCCTCCCAAAGTGCTAGGATTACAGGTGTGAGCCCCTGTGCCTGGCCTGGCAAACTCTCTTTCTTAATCTCCCTCTCCCTGGTATCCCTAGGCTCTCACCTGCTCCCTGTGCACTAGGTCTACGTTGCTCAGTCCTTTACAGACAGATATGTGATAGCTTCATGTAACATTAGCTCACATAGAACTCTAACAGAGCTTATATTAACTTTGGTTTCTCGTAGACATTAGGTTTGAAGCCAGAATAATCACCACAATAGATTGTTTATGGCATTTTATTTCAAGCATGTGAGTGGAACGTTTTACACAGGACATTTTTTTGTATTCCATTTTAGAAAAAAATGGGGACATTGGAGGGCAGATTTGGAAGCCAAAGGATGTGAAAGAGAGTCTCGCAAGAGAAGTCCCATCAATCAATAAGGAAACGCTGACTACGCAGAAAGGTGTAGAATGTGACGGATCTAAGAAAATACTTCCACTGGGCATAGATGATGTATCTTCCTTGCAACACTATGTACAAAATAATTCTCACGATGATAATGGATACAGAAAATTAGTTGGCAATAATCCATCCAAATTTGTAGGACAACAACTGAAATGTAATGCCTGTAGAAAGTTATTCAGTTCAAAGTCACGCCTTCAAAGTCACCTGAGGAGGCATGCCTGTCAAAAACCCTTTGAATGTCATAGCTGTGGAAGAGCATTCGGGGAGAAGTGGAAGCTTGATAAACATCAGAAAACTCACGCAGAGGAAAGGCCCTATAAATGTGAGAACTGTGGAAATGCCTACAAGCAGAAGTCAAATCTCTTTCAACATCAGAAAATGCATACTAAAGAGAAACCCTATCAGTGTAAGACATGTGGAAAAGCCTTTTCCTGGAAATCATCCTGCATTAATCATGAGAAAATTCATAATGCCAAGAAATCCTATCAGTGTAATGAATGTGAGAAATCCTTCAGGCAGAACTCAACCCTCATTCAACATAAAAAAGTTCACACTGGACAAAAACCCTTTCAATGTACGGACTGTGGAAAGGCTTTCATTTACAAGTCAGATCTTGTGAAACACCAGAGAATACACACGGGAGAGAAACCCTATAAATGTAGCATATGTGAGAAGGCCTTTTCCCAGAAATCCAATGTCATCGATCATGAGAAAATTCACACTGGGAAGAGAGCTTATGAGTGTGATCTATGTGGAAATACCTTTATCCAGAAGAAAAACCTCATTCAACATAAAAAAATCCATACTGGGGAAAAGCCCTATGAATGTAACAGATGTGGAAAAGCCTTCTTTCAGAAGTCAAACCTTCATAGCCATCAGAAAACTCATAGCGGAGAGAGGACCTATAGATGTAGTGAATGTGGAAAAACCTTCATCCGGAAATTAAACCTTAGTTTGCATAAAAAAACCCATACTGGACAAAAACCTTATGGATGTTCTGAATGCGGTAAAGCCTTCGCTGACAGGTCATACCTTGTTAGGCACCAGAAAAGAATTCACTCCAGATAGGAGCCCCATGCACTTAAAAAAACATGGGAAGATATGGTTGCCTGGAATTGTCACCCCAGAATTCCATGTTGAAATGGCCTCTAATTTGGAGGCTATTTTTGAAGGTAGCGAGGACTTATTATCACAGTATCCTTTGAAAACCCATTCGGCATACTCACTCAGCAAATGTTTATTAAGTATAAATATTTATTAGATGCCTTTTGTGTACCAGGAACTCTTAAACACTGAAGATGTAGCAATAAACCAAATGTGCTAAAACCCTGATGGAGTTTTATTCCAGTGAATAATGACCAGTGGTATCCATATCTTTAAAAACGTTTAAAAGACTATACTTTTGGCCAGGCGTGGTGGCTCAAATGCCTGTAATCCCAGTACTTTGGGAGGCTGAGGTGGGCGCATCACCTGAGGTCAGGAGTTCGAGACCAGCATGACCAACATGGTGAAACCCTGTCTCTACCAAAAATACAAAAATTAGCCAGGCATAGTTGTGGGCACCTGTAATCCCAGCTACCCGGGAGGCTGAGGCAGGAGAATTGCTTGAACCTGGGAGGTAGAGGTTGCAGTGAGCCAATATTGCACCATTGCACTCCTGCCTGGGCAACAAGAGCAAAATTTCATCTCAAAAATAAGATAAAATAAAATAAACAAATAAGACAGCACTTTATACTTTTAGGGATGATTTCTATAATTCATGAGTGGAGAGGTTTCTCTAGAGGTGTAGGGGACTGGAAACCACATCCAGGAAGTACAGCTTTCTCTCCTGAGCATGAAGGTATCTTGGCATTTCTTCACTGCAATTGCCATTTGCCTTTTTTGTTTTTCCTTTTGAGATAGGGTGTCACCTGTTGCCCAGGCTGGAGGGCAGTGGTGTAGTCATAGCTCACTGCAGCCTCAAACTCTTGGGCTCAGGCAATCCTTCCACCTCAGGCTCCCAAAGTGCTTTGATTACAGGCATGAGCCATGGCACTCAGCCTCGTTTCTTTCTTTTCTTTTTCTTTTTTTGGAGACAGAGTTTTACTCTTGTCACCCAGGCTGGAGTACGGTGGTGTGATCTCAGCTCACTGCAATCTCCGCCTCCCTGGTTCAGGTGATTCTCCTGCCTCAGCCTCCAAAGTAGTAGCTAGGACGACAGGCATGCACCACCACGCCTGGCTCATTTTTGTATTTTTAGTAGAGACGGGGTTTCACCATGTTGGCCAAGATGTTCTCGATTTCCTGACCTTGTGATCCGCCTGCCTTGGCCTCCTAAAGTGCTGGGATTACAGGCGTGAGCCGCTGTGACCGGCCTACATTTCTTTTTTCATAGTACTTTCCTTCTTTTCCTCTTAAATGCTAAAAATAATGTATTTTTAAAAACCTCGTACGTATGTTTCTGGTTGCTCTTCTCTTCTTTCCCACACCTACTCTGCCTAATTTTGCCCCATTCCTTATATAATACCAGGCTCTTATCTCTTTTTACCCAAAAAATCCTCTCAATTTCCATTTGTCTACTCACATGGCCATTTAAAAAAATCGTTCTTTACTCCTTGCTGAATTCACAGTCTAACACATCACCCACTGATACTGGGTACATTATAAGCTGTTTAAGGCTTGGCCACCAGGAAATGTTGTACATTTATGAGGATGGGTTTATCGTCTTATTCATATTAATAACATGAGCAACATCTTGCAGTGCTTTTGAATTCACAAAATCACACGGATATTTAGTATACTGCATTTTGCATATAACCCTAATGTTATGCCCTGAAATTCCTGGAAAATGGTAAATAACAGTTGATTGCTGCATAGCAAATTTTACTAGTCACCAGTCATAAACACATGTGGAAGCTAGCCAATGGTATATGTATGGGTTGGGTTATTATTTTAATAACTTTACAAAGGAAAAGTACTCACCCCCTGCTTTCTTTCTGTGTCGTGACTGAAAATCATGGACTGCTTTGACCACTCTGACCAGCCAAGCTGCAGGCTTTTCCCAGAAGGCTTGAATCCAAAGTAGAGCCTGAAACATTCCCAGGCACTGATAGAGGTATTTAGGTTTAGGTTGTTGCCCAAAACACTAAAAGAAACTAGTCCCCACCCTTGACCAAATTCCTTATAAACTTATATAACCCCATACCCTGACCCTCTCACTGCAGCAGACACACCAAGGTAGACCATCCCCCCTCCCGCCTTTTTTTTTTTTTTTTTTTTGAGACAGGGTCTTTCACCCAGGCTGGAGTGCAGTAGTGTGATCATAGCTCACTGCAGCCTTGAACTCCCAGACTCAAGTGATCCTCCCACATCGGCTTCCTGAGCAGCTGAGACATGCCTGGCAAAGTTATTTATTTATTTAGAAATGGAGTTTTGCTCTTGTTGCCCAGGCTGGAGTGCAGTGGTGCGATCTCGGCTCACTGCAACCTCCATCTGCTGGGTTCAAGTGATTCTCCTGCCTCAGCCTCCTGAGTAGCTGGGACTGCAGGTGCCTGCCACCACACCCAGCTAATTTTCTATTTTTAGTAGAGACGGAGTTTCACCATGTTGTTCAGGCTGGTCTCAAACTCCCGACCTCAGGTGATCCGCCCGCCTTGGCCTCCCAAGTGCTGGGATTACAGATGTGAGCCACCGTGCCTGGCTGCTGAATTATTTTTTGTAGAGACAGGGTCTTGCTATATTTCCCAGGCTGGTTTTGAACTGGTCTGCTCAAGCAGTCCTCCCACCTTGGCCTCCCAAAGTGCTGGGATGACAGGCATGAGCCACGGTGCCCAGCTGGTTGACCATGCTTTTTTCTCTCACTGTCCGCCTGAGGGTATGCTGCAGAACTCTCTAAGTTCCCCCTAATAAATGCTCCGGAAAGATCCCTCTGGTGTTTGGTGCTTCTTTCTTTGGAATCCCAACCGGCCCGATCTCAGAATGGTTTTGGGCACTCTCTTGTTGGAATTTCCCTGCTGCCACTTTTGGGGTGACTCTATCTAGTCTTAGGTTCAGTGGGACAAAATAAAAGAGTGCAAAAAATTTAATGAAAATCGTTTATATAACATAAGCAATCCATATCAACAGTAGCAAAATACACCAAGATACTCCACACATTACCAGTGTTCTTCAAACTTTCATGAGCACTAGAATCTCCATCTGATTGCTGGCTCACACCTCCTGTTTCTGCATCAGTTGGTCTAGAGAGTGACCCAAGAATTTGCATTTCTAATCAGTCCCTAGCTGTTGCTGTTGCTGGTTGAAGAACAACATTTTGAAAACCACCGTCAAAACGTGAAGAGCACCATTCTAATCTTGCAGGGAAAATATGCATATGCGCCTGAGTTCTGGGATCTAGGTGTCTGAAGCAGTTAAAATAGATATTCCCCCAAAATAAGTGTTTTTCATTGAGATTTCATCCTGAGATACTTGTTCCTTCATTCTGAGTGAAGTACAGGATTCTCTTTGCAAGGATGAAGTACAGGATTCTCTTTGCAAGGATGAAGTGAGGCCGAGTGAGTCTGTCAAGCAGGTCTGTACAAAGAGTCACCTTCGTATTCCCCCTGAGGGATCACCCCTGCCTGTGTGCTAGGTAGCCGAGAGTTCTCTGCTTTTCTTAACAGCTCCTCAAAAATCCCATTGTGCATGTAAAAGAAGATATACCCAGAGTGAAGCCTCGCCTCCTGCATTTTGGTCTCTGAGATTTCTGATACACATAGATCGTTGTATGTGAACCAGGCCTGCTTCTGAAAGTCATACACATCGCTGATGTAATGGCCTGAATTTGGGGAGCTCCCGATATGGCTGACAACACTGATGAGTCTGTAGGCCTGGAGAGGATCCCCCATCTTCACGTTTCTTGTTAGTTCCTTGGCTTCACCTCTTGTGTTCTCTGCATCTAAAATGTTTTTGTTTCCTGGGTTGTCAGAACCCAGTGCCCCAAGGTGATTCAGGTCAGCCTTTTGAAGTCTTAATTCTGTAGACTGATTGAGGGTCTCTTCTGTATGTTCCTGGGCATCCAGCTTCCTAACACCTGGAGGTGGTGCCTGCTGAAGAAATTCATCTATGATGCTCTCCTCAATACACTGCTGGAGCTGTTCAGCCATTCCTTGAGATCCTTCTGGAATCCTGTTTTCTTTACAGTCATAAAAGCCATTGGTGGACTCAGTGACACTGTCAAAATTGAACTCTACGAATGTATTGGTTTTCTCATACTTCTGAAGTTCTGGATGTTGAGGCACCTCTTGAAGATGAACCTCGACAAGCCTTGTGTCTGGGCTGCTGATCAGCTTCCCTCCATCTTCATACATCACAGGAAGAGAAATGTCTCCCTGGTCCATCAGTGAGTCAGCCACTGGAAGCTCCTTTTCACCGATTGCCCTATCTCTAAAGTGGACCAATTCTGACTCTAGTGCAGAGCCATTTTCCAGGTCTCTCTGATGCTGCTCTTGGCTTGCATCTCCACAGTCTCTCTGGAATCTTTGTAGGTCGGCATTCTTGTCTGGTTCAACGGGTAGAACCAGGGAATCACTGGATTCTGAGGTCAGCTTCATTGATGGTGTCAATGGGCTGTTGATCTCAGAAATCATCTCCTGAGAGACTTCCAGGACTTCACATTTCCCAACAGGTGCACTACTGCTCAAGGGAAGAGGTGGTTTGGTGCTTTCATTGCAATAAGAAGATAAACTTAAAGATTTGGGAATATAAACTTGCTCGTTATTCTTCACCAGCAACCAAGCATTGTTGAAGCTATAGCGTTTCAGATGAATGATAAGGACCCTGGAGAGCCTACTAAATGTATGCCTTGCAACACAACTCTTCTGCTTACACATCTGACAGTTATATTCAAGCTCTTCTTCTTTAAAGAAAAGATCTAAAGAATTCTGAATGGACAAAGGAAGTGGTTTTGTTTCTTGGTGCAGGTTGATGGAGAGATAATTATTAGGTTCTACCTTGAGAACAGCATGACCACAAGCTTTACAAATAAGGGAGAGCTGCAATTCAAACTCAAAATTAGCAACAACAGGGCAAACAAACACTTTGGTGGCAGCACTACCAACATGCATTTGTGGAGATGAATTTTCATCCCCACATTCTTTCCCAGTATTCAAAGTGGCATTTAATTTTTCCATGTCTTCTTTCAGCTGGTCTAAACACTGACCTAAAAACTCATGAGCATCATTCTGCATGTTGCCAGAAAATATTTCTGCAACTGCTGAAATGACTTTTTTAACATTCCCAAGTAATTCTCTCTTGATCTTTGTACTACAGAAATCTTTCAAAGCAAGCAGCTGGGTCAAGGTCATAATAAGAGCCTCAAAGGGAATATATTCCCATGGGACACCTTGAGTGAGTAAGTCATCAGCAAAAGATGGAATTGCAAATAGCGATTGTAAAACTGCATTCATGTAACAGGTGTTTCCCAAATTGGGGAACCCCTGCTGCAGTTGCTGTGAATGAGAGTCAAGAGGCACCTGGGCTTTGTTGCATCTTGGGTCACCCTGGCTGTGCTCTGGTTCCAATGGAGATGTCAAACCATTTTTGGCATTGAGAGTCTGGGTTGCAAGAACAGTCTCATCTAGGTTAGGATTTCCATTACAGTTGGTATTGAATGAAGGCCCGAGTTTCAAATCTCTATCTTTTTCTAAATCCTCTAAACTTGATGGGTTCTTCCTATTGCTTTGTATATATTTCAAGGAATCTGTCTTATATTTCTTGTTTGGTACAGGGTTATCTTCCTTCAGAATGTCCTCATTTGTCTGTACATCAGATGATAGTGTGTTTTGCCCCTTCCCACCTTGATTTTCTAATATCCCCTTTTTCACATGTGTTGGTGATTTTGACATAAACAAAGGCATCTTCTGATAACTTGGCTTGTTACAAATGCTGTAAAATGAAGTTTTGTCAATTTCCTTCAGCATATTCCTGCTTTCAAACACACTCCAATCATCATCAGATTTCATGGGTTGCTGAGATTTGTTTTGGTGGATTATGTCCAGGAACATATTCAACTGTTTAGCATCTCTGTAGGATAATTTGTCAATAAACAAGAACACGTTGTTTTTCAAAGTTAAACGCAGGTGACTTTGTCTTTTTTTACAATGTCTAAGGACCACACTTCTAATGTTGTTGCTCAGCTGAAAAATTCTTATAAATTTTCCAGATTTGAAAGTGACCACCAGTTTAATTTCCTTTTGTCTTTGCACTGTTTCAATGAGAGCTTCTTTCAGCTTAGTCATCCCAGTCTTCTGGCTCCAAATTTGGATGAATCCACATACCTTTAGAGATATCATCCTTTCTTTATGTAACCTAAAGAAGAAAAGCACACATGCATTTTAACCAAGAATATATTAACAGTTATATTTTATGAAAAACCTCATCCACATATAATAATGATTTATTTTTAGTCTTCTTATGCTCTAAGTAAAATACTCTTTTGGGGTGCTAATATTCTGAAGCTGTGCCAGTTCTCCAGAAGACATAGACTGAGGCACACGCATTTTCAAGGGAGCTGTTAGGCGAGAAAGAATATACAAATGGCCAACAGAGATATGAACAGGTGCTCAGCATCACTGCTCATCGAGAAAATACAAATTTGGTTGGGCATGGTGGCTCACGCCTGTAATCTTAGCACTCTGGGAGGCCAAGTGGAAGGATCACTTGAGCCCAGGAGTTCAAAACCAGCATGGCAAAATAGGGAGACCTCATCGCTACATAAAATTTTTTAAAATTAAAAAAGGGGCGGGGCCAAGATGGCCAAATAGGAACAGCTCCGCTCTGCAGCTCCCAGCGAGACCAATGCAGAAGGTGGGCGATTTCTGCATTTCCAACTGAGGTACCCAGTTCATCACATCGGGACTAGTTAGGCAGTGGGTGCAACCCATGGAGGGCGAGCAGAAGCAGGGTGGGGCATTGCCTCACCTGGGAAATGCAAGGAGCCAGGGACCTCCCTCCCCCAGCCAAGGGAAGCCGTGAAGAACTATGCTACTCGCCCGGTTACTACGCTTTTCCCACAGTTTTTGCAATCTGCAGATCAGGAGATTCCCTTGTGTGCCTACACCACCAGGGCCCTGGGTTTCAAGCACAAAACTAGCCAGCTGTTCGGGGAGACACCGAGCTAGTTGCAAGAGTTGATTTTTTTTTGTACACCAGTGGTGCCTGAAACCCCAGTGAGACAGAACCATTCACTCCCCTGGAAAGGGGGCTGAAGCCAGGGGGCCAAGTGATCTCACTCAGCAGGTCCCACTCCCATGGAGCCCAGCAAGCTAAGAACCACTGGCTTGAAATTCTCACTGCCAGTGCAGCAGTCTGAAGTTGACCTGGAATGATGGAACTTGGTTGGGGGAGGCGCATCCGTGATTAATGAGGCGTTAGTAGAGTTTTCCCTGGACAGTGCTAAGGAGGGTGGGAGGTTTGGACTGGGCAAAGTTCACCACAGCATGGCAAAGCAGCTGTGGCCAGACTGCTTCTCTAGATTCCTCCTCACTGGTCAGGGCATCTCTGAAGAAAGGGTAACAGTCCCAGTCAGGGGCTTACAGATAAAATTCCCATCTCCCTGGGACAGAGCACCTGGGGGAAGGGGTGGCTGTGGGCACACAGCTTCAGCAGATTTAATCTTTTCTGCCTGCTGGCTCTGAAGAGAGCAGCTGATCCTGATAAGAGGGATTTTCCCAGCACAGCACAACAGCTCTGCTAAGGGACAGGCTGCCTCCTCAAGTGGGTCCCTGACCCCCGTGCCTTCTAACTGGGAAAGAACTCCCAACAGGGGTTGAGAGACACCTCATGCAGGAGAGCTCTGGCTGGCATCAGGCTGGTGCCCCTCTGGGACAAATCTTCCAGAGGAAGGAACAGGCAGCACTCTTTGCTGTTCTGCAGCTCTGCAGCCTCCGCTGGGGATACCCAGGTGAAAAGGGTCTGGAGTGGACCTCCAGCAAACTGCAGCAGACCTGCAGAAGAGGGGCCTGACTGCTAGAAGAAAAACTAACAGAAAGCAACAACATCAACATCAACAAAAAAGACCCCCACACAATAACCCCATCCAAAGATCAACAGCCTCAAAGATCAAAGGTAGATAAATCCACAAAGATGAGGAAAAACCAGCACAACAACGCTGAAAAATCCAAAAAACAGAATGTCTCTTCTCCAAATGATCGCAACTCCTGTTCAGCAAGGACACAAAACTGGACAGAGAATGAGATTGATGAATTGATAGAACTAGGCTTCAGAAGGTGGGTAATAACAAACTCCTCTGAGCTAAAGGAGCATGTTCTAACCCAATGCAAGGAAGCTAAGAACCTTGATAAAAGGCTACAGGAATTGCTAACTAGAATAACCAGTTTAGAGAGGAACATAAATGACCTGATGGAGCTGAAAAACACAGCATGAGAACTTCGTGAAGCATACACAAGTATCAATAGCCAAATCAATCAAGCAGAATAAAGGACATCAGAGATTGAAGATCAACTTACTGAAATAAGGCGTGAAGACAAGATTAGAGAAAAAAGAATGAAAAGGAATGAACAAAGGCTCCAAGAAACATGGGACTATGTGAAAAGACCAAACCTACGATTGATTGGTATACCTGAAAGTGACGGGGAGAATGGAATCAAGTTGGAAAACACACTTTGGGATATTATCCAGGAGAACTTCCCCAACCTAGAACGACAGGCCAACATTCAAATTCAGGAAATGCAGAGAATACCACAAAGATATTCCTCGAGAAGAGCAACCCCAAGACACATAATCGTCAGATTCTCCAAGGTTGAAACAAAGGAAAAAAATGTTAAGGGCAGCCAGAGAGAAAGGTCGGGTTACCCACAAAGGGAAGCCCATCAGATTAATAGTGGATTGCTCCAGAAACCCTACAAGCCAGAAGACAGTGGGGGCCAATATTCAACGTTCTTAAGGAATTTTCAACCCTGAATTTCATATCCAGCCAAACTAAGCTTCATAAGCGAAGAAAAAATACAATCCTTTACAGACAAGCAAATGCTGAGGGATTTTGTCACCACCAGGCCTACCTTACAAGAGCTCCTGGAGGAAGCACTAAATATGGAAAGGAAAAGCCGGTACCAGCCACTGCAAAAACACACCAAAATATAAAGACCAATGACACAGAAGAAACTGCATCAACTAATGTGCAAAATAACCAGCTAGCATCATGATGATGGGATCAAATTCACACGTAACAACATTAACCTTAAATGTAAATGGGCTAAATGCCCCCAATTAAAAGATACAGACTGGCAAATTGGATAAAGAGTCAAGACCCATTGATGTGCTATATTCAGGAGACCTATCTCATGTGCAAAGACATACATAGGCTCAAAATAAAGGGATGGAGGAATATTTGCCAAGCAAATGGAAAGCAAAAAAAAGGATGGGTTGCAATCCTAGTCTCTGATAAAACAGATGTTAAACCAACAAAGATCAAAAAAGACAAAGAGGGCATTACATAATGGTAAAGGGATCAATGCAACAAGAATAGCTAACTATCTTAAATATATATGCACCCAATACAGGAGCATCCAGATTCATAAAGCAAGTTCTTAGAGACCTACAAAGAGGCTTAGACTCCCACACAATAATAGTGGGAGACTTTAACACCCCCCTGTTAATATTAGATAGATCAATATTATCATCACCACATAGCACTTATTTTAAAATTGACCACATAATTCGAAGTAAAACACTCCTCAGCAAATGCAAAAGAACGGAAATCATAACAAACAAGCTCTCAGACCACAGTGCAATCCAATTATAACTCAGGATTAAGAAACTCACTAAAAACCACACAACTACATGGAAAGCCTGGCTTCACCACTTACTGCTTTTGTAACACTAAGGCTGAAACTCAACCCTCCTGAGTCTTACTTTCACATAAGTGAAAATGGGACTGCAACAATAATAACGACTTCTTAGGATAAGTCATTGGGCTAAAACAGCTCAAAATTAATTGTCGACATCATATTCCTATTGCTAATCCTAGGAATATATTAAACTACCTCATATGGAGAAAATTAAGGCTCCATCATGGGAGGAAAGGGAGTTTAGTGACTTTTATTACAGGTTTATTGTTTGTTGTACTACATCACTCTATATGATGCTCCTGAATGACTACTGGTTAAATAACAAAATTAAGGCAAAAATAAAGAAGTTCTGTCTGGGCACGGTGGCTCACACCTGTAATCCCAGCACTTTGGGAGGCTGAGGCAGGTGGATCACCTGAGGTCAGGAGTTTGAGACTAGCCTGGCCAACATGGTGAAACCTGGTCTCTACTAAAAATACAAAAATTAGCCGGGCATGGTGGCAGGCACCTATAGTGCCAGATACTGGGGAGGCTGAGGCAGGAGAATCGCTTGAACCCTGGAGGTGGAGGTTGCAGTGAACAGAGATCTCGCCACTGCACTCCAGCTGGGGAGACACAGCAAGGCTCTGTCTGAAAAACAAAAAACAAAAACAAAAACAAAAAAAAAACAAAAAAGAAAACCAAAAAAAAAACCCCACAAAAAACAGGGAGTAAGGAAAAGGAGTAAGATGGCGAGTTGTTGTGCTAGCTAATTAGCAAAACCGAGGTGGGGAGAGAGACAGAGAAAGGGAAATATGAAGAGTGAAAAAAAAAAAAACATGAAGGGAAAGACATCTCAAAACACAAACAGGTTTCAGAAAAAATAAAAAATATCTCTCTGAATTTGCTCCCTCCCCTTACTCATTTGCCCATTTCTCCCCAGGCAGTGAGGAATGCCTACTTCCTTCCAACATTCCAATTTCAGGAAAAGCAGTGAAATCCCAATGAAACCAACAGAAAAAGTTGCCCTTTGCTACTCACAGTTCTTTCCGAAGAAACTTGAGTCAATTTACTGAAGTTTAAGCTTTGGAGAGCTGTCCATGGTCACACTGCAGGCAGAGCTCTGACTGCCACGGCTGTTACTAGGAAGAAACAAAAAGGTCAGAGTCCTGAAACTGAGGTTTATTTAAAAAGTCTGCACATAGTCCCAACCATCTTTCATGTTAATTTATTGCATTATATCTTAGAAACTGGGAAAACCAACCTTCCTCCAAAGTCGTTTACGTTAATTTAATCTGGGAGAAAACCTCCTGTGTTAATGGGATTATCTCTAAATGCATTCCTAAAAGTGCCCCTCCCCAATTACACAGATTAGATTAATATATCAACTGACTTCACATTCATTGGTTTTCTTGGAACTCTGCCACAACAAGACCTTCTAACAACATTTGTTGTTTGAGAAACCTTATACTTTATGGGTCTCTAACTTAAAGACTAGTTCTGACTTTGCTTACCTAGAACTTTAAGTATCTTTATTTTTTTCTTGTTACAAAGAGGCACTACAGAGAGGATGCATCGAGATCACACATTGTACATTCCAACTTCCAGGATTCCAAGCCCGGCTTCACCGCTTACTGCTTTTCTAACACTAAGGCTGAAACTCAACCCTCCTGAGTCTTACTTTCGTATAAGTGAAAACGGGATGGCAACAATAATAGCGACTTCTTAGGATAAGTCATTGGGCTAAAATGGCTCAAAATTAATTGTTGACATCATATTCCTATTGCTAATTCTAAGAATATATTAAACTACAGGGATGCCTCATATAGAGAAAATTAAGGCTCCATCATGGGAGGGAAGGGAGTTTAGTGACTTTTATTACAGGTTTATTGTTTGTTGTACTACATCACTCTATATGATTTACATGCCTTAATACCATTTAATTCTGCAAGTGACCATATGATATTCAATTTTATTACATTTAACATAGTAAGAAAACTGAGGTCCAAATGCATTATTAATACATTAAGGGACTTTTAGGAGTCACTCAGCTAAAGAAACAGGGATGTGTAATCAGAAATGGCTGCTGTTGATGGGTGCCCACATTTCTTCAATGTAGGGCATGAGCTATACTATGCCAAACCCAGCAAACCATGTGGGAAGCAGAAAATCTTCCATGATTATAATTAATGTGTCCTCAGTTTCCTGAGAGATCCTAACATAATATATAGAGTGTGAAGAAAAGCCCCTCCATTTCATCCTGTTGCTGCTGATAAATTATTGCCTCTTTAGGGAAACTTCACCCTCACTGGACCTTAAATTTAATGAAAGGAGGAATCACAAAAATTAGAGATCATCAGCTTTTCCCTGAGCTGAGTTCAAAAGACAGGTAGGCTTCATCATTTTCATTTTGGATGCATGCTCTTTTCTGAAAATGCCAATATCCAATGCCACAGAAAACAGAAAACTATCCCCTCAAAATAAAAACCCAGAATCAGGATTTTCGAATTTACAATTCAACCTCATAAAGGGTAGAAGATGAAATTCCCCTCATCACAATATCTGACAATATCTTTAGGGCATTAAGTTTAGACAGACCCTCCTTCCAACACTCACACACACATACACACACACACACACACACACACACACACACACACACACACATCCCATCACCCAAACAAGCAAACCTTGAATGAAACTTACAGTTTGGAGAGCTGTTCTGGGTGAGTGGATGATAATTCTTTTTTCAGAAATGAGATCTTGCTATGTTGCCCAGGGTGGTCCCAAACTCCTGGCCTCAATCGATCCTCCAGCCTCAGCCTTCCAAAGTGCCTGGATTAGACTCCATAGCGCCTGGAGGAGAATGATGGAAGTTGAGTCTGACAGTGATTATGATGTTCCGACCTTTTATTCCCAGGTGGCTCCACCCATATCACGGGTTTTTCCAGGAAATACGTTTCTTGATTAACTTATCTCTGTGTAAGAGTTTAAAATATTTGTCTAGAAAAGGCTAGATAGTGACTTATTTTACTTTATTTCAATTGGTAATTAAAAACTTTTATTTAGAAATCATTGCAAATATACATAAGAATTGCAAGATTAGTAGAAATAACTTATATTCCCTTCACCCAAATTTACCAATTGTGTATATTTTGCCACATCTGTCTGCTTTCTCTCTCCCTCTTTTGATGTTCTATGTATCTATCTATCTATCTATCTATCTATTTTTTAATAGAGACAAGGTCTTGCTATGTTGCCCAGGTCTCGAACTCCTGACCTCCAGTAATCCACCCGCCTCAGCCTCCCAAAGTGCTGGGATTACAGGCTTGAGCCACCATGCCCAGACATGTTCAAGTCCCTTATATAACAGGATATACTTTTACTCCACTTAATGTTTACCTGTTTTCTTTGTAGTAACCGTGCTTTTTGTTTTATATATATATAATTATATATATATAACATATATGTATATATATAACATATGTAAGTACATATAACATATGTAAGTATATATAACATATGTAAGTATATATAACATATAAGCATATATAACATACATATAAGCATATATAACATATATAAGTATATATAACATACATATAAGTATATATATAACATATATAAGTATACATAGCATATATAAGTATATATAGCATATATAAGTATATATAACATATATAAGTATATATAACATATAAGTATGTATAACATGTATAAGTATATATAACATATATAAGTATATAACATAAGTATATATAACATATAAGTATGTATAACATATATAAGTATATATAACATATATAAGTATATAACATAAGTAGATATAACATATATAAGTATATATAATATATAAGTACATAACATATATAAGTATATAACATATATAAGTATATATAACATATATAAGTATATATATAACATATATATCCTACATTTTCAACACGTGTAACAAATGTGGATAGTTTCAAAAAGATCATTTTACGTTCTAGTAGTTACCCTGTTTGACCAAAGTGTAGTACTTTTATTTTTCTATTGCAGTGCATTTTCTTTTTTTTTTTTGGCGGGAGGTGAGGGAGCGGAGCGGGGATGGAGTCTCACTCTGTCACCGAGGCTGGAGTTTAATGGCGTGATCTCGGCTCACTGCAGCCTCTGCTTCCTGGGTTCAAGTGATTCTCCTGCCTAAGCCTCCTGAGTAGCTGGGATTACAGGAGCCCGCCACCACGCCTGGCTAATTTTTTGTATTTTTAGTAGAGACGGGGTTTCGCTATGTTGCCCAGGCAGTCTCGAACTCCTGATCCGCCCGCCTTGGCCTCCCAAAGTTCTGGAATTACAGGAGTGAGCCACCGTGCCCGGCCTTTTTTCTGTTTTTTTTTTTTTTTTTTTTTTTTTGAGACGGAGTCTCTCGCTCTGTCGCCCAGGCTGGAGTGCAGTGGTGTGATCTCGGCTCACTGCAACCTCCACCTCTGGGGTTCAAGTGATTCTCCTGCCTCAGCCTCCCCAGTAGCTGGGATTACAGGCACCCACCATCATGGCCAGCTAATTTTTGTATTTTTAGTAGAGACAGGGTTTCACCTTGTTGGTCAGGCTGGTCTCAAACTCCTGACCTCAGGTGATCTACCCGCCTCGGCCTCCCAAAGTGCTGGCATGACAGGCGTGAGCCACCGACCCAGCCCTTTTTTCTTTTATATAGTTTTTGAGACAGGGTCTTGCTCTGTTGCCCAGGCTGGAGTGCAGTGGTGCGATCATACCTCACTACACCCTCGATCCCCAAGGCTCAAGTCATCCTCCAACCTCTGCCTCCTGACTATCTGACACTACAGGCGTGGGTAATTTTTAAATTTTTTTGAGACATAGTCTCACTTTGTTGTCCAGGCTGGAGTGCAGTGGCATGATCTCAGCTAGCTAATTTTAAAATTTTTTGTAGAGATGGGTGGGGGGAGGGTCTCACTATGTTGCCCAGGCTGGTCTCCAACTCCTGGGCACAAGCGATCCTCCCGCCTCGGCCTCCCAAAGTGCTGGGATTACAGGCATGAGCCTGGCCAGCATTTTCTGTTTGAATGTTTTTACGTAACCGGAGTCGTCATGATGGAGGTACAGTTCCTTGGACTTCCGGCTCCCATGGCTCTGGAAATCTCAGCTCGGACCCGCCCCTTCCGGCGCCGACTCCCCTGATTCTCCTGGGAACAGAAGAGTTCTGGGCACAGCACGCTGCGTCTGCGCAGTGCCGGGCGCAGGCCTCCCGACCTACGGGTCTAGGTACGGGCTCTAGCGTGGCCGGGGCACATAGAGTTCCTGGCCTAGAGCTGGTGGGGCGTAACGGCAGGAGTTAGGGTTCAGAGAAAACCAGCCCAGGGGCGGGTTCATCCTGTTACCCATTCAGCCTCAAGCGAGGTGGGGTGTGGTAGGTGGGCTGGTGCTAGAAACCACGCCGGGAATTGTTAATAACAGTCATCCCGGCCGGGCGCGGTGGCTCACGCCTGTCATCCCAGCACTTTGGGAGGCCGAGGAGGGCGGATCACCTGAGGTCAGGAGTTTGATATTAGCCTGACCAACGTGGCGAAACCCCGTCTCTACTAAAAATACAAAAATCAGCCGGGCATGGTGGTGGGCGCCTGTAATCCCAGCTACTCGGGAGGCTGAGGCAGGAGAATCGCTTGAACCCGGGAGGCGGAGGTTGCAGTGAGCGGAGATGGCGCCACTACAATCCAGCCTGGGCGACAGAGCGAGACTCCGTCTCAAAACAACAACAAAACCCCCAAAAAAGCGGTCATCCTCCAGGTGGAAGAGACAGAAGAGAGGGTGCGGAAGAGACTTAAAAGTCTTAGGCCTTCAAGCGTGTTTGCCTCAGCCACCCGTGAATCCTACAGGAAAACTAAAACAACTCGGCCACAAGCCCCCAAGTCTTGGGGAAGCGGACGGTTTCCCAGCCGAGCTTTAGGAGGAGGCGCCGCGGGACCTCACGGGTGACGTCGTCCCCGGGGGTAGTTTGCGCAGAGGGTCGCTTTGGGCGCGCTTAGAGTCGCGTGGTGCCTGGGCCAGCGAAGCCCAGGTGCAGTCATTTGTGGCCCTGTCCCGGCGCGCGAGGGGCCAAGGCTGGTCGGGGGCCGGGTCCGCGCGGTAGCAACTGCGTCCTGCCAGCTTCCATCTCTCCCTCTGAGGGCCTGAGCGGCTGCCAGAGTCAGGTCTGCAGGCCGGGCGCTCACGCGTCTGTGCCCAGTGAGGCCCCAAGATGCTGGTGAGGCCTCGACCCTGACTGGTGTCCAGGCTCTTGACACTGTCGTGAGAAGGAATTCATGGATGAGCAGAACAAAGTGTGGAGATTCATTGCGACGGGAATAAGTACGTACTGAAGAAAGAAAAGTGCAGGCATACCACAGAGCATCACGCCCAGCGGGGTTTGGAGCTACCTTTAAATATTTATTTAACCAAGGGGTGGAATATTCATGAAGATTCTTGGAAAAAGGTAAACATTTCTTGGTACTGCGGTGCCACACATTTTTATACTAAATACGGGTGTTCCCCAGAGCTGTCACAGTGGGTGTGTGACTTAGTATGTTAATGAGCACATAATGAGAGGTCCTAGGTGAAACGGGTCGAATCCAGCACCATGTTGGGTCCAGTCGGCTTTAGCCAGCTTGGCCCACACCCTGGTTTTCAGAGTCTTATCCGCCCCTAGCTTACGCAGCGATTTCAACGGTTTCCTTTGCTAGTCATGTGAAACTGTTGCCTGGAATTTTCCGTTCTCCTGTGACCACCTTTATTATTCCTGTCTCAAGGGGCACCCCATTTGTGCCTATAAGGAGACTGCATTGGGACCAGGCTCCTGGCTGCTCATGGAGCCTCAGCCAGATGGTTGTGTGCCTGAGTCCTGTGTTCATTCCACAAACATGCAGCAAGGCTGCGTGGGTTGGAGCCCTGCCTCCAGCGCTTCCCTGCTGCATGACACTGGCAAGTTGCTTAAGCTCTCTGTACCCCATTTCCTCCTCAATAAGGCAGGGATGGTGATCGTACTAGTTCCAAAGGATTATTGTGAGAATTAACATAATACATGAGTTAACACGTATAAAATGCCTAGAACCTTGTCTTTGGATTTCCTCAAACATCCAAGGTGTTTGTACACTAAAGGAAGACACCCAACTTAATTTTCGATCTACAGACCTTGCATTATCTGCAAAATACCGCTGGCTTCTTGACACTGAAGTTATACAAATGTGCCATAATTTTCTTCACAAGTTTCTGGTGTATGTTGATGTTGCTTGAATTAAAACAACCCTGTGACAAGTGGTCTCGTGGAAGTCTTTGCACATGGTCATGCTTGTTTTCTGTGGCTGAACTTGTGGGATTACCTGAATCACCTGTAGGCAAGGTTGTCCCTGCCTCAACATGGTCCCTTCTACCCTTCACAAGACTTCAGTGTGCCCCCATGTCAGCTAAGGCAGAGATTTGGGGCTACGTTACTGGGTAGGGCATAGAGCCAACCTGGATTCTCACATGTTTGTGCTTCCCAAGGACTGCTCCTCAGCCCTCTGCCCTTCCTCAGGAGATGCAGGACATGACCAAAACCCAGATGAGTTTGCATTACTTTTTTTTTTGTTTGTTTTTGAGATGGAGTTTTGCTCTTGTTGCCCAGGCTGACTTGCAATGGCGGGGATCTAGGCTCACTGCAACCTCCACCTCCTGGGTTCAATTGATTCTCCTGCCTCAGCCTCTCTAGTAGCTGGGATTACAGGTGCCCACCACCACGCCTGGCTAATTTTTGTATTTTTAGTAGAGACGGGGTTTCACTATGTTAGCCAGGCTGGCCTTGAACTCCCAACCTCAAGGTGATCTGCCCACCTCGGCCTCCAAAGTGTTGGAATTACAGGCATGAGCCACTGTGCCCGGCCAGTTTGCATTACTTTTTAACTTGCCCTTACATCATTTTCCGGTTGTGTAATACATTTAACAAGCACTTATTGTGTATTGAACACTCACTTTTCTAGGTTAGTGATTCTCACTTGGTGGCAGTTTTGCCCCCAGGGGACAATTGGCAATGTCTGGAGACAGTTTTGGTTGTCACATGGATGCTTCTGCCAGGGTAGAGGCCAAGGACACTACTCAGCATCCTACAGTGCAGTGGATGGCACGCTCCCCACCCACCCCAATCTCCTACAAAAAGAGTTATCCAGCCCAAATGTCAGTAGTGCCCAGGCTGAGAAACCTTACTCTAGGTACAGGAGATGTGGAAGTGAACCTAGCCAACAAAAATCCCTGACCTCATGGAGTTCATGTTCTCCTGGGCCACATTCTAATTTAAGTATTTACATGTATTATCTGTTTATCCATCCAGCCTTCTGTATATTTGCATAGAAAAAATACCTGGGATTGGCCAGGCGCCGTGTCTCACGCCTGTAATCCCAGCACTTTGGAGGCTGAGGTGGGCGGATCATGAGGTCAGGAGGTTGAGACCATCCTGGCTAACACGGTGAAACCCCGTCTCTATTAAAAATACAAAAAATTACCCAGGCATGGTGGCGGGCGCCTGTAGTCCCAGCTACTGGGGAGGCTGAGGCAGGAGAATCGCCTGAACCCGGGAGGCGGAGCTTGCAGTGAGCCGAGATCGTGCCACTGCACTCCAGTCTGGGTGACAGAGCGAGACTCCGTCTCAAAAGAAAAAACAAAAAACCTGGGATTTTATTATTTGCCTACTGTTAAAGATAGTAACCTCTCGGAACTAGGATCTGGAGTGATTACTTTCATCTTTGTCACTTTGGTGCAATGTGTAATTATTTTCATAAGCATGTGTGATTTTTACCAAATAAAAGTGATTTTTCTCAAAACTGAAAAACGTTGGGATGTGCATCTGCAAAACTGTTAAGGGTGTGGCACAGGTGTTGTGACACAAATGTGTGTAAAAGGTACATTAAGAGTTGGGTGCAGTGGCTTGCACCTGCAGTCCCAGATACTTAGAAGTCTGAGGTGGGAGGATGGCTTGAGCCCAGAAGTTCAAGTCCGGCCTGAGAAACATAGTGAGACCCCATGTCTTGAAAAGAAAAGAAAAAGGTACAATAGAGCATCAAAGGCACAAAGAATGGAGTGTCTCTCCTGCCCAGGTATTTTCACTCAATCAAATTCTTTTTTTTTTTTTTTCGTGAGACAGAGTCTCACTCTGTCACCCAGGCTGGAGTACATTGGTGGGATCTGGGCTCACTGCAACCCCGCCTCCCTGGTTCAGGCAATTCTCCTGCCTCAGCCTCCCAAGTAGTTGGGATTACAGGTGTGCACCACCACACCCATCTAACTTTTGTATTTTTAGTAGAGATGGGGTTTCACGATGTTGGCCAGGCTGGTCTCAAACTCCTGACCTCAGGTGATTCACCTGCGTCAGTCTCCCAAAGTGCTGGGATTACAGGTGTGAGCCACTGCGCCCAGTCTCAATCAAATTCTTAATGGAATTATTTTTGGTAATTTGGAAAAATATTTGAAATTTTAACTTAGATAAATAAAGGGGCTAAAAGAAAGCCAGAGGAGGAAAAATTAGAGAAATTACCCAACAGAAATGAGTGGGATGATCCAAAGAACAGTAGGCTGGCCACCGTGTCTTCTAAAGCCAAAGGCACGAAAGACCGTGAACCCATTTTTAAGACTGCCAATTTATCTCTAGTGGGAAATCTGGGAGTATCTGTTAAAGTTTCAGATCCACACTGGTCCAGAAAATCTACCTCTAATGTTCTTTTGAAAAAGAACATTAACCGTGAGTGACTTTGACATCATAGTATACATACAAAGTGTGGTATGATAACTGCACAATGTCCCTGTGTGTATAGACCGTAGATTTAGCCAGATGTTTCTTGGTGAATATTTAGGTTGTTTCCAATCTTTTACCATTAGAAACCATTCTTCAGTAATTAATCATAATACTCAGTCCTTTTCCATCTTCACAAGTATATCCTGGGATACATTCTTAGAGGTAGACTTGCTGGATCAGTAGAGGTAGACTTAGAGGATTGCTTAGAGGTAGACAGTAGAGGTGGATCTTAGAGGTAGACTTGCTGAAGCTTTGATAGGTACTGCTGGATTGTCCACTAGAGATAGACCAGTGGACTTAAAAATGGAGTCCACGGTCATTCTTGCCTTGGGCTTTAGAAGATGTGGTGGCCAGCCCGCTGTCCTTTGGATCATCTTGCTCGTCTTTTTTGGATGATTTCTCTGATTCTCTGTCCTCTAGCCTTTGTCAACCTGGCTCTCAGCCCCATGCCCTTACACCTTTAGATATACATAAGTAAATGTGCTTTCTTTAAGGATGACTATTGGACACCCTTCTTCCTTTTGTTAAACTTGATTTTCTTTTCTTTATTTCCTCTGAAATGCCTGGCATCTCATTTAATTTCCTGTCACATTTTGGCACATAATATGCATTTAAGTGAGTCAAGACTCCAAAACATTTAATAAAAATCAGTGACATTGCTACCTCATACTTCTCAGAGGAGAGGAAAGTGCTGATCTTGTGATGAGATAAAGAAATATTTAAAGTGTTAATATGTTGGAAATTCAAGGATGTGATTATAACTCAGGCAACAAATTGTTGAGTAAGGCACCTAATGAGAATGATTAATGCAACAATTTCTGGAGACTGAGTGCTTTTCAGGGTTCTTTTGTTCCAATAACTTTTAAGAGTTGGTTTATATTAGTGGAGAGCATAACAGATTGCTAACAATTACAAATATTCACTGAATTTTGGAGAGAAGAACAAGTTTATGGTCCCATAAATGTTCTTCATTGGATACCTTATCAGATCGGATTATTTAAATCGTATTATTGAACTATAGCTAAAGAGGAGAGAGGATATCTTTTCTTTCTGAGACTTTTCCAGTGCCTGAAAGATATATTTATTTGACAAGATTCTGTAGTGCCATTTTAATGAGGTGAGAGCCTATGAAACTCAAATTATACTAAGGGATGATAAGTGACATAAGCCAGATACAGAAATAAAAATATTGCATGATTTCACTTACATGTGAAAATTAAAAAAATTTTTTAAACTCAAATTTGTCTGAATATATGTGAAATTAAAAAACAACAACATCAAATACAGAATGGTGGTTACCTGGGTGGGGAGGAGGAGGAAGCGGGGAGATGTGGTCAAATGGTACAGAAGTGCAGTTACGTAGGATGAATAAATCTAGAGATCTAATGTACAGCAGGAGGACTACTGTTAATAGAAATTTGGTCTTTGTCTCCAGTTTGTAACCCCCAGACCCCAGCATTTCCCATAAAAATGGTGTCCTGTTCCCATGTCAGGTGTGATCTTTTTTTTTTTTTTTTTTTTTTTTTTTTGAGATGGAGTTTTGCTCTTGTTGCCCAGGCTGGAGTGCAATGGCATGACCTCGGCTCACCACAACCTCCGCCTCCCGGGTTCAAGCACTTCTTCTTTCTTCTGCCTCAGCCTCCCAAGTAGCTGGGATCACAGGCATGCACCACCACGCCTGGCTAACTTTGTATTTTTAGTAGAGATGGGGTTTCTCCATGTTGGTCAGGCTGGTCTTGAACTCCCGACCTCAGGTGATCTGCCCGCCTTGGCCTCCCAAAGTGTAGGGATTACAAGCGTGAGCCACTGTACCTGGCACATATGTGATCTTTCATTTAGAGTGGGGAGAAGAACCATGGATGTTGGGGACAGGAACCCCATATCAGGGTAGTCCAGGTGAGCCCCTGAGCATCTGGCAAACAGGGCACAAGAAGGTCACACATCCCTGATGATCAGTGAGGGGTTGGCACTGTGCATGTTTCACTCATAGAGTCTGAAATATTGTTTATGGAACTGAATCTGAACAAGACCAAGAGCTCCATCATTTGCCTGTGTATTAGGGTTCTCTAGAGGGACATAACTAATATGGTAGATGTATATATAAAAGGGAGTTTATTAAGGGGCATTGACTCACACGCATACAAGGTGAGTTTCCACTATAGGCCGTCTGCAAGCTGAGGAGCCTGGCACCCTGGTTTGAATGGAGCAGAAGGTTATTTGTTGGAAATACCTTGGCCAAGCATGGTGACACGTGCCTGTCATCTCAGCTACTTGGGAAGCTGAGGTGGGAGGATGGTTACTTAAGCCCAGGAGGCAGAGGTTGTAGTGAGCCACGATTGTGCCACTGCAATCAGCCTGAGTGATACAGCCAGACCTTGTCTCAAAAAAAAAAGTGTATTATTAAGTGCATGGTGTGGATCCAAGTGACATGAGATTGGGTGCCAAGCTGGCATTTACTTCATCTTTCATATTTGCTGTGCTTTTGTGGGCTAGAGAAATTGTAGGTTTGTGCTGAAGAGCGAAGTTATTGTACGTGGTTGTCAGCAAAGGAAAACAGAAGTAAGAAAAAAAACCCTGAAGTCTAGAGCTAAGATCCTGGTCTCTAAAGTGCCCGCAGTTAATGAAAGTCAGATGTAAAAACCAATAAGTAAAAAAAATATGATGTATGGGACAAAATAAGAGTATATACCCACCAAGGGGTATGTGTAAAGAAGTTTAATTCCACAGTGTGATAATGGGAAGATTCACAAGTGATAAATTCTCTCTTCCCTTTTAGGAAATGACTAGGAAGCTGGTAACCAAATAGAGATGCACCAAGAAAATGAAGAGCGACTTTTCTTTTTCTTTCTTTTTTTTTTTGAGAAGGGGTTTTTCTCTTGTTGCCCAAGCTGGAGTGCAATGGTGTGATCTCGGCTCACTGCAACCTCTGCCTCCTGGGTTCAAGCGATTCTCCTGCCTCAGCCTCCCAAGTAGCTGGGATTACAGGCATGCACCACCATGCCTGGCTAATTTTGTATTTTCAGTAGAGATGGAGTTTCACCATGTTGGCCAGGCTAGTCTCAAATTCCTGACCTCAAGTGATCCACCTGCCTTGGCCTCCCAAAGGGTTGGGATCACAGGCGTGAGCCACCATGCCTGGTCAAGGAGAGACTTCCAAATCAAATTAATTTCATCTATGAGAAAACATGTACTGAGCAGAAAGTCTGTGAACGTGAGGCTTTTGTAAACAGTATCCCCTCAAGACAAAAACTCCATGAGCATGTGTTAAGTGGAGGGGGCTTGAAGCATAATTTTGATTTACTTAATTATAGAAGAAATAACCTTTATGGATTTAATGGAGATGAAAAATCATTCAGTTATAATTCATCTTAAATAAAGCATGAGAAAATTCATACAAGTCAGAATGTAGTGAATGTGAGGAGGTATTCAGGCAGAATTTATACCTAATTGGACATCAAAGAATATGCACTAAAGACAAATGCTGTGGATGCAATGAGTGTGAGGAACGCTTTACTGATTGCCCATCCTATGCTAGACACATAAGATTCTATACAGGTGAGGAATCCTAAGAATGCACTCTCTGCCTGAAAGCCTGTAGCAGAAAAGCACACCTTATTATACACTGGAAAATTCACATTGGAGAGAAACTTTATGATTATAGTCAATGTAGGAAAGGCTTTATTGATAGTTCATCTCTTTTTCGACATATGAGAACTCACCCAGGAGAGAAGCCCTGTGAAGGCAAGCAATGGGGAGAAGCCGTCAAATGCAGCTCAGCTTCCTTGCAGCATGGCAGAACTGATGTAGGAAAGAAAACCTGTGATTGTAAAAAATGTGATAAAGCAACAAGAAACAAGACCTCCCAGCTCATCCTACATCAAAAAACTGACACTAGGGGAAAATCCTATGAAAGTACTGAATGTAGGAAGGCTTTTAGTGAGTTTTCCTCCTTAAGGCAACATACTAGAGCTCACACTGAAGAGACATCCCCACAAACATAATACATGTGGAAAAGCATTCTGTTGCATGACTGACATTATTCAACACCAGGAAATCCATAGTGGAGAGAAATGGTTATGTCTCTAATGCATGTGAGGAAGCCTTCCAAAATAGTTTAGCCATTACTCTATTTGAGAGAACTCATACTGAAGAGAAGCCCTATATATTTAATAAGCGTGGAAAAGCCTTTGCTCACATTTCATCCCTTAGTGAACGTGCAAGAACTCATATAGGCAAAAAATTTTGTGAGTCAAGCCTTCAAAATTAGCTCAATATTTATTAGAAACTAAAGAGTTCATATTATATGTTAGTAATTTTTTTTTTGAGATGGAGTCTCTCTCTTGTCGCCCAGGCTGGAGTGCAATGGCACGATATCAACTCACTGCGACGCAACCTATGCCTCCCCGGTTCAAGCAATTCTCCTGCCTCAGCCTCCCAGGTGGCTAGATTACAGGTGCCTGCCACCATGTCCACCTAATTTTTGTATTTTTAGTAGAGACAGCGTTTTGCCGTGTTGTCCAGGCTGGTCTTGAACACCTGATCTCAGGTGATCCTCCTGCCTTGGCCTCCCAAAGTGCTGGGATTACAGATGTGAGCCACCACACCCAGCCTATATGTTAGTAATTTAATGGAATTAAATTAAATTTAAATTAATTTAATTAATTGGAATTAAATTAAATTTAAATTAATTTAATTAATTGGAATTAAATTAATTAAATTAAATTAATTAAATTAATTTGAATTTAATTAATTTAATTAATTAAATTCAAATTAATTTAATTAATTAAATTTAAATTAATTTAATTAATTAATTTAATTAATTGGAATTAAATTAAATTAAATTAATTAATTAATTAAATTAAATAAATTAATTTAATTAATTAATTTAAATTAAATAAATTAATTAAATTTAAATTAATTTAATTAATTAAATTTAAATTAATTTAATTAATTAAATTTAAATTAATTTAATTAATTAAATTTAAATTAAATTTAATTAATTAAATTAAATTAAATTTAATTTAATGGAACTTATACATTTTCAAACTCTGTTATATTAGAAATTACTTTCTAGACCTAAAAGCCTATTATTAAAGGTTTATGGAAAAAACTGGCTGGGTGCAGTGGCTCACACCTGTAATCCCTGCACTTTGGGAGGCTGTGGTGGGCCAATCACTTGATCCCAGGAATTCAAGACCAGCCTGGACAACATAGCAAAATCCCATCTCCACAAAAAATACAAAAAAATTAGCCAGGCATGGTGGCATGTGCCTGTGGTCCCAGCTACTTGGGAGGCTGAGGTGGGAGGCTCACGTGAGCCTGGGAGGTGGAGGTTGCAGTGAGCCATGATCATAGCACTGCACTCCAGCCTGGGTGGCACAGCAAGACTGTCTCAAAAAAAAAAAAGATGAGAAAAAACTTATGTTAGGGCTGTGTTTTGTATAATATAAAAGTTTAAACATAAAAAAGTAAGAAAAAACAAAAAAAAACCCGCCAAAATAATATATGCAGTTAAATAGTGTATCTCATATTGTATACAACTTATATAAGGTCAATTATGACATCTTTTTAGTTTTTTCTAGCAGTTAGATGAGTATCTACCTTTATTTTTATTAAAAATTTTTTTTTAAAGACAGGGTCTCTCTATGTTGCTCAGGCTGGTTTCAAGCTCCTGGGCTCAAGCCATCCTCCTGCCTTGGCCTTCCAAAGTGCTGGGGTTACAGGCATGAGCCACCACACCTGGCCAATGAATACTTACGTTGATTTTTAAGAAATCAGAAGGAAATGTGTATATTTTTATTATTATTTATTTAGAACATTACATGTAAAGGTGATTCAGTGGAGAAATGGAGATGTTTTGCATTCCTGTTAGCAGTTGTGTGAGTATCTCATTTTAAAAATGCCTAATCCAATACAAACTAAAATGTTAATTGTTTTCTTACTACAATGTCGCTTGATATTATGTAAAAGCAGAACTGAATCTTCATAAGCATAGATCACGATGAAGCACCGATGCATACTACACTGGCTCTGATCAGTTTTCTCAAGAACATTTCATTCATTAAAAAGTTAATTGTTTTCATGTTCTAAATATTTATTTTAAATGATGTTTGGGGTCATAAGTTGAAATGACCATAAAATAAAAGTTATTTTATGGGTCACAGGTCTTATCCTTCAGAGTTGTCATCTTCTGTATCTATATCATTTTATTCCAGCACAAGAGGAATTTTTAATCTTCCTTTTACATTTTATTTATTTATTTATTTATTTATTTATTTATTTATTTATTGAGACGGAGTGTCCCTCTGTTGCTCAGGCTGGAGTGCAGTGGTGTGATCTCGGCTCACTGCAACCTCCGCCTCTTGAGTTGAAGCGATTCTCCTGTCTCGGCCTCCCAAGTAGCTGGGATTACAGGCTGGCTGGGATTACACCACCAAGCCTGGCTAATTTTTGTATTCTTAGTAGAGACGGAGTTTCATCTTGTTGATCAGGCTAGTCTTGAACTCCTGACCACCCGCCTCAGCCTCCCAAAGTGAGTATTGTTTTTTTTGAATGATGTTCAGAACAATGAACACTATTTTATGGTCACAGAACTTCCTTACTAAGTTATCTTTTCTGTCTCATCTGCTTTGCTTTCCTCTTCTTTTTCCCTCCCTATATCTACAGTGTCATCTCAGGAACTGCCAAGTTTCTGCCTAGGCACTGAGGCTCTAAGAAGAAAGCTAGTATATGTCAGGTTCAGGGGAATCATTTCATGAACTATATCGATGTGTTTAAATTTTACTCTGACTTATAAAAAATTGTAAAAGTAAGTAAAAGTCGTTCATTTTAGTGAATAAATACTTTTCTAGGGACAATTTCTTTAGCAAGAATGCTTCTAAAACTTGCTTTTTTTTTTGAGACAGGGTCTCACTCTGTCACCCAGGCTGGTGGGCAGTAGTGCAATCATGCTCACTGCAGCCCTGAACTCCTGGGCTCAAGCGAGCCTCTCACTACAGTCTCCCAAGCAGCTGGTACTACAGGCGCACACCCACACCTGGCTAATTTTTATTTTATTTTATTTTATAGAGACAGGGTCTCACTGTGTTGTCCAGGCTGGTCTTGGATTCCTGGGCTCAAGTGATCTTCCCACCTTAGCCTCCCAAAGTGCTGGGATTACAGGCCTGAAACTTTTTCTCTTCTAAATCTGTATCGGTTAAGATTCTTTGTGTTGGAAATGACAGAACACACAAACTGATATAAGCCACAATAGAAAGTTTATTGGTTCATATCACTAGAAAGTCCAGTATACCTAGTGGACAGGAAGAAAGATATGTCATAATATTTACAGAAGAAATGACTGCTTAGAAAACCAAAAAGAAACAAGAAATAATAATTGAAAAGTCATAAATTTAGTAATATGACCAAGCACACAGGAATATATTTTAATCAATAACACTTAAATAAATAATATTCCAGAATAACTACAATTAGAATGAAATGGGAAATTATTCCATGCAAATAGTTTAATAAAATGTAAAGTGCTTAGGAATGAGTATAACCAAAAAGTATGGTCTCTACATTATTGGAGGAAACAAAATAAATATTGTGTCGAGTTCACATAATATGTTAGAAATAAGTTGAAAATGATCTGGAGAAAAGAGCCTTGTGAAAACATTATAAACATGATGAGGGGCGTGTGGGGAGGCAGACTATTTCAGCAGCAACTGGTCTTCATAAAATGCTATAGAAATTAAATGTCTTGGCCGGGCACAATGGTTCACGGCTGTAATCCCAGCACATTGGGAGGCCGAGGTGGGTGGATCACGAGGTCAGGAGATCGAGACCATCCTGGCTAACAAGGTGAAACCCCATCTCTACTAAAAATGCAAAAAAATTAGCCGGGCGTGGTGGCGGGCGCCTGTAGTCCCAGCTACTTGGGAGGCTGAGGCAGGAGAATGGCATGAACTTGGGAGGTGGAGCTTGCAGTGAGCCAAGATCGCGCCACTGCACTCCAGCCTGGGCGATAGAGCGAGACTCCGTCTCAATAAATAAATAAATAAATAAATAATTAAAAAATCAAAATAAATAAATAAAAAGAGAAGAAATTAAATGTCTCCTTTCCATATTTTAACTACAGATACATGAAGTGGTTTGCACACATTTTGAAGAAAATTAACCAACGGTAGTGTTGTCATCACTAAGGAAGGCCGAGAAATGTCAGACAAGTTGGTGAGGAAACCCCCAAACTGTGGAAATATTAGGAGATGGAAATCCAACCCTCATTTGGGTATGGAAATAGTCACATCCTGGTGCCACCCTGGGAGTGGACGGTTCCCCTGCGCGCCGGCCCCCACAATCCCCCAACGCGGCCCGCCTATCGGAGCTCTGGGCAGGACGCGGTGCCTCTGCTCTCCACGGCAGCCCCCGCAGGGGTCCAGAGTCTGGCACGTCCAGGGGCCCAAGGCCGCCCAGAGGGGTCGCGTCCTCTCCGGGCTCCGCCTGCGCCTCCGCCTGGTGGTTAAACGCGGGGCCCCGACCCTGAGCTCCAGGGCGACCAGGCAGTCCTGCGCCCGCCCAGGCCAACGCCCGCGGCAGAGCTGAGGGCGCACAGGGCCGGGAGCTCGGTTCGCGGGGTGGGCCGAACCCCCAGCGGCTCCACGCGCCCCCCCGCCCCCTACGGTGACAGACCTTGAACAGGGGGTGGAGGGGGTGGCAGCAGGAGAAGGCGGTCACCGCTGCCGCACAAGGCGGGCGGGCGGGGGGGGTGGGGGCGTTGTGGCTGCAGGAGGAGCGAGGGAAGCGTGTGCGCCTGGGCGCGCCCAGGAGCTGGCTACCCAGGCAGGAGGGAGGATGCAGGGAACCGATGGCGAAGACGTTTAACAGCGCGCCAGTGACGCCCCTTCGCTGCTTCAGGGGAGGAGGAAGCCGGACCCAGGCCGTTTTCGCGTCCTGCAGGCTAGAATCCAGCCCCGCACAGCCCCGCGCAGCTCGGCCGCCGCCGACTCCACCTGGAGCGCCGCGCGTCTCCCCTGGTGCACAGCAGGTGCCAGGCTGTGCGCGCCCCTTCCCTGCCCTTCCCTTCCCGGGCGAGTGCGGGGCGCAGGCTTGCGCAGCGCCCTCCAAGACCCAAGCGGGGGCCGGCCCTGGCAGGTCAGGGGGCACAGGCGGATCAGCGCTTTGAGACCAAGGGTACCCCCACACTTCCCTAGGGCCTTTGTGCCGGCCGCTCAGGTGTCTCGGGCTCTCCTGGGTGAGTCCTCATCCCCAGTGCGCTCCGGGATGCAGGGAGGCCGGCTGCCCAGACTGTGGTCTCAGGAAGGTGGCCCTTGGGGGGACTGCAGGTGCTCTGAGGCCCCAGGTACAGTCACGCCTCGATGGACGAAGGGGACACAGTATGAGAAACGCATCCTTAGGCGATCTCCTCATTGTGAGAATGTTCTAGAGTGACTCACAGCAACCCAGATGGGGCAGCCTGCTGCACACCTGAGCTACATGAATAGCCTGCTGCTCCTAGCCTCGCACCTGTGCAGGAGGCTACTGTACTGAGTACTGCAGGCGGTTGTAACACAAAGGAAAGTATTTGTGGACCTAAACCTGAGAAAGGTGTAGTAATGCGGGGCGCCATGGCTCACACCTGTAATCCTAGCACTTTGGGAAGCTGAGGTGAAGAGATTCCTTGAGCCCAGGAGCTGCAGACCAGCCTGGGGGCGTGGAGAAACCCCATCTCTGCACACACACCCCACCCCCCCAGCATCCCCCGCCCCCCGCCAACATTAGCCTGGCATGGTGGTGCATGCCTGTAGTCCCAGCTACTTACTCAGGAGGCTGAGGTGGGAGGATCGATTGAGCCCGAGAGGTCGAGGCTTCAGTAAGCTGTGATCGTGTCACTGCACTCCAGCCTGGGGGACAGAGTGAGATCCTGTCTCAAAAAAAAGAAAAGAAAAAAAAAAGTACAGTAACCATGTGGTATGAAGGATTAAAAAAATGGTCCACCTGCATAGTGCACTTACCATGAATGCAGCTTGCAGGATGGGAAGTTGCTCTGGGTGGTGTGAGTGAGTGAATGTGAAAGCCTGGGACATTGCTGTAGACTTTATAACACTCTAAGCTTAGGCTACACTGAAGTTATATTTTAAAAGTACAGTACTTGTGCTACGATGTTACTTTGGCTACCGCATCACTGGGCGGTAGGGCTTTTCCAGCTCCATTATGATCTGACGGGCCCACCATCACGTATGTGGCTCGTTGTTGACCAAAACGTGGCTATGAGGCACATGACTGTATTAGAAACTACTCAAGTAATACTAGCGACGAATTTGAGAGAAAAGATAAAATAAAAAATAAAGTGTCTTTGAAAATTGCTCAGAGTAGATTTTATGTTCTCACCACAAAAGAAAAAAAAAAAAAGCTATGTAGAAAATCAGGGCCGGGCGCGGTGGCTCACGCCTATAATCCCAGCACTTTGGGAGGCCGAGGCGGGCGGATCACGAGGTCAGGAGTTCGAGACCAGCCTGGCTAACACGGTGAAAACCCGTCTTTACTAAAAATACAAAAAATTAGCCGGGCGTGGTGGCAGGCATCTGTAGCCCCAGCTACTCGGGAGGCTGCGGCAGGAGAATGGCGTGAACCCGGGAGGCAGAGCTTGCAGTGAGCCGAGATCGCGCCACTGCACTCCAGCCTGGGCGACAGAGCGAGACTCCGTCTTAAAAAAAAAAAAAGAAAAAAAGAAAATTACGTAGCTACATTTAGCCATTCCACAATGTATAAGAATATGGAAACATCATGTTGCATGCTATAAATATATACAATTTTTGCTTGTCAATTTTAAAATAAAGATCTAAAAACCGAAAAAGGCCGGGCACAGTGGTTCATGCCCATAATCCCAGCACTTTGGGAGGCCCAGCTGGGCGGATCACCTGAGATCAGGAGCTCGAGACCAGCCTGGCCTCGAACATGGTGAAACTCCGTCTCTACTAAAAATACAAAAATTAGCTGGGCATGGTGAAGTCGCCTGTAATCCCAGCTACTCGGGAGGCTGAGGCAGGAAAATCGCTTGAACCTGGGAGGTGGAGGTTGCAGTGAGCCGAGATCGTGCCACTGCTCTCCAGCCTGGCTACAGCAAAACTCAAAACGAAAAACAAAACAAAACAAAACAAAACAAAACCAAACCCCCCAAAACCAAAGCAACAGAAAAGGGCCCCAAACTACTTTATGACTTGGCTTCCACCACCACCTAGTGGCAGCACGTGGCAACTGCTACAGAAACTCAGGCTCACTCATGCAAGGCAGATAATGAAATCGTGGAAGGAGCCATTTGTGTCTTCCGGAATGCAGTTACTGTTCTCTCATAAATCGCAGGGACATTAATGGCTTAGTAAAATGCACATGTCCTGATGGGCTTTTAAACTCACCTCCCTATGTGGATGACTTTAGTATTTCTCTGCATAATGGGAGAAATCATTATTATTTAGAGCGGGATGGTGGAAGGGGTCTCAATCAGAGGTGGTTCTTCCCCGAACCGGTGGACCTTTGGCAGTGTCTGGAGGCATTTTTGATGGTCACAGCTGGGTGAGGGGCTGCTCCTGGCCTCTAGTTGGTGAGACCAGAGATGCCGCTTAAGATCCTACAATGCACAGGACAGAACCCCTTCCCCCACCCCCAACAGCAAAGAATCCTCCAACCCCAAATGCTGAGGGTGCCAGGCTGGGTAGTCCTGATTTAGAGTGACGGTGGAGGGAGGGAGCACTGGTGAGCTCACAAGCACTCCAACAGGACGCCGGCTCTGCTCCGTATTCAAGTCCAGCTTTGACAGTTTCAGGAGTTGGGAGGAGTTTGAATCTCGCTCTGACCACATCAAATGATTCCTGGGTGAGGAGAGGCAGTTTGGGTCCGGGATGGGGATATTTAGAACTTTCCGCAGTGCAGGAGATGACGGTGGTGGGTTGGTTTTCAGTGGCGGCAGAGGAGATGGGGGGAAATGAGCAGGTTGATCAGCGTCAAACGGCAGGACGTGGTGACCGATGAGAGGGGTAATGAGAAGGGCGCCATTGGCTTCTGGTCAGTGTAACCAGGTGGATAATGGTGCCATTGGTGGAGATGGGCAACTCTGGAAGGTGAGCAGGTGAGGGGAAGATGTCATAAGCTTCGTTTGGGACAGGTTGAGGCATCTCCCAGAAAACATTAAGTAATTAGCTTGTTATAGGCTCAATTTTGTCCCCCCAAATGCATGTTGAAGTCTTAACTCCCAGCACCTAGAAATGTGACTGTATTTGGTAATAGGGTCTTTAGACGAGTAATTAAGGCAAGACAAGGTCATTAGGGTAGACCCTAATCCAATATGACAGGTTTTTTTTTTTTGAGATGGAGTCTCATTCTTGTCACCCAGGCGCTGGAGTGCAATGGCATGAATTCGGCTCACCGCAACCTCCACCTCCTCAGTTCAAGCGATTCTCTTGCCTCAGCCTCCCGAGTAGCTGGGATTACAGGCACCTGTCCGCATGCCCGGCTAATTTTTGTATTTTTAGTAGAGATGCGGTTTCACCACATTGGCCAAGCTGGTCTCGAACTCCTGACCTCAGGTGATCTGCCTGCCTTGGCCTCCCAAAGTGTTGGGATTGCAGGCGTAAGCCACTGTGCCCAGCCTAAAAATAATTAATCTTTAAAAAGAAAACGAGGGAGATGAAGGCAGGAGCAGGCTGGGGATAAGAGAGCATGGTTTGATTTAGCTGACAGCTTGGCAGAAGGAGAGCCTGTGGCTAAGGTTAGAACCTGAGTTTAATAAAGCTAAAGGAGTCAGCATTACATGATGTCACAGTTGTAGAGACAGTGGGATTCAGTGTGGCCCTCCCATTCAAGGAAGCCAATTTATGGTAGAACATAGCATGTGGAGAGAAACACAAGTGAAAATGCTTAGAAAGAGAGGCAGCCTCATGTAGCAGTTAACACCCTAGAATCTAGGTTCAGGCTTCCTGAGCCTAAATCCTGGCTCTGCCTCACACAGCTGTGTCTCCATGGACTTCACCTTTCGTACTCACTTTTCTCACCTTTGAAATGGGATAATAGCAGCGCCTTCATCATAGATGCTCTGTGAGGATGAAATAAGTTAATGCACGCAAAGTACCTAGAAGGGTGGGTAAATATTTTCTCTAAATGCCCCCAGGAAAGGGCCAGAATAGCAATTTTTTTTGTTCTTTTTTAGATGGAGTCTCGCTCTGTTGCCCAGACTGGAGTGCAGTGGTGTGATCTCGGCTCACTGCAACCTCCACCTCCCAGGTTCAAGTGATTCTCTTGCCTCAGCCTCCTGAGTAGCTGGGATTATAGGCACCTGCCAGCATACCCAGCTAATTTTTTTTTTTGTATTTTTAGTAGAGACAGGGTTTCAGCATGTTGGCTGGGCTGGTCTCGAACCCCTGACCTCGGGTGATCCGCCCACCTTGGCCTCCCAAAGTGCTGGGATTACAGGTGTGAGCCACCGCGCCTGGCCCAGAACAGCAAGTATTTGAGGCTTTGCAGGCCACACAGTCTACTTAACTCTGCTGATGTAACACAAAGCTGCCACCAGGTGATGTCAATGAAGGCGTGACCATGGGCCAACACAGCTTTGTTTATGGAAGCCAAGATTTGAATTTCATATAATTTGCACATATTATGAAATATCATTTTCTTTTCTTTGTTTCTCTTCTTTTTTCTGTTCTCTTTCTCTCTCTTTTTTCTTTTCTCTCTTTTTTGAATAAAGAAAGGGTCTTGTTCTGTCACCCAGGCTGGAATGCAGTGGTGCAACCATAGCTCACTGAAGCCTTGATCTCCTGGGCTTAAATGACCCTCTCACCTCAGCTTCCTGAGTAGCTGGGACCATAGGTAAGTGCCAACACACCCAGTTAATTTTTTAACTTTTTTTTTTTTTAAGACATAGTTTTGCTCTTGTTGCCCGGGCTGGAGTGCAATGGCGCCATCTTGGCTCACTGCAAACTCTGCCTCCCGAGTTCAAGCTATTCTCCTGCCTCAGCCTCCCGAAAGTAGCTGGGATTATAGGCATTCACCACCACGCCCAGCTAACTTTTGTATTTTTAGTAGAGACGGGGTTTCATCATGTTGGCCAGGCTGGTCTTGAACTCCTGACCTCAGGTGATCCGCCCACCCCGGCCTCCCAAAGTGCTGGGATTACACGCCTAAGCCACCGCACCCGGCCAATTTTTTAACTTTTTGTAGAGATGTGGGGGGTCTCACTATGTTGCCTAGGCTGGTCTTGAACTCCTGGGCTCAAACGATTCTCCTGCCTCGACCTCCCAAAGAGTTAGGATTACAGGTGTGAGCCACTGTGCCTGGCCTGATTTATTTTCAACAATTTGAACATATAAAATCCATGCTTAACCTGAGGGCCGTACAGAAGCAAGCGCTAGTCCATATTTGATTCTGCCAAACGCTGCTCTAACTCTGCAGCTGGCTTTCAGTAAGACACATGGAAGTGTTAGATAAAGAGAAAAAAAAAAAAAACAGAAAAGTTCTGCCAGGGAACCCAAGACATTAAATTCCCCTGTTGACTGGGGCGAGGGACTTTAAGCTGTTCCCTTTACACCACAGGCTCCAAAAGGGAGTAGTCTGAAGCCTGGACACACTTATCCACAGACTCATTTGATTTGGTCAGCATGGTCTTTAGGAAGGAATAAATACATGACCTTCTTAAACATAAAATTTGGAAGATTTCACTTAAAGGAATCCAGATTTCTGGGTTTTGTGACCCATGTTCCTATGCGGCAGCCACAGGTTGGAGCAGAAGAGCAGGGAGCCCCTTTATTTATTTATTTATTTATTTTTATTTTATTAATTTTTTATTTTTTTGAGACGGAATCTCGCTCTGTCGCCCAGGCTGGAGTGCAGTGGGGCGATCTTGGCTCACCGCAACCTCCGCCTCCCAGGTTCAAGCGACTCTCCAGCCTCAGCCTCCAGAGTAGCTGGGATTACAGGCATGAACCACTACACCCGGCTACTTTTTGTATTTTTAGTAGAGACGGGGTTTCACCATGTTGGCCAGGATGGTCTTGAACTCCTGACCTCAGGTGATCCACCCGCCTCAGCCTCCCAAAGTGCTGGGATGGCAGGTGTGAGCCACTGCGCCCGGCCAGGGAGCCCCTTTAGATGGGATGGGGAGGGACCTCCGATCAGGGCTGCCCACTCACTCCTCCTCCCTCTGCTTCCCTTCCCTCTTCCATCTCCCTCCCCCATCCCCCCCATCCTTCATTCATCTACCTGAGGTGCCTGACCCTGGTAGACAAGGAAGATATTAAAAATGTTTAACAAGGGTGGGGCAGTAGCCAATCCTGATGAAGCCCTGACCAATGATACACGAGCCCCAGCTGGGAGCTATTGGTACCATCTGTAGCTCCTGTGGACATTGACATTTAAATTGATTTAACCTTTTTTTTATTTTTTATTTTTTGAGACGAAGGCTCACTCTGCCACCCAGGCTGGAGATCTCGGCTCACTGCAACCTCTGCTTCCCAGGTTCAAGCGATTCTCCTGCCTCAGCCTCCCAAGTAGCTGGGGTTACAGGCGCACACCACCATGCCCGGCAAATTTTTGTATTTTTAGTAGAGATGGTGTTTCACCATGTTGGCCAGGCTGGTCTTGAACTCCTGGCCTCAAGTGATACACCCTCCCTCGACTTCCCAAAGTGCTGGGATTACGGTCCTGAGCCACCGCGTCCGGCCAGACTTATAATTTTAAAAAGGAAAAACCAGGGGCACCCCACCGCCTGGGGATCGAGGGGAGCCCAGCATAGGGAGGGAGAGGGAGCCAGGGTTATAACGTCCACATTCATACAACCTCAGCCTTGACCACTACGTGCGGATCATGGCGGTAGCGACCCGGCAGGAAACACAGCGAGCGAGCTGATTTGTGATCATGGTCGGTGCTCCGAAGAACAGACAACGAGGCGTGGAGCGCGTGCCGGGTGCGATCCTGGAAGGCTCCTCAGAGGAGGTGACATCTCGCTGGGCCTGGCGGCCCTGACGTCCAGCGGCGATGGCGGTCCATGGCCACCAGGTGGCGCCGCGAGAACGTGGCTGAAGCAGCTAGGCCGCGTTCCTGCGATCTGACTGTGCAGAGAGCTGTGGCTCCAGGTTTATCTCAAAGCATTTTTCTCAGCAGATGAACTTAGGGAGGGAGGCAGGAGAGCAAATTCCCCTCACTGCCCATGTGTCAGTTTTATTGTACCTTAACGGTAGTCAGTGCTGCAGCAGCCGAGAGCCCGGGCCCCCAAATTTGGGTTTACGGGCTGGCTCCAACCCAAACCAGCGTGTGTGTCCCTGCCATGGGCGTTTTATGTATTTATTATGTATTTGTTTTTCTATTGAGACAGGGTCTCACTCTGTGGCTCAGGCTGGAGTACAGTGGCGCTGTCTTGGCTCACTGCAGCCTCCCCAGCTTGAGCAATCCTCCTGCCTCAGCCTCCCGAGTAGCTGGGACTACAGGCCTGCACCACCACACCCAGCTAATTTTTGTATTTTTTGTAGAGAAGGGTTTTTGCCATGATGCCCAGGCTGGTCTTGAACTCCTGGGCTCAAGTGATCTGCTCACCTCTGCCTCCCAAAATGCTGGGATTATAGATAGGCATGAGCCACCACACTTGGCAATTATTTATTTATTTTTATTTTTACGGTTTTTTAGAGTCAGGGTCTCACTCGTTGCCGAGTCTGGAGTGCAGTGGCAAAATCTTGGCTCACTGCAACCTCTGCCTCTTGGGTTCAAGCAATTATCATGCCTCAGTCTCCTGAGTAGCTGTGACTACAGGTGCTCACCACCACGCCTGGCTAATTTTTGTATTTTTTAGTAGAGATGGGGTTTCACCATGTTGGCCAGGCTGGTCTCGAACTCCTGACCTCAAGTGATCCACCTGCCTCAGCCTCCAAAAGTGCTGGTATTACAGGTGTTAGCCACCGTGCCTGGCCAGTTCACTAATATTGAGATAAATCATACTCGTGTAAGACGCTACTAACAGGGGAAGCTGGGTGCAGGAACAAGGAAAACTTTCTATTCTCTTTGCAACTTTTCGCCAAATCTAAGTCGATTCTAAAATAAAAGTTGATTCTTTTTTATTGTTTATCTGAAATCCATATTTAACCAGGCAATTTGTATTTTTATTTATTAAATTGGGCAACCCCAGTGCAGAGCTAAGGGAGACAGGTGGATTCTCTAACCCAGACACACGTTTTTGAGCCATCAGCGTCTGTGATCCAAGCCGGGAGCCGGCATGAGATCCCGAGTGAGGGAGAGTGATGGAGACCATGGCGTCTGGAGCCGGAGATGCAGGGAGGTGAGCGAGAGCTGTCCGAGCAGTGGCTGAGGGTGTTCACTGCTGGCCGACTTAGTCTCTCCACACCTCAGTACTCTTCTCTGTAAAATGGACACTAGAATCACGCCTGCCTCACGGGCTTTTGGGAAATGCAATGCCTTTGATGGAGTATTTATTGCTGCATCAGGTGCACAGGACGCAGACAGAGTTAACTTACTCCCGAGTTCATCCCATCCAATTTCTTCATGGACGTGTGTCCACAGATACACATACAGACATGTGCCCAGGGAGACATAAGTAGAATATATGATGCAAATTTATGTTCATAATTATAATTTAATGTTCAAATATATTCATACATGTATATAAAGTATAGATACACAGTTAATTCTGTATTTAAATATATCTTGGTATAATTTTATCAATATGGCTTTTTTTTTTTTTGAGACAGCGTCTCACTCTGTCATCCAGGCTGGAGTGCAGTGGTGCGATCACGGCTCACTGCAACCTCCACCTCGCAGGCTCAAGCGATCCTCTCACCTCAGCCCCCTGAGTAGATAAGATGAGACTACAGGTGTGTGCCACCACGCCTGGCTAATTTTTGTATTTTTTGTAGAGATGGGATCTTGCTATGTTTCCCAGGCTGGTCTCAAACTCCTGGGCTGAAGCGATCCAACCTCCTGAGCCTCCCAAAGTGCTGGGATTACAGGCATGAGCCACCAAGCCCAGTACATCTTTATATATAATGTATTTAATTTTTTTATGTTTAATATATGTTACATAATATATAATTTATAAATGTATAATATATAAATAAATTATAAATTATACATTTATAAATTTAATTTATATAATTATAATACATCTCTAAATTTTTAAAGAAGAGAGTACGAATTAGGTAATGTGGAATGTTTTGTTCCTTTATTGACTATGTCAGGAAATATGATTTCACAATAATTCCACTGAGCCCTTATTGTGTGCCAGACACTACGCTAAAAACTTGTAAAGACACAAAACCTGCAGATTATAAAATTAAATGTTGTCAGCTCTCAAAATTTGAATGAAAATTGTGGAGGACTGAATCCAGGAATAATCTGTGAAACAGATGGCTATTTAGAGAAATGTGATTTTAAACAGACGTCTCTGCAACACTGTCCACATTGTTTAGTGTCTAAGAGAAAAATCTTCCCATCCTTAATTACACGGTGATGTATATAATTCTTGGAATTCCTCCTGGCCTTTAGCTTGGTGGAAAATTCCGTTGCGGACTTGAGAGCTGAGGTTTCATCTGGCCGCTGGAGAGATGGTAAACATCCCAGCTGCTCTTTCTCCTTGAGCACAAGTTCTCTGTACTTTTATTCTTTTCACGTCGCCTCTTACCAATTCCTCTCCTGTTCCTTCTCCTTTCCCAGTGCCCCCATCACATACCCTGCAGATGGTTTTACAGGAACCACCTCCATTTCTCTCTCTTGCCTTTAAGGCTTGCCTGTCTCAGCAAATGCTGTCAAGGTCCGTCTAGTTCTGAAGACAAAAACCTACGAGTAACTCCTCACGTACTCCCCTCTCTGCAAGTCCCGTGGAGTCAACTTTATCTTCCCCTGTTGCCTACATATTTCTCAAAAATATCGTGCACATATTTGTATTTATCTGCCCTAGACCAGATCACTGTTAACTTAGGCCTCTGTAATCAGTCAGGGTTCTCCAGAGAAACAGAACCAATAGGTTCTCTCTCTCTCTCTCAGAGAGACAGGGCTCAAAAAATATGGTCTACATACTTATCTCTCTTTCTGAATAGGTTTTCTGTCTATATTAATGGTGACCTGGAGAGACAGAGAGACAGAGAGAGAGAGAGAGAGAGAGAGCCTCTCCAAGGATGTTGGTCTCCCTTGGAGAAGGAAATGTACATGTCTCTATATCTCTATATCTATAGAAAGATAATTATCCATCTATCCATCTATCAACATGTATTTTAAGAAATTGGCTCCTGTGATTGTGGGGCTGGTAAGTCCAACATCTGTAGAGCAGGCTGGCAGGCTAGAAGTTCAATCAGGATTTCTATGTGACTACAGCCTTCAGGCAGAATTTCTTTCTTTCCAGGAAACCACAGTTTTTGCTCTTTCAACCTTCAGCTGACGGAATGAGGCCCACCACATTGTGGAGGGCACACTCTCTTACTTGATTTACTTGATTGAAGTGATCGTAAATGTGAATCTCATCTGAAAAATACCTTCCCAGTGACACCGAGGCTGGTGTTTGACAAAAGAACAGGACACTCTGGTGGACACCTGAAGTCAAGCTTCACAGCCTGGGGCACTGCAGAGACTCCGACCCACCTCCTACCACCCTGGAAAACCTCAGCAGGGCTTCCACCCTTGGGATACATCCCCCTGGTATTCCCTAAAAGGACGCGATTTATTTATTTTAGATGGAGTCTTGCTCTGTTGCCCAGGCTGGAGTGAAGTGGTGCAATCTCGGCTCACTGCAACCTCCGCCTCCTGGGTTCAAGCGATTCTCCTGCCTCAGCCTCCTGAGTAGCTGGGATTACAGATGCCCACCACCTGGCCAATTTTGTATTTTTAGTAGAGATGGGGTTTCCCCATGTTACCCAGGCTGGTCTCAAACTCCTGACCTCAGATGATCCACCCGCCTCGGCCTCCCAAAGTGCTGGGATTACAGGTGAGAGCCACCGTGCCCGGCTGAATATCTTCTTTTTTATCTTTTAGGATAGAGACAAGGTCTTTCAAACTCCTGGGCTCAAGGGATCCTCCTGCCTCAGTCTCCCAAAGTGCTGGGATTACAGGCATGAGCCACTGCTCCTGGACTGTGCAAATATATTCTTATACACTCACAAGAATGCATACATATGTATCACACATAAATATATATGGATTTATTCTCACATATATACAGAGATTTACACACATGCAAATAATAGCCAACAATTCATTACCACTGATGGAAGCATCATCTAATTGCTTCATTGTATCTTTTTTATTTTTATTTTTTTTGAGACAAGATCTTGCTCTGCCATCCAGGCTGGAGTGTAGTGGTGCGATCATGGCTCACTGCAGCCTCATCCTCCTGGGCTCAAGTGATCCTCCTGTTTCAGCTTCCAGAGTAGCTGGGACTACAGGTGTGCATCACCACACCTGGCTAATATTTTAAAAATATTTAGTGTATAGATGGGGTCTTGCTCTGTTGCTCAGGCTGGTCTTAACTCCTGGTCTCAAGCAATCCTTCCGCCTCAGCCTCCTAAAGTCCTGGGATAATTGGTGTGAGCCACTGTGCCTGGCTTCATCATATCTTCTACAGTGATCATAACTGAGCATTTATTGACTAAATTACATATTGTTTTATAATAGAGTATGTCTCCCTTATTTCTGATTTAAATTACAGGTAAGTTTTTACATTATGTTTACAGAACATCTTTTTTTTTTTTTTTTTGAGACAGAGTTTCGCTGTGTTGCCCAGGTTGGAGTGCAGTGGCGCCATCTCAGCTCACTGTAACCTCCGCCTCTCAGGTTCCAGCAATTCTCCTGCCTCATCCTCCCGAGTAGGCGGATTATAGGCATGTGTCACCATGCCTGGCTAATTTTTGTATTATTAGTAGAGACAGGGTTTCACCATGTTGGACAGGCTGGTCTTGAAGTCCTGACCTCAGGTCCATCCACCTTGGCCTCCCAAAGTGCTGGGATTACAGGCGTGAGCCACTGTACCTGGCCATTTTTGTTTTTTAAGACGGAGTGGCATGATCTCGGCTCACTGTGACCTCTGCTCCCTGGGCTCAAGCGATTCTCCTGCCTCAATCTCCCAAGTAGCTGGGATTACAGGTGTGTACCACCACACCCAGCTAATTTTCGTATTTTTAGTAGAGACAGGGATTTGCCATGTGTCCAGGCTGGTCTCGAATTCCTGACCTCGTGATCCACCCGCCTTGGCTTCCCAAAGTGCTGGGATGACAGGCGTGAGCCACTGCGCCCGGCCAAAATTTCAGAACATTTTCATATCTATGAATTTCACTTCAGGAAGGTCAAAAGGGTCCGAACAAAATATTTGTTGGAAAAGGAGCACTCAGCAGATTTGGAAAGTACTCACAGGACTAGGCACAGTAGGATGGATATGCAAATGCGTAGCGTGTCCATCCCATGAGATTCTACAGGGCGTTGCGAAGGAAGGATGCATGGCTGCAGCCAACCACAGGGCTGAACCTCACAGACCCCACGTGGAGCAGATGAAGCCAGACACAAAAGTACGTATAGTGTATGTATAGCGTATGTTTCCACTTAGAGGAAGTCCTAGAACAGGCAAAGCAATCAGTGACGACAGAAATCAGAAAGACGTTGCATCTGGTGCTGAGGGAGCAAAGGGCTACAGCACGGGGAGAGGTGGGTGGAAATTGGTGGGGTGCTGGGATGTTCTGTATCCTTATCCGCTGGTCGTGACACAGGTGTATAAAATGTAAAGAATCAACACTGTGGATTTGAGATCACTAGTCCTCAAAAGAGTATCTGTGACGTAGAGCAGATAAATACATGGAAAATACATTCATGCCGGGGAAAGATACACAATGAATCAAACGGTCCCAACGACGTGGAACAACCCCACAGTCACACACAATCGCATGCGTCAATTTCTTTTTCTTTTCTTTTCTTTTTTTTTGAGATGGAGTTTTGCTCTTATTGCCCAGGCTGGAGTGCAATGGCACAATCTAGGCTCACCACAACCTCCGCCTCCCAGGTTCAATCGATTCTCCCGTCTCAGTCTCCGGAGTAGCTGGGATTACAGGCGCCCGCCACCATGCCTGGCTAATTTTGTATTTTTAATAGAGACGGGGTTTCTCCATATTGGTCAGGCTGGTCTCGAACTCCCGACCTCAGGTGATCCGCCCGCCTCGGCCTCCCAAACTGCTGGGATGACAGGCGTGAGCCGCCGCGCCCGGCCACATGCATCGATTTCACAAACATGATTGTGAGCTCAAGGCGCCTGGGCTCAACGGAGTACACACTGTGTGATTTTGTTGCCAGAGAAAGGGGTCTTGATCCAGACCCCAAGAAAGTGTTCGTGGATCTGTGGTGGGAAAGTTCAAGGTGAATCTCAGAGTGCAGTGAGCAGAGATTGTTTATTGAAAGCTGCTCAGTTACACGGCAGGGCGTCCTCAGAAAACAGGAGAAGGAACTCGCTGTCTTTGTTTTAAACTCTTCTGATGTAGCAGCCTTGTCTAAAAGCTAAGCTATGTCTGCAGGCAGGTGGGCTGACAGCCGGACAAAATGTATTATTAAATACTTTCTTGATTTAAAGGAAGATATCCTTGGCATTTTAGTGTGAAAGCACATCAAAACATAACTATAATCATCTTTTTTTTTTAAAGCCCAGGTCTCAGCATTTAATCATTTTAAAGCAAATACTGTTATGTGATATCAGGACATCTGGACATTTTGTTGTGGTAGACGTTTGTCCTTGCAGGCATTATTAAGCCGCTAGCTGCTCCCTTAGCTGTAAACATCTGAGGACCACGGCTCATGACTGGCAAGGAAGGTCCCCTGCTAGTTTTAAGGTGGGGTTGATTTAAAAATGGTGTCAGTCTGGCTCTCCTGTGCTCCTGTTTCCCTAACAATTTTATTTATTTATTTATTTATTTATTTATTTATTTATTTATTTATTTATGAGACGGAGTCTCGCTCTGTTGCCCAGGCTGGAGTGCAGTGGCACAATCTCAGCTCACTGCAATCTCTGCCTCCCAGGTTCAAGCGATTCTCCTGCCTCAGCCTCCCGAGTAGCTGGCATTACAGGTGCCTGCCACCATGCCCAGCGAATTTTTGTTTTTTTTAGTTAAGATGGGGTTTCACCGTGTTAGTCAGGCTGGTCTCAAACTCCTGACCTTAGTTGATCTACCTGCCTTGGCCTCCCAGAGTGCTGGGATTACAGGCGTGCTCTACCGCGCCCGGCCAATGTCTGTTGTTTATAAACCACCCAGTCTATGGTATATTTTTCCTTCCTTCCTTCCCTCCTTCTTTCCTTCCTTCTTTGCTTGCTTGCTTGCTTGCTCTGGGTGTTGCTGTTGCCCGGGCTGGAGTGCGGTAATGCAATAATGGCTCCATGCAGCCTCAACTTCCTGGGCCCAAGCGTTCCTCCTGCCTCAGCCTCCTGGGTAGCTGGGACTACAGGTGTGTGCCACCATGGCCAGATAATTTTTTAAAAAATTTTTTAAAGATAGGGTCTCCCCGTGTTGCCTAGGCTGGTCTCCTGGGCTCAAAGGATCCTCTGACCTTGGCCTCCCAAAGTGCTGGGATTATAGGCTTAAACCACCGCTCCCAGCCTGGAATTTTCTTGTAACAGCCTGAATAGACTAACATGAGGTGCTGAAAATGCTTTGGAACTAAATGGTGGTGACGGCTGCACAGCACTGTGAATGTACTCAATGCCACCGAGTTGTAAATTTGTAAATGGTCACTGGAGGCTGGGTATGGTGGCACACACTTGTAATCCCAGTGTTTTGGGAGACCGAGGCAGGAGGATCACCTGAGTCCAAGAGTTTAAACCTCCAGTGAGCTCAAACTGTTTTTCTTTAACGTACGCCTTTGCAAGAAATAGCTCAAGTTAAGTTTCACTTATGTATGCAAATCGAGCAGGGTTGAGGTGACTCAAGAGGCTGGTGTGGTCTGCACAGGGATTCTCCAGGCCTGGCCTCCGTTTTGATTGACTTAAACACTGCTTTTATCTGACTTATTCAGAAAGATAACTTCTTTCCTTGTCACTTACTTTTTTATCATCTCTCTCCCTCACCAGACCCTTACCTCCATAAGAATTTATCCACCAAGTCTCTGGCATATATTTAGTGCCCAGTAAAGAATTCTTGGCCGGCATGGTGGCTCATGCCTATAATCCCAGCACTTTGGGAGGCCAAGGCAGGTGGATCACCTGAGGTCAGGAGCTCAAGACCAGTCTGGCCAACATGGTGAAACCCCGTCTCCATTAAAAATACAAAAATTAGCTGGGCGTGTTGGCGCATGCGGGTAATCCCAGCTACTTGGGAGGCTGAGGAATGAGAATCGCTTGAACCCGGGAGGCGGAGGTTGCAGTGAGCTGAGATCGTGCCACTGCACTCCAGCCTGGGTGACAGAGCGAGACTCCATCTCGAAACAAACAAACAAACAAAAAACGAAAGATACAAAAACAATAATTCTTGCTAGGGAAATACAGACACTCATAATTATTTGACTGATGAATGTGTGGTGTGCTGACCCCATTTCGTTGGAGGGTAAGAGATGGTTCATAGATTTAATCCCAGAGCCTGGAATTCTTTGGAGGGAATCTTGGACCCGGGATTCAGGGAATGAGTGCATCCGCAGGGAGAGAACAGGTCATGCCCTTGCCAGATGTGGGTGATTTCTAGAGGCCCTACCCAGACAACCTTCACTCTTCTGCAAAGACCCTATCTGAGGATGCATTTTAGTTGGATACAAGACACAAAGGGCCAGGTGCCATGGCTCGCACCTGTCATCCCAGCACTTTGGGAGGTGGAGGCAGGAGGATCACTTGAGCCCAGGAGTTTGAGACAAGGCTGGGCAACACAGTGAGTCCCTGTCTCTACTGAAGAAAGAAAAGGTAAGAGGGAGTCTATTAATGGAAGCGGGGGATAGGAGGCCGCCCTGCCCCCGTCCTCCCCATCCCCGGGCTGGCTCCTTTGCTTTTTGTTTTGAGACAGAGTCTCGCTCTGTTGCCCAGGCTGGAGTACAGTGGTGAGATTTGTTAAGCTGTTTGTCCTTGCTTCTTCAAGAGGACTCATTTGAGCATCGCCCTGTAGCCATGGAAATCATATCTGGGGAGAGAAGGTGAAAAGCTGCCCATGTGAGTAGGGAAAGCTGTGGAGACAGGAGCTGTGACTCTCCACCCACCTACCCCAGCCAGGGGCCCTCCCTACAGTAGAGCCGTAAGGTTCCCGTTAGTTCCTGAAGACATAGACTCCAACCTCCTTGCTTTACTGATGCCCCAATAAACATGCGTGAGTGCATTCCTATTTGTAGCTGTACATAATTGTATGAAAATACACATTGATATAAACACAGAGTGGATATTGGTTTGCCCAGCTGCCTTAACAAAGCCCCACGATCCATGTGGCTTAAACAAAAGAAATATATTTTCCCACAGTTTTGGAGGCTGGAAGTCCAAGATCTGGGGCTGGCTTCCCCCAAGGCCTCTCCCCTTGGCTGGCAGACGGCCGTCTTCCCTCCGTGTCCTCCAAGGTCTCCCCTCTGTGTGTGTCTGTGTCCTCATCTCCTCTTCTTATAAGGACACCAGACAGCTTGCATTAGGGCCCACGCTAGTGGCCTCATTTTACCTTCATCACCTCTGTAGAGACCCCATCTCCAAATACATCCTGAGGTACTGGGGGTTAGGATGCCAACCTATGGATTGATGGGGTGGGAGGAGAAAGAATTCAGCCCATAACAGAGTGAGACAAAAACAGAAAGCAAAATGCTCACTACTTTGCCTGAATGTGTTAGGCAAATCACTCTGGCAAACCGACTTCTTTGGACACTTCCTTTTTTTTTTTTTTTTAATTGAGATGGAGTCTCACTCTGTCACCTAGGCTGGAGTGCAGTGGTGCTATCACAGATCACTGCAGCCTCCGCTTCCCGAGCTCAAGTGATCCTCCCACCTCAGCCTCCCAAGTAGCTGGGACTACAGGCATGTGCCACTGTGCCTGGCTAAATCTTTGGACACTTTCTGTGTGCTTGACACCATGATAAGAACTGAAGAAGAAAAGGTAATATACAAAAAACTGCTGGGCACCGTGGCTCACACCTGTAATCCCAGCACATTGGGAGGCGGAGGCAGGCAGATCACCTGAGGTCAGGAGTTAGAGACCAGCTTGGCCAACATGGTGAAACCCTGTCTCTACTAAAAACACAAAAATTAGCCGGCTGTGGTGGCAGGTGCCTGTGGTCTCAGTTACTCAGGAGGCTGAGGCAGGAGAATCGCTTGAACCTGGGAGATGGAGGTTGCAGTGAGCCGAGATTGCGCCACGGCACTCCAGCCTGGGCGACAGAGTGAGACTCTGTCTCAAAACAAACAAAAAACCCCGCAAATCACTGCCCCCACTGTTTTCAGTTTAGGGAGAAGCAAGTTAAGAAGAAAAACTAGGGTTGATAATGTGTGAAACTGGCCAATATTACTTAGGTGTTTTAGGTGTGGAGATGGCGCCTCCACTGTCCTGCGGCCTTCCTCGATTACAGGGATGTACGCACTGCCCCACTCTGGAAATTCCGTGGGGTCTGGAGGGCAGAGGTTCTGAGCAGCCACTGAAACTTGTGTCAACTCCTCATGGCTTGTTTTCCCTGCACGCATGCTCACGAAGAAATGAGCTTCTAACCCTTCTGTCTTTATCAAGCTCTACCCAAGTCGTATTGTCTTCCTCCACTAAAAAACCTGTTCAGCCTGTTCTCCAAACCATTTGCCTTCTCCCGGGTCCAGCCCACCATTGCACCCCGAGGATGACCATGGACACCTCCCAGGATCCCACCCAGATTCCCTGCCCTGCCTGCCTCCAAAGGCCACCCTCACCTACCAAGTTACTCAGGTCCAAGTCCCTCCTGCTCACCTGCTCGCCTAAGCGTCCAATCCCATCCCAGGTCCTGTGGACTTCACCTTCCCAAGAGCTGCCTGCAGCTCCCTCCACGTTGCCCCCTCTCTCTGCTCACATTCGGGACTGAATGACTCACTGAATTATTAACTTGCCTTTGCACCTCTTTCCAGGATGTGACCTATCCCCATGGCTGCTCTCAAGTGATTAAATTAAGATGCCAGACAGATGGCGTTAAGTCATGCTTGAATCGCCGGGTGTGGTGGCTCATGCCTGTAATCCCAATACTTTCGGGGGCTGAGGCGGGTGGATCACCTGAGGTCGGGAATTTGAGACCAGCCTGACCAACACGGAGAAACACTGTCTCTACTAAAAATACAAAATGAGCTGAGCCTAGTGGTGCATGCCTGTAATCCCAGCTACTCGGGAGGCTGAGGCAGAAGAATTGCTTGAACCTAGGAGGTGGAGGTTGTGGTGAGCAGAGGTCGCACCATTGCACTCTAGCCTGAGCAACAAGAACAAAACTCCATCTCAAAAAAAAAAAAAAGTCATGCTCAAATCACAAAAGAACAAAGAAACCCTTTCCAGTTTCTTCCTCTCTTCTCTTCTCTTCTCTTCTCTTCTCTTCTCTTCTCTTCTCTTCTCTTCTCTTCTCTTCTCTTCTCTTCTCCTCTCCTCTCCTCTCCTCCCCTCCCCTCCCCTCCTCTCCTCTCCTCTCCTCTCCTCTCCTCTCCTCTTCTCTCCCTTCCCCCCTCCCCCTCTCCCCTCTCTTCTCTTTTTTTGAGACAGAGTCTCGCTCTGTCACCCAGGCTGGAGTGTAGTGGTACAATCTCCACTCACTGAAACCTCCGCCTCCCGGGTTTAAGCAATTCTCCTGCCTCAGCCTCCCGAATAGCTGGGACTACAAGTGCCCGCCACCACGCCTGGCTAATATTTGTATTGTTGGTAGAGACGGGGTTTCACCATGTTGGCCAGGCTGATCTCCAACTCCTGACCTTAGGTGACCCGCCTGCCTCAGCCTTCCAAAATGCTGGGATTACAGTCATGAGCCACCGCGCCCGGCCCCTTTTCAGTATGTTTTGAACCTTTGTGTTTCATAAAGGATAATGTCTTGGTGTGGTTTGAACGTCTTTAACGGTATTGCCAACATCTTCTGTGAACCAAAACAAAATGAAACAAAATTTAAAAAAAACTCCACAAAATCAAAAGAGGTCTTGGGCTCAGAACCTTGGCTGGCAGCAGTATATAATCAATATTAAAAGATATTTTTGGCTAGGTGAGGTGGTTCATATCTATAAACCCAGCACTTTGGGAGGCTGAGGTGGGAGGATCGCATGAGCTCAGGAGTTTGAAACCAGTCTGGGCAACATAGCGAGAGCCTAACTCTACAAAAAATTTTAAAAGAATCAGCCCAGCGTGGTGGTGCACACCTGTGGTCCCAGCTCCTTGGGAAGCTGAGGTGAGAGGATTGCTTGATCCCAGGAAGTCGAGGCTGCAGTGAGCTATGATGGTACCACTGCACTCCTGCCTGGGTATTGGAGTGATACCCTGTCTAATATATATATACATATCTAATATAATGTGTATATATATATAAAATGTGTATATATATATTAAAAATGTGTATATATACACACACACACATTTTTGTGAGCTTTTTCTCTTGTGTCTATTTTTATTTTCCACTTATGGTAAGTGAAACCAGTGTTTCCATTCATGATAGTGATTCTTAAATTCCCTTCATCACAGAGACTGATTTTAAAGGAAAAAATATTGTGTCTAATATCCTAGTAAAGACACCAATACGGCAAAATTCGTCAAGATGGGACATGAAGTGCCATATATTCATATTTTTAATAAAATAAAATTTTATTTAAATACAATTTTAATTTCCTTTTATTATTTATTTTTAATTGACAAATAAAAATTGCGCATATTTATGGGGTACAACCATTATGTTTTGATATATGTGGACGTTGTGGGATGACCATGTCAAGCTATTTAATGTATGCATTACCGCACGTACTTGTCATTTTCTTATGTGTGGTGAGAACACTTAAAATCTGCTTTCTTCTGAGCACTAAGATATAGGGAACAAAAAAAAATCTACTCGCTTAGTAATTTTCAAGAATGCAAAACATTGTTTTTAACTATAGGCACCATGTTGTATAATAGATTTCTTGAACTTATTCCTCCTAACTGAAATTTTGCACCCTTTAACCAACATCTCCTCAACCCGCCCCATCTCCCAGTCTCAGGTAACCACAGTTCCACTCTCTGTTGCTATGGGTTCAACCTTTTGGATTCCACATAGAAGGGAGATCATGTGGTATTTGTCCTGTGACTGACTTATCTCACTTGGCATAATGTTCTCCAGGGTCATCCATGTTGTTGAAAAATGACTGATCTTGAAGGGCTGTATTTCTGGAAACACTGGGCTCTCCAATCCATTTTCCACATTAGCTGCTGGAGTCATCTTTTAGAAATGCAGGTAATGACCAGGCGTGGTGGCTCACGCCTGTTATCCCAGCACTTTGGGAGGCCAAGGCGGGCAGATCACCTGAGCTCAGGAGTTTGAGATCAGCTTGGCCAATATGGTGAAACCCTACCTCTACTAAAAATACACAAAATTAGCTGGGCATGGTGGCGGGTGCCTGTAATCCCAGCTACTCAGGAGGCTGAGGCAGGAGAATCGCTTGAACCTGGGAGGCGGAGGTTGCAGTGAGCTGAGATCGCGCCACTGCACTCCAACCTGGGCGACTCCGTCTCTAAATAAATAAATAAATAAGTTTTTAAAAATGCAGATAATGATTATATCACTCCTCTAGTTAAAACTTTGCTGTCTTCAGGATAAAGCCTACTTTCCCAAACATAGCTTATGAGACAGCACGCTTAGAGCTCAGATGCTGGTTTCTAAATGTGATTCTCCACTCAGGGGAGCCAGGGCTCCTTGGAGAAGTGGCTGATTGCTGGGCTGGGCAGGGAAAGGACAGTAGGAGACTGGAACGTCTTATTGTACCTGAAAGTAAGAAGAGCTTTTAAAAAAATGTCTAAAAGATACAGCAGCCAGCTTGAAGGGATTCCCACTTCAAAACCAGAACAGTTTCAGTGAAAATAAATTCTGCTCGTAATAAATTATAACCCATAAACTAAAGTCAGAATCCCTAAAATCAACACTGAATCAATAAATGTGTGAGAAAAGGAAGCAGAGCCTCACAGAAGAATTCCAACAGGCCGGGCGCAGTGGCTCACGCCTGTAATCCCAGCACTTTGGGAGGCTGAGGAGGGCGGATCACCTGAGGTCAGGAGATCGAGACCAGCCTGGCCAACATGGTGAAACCCCGTCTCTACTAAAAATACAAAAATTAGTCAGGCATGGTGGCTCACGCCTGTAATCCCAGCTACTTGGGAGGCTATGGCAGGAGAATCGCTTGAACTCGGGAGGTGGAGATTGTAGTGGGTGGAGATTGCACCACTGCACTCCAGCCTGGGCAGCAAAAGCTAAATTCTGGCTAAGAATTCCAACAAATAAATACAGAAGGAGGAGTTGAGTTAGAAACTTAGCACCTAGCAACCACCACAGTATTAACTATTTCAAGCAAGAATTATTAAAGGGCAGGGCACAGTGGCTCATGACTGTAATTGGAAAACTTTGGGAAGCTGAGATGGGAGGATTACTTGAGCCCAGGAGTTTGAGGCCAGCCTGGGCAACATAGCGAGACCCCATCTCTACAATTTTTTTTAATAGCTTGGGTGTGGTGGTGCACACCTGTAGTCCCAGCTACTAGGGAGGGAAGGTGGGAGGATCACTGGAGCCCAGGAGTTTGAGGTTACGATGAGCAATGATCACGAACTCACTGCATTCCAGCCTGGGTGACAGAGTGAGACCTGTCTCCTAAAAAATAGAGAGAGATCACGCCTGTAATCCCAGCACTTTGGGAGGCTGAGGTGGACGGATCATAAGGTCAAGAGATTGAGATCAGCCCAGCCAACATGGTGAAACCCCGTCTCTACTAAAAATACAAAATTAGCTGGGCATGGTGGCAGGTGCTTGTAATCTCAGCTACTTGGGCAGCTGAGGAACGAGAATCACTTGAACCGGGCAGGTGGAGGTTGAGCCAAGATCGCACCATTGCAGCCCAGCCTGGGTGACAGAGAGAAACTTTGTCTCCAGAAAAAAAAAAAAAAAAGGAGAGAGAGAGAATTATTAAAGGGCCCTAGACCCTAGACCCCGTGGACATGAGCATGAGCAGAAGCAGGGCATTGTCATTTCATGGGAGTTCCCCACAGATGACTAGTTACAAGGGGAAATGAGCCTCACAGTGGCAGACGCCACATTTAACAAGAGATCAAAGCTGACATCACCACCATTGGAACCAACTGTCATCACGAGTTGAACATAGTGCCGAGAAAGAAAAAAGTCACTGGTGAACCAAAATGCAAATCTGAAATAAAGAACAGGGAAGCATCAGACAAATGACCTGGATTGTGGAGACCTTCTCCGGAATCTCTGTATTCCTCAAAAACGCCAGTGTCGGGAAGATGAGGAACAGCTGAGGTTTCAAATCCAGATTTAGAAAGACTCAAGAGACAAGATGGCTAAACAGAATGCATCATCCTGGATCTGATCCAGGACCATCAAAGCATCTAAGAACCATCAAAGGATCCTAGGCCTCGTGGGCACAAGCATGAGAAGACGCAGGAGCCGTCCATAGCCTCAAAGCAGTTTCCACAGACAATTAATCCCGAGGGGAAATAACTTCACAGTGCCAGACACCACTTTAAACAAGCGGTGGGTTTGATCCAGGATTGGGGGAAAATGCTATCAAGTAAGTTGTTGGAATAATTTGTGTGTGAACATGGGCTATGCATAAAATGAATATAATGCCTCAATATTATTATTATTATATAATAATATATAACAGAGTCTCACTCTGTTGCCCAGGCTGGAGTGCAGTGGCGCCATCTCGGCTCACTGCAAGCTCCGCCTCCCGTGTTCACGCCATTGTCCTGCCTCAGCCTCCCCAGCAGCTGGGACTACAGGTGCCTGCCACCATGCCTGGCTAATTTTTTGTATTTTTAGTAGAGATGGGCTTTCACCATGTTAGCCAATCTCCTGACCTTGTGATCTGCCTTCCTCAGCCTCCCAAAGTGCTGGGATTACAGGCGTGAGCCACCACACCCAGCCAATATTAAATTTTCTCAATGTAATCATTGTACTGTGGCTATGAAAAAAGAATGCCTTTATTCTTAGAAAATATACACGGAAAAATTTAGGAGCAGAGGGGTATGATATCTGCAACTTACACTAAAGAGATAGAAAAAGAGTGAGAGAGGTCGGGTGTGGTGGCTCATGCCTATAATCCCAGCACTTTGGGAGGCAGAGGTGGGCGGATCACATGAGGTCAGGGGTTCGAGACCAGCCTGGCCAACACGTTGAAACCCTATCTCTACTAAAAATACAAAAATTAGCTGGGCTTGGTGGTGCACGCCTGTTATCCCAGTTACTCGGAGGCTGAGGCAGGAGAATTGCTTGAACCTGGGAGGCAGAGGTTGCAGTGAGCCAAGATCTCACCACTGCACTCCAGCCTGGGAGACAGAGCAAGACTCCATCTCAAAAAAAAAAAAAGAGTGAGAGAGAGATAGAAAATGTGGCAAAATGTTATCAATTGGTGAATGTGGGTGAAGGTTAAATGGGAGTTATTTGCATCATTCCTGAAATTGCTTTTATAAATTTGAAATTTTTGCAAAATAAAAGTTTATATCATCTTGCCCCCAAAACCATATCTTACCTCAAATCCTCCTTTTCCCCACTCTACTCCCTCCTCACAGTCTTCAACCTACCCTAAATTCCAAATTTATCAAAAGAATATTTAGTACAATAATAAAATGTATGAAAAAGTATCTGTGATGGTTAATTTATTGTGTCAACTTGACTGGACCACAGGGTGCCCAGATATTGGCTAGGCATCATTTCTGGGGTGTCTGTGAGGATGTTTCTGGTTGAGTTTGGCATTCAAATCTATACCCTGACTAAAACAGATGGCCCTACACAGTGTGGGTGGGCCTTGTCTCATCAGTCAAAAGCCTGCATAAAACAAAAAGCTGAGTGAGAAAGGATCCTTCCTCTCTTCCTGACTGCATGAGTTGGGACCTCAGACTGCCTCTGCCTTGGGATGAAGATTCATACTGGAATTTACACCACTGGCCCTCTTGGGTCTGGATTTCTCAGCCTCTGTAATCGCAAGAGCCAATTCCTGAGAATGAATGAATGAATGAATGAATGAATGTCCCGTTGCTTCTATGTCTCCAGAGGACCCTGACTCACATGGTCTCTTTGTCTATCCTATCTCGCCTGCAGCTAAGCCATGAGCTGGACCTCAAAGTGGGGTTTCTGGAGATGGGGACTTGATTTCTTGGTGGAGTTGCCCAGAAGGTCTCTGCCAGAGCCTGTTGGCCTCCCTTTTATATTTTATTATTATTATTTGAGACAGGGTTTCACCATGTCACCCTGGCCGGAATGCAGTGGCTCCATCCTAGCTCACTGCAGCCTCCAACTTCTGGGCTCAAGCGATCCTCCCACTTCAGCTTCCCAAGTAGCTAGAACCACAGGCAGGCACCACCATGCCTGGCTAATTTTTAAAATTATTTGTGGAGGTGGGGTCTTGCTGTGTTGCCCAGGCTGGTCTCGAACTCCTGGTCACTTGAGGCCTCAAGTGATCCTCCTGCCTCAGCCTCCTAAAGTGCTGGGATTATAGGCATGAGCCACTGTGCCCTGCCTGGCCTCCCATTTGACATGGATGGGGGTGTGTGAGGAGATTAGACGCCCGTTAAACTCAGTGGTCCCCCTGGCATCAAGGATTTCATCAAATCACCCAGAGAGTAAGTCTTGTCGGCAATTTTTAGCAGTACTCAGCTGAGCAGTAAGCACCACCCACTGGGTAGATTGTATGTGTGTGTTGGGGTGCGGTAGGGCCTGTCATTCATTCATTTAGTGAGTGCTCCACTGTGGGAGGAGTTCTGGGGAAGAGCCCCCCCACACTGGGTAGATTGTGTGTGTGTGTTGGGGTGTGGTAGGGCCTGTCATTCATTCATTTAGTGAGTGCTCCACTGTGGGAGGAGTGCCCTGGGCATTGTGTGTGTTTGTTTACGACAGCTAATGCATGTTTTTCACTTTAAGATGCTTTTGCTTTCTTCCCCACTTTGCTCACTTTTTTCCACTCATTACACAGTCTCAGGAATTGGGCTGCCTTTTACAGTCAGTTGCATTAATTGACCATGCTTTATTGTTCTTCCTGGCTAGGAAATAATGGTGCCTCCACAGTGGACAGCATCGTCCATCGGATGAAATACAGGACTCCGTTCATGGGGAAGGAAGTTTGAAATTCTGAAAGCACATACACAGGGATGCCCCAACCCCACTTGGGCAGGCAGTGTGGGTGAGGCGCAGCTAATGACCTTGTCCTCTGAAGAGCTGCCCCTGGAACCACCTCATCCACAGACACCCGGGAGGTTACCTCATCTCTCCCCACAATTGGGGGCAGCCAATGTTTGATGTTAGGGGCTACAAAATCTGACCCCCTTGCCTCATGGAACTGTGATTTACAGTTCAGGTTCCTTCTGGACCAAGTCAATGTAATTATTTCTCTTTTCCTCCTTTTACACAATCATAGCAACCCTTTTCATTATTATATATCCTTTCACTGTATATTCTGCTTGTTCAGCCCCTAAAGAACTTCTTCAGAATTTTACACAGTTGCATAACATTCCATCGAATGCATTTATCAGAACTTAGTTGGCCAGCCCCCTCTGGAGGGAAATTGAGGTTTTTTCCCCAGTCATTTGCTATTACAAGACATGGTATTATTAAAACACAGAGCTGGCAATGTTTTAAGTTTGCTTGTGACCAGGCAGAGGGATGCCAGAAGGAATAAATAATGTGGCCCAGGCTGGTGCTAACTCCCCTATACCCTGTATATTTCTTTTATCCTTCCTTCCTTCCTTCCTTCCTTCCTTCCTTCCTTCCTTCCTTCCTTCCTTCCTTCCTTCCCTCCTTCCTTCCTTCTTTCTTTCGCTCAGGCTGGAGTGCAGTGGCACGATCTTTCTCTTGCTCTGCTGCCCAGGCTGGTGTGCAGTGGTGCAATCTCGGCTCACTGCGACCTCCACTTCCCAGGTTCAAGTGATTCTCCTGCCTCAGCCTCCTGAGTAGCTGGGATTACAGACACATACGACCACGCCTGGCTAATTTTTTTTTTTTTTTGTATTTTTTGTTAGAGACAGGGTTTCACCATGTTGACTAGTCTAGTCTCGAACTCCTGACCTCAGGTGATCCACCCACCTGGGCCTCCCAAAGTGCATGGATTACAGGTGTGAGCCACTGCACCTGGCCTATATTTCAGAACACCTATCTGTGTGGGTTTTTGTCATTCTCTTTTAATTCTTCAGCCTGTGTTCTCTCTCTGAAGACAAACACCTTAAGTTTATTCTCCATGGCCTTTTGCACAAACGCTCCCTTCTAAACTGCCACCATCTGTTGAGGACCGTGATATTTTAGAGCCAGGATGGGCATGCTTTTGAAAAAAACATAACCCATGAAAAGGCCCATAATCATTAGAATAAAACGTTGACAGTTTATGCAGTTTCATGGAAAAGAAAAAAGAAACAAACATTTGCTCAAGCAGATGTTCAGTGCTGTGTGTTCCATATACCATATGCTTCTTTTTCTGCCATACACAATTACTGAGAATCTCTCCAACCATCAAAAGTTCAACTGGGAAGCACATGTCCTGAGATTTTTGAGTTGGGTTGAATCATCGCAGCATCTTGCAATCAACAGCAGTTAATTTCTGAATGTGTCTCCCTTAACGGTCTCCACTGGCCACCTTTCCCCACTCTGCTGAGCTCAAAAGTAATGTAATTTGGGTCCTGGGTGATGGTTGAGTCTTGAGTTTCATTCATTTCCTCTTAGTTCCTCCAGGTGTTTGGGGTTCCCACGTGCCAGAAAACAGGGTCCCCACATCTTTTGAAATGAGAATAAGAGGACCTCATGCATTTGTGTTTTTTTGGGGAGACACTTGAGGCTTTTGGAGACCAGTTTTTATTCATCATAGCAGGTTTTTGAAATTATGCTCAAGTGCCTAACATTATCCCTGGCACATAATATGCTCTCTGTCAACTTGTGTTGGAGGAGGAATGAGGCGCGACTGAAAGGTGGGCATAGATGCTGGGGGTGTCACAGGCACCTGCGGCAGCTGCTCCATGGAGAACCTGGGATTTCTATTTGTTTGGTTTTTTTGAGCCAGCAGCCACTTGCATGCCCAGGTCCTTTTTCGTTCTTCTACGAAAACCCCATTCAAGGAGACCTTGAATGAACCCTAAAGGCTTGAGTGAACCAGGAATATGGGGTGGGGTGGGAATTGCAGAATTCAATCCTTCCCCTTGTCCCACCACCCTCAGCCCAGGCTATTCTGACATCAACCACTCCTCCTCCCCTTCAGGGGACTCAAGGGATGTTTGCGACCAAGACTGTTGCTATGGAAACCACTGCAGTGTGGGGGACAGGATGGGGCAAGCAAGGCTTTCAGGCTGGAATTTTCCATGCCCTTGAGCACAGAATGCGTGGATGTAAAAGCCCCGTGTGGGCACAGAGCAGGGGTACAATAAATACCTGTATTTATTATTTGGGAAGAGATGGAGAGGCACAATCTGATCTTTGGTCACTGCTTTCCCCTCTGAAGCCTCGGTCCACTCTTCTGCAGCAGGTGTGATCACCATCCTTAGCTAGCAGGGCTGTTGGGAGGATCTGAGGACTCCCTGCCTGCCTGCCTGCCTGGGGTCTGCTACCAAGGTGGTCACCTGGTTCAGGTAGGGGCTTGTCGAAATGTCAATTCCTGGCTACGACCTGGACGTCCTGAAACAAAATATTTTGTGCAAAGTATTCATTCACCGTCACAATCTGCTGCTCTTTTTATTTTTATCCTGATATATTTTTTCTTAGTAGTTTTTAGAGCTGTGCTTTCCAATGTCAAAAGACAAAACTACAAAAAATTTTGTTCTATATGGTGCTACCTATGTACATATAGATTATGGTAAAATACGTATGCATATATGTGTGTGTCTCTATCCTTTCAACCTAAAAGGAAGAAGCTGAGGCAAAACTAATTTAAGAGTTTATTTGGGCCAAGCTTGAGGATTACAACCCAAGAGCACAGATTTGACTTCCCCTGATTCACACTCTGATTAGCAGCAGTTACAAGTGAATTTTAATTTTTATTTATTTTTATTATTTATTTATGTATTTTGAGATGGTGTCTTGCCCTGTTGCCTCGGCTCACTGTAACCTCTGTCTTCCAGCTTCGAGGAATTCTCCTGTCTCAGCCCCCCAAGTAGGTGGGACTACAGGTGCATGCTGCCATGCTGGCTAATTTTTGTGTTTTTAGTAGAGATGGGGTTTTACCATATTGGTCAGGCTGGTCTGGAACTCCTGACCTCAAATGATCCACCCGCCTCGACCTCCCAAAGTGCTGGGATGACAGGTATGAGCCACCGCACCCAGCCACAAGTGGATTTTTTTTTTTGAGATGGCGTCTCACTCTGTCACTCAGGCTGGAGTGCAATGGCGCGATCTCAGCTCACTGCAGCCTTTGCCTCCTGGGTTCAAGCAATTCTCCTGCCTCAGCCTCCCGAGTAGCTGGGATTACAGGTGTGTGCCACCATGCCCAGCTAATTTTTGTATTTTTAGTAGAGACAGGGTTTCACCATGTTGGCCAGGTTGGTCTTGAACTCCTGACCTCAGGTGATCCTCCTGCCTTGGCCTCCCAAAGTGCTGGGATTACAGGCATGAGCCACTGCACCCAGCCTCAGGTTAACTTTGGAATGCCCCTGGCTGAGGGGAGGGTCCATCAGTAGGTTGGGGGGCTTAGAATTTTATTTTTTTGTTTACAATTTACAGAAATAACATTGGTTAGTGATTAGGTGTGCATTGTGAGGACTCTGCGACCTTTTTCTCTCTTACCTAAATTCCTATCTAGGTGGCCCAGGTAGTCACACTCTACAAACCATAAAATCTTGTTAAGCAGGTTCTTTTATTAACGCAGTATCAGGTGGCTGACTTCCAACCCATCTCTGGTATAGCATCGTGTGATGGAGACCAGACCCCCTTAACTTCAGCATTTCTTTCTACTGAGTTGCTTTAAACAAAGTGTAACTCTTTCAAATTGCCAACTAAAGAATCCTTAAGGCTGGACTCAGTGGCTCACACTTATAATCCCACCACTTTGGGAAGCTGAGGCAGGCAGATTGCTTGAGCCCAGAAGTTTGAGACCAGCCTGGGCAACACAACGAGAACCCGTCTCTACAAAAAGTAAAATAAAATTAGGCGGGGGTGGTGGTGCATATCTGTGGTCCCAGCTACTTGGGAGGCTGAGCCGGGAGGATCAGTTGAGCCTGAGAGGTCAAGGCTGCAGTGAGCCATGGTCATGCCACTGCACAACAGAGTGAGAACTGTGTCAAAACACACACACACACACACACACACACACACACACACACACACACACCTCAAGAAACGTTTTCAGTATGCAGGAAGGAGTGAGAAAAAAGAATCTTTAAAACCTACTATGACTTGTAAGCCCCTGACTTCAAGATGTCCACGGGTTCAGGCCGAGCTCATGTATACCCTCAGTGTATTGATTTATGATTTTACCTGCAATTCCTGTCTCCTCGAAATGTGTGCAACCAAACCGGAACATGACCACCTCAGGCGCACCTCCTCAGGACCTCTGGAGACTGTGTAACCCCAGGCTTCGGTCACTCATCCTGGTTCACAATAAACCTCTTTAAATATTTGGCAGAATCTGGTTTTTACTGCTGACAATTGTTAAGCTATAGGGTATGGGTTTTAGTGTCCCACTGGGGACTGTTTAATTTGCAGCTACTTATGGCAATAGCAAGCAGTTTCAAGAGATTCTGAAAGCTGGGAGTAGGGTGTGACTGCTGCGTCATTTTAATGCTTCTCCGGCCCCGATCATTTGAAAGCCCTCACATTCCTCAGACAGAAGTTCTTTTCTTTCCTCAGTCTCCAGCCCTAGCTCTATAGCTATATCCACTTCAATATCTATTTATTATCTGTCTCAATAAGTTGTCAACTCCAATGAGAACAAAGACTACATCTGTGTTGGATGCTGCCGCCTCGCACAAGGTCTGGCAAACAGTAGGCAATCAACAAATATTTGTTGGTATAATCAGTCAATCAAATGACTAATCTTTAGACAACAAAGGCTGTTTGTATCATCGGTGCTGGCGGCTGCCACGGAACAGAAACCTGTGATTTCCACGCCTGTTGGCAAAGCACACATGGCTGGGTTTTGCCCTTCGTCAAGGACATCATTTTAAATGTGCACATTTTAAGTTTTAATATGCCCAACCTGAATCTCCGATGGGGTACAGTAGGCCTGCTCCCTCCCCCTGCTCGGCTTCTCCCCCATCGCCCTGCCCTGGTCCTTAGCAGCCTTCGCTGGGGGTCTGGGATGCAGGCAGGCTCTGCCTGTTGCTATGGAAACTGCATCGAGGAGATGGGGAGGAGGCTGAGAGGCACTCAGAGGATGGAACTTTCCAGGCTGTGTGTGGGTTAGAATCCTGAGCTGCCATATGAATGAGTGCCTATAATGATTTGTGTGTGTGTGTGTGTGTGTGTGTGTGTGTGTGTTAGGAGCGTGAATGAAAATACAGCTGGGCATGGCGGGTCATGCCTGTAATCTCAGCACGTTGGGAGGCCGAGGCAGGAGGATCATCTGAGGTCGGGAGTTCAAGACCGGCCTGGCCAACATGGTGAAACCCTGTCTCTACTAAAAATACAGAAATTAGCGGGGTGTGGTGGAGGGTGCCTGTAATTCCAGCTACTTGGGAGGCTGAGGCAGGAGAATTGCTTGAACCTGGGAGGTGGAGGTTGCAGTGAGCCAAGATTGTGCCACTGCACTCCAGGCTGGGCAACAGAGTGAGACTCTGTCTCAAAAAATAAAGTAAAACAAAACAAAACAAAATAAAGTACGGAATCATGGGAAAGTGACTTCACTTTTCTGAGCCTGTTTTCTCATCTAAAACTGGGTAAACATTTTTTTTTTTGAATCTGTAGGTTGTGGTGAGGATGACAGTGGGAAGCTGCTTGTGAATCACTGGGCACTATGCCTGCCACAGCATAGCCAGGATTTTTTTTTCAATGTGTCCCCAACTTCACTTGCATCAAATGGGGAGGATTAGGGAGATGGATGATTGAAAATGCAAAAATGAGTGAGGTGACTCATGCCTGTCATTCCAGCACTTTGGGAGGCAGAGATGGGAGGATCACTTGAGCTCAGGAGTTTGAGACCAGCCTGGGCAACATATGAAGACCTTGTCTCTACGAAAGAAAGAGAAAAAAAAATTAGCCGGGCGTAGCTGTACATGCCTGTAGTCCCAGCTACTTGGGAGACTGAGGCAGGAGAATCGCTTGAACCCAGGAGGGAGAGGTTGCAGTGAGCCGAGATTGTGCCACTGCATTCCAGCCTGGGTGACAGAGTGAGACTCCATCTAAAAAAAAAAAAAAAAATTTGCCGGGTGTAGTGGCACGTGCCTGTAGTCCCAGCTACTCGGGATGCTGAGGTGGGAAGATTGCTGGAGCACAGGAGTTGAAGGCTGCAGTGAGCTATTATGGCACTCCAGCCTGGGTGACTGAGCAAGACTCCGACAAAAAAAAAAAAAAAAAAAAGCAAATCCTGGTTACTCTCCAGACTCTGGAAGGTAAAGGACCCACCTCTGCCCCAACCTCCCCAGGTAGTAAGAGAATGTCTCTGTCTAGACCCAGAATCAAGGGAAGGGAACAGTAAAGTGGGAGGAGCAACCCGTGGGGACATGACTTACCTGGATGAAGAGCTCACTCCCGTGTTCTCAGACATTTCTGAAGCCCAAGGCAAAGACTTCCACCCCAGAGGCTGGGGAGGTCCTGCAGGGGGAGAGAGTGGGCGGGGCTTGTGTGTATTCAACAATGTGGAATGTCTCCATTTCCATAAAGATACAGCCTCCCCTCCTTGGCTCATTTTTCTTTTTTTTCTTTTCTTTTTCTTTCTTTCTTTCTTTTTTTTTTTTTGAGACAAAGTCTCGTTCTGTCGCCCAGGCTGGAGTGCAGTGGCGCGATCTCAGCTCACTGCAACCTCCGCCTCCTGGGTTCAAGCAATTCTCCTGCCTCAGCCTCCCCAGTAGCTGGGACTACAGGCGCTCGCCACCAAGCCCGGCTAATTTTTTGTATTTATAGTAGAGACGAGGTTTCACTGGGTGAGTCAGGATGGTCTCGATCTCCTGACCTCATGATCCGCCCGCCTCTGCCTCCCAAAGTGCTGGGATTACAGGCGTGGGCCACCGCGCCCGGGCCAAATGCAAGTTGTTTTTTTTTTTTTTTTGACACAGGGTCTCGCTCTGTCACCCAGGTTGGAGTGCGGTGGCACGATCTCAGCTCACTGCAGGCTCCGCCTCCCTAGTTCAAGTGATTCTCCTGCCTCAGACTCCTGAGTAGATTACAGGCACCTGCCACCACCCCCGGCTAATTTTTGTACTTTTAGTAGAGACGGGGTTTCATCATGTTGGCCAGGCTGGTCTTGAACTCCTGACGTCAAGTGATCCACCTGCCCTGGCCTCCCAAAGTGCTGGGATTACAGGCGTGAGCCACCTCACCTGGCCCTTTATTTTTCTTAAAATAAGTGATTCTGCCACGACACACTCACCAGAACGGTAAAAATGAAGAGATTAGCAACATCAAATGTTGGTGAGGATGTGGGGTGGCTGGAAGGAGCACACAGTGTTGGTGGGAGTATAAAATGGCACAACCATTTTGGTTGGAAAGGGTCTGGCATTTTCTTCAAATAAGTGACTCTTTTGGCCTCAATATTCTCAAGGTTGTAAAGTAACGTCACCTATGAAATGGCAATGGTCACCTCAAGCATGATCCTAATCAGACACTGATACAGAGTGGGGGCATTGGGAAGTAATAGGGAGGGGTGGGGAGTGTGGAAAAAAGGGAGAGAGTGTGTTTTGCTGAAGTGGGCAGTACCACCAGACACCACCCAATTGTTCCCAAGCTGAAATCAAACCCAGTGTTGTTAGCTCTTCTAATTTTTCAAGGGAAAATCCATATTTTATGGGTTTCAATGGCGCTTGAATTTTCATATGTTATTGGTGGACGTGCAACGTGGAACAACCTTTATGGTGGGCACTTTAGCAAAATGTGGATGCCTGTACTTTCTTACTGAGAAATTCCACTTCTAGAAATATATTGTACGGATTTACTTACGCATGTGTGAAGGAACATGCTTCTGTGGTAATCCACTGCAGCAGCATTAGCATTTGTTATGATGAAAGATTGAACACAATCTGAACATCCATGAGGAGGAGATAGGTTAAATGAGTTATAGGACAATGACACAATGGGATGCTCTAATTGTATATGAAAAGTGAGTATGCCGGCCGGGCGCGGTGGCTTATGCCTGTAATCCCAGCACTTTGGGAGGCCGAGGCAGGCGGATCATGTGAGGTCAGGAGTTCGAGACCATCCTGGCCAACATGGTGAAACCCCGTCTCTACTAAAAATACAAAAATTTTCTGGGTGTGGTGGCAGGTGCCTCTAGTCCCATCTACTTGGGAGGCTGAGGCAGGAGAATTGCTTGTACCTGGGAGGCAGCGGTGAGCCAAGATCGTGCCATTGCACTCCAGCCTGGGCAACAAGAGTGAAACTCTGTCTCAATAAACAAACAAACAAACAAATACACAGACTGGTCGGGCGTGGTGGCTCATACCTGTAATCTCGGCATTTTGGGAGGCCCAGGCAGGCGGATCACCTGAGGTCAGGAGTTTGAGACCAGCCTGGCCAACATAGTGAAACCCCGTCTCTACTAAAAATACAAAAATTTTCTGGGCATGGTGGCAGGTGCCTCTAGTCCCAGCTACTCAGGAGGCTGAGGCAGGAGAATCGCTTGAACCTGGGAGGTAGAGGTTGCAGTGAGCCAAGATTGCACCATTGCACTCCAGCCTGGATGACAAGAGCAAAACTCTCAAAAAAAAAAAAATTAAAAAATAAAAATAAATAAAATGGTGGGGAGGGCAGCTGACAATACGGTGTGCTCAGAATTATTCAAGAAGGAATGTGGAACGTGGAACAGACGTGGCTTCCGGGAGGGGTGTCGGGTGCCTTGGGATGAGGGCATGAGGTTTAATTTTCATTACACAATGTTTCCCCAGAAATTATTCCAGTCGCAGAGTTAAAATCACATCTTAAAATGTCATTTTGACTCTGCGAATGTATCACCACTTCACAATGAAGGAAATTAAATCCCAAACAACACGGGCTGCTTTACTCGTCTCCACAGAACTTTTCAAAGCCTGCCATCATATTACATATCGGGGTCCGCGGTGTTTTGTGCGGCAGCCCCATCTAAGCCAACCCTGTTAAGGAAGCACTGCAGGTATTTTCTTCATCAATACTGTCTCCCTAGAACAATGCCAGCAGCTCGAAATAGATACAGCATTAATAGATTCATAAAACTCTCATATTAATCATCTATACTGATCGAATTGATCTTTATGCAAAAATTAAGTGGTTTAATGAATGAAGGAGTGAAAGGGCGGACAGATATCATTTCTGTCACTAGTCATTTCTGGCGATCTGGGATTTCTACCAGAGGCTGCAGAGACCCGCACAGGCCTGTTTTTCTGCCCTGTTCTGCAAAGACCCCTGTCTGAGGATGCGTTTAACTGCATCAAAGTCAAGAGTGGACTATGAATGCGCCCAGCCCTCCCCATCCCCACCTGGCTCCTGGGAGGCTCAGTCCCCTGAGAGATCTCACCTGGCGACAGCTGTTGCCATGGAAACCGCGGAGAAGAGGAGGGGCTGTGCCAATGCTGGAGGGATGCGGGGCCTGGAATTTTCTAGGCTCAGGGCTTAGCCTGTGCATGCCTGCGGGTTCAGATCCCAGCCTGGCCTCACCGCGGGGACTCCCTAAAGACTTGGGGGTTGGGTACACAGAAGAGGGTCTGGGTGGAGGCTGCTTCTCCTCCACCCTGAACCCCCCATGGGCCTAGGGGGGCTAACCCAGGCTGGGTCCAAGGCAGGGTTTGCCAAGGATGCCCTAAGCCCCCTCCCTCACTGCAGAATCACCCGCAATGCGGATTAAACATGTGACTCCCGGGAGACACCTTAGAAAAATGTTTCTGGAGTCTTTCACGTCTGTCCTCATGCTAGTCATTTCTCTGTCTTATTTTCTCCAAATAACTTGTCTAGGCCTGAAATCCTTTTTTTAATTAATTAATTAATTTTAAATTCCTTTTTCTGTGATTCCCCATCCTTGTTCAGTGTCGGTGAGTTTCCTGAGCAGAGCTGTGTTGTTTTCTTCATGGCTGCACTCTCACTGCCTTCAATAGACTTTGGCATACAGCAGGGCCTCCATACACACGACCTGACTGCAATGAATGAATGAATGGATTCCTGCTTTCCTGTTCTTTTTTTTTTTTTTTTTGAGATGGAGTCTTGCTCTGTCTCCCAGGCTGGAGTGCAGTGTCTCAATCTCGGCTCACTACAGCCTCTGCCTCCCGTGTTCAAGGTATTCTCCTGCTTGTAGCTGGGATTACAGGTGCACACCACCACGCCTGGCTAATTTTTGTATTTTTAGTAGAGATGGGGTTTCACTGTGTTGGCCAGGTCAGGTCTCGAACTCCTGACCTCAAGTGATCCACCCTCCTCAGCCTCCCAAAGTGCTGGGATGACAGGTGTGAGCCACCGTGCTCTGCTATGCTTTCCTGCTCTATCATAATTCCACAGGAAGGGGTTGGAATGGAGCTTATTTTCTGGTTTCTTTTGGCCACCAAGGGAGGTAAAGTTAATCGTGACTCCTACCCACTTCTTCACCTTCCTCCCCAAAGGGAGGACTCAGGTTCCACGTCAGGGATGGGGCACTCAGTGGAGATCTGGGTTCTCACCGTGGGTCTGCAGGTGCCAGGCACACGCTCGCCTCTCTTACACCGGGGACGTGGCCTGGATTTGGGTCTGGGCTGGGCCACCCATTAGCAGTGCACCTCAGGGCCAGTCACTTAACCACCCAGTGCCTCAGTTTCCTCATCTGCAAAAAGGGCATAATGATAATGTCCACCCTGTAGGGTCATTATGAGGACTGAGAGGGAAACACAGGTGGGCATGCAACACGGAGCTCACACAGGATGGTGCTCTGTAAGAGTCAAAAGTCCTTAGAGTTCATGGTTTTTCATTTCATCAATGTCTCTTTTTCATATACATATATATTTCAATGATTCTAGATTGGGAGTGATTTTGTGCCCCAGGGGACATTTGGCAATGCCTGGAGGCATTTTTGGTTGTCACAATTGGGTGAGAGGCAGGGACACTCACGTTTCATAGGTAGAAGCCAGGGTTGCTGCTCAACATCCCACAAATGCACAGCACAGAGCCATCACCAAGAGTTATCCAGCCCCAAATGCCAATAGTGCCGAATTTGCGAATCCCTGGTATGTATACATTACATTTATAATAGTCTAAAGCAGGGGGAAATAAAGAAATATTATATGAGTCACAAATATCATTTAAAGTTTTCTGGTACCTATGTTAATAAAGTAAAAAAGAACAGGTAAAAATAATTTGAAGACTGTATCTTGGCCAGGCGTGGTGGCTCATGCCTGTAATCCCAGCACTTTGGGAGGCTGAGGCGGGTGGATCAACTTGAGGTCAGGAGCTCGAGACCAGCCTGGCCAACATGGTGAAATCCTGTCTCTACTAAAAATACAAAAATTAGCTGCGCGTGGTGGCGTGCACCTGTAATCCCAGCTCCTCGGGAGGCTGAGGCAGGAGAATCGCTGGAACCAGGGAGGAGGAGGCTGCAGTGAGCCGAGATCGCACCACTGCAGTTCAGCCTGGGGGGACAGAGCAAGACTCCGACTAAAAAAAAAAAAAGACTGTATCTTATTTAGCCCAATATATTCAAAATACGATGATGTAATCAACATGCAGCCATTGCACAACACTGTTAACGAGATATTTTCCAGTGCTTTTTGGTAACAAAGTCTCTGAGATCCGGCGTGTGCTTTTCCTTTGAGCCCACCTCAATTCCCCTAGCTCCTCTTCAAGCGTCTGTAGTCACGGTGGCCTCAGACCGCGGGACTGGACCTCAAGGGGCTGGACAGCGCTCTGGGCGAGACGCACCTGGTCAGTAGAGGGCGCCACAGAGTTAGTCTAAAATCTACAACAGGAAAGAAATCACAGGCAGAGCTTGAGAAAGAAACGGCATTAGACCCAGTCCCTTTTCCTCCCATGGAGAAGGGGAGCGGAGGGGAGAGGCAGGGGTGCGAGCTCATTTACGAGCTTTGTTGCTAGTAGGGGAGGTGGAAGCCAAGATGCTCATGCGTTGATGGCATGGGTGCAAACTCTCTTCCACCCAGACCTGTCTACCCCACTGACCCAGCCGTGTCTCCAGCCTTTGCCTGGATTTCCACACAGCCTCCTCTAGCATCCAGTTGGGCCCACAGGGAGCCATTGCCGTCCTGCCTGGACACAGAGTGTGACCCTGCCCTCCTGTGACCCATGGGGGCTCCTACCGCACTCAGGGTGGAAGCCAGGCTGCTGACTGTGGTGTAAAATAGACCCCCAGATCCAGCCTTTACCAAACCCTCCAGCCTCCTCTTACCACTGCCCAGCCCACCTCCTGGGCTTGGGGCTGTTACAGGCGAGGCTGTGTCCTCCAAGATGCATATATTGAAGTCCTCGCCCCCAGGCCCTCAAAATATGACTGTATTTTGAAATAGGGTCCTTGAAGAGGTAATTCAGGTAAAATGAGGTTGTTAGGGTGGTAGGCCTCATGCAATATGATTGACGTCTTTATAGGAAGAGATTAGGATACAGACACGCACAGAGGGACGACCACGTGAGTATCCAGGGTAAAGATGGCGTCTGCAAGCCAAGGGGAGAGGCCTCAGGAGAAGCCAATCCTGCTGACGCGTGGATCTCAGACTTCCAGCTGCCAGGACCATGAGAAATTTGATTTCGGTTGTAGAAGCCACCTGGTGTGTGGCGCTTTGTGATGGCAGCTCTAGAAAATTAATACACTGACTCGCTGAGCCCTTTTCTGCTTTCCAAAAACACTAAACTTTGCTTCTCGCGTGCACCATCCCATGCTTATCTGTACCCACCTTATCCTTACCCACTCCTCAGAGCCTCGCTCCTTAACAACAACAACAGCAGCAATAATAATAATAGCTGCCTGTGCTGAGAGTTTCATAGGATCATCTCACTTGATCTTTACAACAGCTCTCCGAGGTTGACACTATCAATATACTGTTGTTCCAGATGGGGAAACCGAGGCACAGGGCAGTTCAATGACTTCTTATCTGAGGTCCAGTAGCCAGGATGGAGTAGAACCAGGCTTCGGCATAGAGAGGCTGGTGTACTCTTCTCAGGCAACACATCGTGTAGACGTCTTCCTAACTGGGGCTGGCGCCTTTCTCTGCAGTGGCCCAGCCTGGAGTCCTCACCCTACTAGGATGTATGGCCATTCCTATGCTATGGGGTGGAGAGTTCCTCCTTGGGCATCACTACCTCCCCAGCATCCTCAGGGCTCAGCGCAGAGTACTGCTAATCATACAGATGTCATTAGCAGCCCGGGATGGAGAAAAGTAGCTGTAGAAATGATTACACAACCTACTCTGGGCCAGACCCTGTATTCAAGCATTTTACCATATTCATTAATTTGCCTAACAACCACATGAAGGGGGTAATTTTATGATGCTTAATTTACAGAGGTGGCCCGGGCCCAGAGAGGTTAAGTAACTTGCCTGAGAGCACACAGCTAGTAACTTGTGGAGCTGGGGCTTCAGCCCACGAGCCTGGCGCCAGAAAACTCAATCACAACAACTGCATCTACAGCCTGGCACAGGCCTCACTCCCTCTCCCTGTCTCTATCTCTCTGGACAACAGATCCTTCCACTTTATTTTATATTTTAGTGCTATTTTTATTGTAAATTCAATTCCATTCATTTTCTGAATAGGTGATACATTTAAAAGGTTTAGAAAGAGATTTCGTGAAGACTCTCTTCTCAGTTTTGTGGGCACCTGGTTTCCTTCCCTGGAGGCAACCAATGATACAAGCAAGAAAACAGAGGTGTCTGTGGACACACAGGAGGTGTGCTTATACATTTCTCCCCTGTGGTATAAAATTTGGCACATTAAATCCATTGTTTTGTATCTTGTTTTTTCACAAAAATATATTTTAGAGATCATGCCATTTTGGAACTTAAGCACTCCTGTGTTCCTTTTCTGTAGCTGTGTAGTATTCCATCTTTTATTTATTATTATCATTATTATTTGAGACTGAGTTTCGCTCTTGTTGCCCAGGCTGGTGTGCAATGGTGCAATCTGTGCTCACTGCAACCTCCACCTCCCGGGTTGAAGTGATTCTCCTGCCTCAGCCTCCCAAGTACCTGGGATTACAGGCATGCGCCACCACACCTGGCTAATTTTTGTATTTTTAGTAGAGACGGGGTTTCACCATGTTGGCCAGGTTGGTCTCGAACTCCTGACCTCAGGTGATCTGCCTACCCCGGCCTCCCAAAGTGCTGCAATTACAGGCGTGAACCACCTTGCCTGGCCTTCCTTTTTTTTAAAAAAAAAACTCTATTATTATTATTAATCAGTACCCCATAGATGCATGCCAATATCATATCCAATTTTTGACAAGCAAAAATTGATGAATTGATGAAATAAATAATTTTTGGTGAATGAGCGTGAAGACAGTTGGGGGTAATGATGCTACCAGGAGACAAGAGAAGCCTGCTTCTGCCGATGTGTTCAAGATCTGTGCATTTCCTGTGTAGGGGACCAGAATATGCTGTCCCCAGATGTGTCTCTTTGACATCAGGATTCTTTTGAGCTGATTCTTTTTTTTTTTTTGAGACGGAGTTTCACTCTTGTTGCCCAGGCTGGAGTGCAATGGTGCAATCTTGGCTCACTGCAACCTCCACCTCCTGGGTTGAAGTGATTCTCCTGCCTCAGCCTCCCAAGTAGCTGAGATTACAGGCATGTGCCACCACACCTGGCTAATTTTTTGTATTTTTAGTAGAGACGGGGTTTCACCATGTTGGCCAGGTTGGTCTCGAACTCCTGACCTCAGGTTATCCACCTGCCTCAGCCTCCCAAACTGTTGGGATTACAGGCGTGAGCCACTGTACCTGGCCATATCTATTTTTTTTTTAAGAGAATTGCTCGCAATTGTATTCCCAGTGGGTAATCCGGTGCCTAGCTCTAAAGAAGCAGCTACTTGATATTTTTAAAGGAGAATTTTTAATTATTTTTATGTACAGAAAACTCAGCAGTGTAGATTTAACCCAGTTTGGTGGCAAGTTCTTTAGTCTTTGCCTTTTCCAGCTTTGGCAATGCAAGCCAGGGATTTTGGACCCAGGATGTTGCCTCCCCAGTGACTACAGATCTCATCATATCTGTTAATTTAATTGGTCCTGGTAGCTTCCACCAGCTTAGCCAAAGCTCCTTTGTCTCCCAAGTTAACTGGCGTGAAGGTAACAGTGGTGCTGGTCTTCCTGTGGACTCAGTACCCCAGTCTTGCCTTCCCCTCATTAATGCAGTCAGGAACTCCCATCTTACAATCCAGGGCAGGCAGGAAGACAGACAGCTTGCTGGGATCCATGTCACACGCAGTCACCATCAGCTGAGCCTTCTTGCTGTGTGTGAACATGGTGGTGGCAGTGTTAACCCTGCTTGAAGGATGGGTGGTCTCTTCGTAGGGGTGTTCCCTTTGCTGACAGCTTTCTTCTTAGCCCAGGACAACAGTCTCTGCTTCTCCTTCTGCTTTACCTCTGGTGTGTACTGGGCCAGCTTAAGCAGTTGGGTGGCTGCGTGAGAGTCTGAGGCCTGGGTGAACTGGCTGATTGCAGGAGGCACTTTCAGCCACTCACGGAAAGAATGGTTCTTTGCCACTGCAACGTGAGACTGTTTGACAAAGCGCGTGAGGTCCGTTTTGGGTTGGATGTCCTGTCCAGTGCCAAGATTCTTATCTTAGGCCTTTTCTCAAACAGAGGATTCACCAGTTTCATGGTCTCCTGCTTCTTCATGACAGCAGGGACTGGGGCCACCTTCTTCTCCTTGGCATTTTTTTTTTTTTTTTTTTGCATCTTATGTGACTGGAGGAGAGAGTGGGTTAGTATTTTTAAAATAAAAGTTGACTCAGTCAGGCGCAGTGGCTCATGCATGTAATCCCAGCACTTTGGGAGGCCGAGGCGGGCGGATCATGAGGTCAGGAGATCGAGACCATAGTGAAACCCCGTCTCTACTAAACATACAAAAAAAACAATTAGCCGGGCATGGTGGCAGGCGCCTGTAATCCCAGATACTGGGGAGGCTGAGGCAGGAGAATGGCGTGAACCTGGGAGGCAAAGCTTGCAGTGAGCCGAGATCACGCCACTGCACTTCAGCCTGGGTGACAGAGAGAGACTCCGTCTCAAAAAAAAAAAAAAAAAAGTTGACTTGGGGGAAGAGTTTTTTTATATCACTAGGGTTTGCAGGAACATTGTAATTTCTAATAAGGTCTATCGAGGTTTACACAGCCAAATGTGCATGCTCCTGTAGCAACCCAACATGATGAATATGCAAAAGCCTGTGGTTGCACCCCTTGCACTGTCCTCCATCTCTCCCATTGAAGTCATTTCGGAATCACTGACCTGCCTCCAGGAGAGCTCCCATTTGCCTGGGGAACAGGGGCAGGCTCAGGCTGGTGAATGGAAAGGATGGGACTGAGTATGGAGTCAAGGAGAGCCCTGGAGATGGGATTTTCCAGACGTGGCAGCCACATGACGTGTGGATTCAAAATTATAGACCTCAGGCTGGGCACAGTGGCTCCTCATGCCTGTAATCCTAGCACTTTGGGAGGCAGATGCCAGCAGATCTCCTGAGGTCAGGAGTTCAAGACCAGCCTGGACAATGTGATGAAACCTCGTCTCTACTAAAAACACAAAAATTAGCCAGGTGTGGTGGCGCATGCCTGTAATCCCAGCTACTCGGGAGGCTGAGGCACGAGAATCGCTTGAACCTGGGAGGCAGAGCTTGCAGTGAGCCGAGATTGCGCCACTGCACTCCAGCCTGGGCAACAGAGCGAGACTCCATCTTGAAAACAAAACAAAACAACAACAAAGACAAAAATTACAGACCTCTGGCACACAGAAGATGGTCACCGAGTGCTGAAGGAAGGAATAGCTGAACATCAAGGAAGAATTTGGGAATCACTGCACCGAATGACTTTCTTCTCATTGGATCAGTAGAGCTCTGTGCATTTGGAATTTGAATCTGGGGCAAATCGAAATCGTGTGGGCCTCCCTCTGAGCTGAATTCTGCAGCCAAACTCAAAATCATGACAGCTGAGAGCCAAGATTTAGCACCTACTGATACCAGATATTGTGCTGAAGCGTTTGCATGGCTTCTCTCAGTTCTTCTCCACAACACCACTGCATGTAGTAATCTTCTTCTCCCAGTTTACTCTTGACGGCACTAAGGCTCAGCCCTTGGTTAGATAGCTTGAAAAGGGAAGAAACAAAGAACTAAGTCTAGGTCTGTTTTACTTCAGATTCCAAAGTCTTTACTCCACTGCTAAGACATTTGACCATCTTACTAAGATGAATCAGTGGGAAGAAAACTTAGATGACCTTTTTTCAGATGAAAGCAGTTTTAACTGAATAAGGTGGGGTTCCTGCCCTTCGGAGCTCAGAATTTCAGAGAGGGAGTGGCAGGTTCTAGGAAACGGGGGAGCAATTCCTAGGTTTGGAGGAGTAGGTTGGGAGAAGACAGGAAAGCAAGCAGGCAATAACTATATAGTCTGATACCAAAGTATGTCAGTGCTCAAGCAGAGAGGCAGGAACTCTAGAATTTGATCTTAAGCAGTTGTGCAGCTGGTTAAGAAGATTCTGCAAGGAAATTTATTTGTTTCTGATGTTGGTGCTTGAAGTCCACAGGACAGGAAGTCAAGAAGAGAAGATAGATGTAGAGCCAGGTAGAGCAAGGACAAGCAGGAGCCCCACAAAGATGGACTGAAACCCGTGTCCACCTGTGTTGCCTCTCGCCTTGGTGACCAGAGTGTTCTGCAGAAGCCATGACACTTTGCTATGGAGCTAAATGCACACCTTTGGCCCAGGAGTGGGAGAAGTTGAAGGAGGATCCGGGGGAATGTGGAGCAGTTGCTGTCCCAGCTGTTGCTTCACACCAATGAGGCAAGTCAGCAGATCAGCAAAAATGCATGTGCTGCATTATAGCATAATTGGAGCTAAGAGAGGAGAAGTAGGGCCCATGGAGATAGCAAAAATGGGAGTAGGGTGAGGTTGCGGGGGATGCTCAGGAAACTCTTCTGATAGCAAGTGGCCTCTTTAAAAAAAATAGAGGCACTCTGTCTCTCTGTTGCCCAGGCTGGAGTGCAGTGCCATAATCAGGGTTCACTGCAACCTTAAACTTTTGGGCTCAAGTGATCCCCCCACGTCAGCCTCCTGAGTAGCTGCCATTACAGGTGTGTGCCACCATGGCCCAACTAATATTTAAAATTTTTTGTAGAGACAGGGTCTGTCTCACTATGTTGCCCAGGCTGATCTTGAATTTATGGACTCAAGTTATCTTCTCGTCTCAGCTTTCCAAGACTCTGGGATTACAGGCATGAGCCACTGTGCCCAGCAGGAAGTGACCTCTTTAGAGTGTCCTGGAACTCAATAAAGAAAGAAGGGGAGTTAGCAGAGCTGTATGTAAGCCTGGAGAATGGCACGTGCAGAGGCTGAGATGTTAGGAGATACTGCTTTTGAGTCTGTAAGCAGGGAGACGGTACAGGGCAGAGCCCAGGTCCCAGAGCCAGCAGAACCTCCTGTTGGGATGCAAGGTCTGCCCCTGCTACACATGACCTACAGCAAGGTGACTAAACCCTCAGAGTCTCTAGTTTTCTCCAGTGTAACACAGGGAGATGCCATGCTCTACCTGGTGGGGTTGCTGGATGGTTAAAGGGTGCATCCCAAGCGAAGCATGGTTCCTGGCATACCACTGACCTCTAGTAAACTCTAGACTTTATCACTTTTTGGTTTGAACGGAGTGATGGGGCTTAATGTTCATCATGGTTGAAGTCTTCCACAGCAGTGGTTCTCAACCAGGGTGATTTTGCCTTTCCCAAGGGACACTTAGAAATGTTTGAAGACATTTGTGGTTGCTGCCACTGGAGAGGGGAGTGCTACTGACGTCTAGTGGGTGGAGGCCAGGAATGTTGCTAAACACCCTGCAAGCCATGGGACGGCCCCACAAGGACTGGTCCAACCCCAAATGTCAATAGTTCCGAGGTTGAAACCTTGACCTATAGCATCCTAAGAACCTTCCTTCCCTCCTCTCTTTCTTTCTTTTCTTTTCTTTCTTTCTCTCTTTCTTTTCTTTTCTTTCTTTCTTTCATCTCTCTCTTTCTTTCTTTCCCTCCCTCCCTCTCTCTCTCTTTCTCTTTCTTTTCTGTCTCTCTCTTTCTCTCTCTTTTTTCTTTCTTTCTTTCTTACTCTCTCTTTCTTTTTCTTTCTTTCTCTCTTCCCTTTTCCTTCCTTCCTTCCTTCTTTCAAGACTCCATCTCAAAAAGAAAAAAATTAGAGAGAGAGAGAGAAAGGAAGGATGGGACAGGAGGCCACGTCAGAGCTTATCAGGTGCCAGATCACTTGAGGGTGGTCAGGGAGGGTGTGCTTTCATCCTGGCTGGAGTGCAGTGGGACAGGTAGCTGGGACCACCGCATGCACTCACGTAGCTGTCATGGCCCCAGATGTGAAGAGTGCCAAGGCTGAGAATCCCTCCATCTGGAAACCCTCTATTGAGACGTCTCCTCTGCCAGAGAGCTCTCTGCATGGCTCCTTCCTTCTCCCATTCAGGCTTCAATTCAAATGTTTTCTCTTCCAAGGTCTCTGTGGACCATGATAACTAAGTCCTCTGGCCCCTTTGCCTTGCTTTGCCCACGAATGACTGTAATATCATTTATTAACTTGTAACACAAATGCATTATCTCTTTACCCTTCAAAACGATCTCTGCTGTTTGGAACCACCTGGTTCTTGAATCTGACCTGATGCATCAAGGGTGTGTCTGGCCCTGTTCTGGGCAGAGCCTCACTTTGTACCAGGAGCTGTGCTTGGCCCCGGGACTAGCCATGGGACTCATCCTCCAGCTCTGTGCAAGGAAAACAGACTTTGTGCAAACACATGGTGCTTTCTGTAGACTCCAAGATGGTGGTATGGATTGTAAGATGTACTGTTACTTTATATACCCACAGGAAACAGAAAAATGCCCACAACTTAAGCATGACTGCCACCCATGTAGGACACAGCCTGATTTCAGAGATGTGAGAGAGTGGGGACAGGAGGAGGTGGATCTTAGAGTGGACAAAAGAGGGTAAAGTAAAGTGTGCCCAGCGTTAAAATCTACAGGAGGGGTGTGAGAGAAGCAGGTAAGAGGGAGCTGTCCTGTGGGTGAATTGAGGGCTCTACGAAGGTAGTGACACCTGATGTGGCAACAGAAAGAAGGAGAATAGGAACCAGACTGGAGCAGGGGAGGGTGGTGGGGCCAGTGGCACGAGGGAAAGAGGTGGGAATGCCGTGTGCCGAGGTGAGGAGCCATGGGGGATACTGGCTTCCTCAGGGACCTGGATGGAGGCTGGGCGGCGGGAGCAGAGGGGTTTTTGGGGCTGGAATATCACAGTTCTTGCAGACTCTGGTAAGAAGCCCAAGTGTTACTGTGTGCATGATCTGAAGCCATGAAAGTTTTTTTAAAAGTTGTGTGTGTGTAAGAAAGACGGATGAAATTATATTTTCTTTTTAAAATTTATTTTTTAAATTTTATTTATTTATATAATTGTTTTAGAGACGGACACTTGCTATGTTGCCCAGGCTGGACTCAAACTCCTAGGCTCAAGGGATCCTCCTGGGTAGCTGGGACCACAGGTGCACGCCATTCTGTCTGGCTTATTTTCTTCTTCATGGCTTCTCTGATTTCTTTTTTCCACCCTCAGGCTCTATTTTTTTGGATCCTCTGGTTTCTTTTATACATGTATAAAACATATATATATTTTAGACACACCTATAAATATATATAAAGATGCATCTATAAATATATATAAAGACATCTATAAATATATATAAAGACATCTGTAAATATATATAAAGACATCAGTAAATATATATAAAGACATCTATAAATATATATAAAGACATCTATAAATATATATAAAGATGCATCTATAAATATATATAAAGACATCTATAAATATATATAAAGACATCTATAAATATACATAAAGACATCTATAAATATATATAAAAAATCTATAAATATATATAAAGATGCATCTATAAATATATAAAGACATCTATAAATATATAAAGATGCATCTATAAATATATAAAGACATCTATAAATATATATAAAGACATCTATAAATATATATAAAGACATCTGTAAATATATATAAAGACATCTGTAAATATATATAAAGACATCTATAAATATATATAAAGACATCTATAAATATATATAAAGATGCATCTATAAATATATATAAAGACATCTATAAATATATATAAAGACATCTATAAATATACATAAAGACATCTATAAATATATATAAAAACATCTATAAATATATATAAAGATGCATCTATAAATATATAAAGACATCTATAAATATATAAAGATGCATCTATAAATATATAGACATCTATAAATATATAAAGATGCATCTATAAATATATAAAGACATCTATAAATATATATAAAGACATCTATAAATATATATAAAGACACATCTATAAATATATATAAAGACATCTATAAATATATATAAAGACGCATCTATAAATATATATAAAGGCATCTATAAATATATATAAAGATGCATCTATAAATATATATAAAGACATCTATAAATATATATAAAGATGCATCTATAAATATATATAAAGATGCATCTATAAATATATATACAAATATATATATAAAAAGATATACATACAAAATATATATTTTTGTTAAGATATAGGGTCTTACTATGTTGCCCAGGCTGGTCTTGAACTACTCTTGGGCTCAAGCGATCCTCCTGTCTTGGCCTCCCAAAGTGCTGAGATTACAGGCATGAGCCACCACACCCCACTGATCCTCTGATTTCTAAGGAGAGCTGATGATGGTAGAGCAATAGTAGAAGAAAGGAAACCAGGTGAGTGACCACTACAACCATCCAGGCAGGAGGCAATGGTGCTTTGAACTAGGAGTGGTGTCTAAACAGGGGTAGAAAAGATGAGGCAGGAGGGAGAGACTTTTCTGACCAGGAAATAGAAGCAAGTTTCTTAAAACCAGGATCAGTCACACGAGGAGACTGATCCAGAGAATTACTGCTGCATGAAATGGCCCAGCTGGTTCCCAAGGCATTTTTGTGTTGCCATCTGACTCAGGAAGGGGGACAATGTTTTTGGACTGAGAACCACGCGGTCAGAATTCTGGGCTGGATACGGTGACACACGCCTGTAATCCCAGCACTTTGGGAGGCCGAGGTGGGTGGATCACCTGAGGTCAGGAGTTTGAGACCAGCCTGACCAACATGGTGAAATCCCATCTCTACTAAAAATAGAAAGAAATTTAGCCAGGTATGGCGGCATGTGCCTGTAGTCCCAGCTACTCGGGAGACTGAGGTAGGAGAATCGCTCGAACTTGGGAGGCAGAAGTTGCAGTGAGCCAAGATCACGCCACTGCACTCCAACCTGGGCGACAGAGCTAGACTCTGTCAAAAAAAAAAAAAAAAATTCTGGAGTTGCCATTTCTAAACCATAAAAACATGTGCAAGCTGGTTGTGGTCCTCCAAACTATATCTCTAAATCCTCTTTTCCAGCAGCTTTTCTCTAATTTCCAAACAATGACCATCTTCTCTAACGTGTTGCTTTGTATCTTGGGTGCTCGAAACAGTAAGTTCTCAGTAAACCCCAGCTATTCTGCTGCCGTTCTTGCTTCTTATTTTATTATGATTTTTCCACCAGTCTGGAGCATTCAGTACGGGATACATTTTGCTATTACATACCACACATGACATTGACTATATTACTTGTTTTTTGGTCTGTGTCTTCCATTAGATGGTGAGTATCTCAGGGGCAAGGACCATGTCCTAATGCCCAAAACAGTTCCTAGCAAAGAGTCAATAATCAATAAATGCCTGTAGAACCAGATCATAGCATATCTAATGCATAACTCCCAAGCAATGAGCTGCATTTCCCTAGTGTATTCTATAGCTTCAGTTTTGTGGGTAAAAATGCTTATGCAAGCTGCTCTTTTTCCAGCAATAGACAGTATCAGGTAGTGACCTTCCAAGGGCACATATGCATGGGGCTTTGGTTCAGAAGTCAGCTTTCTGCAAGAGTCTTTACAAAACACAGATATGGAAATGTTTATGGAGGACATGGTATCATGTCTGGGATTTGCTTTACAAACAATGCCAGTGATGTGATGGGGGTATAGACACAACAGGTTGGGCCATGAGCTGATGACTGCAGACAATGAGTAGAAGGGATTTCTTATGCTATTTTGCCTACCTTTGTATATTCTCAAACTTTTTCCATGATACTGCCCCCCCGTCCATCCCTTCTCACAAGCAAAGCCAAGGTAATCTTTCCACACAACAGATAGGACAACATCATTCTCCCATTTCAAATTCCCACTACCTTGTGGAAAGAATCAGAAAGAGGCAAATCTTGCTTAATTCTCACCACACTCAGGGCTTCGAATGCTTATCGGTTTCATGGGAAGAAAATGAAATACTGATAAAACCTGCGATGACATCTTTGGCTCCAGCAGTTATAGGCTTTCCTCCTTGGGGAGCAGCGTTCACAGCTATTTTCCCTTCTGCAAGCATTTTACTGCAAAGCAATTGTGAATGATGAATTGAGCATCTCAGAAATCATCAGCAATATATTCTGAGCAAACTGCCGAAAGGAAGCTTCGCCCAGCAATTCCCAAACCAGCAGTTGTTTATCATGTGTGCGGCCTATATGTAATTGGGATTCTGTGTTCCATTTCTTTGGGTACCTCCAAAGCTGTCTGCATCATGATTCTCCAGGGACTCAGAAAACAAAAGTGTTCTCCATCTTTTGAAGCGAATAAAGTTCTATAACGCAAACCTTGAAGGTCACGTTTCCCAGGGGCGGACATACCTAAAGCATGTGTCATAGGATCAGCTTTCCTTACAGCTAATCCCCCCAACAGCTGGGCTGGCTCTGTGACCTGTCAGACTGCTTCTGACCAGCCCGTGGTCCTTCACGGAAGGCTACGGGGATCGAGCTGACTGCCTTGATCAGCGGCAGCTGCTGCAAGCTGTTGGCAAGGGAGCTGCTGTTGATAGCCTTGAGCTGCATGAAATTTGTCACAGATGACGAGTCAACGTATAATTCACCCTTGCTGTGTAATTCTGAAAGGCACTCCCCCGTAATGAAAAGGGAGACATTATTTGAGGCATCCTTGGTCACTCTCCAACTTGCCCTATAGCAAATTATTCCACCCACCATGAGGGTCTTAGGACACACACCCACATTTTCCCAAAATTAGAGACGTGGCTTTACTGACTTTTTGTGGATAGAGGACCCTAGGAATCCAGATAAAGCCTCCAGGTATCCTTTCAGAAGAACAGGAATGTTTTAACAAAATACGACAACAACAACAACAACAACAACCCAAACTCCAGAAGACTCCAGCAGCAAGAATGGCTTGTGGGTCTTTTTCTTTTCTTTCTTTCTTTTTTTTTTTTTTTAATTTATTTTAGGTTCAGGGATACATGCGGAGGTTTGTTATATAGGTAAAGTGCGTGTCTCAGGGGTTCGGTGTACAGATAACTTTGTCACCCGGGTAGTAAGCCTAGTACCTGATAGGTATCTTTTCTGATCCTCTCCCTCCTCCCACCCTCCACCCTCAGGTCTGCCCCTCCTGGGATCTATGGGTTCTTGTTGTTTAGCTCCCCCTAATAAGTGAGAACCTGCAGTATTTGACTTTCTGTTCCTACATTAATTTGCTAAGGATAATGGCCTCCAGCTCCCTTCATGTTACAGCAAAGGACATGTTTTCCTTCTTTTTTGTGGCTGTGTAGTATTCCATGTTATATAGGTACCACATTTTCTTTATCTAGTCTACCATTGATGGGCATTTACATGGATTCCATGTCTTTGCTGTTGTGAATAGTGCTGCAATAAACATACGCATGGGGCTTTTAGGAACAGATTTCCGTCGATCTCTTCCCAGTTCTTTGTCTAGGTTGCCATTCACCTTCACGCCTCCTCCACCCTCAGATTACTCTGTATCTTGTCAGAAATGCACACATGAGGCATTTGACAGCACAGACTCACTCTCCAACCCTGCCAAGAGAGTTGCTCTTTCAGGACCTCCATTTCTCCACTTTGGACAGGGGATAAGAATGATTCCCACCTCCCAGGCTCCCCCAAAGGTTAAAGTAGGAAATGGGGTTACCATGCTCGGCATGTGGCTGGGAGTTGTGTGTCTTAGAGTGTGTGTGAATGTGAGTCGGTGAGAGGTGATCCTAATTACTGAATGGGATTTAATCATCCCTTGCTCTTGTGTAGCAGAAATCTTAGTCTAATTCAGGGTTCTATGCTGTTAGAGGCTGCTATGACCTCAATGGTGCTCCTTGACCAAAATTTACATTGAAGCTCTAACCCCCAATGTGACTGTATTTGGAGACAGTGCTTTTAGAGAGGTAATTAAGATTATATAAGCTTCATAAGGGTGGGCTTTTAAGTCAATATAACCGGTATCTTCATAAGAAAAGGGACACCAGTTCAGGTCTCTTCCCCTACCCCACCACCTCTGCCATGTGAGGACACAGCAAGAAGGTGGCCATCTGCAAGCCAGGAAGAGAGTCCTCACCAGGAACAGAATTTGCCAGCACCATGATTTTGGACTTGCAGCCTCCAGAACTGTAAGAAAATACATTTTTGTTGTTTAAGCCACTCAGTCTGTGTGATTTTGTTATGGCAGCTGGAGCTAATGAACACAGGACCTAGGCTCCTTCTGTCTTGTTATTCTGAATTCTTCACCAGGTGGCTTCTACCTCACTGTCTAGAGAGCTGGCTGAATTCAGGCAGCATTTCTGCCTTCTAGCTAAGAGGAAGAGAGGTGAGGCAAAGAAAGATTCCACCCCCAATATTCCCTTTAAGGCTTCTCTTAGTCCACACTCCATACATGTGCTTTCATCCTATTGGCCAGACCTTGGTTGCATGGCCACATCTAGCTACAAGTGGTGCAGATATTTGGCCCAATCCGAACACAAGCTTGAATGGGAAATTATAGATAGGCTCTATACGTCATAAAGAGCTGTTAGTTTGGGAATTTCTAGGTGAAGGCTCCTTTAGGTGGTTGACCTCAAATATATTACTGGTGATTTCTGAGATGTCATATTTATCACTCGTAATTCAAAGATGGGTGCTTACAATAAAACGATTCTAGGTGGGAAAATGCCTGTAAGCTTTGCTTACCACGGAAGGAAGCTCTTAGATAAAGGGACCAAAGACATAATTATAGGCTTTATGAATATTTTATGCTCTTCCCAAGAAACCAGTAGATTTTTGCAGCTCTGAGTATACTGAGAATTAAGCAAAATTTTTCATTTTCAATTCTCTCTTTCTTTTAAATGTGCTTCAGAATAAGAATTAAGTATGCTTAAAAAAAAACTTTTTCCAGAGGGCAGCAGGGTTTAGAATAGCAGAGTGACATGGTCAGATTTGCAATTTAGAAAGTTTACTTGACATTTAATGGGAGAAGTGATCAGTGGGATAGATGTTACCTGTCTGTTCACTTTTCAGAAATTTTGCCCCATCTGTGTTAAGAACTAGGCCATGAGGTGCTATTTACCGTTGTTCTATAACATAAACTTTTATTTTTATTTATTTGTTTATTTATTTGAGACAAAGTCTTAGTCTATTGCCCAGGTTGGAGTGCAGTGGTGTGATCTCAGCTCACTGCAACCTCCGCCTCTCGGGTTCAGGTGATTCTCCTGCCTCAGTCTCCTGAGTAGCTGGAACTACAAGTGTGTGCCACCAGGCCCACCTAATTTTTGTATTTTTGGTAGAGACAGGGTTTCACCATGTTGGCCAGGCTGGTCTTGACCTCAAATGATCCGCCTGCCTCGGCCTCCCGAAGTGCTGGGATTACAGGCATGAGCCACTGCACTTGGCCTATAACATTAACTTTAAACACCCGAGTGAGAATCATTTTAAAGTTTTGATATCATGAATATGCATGGAAAGCCAGCGTCACCTCCCTTAAGTGGAAGACAGAGTAAAAGAAAGAACAATGATAAAAAACAGCAACAGCAACAACAACAACATGCACAAGTGTGCCTAAACCAGTGGTTCTCAAACAGGGGTGGCTTTGTCTACTTGGGGACATCTGGAAGTGTCTGGAGATGTCTTTAGTTGTCACACGTGGGGAAGAGGGCCTTGCTCCTGCCATCCAGGGGGTAGAGACCAGGGGTGCTGCTTATCAGCTTACAGTGCAGAAGACAGCCCTCCTGCCCACCCACCAAACAATTATTCAGCCCAAAATGTCCACAGTGCTGAGACTGGAAACCCTGGGTTAGATGCCATCGCCTGCCAATGATCTGAGCAAAGCTCTCCTTTGTTTAAAAAGTAATTAGCAAGTGTGACGGAAATGTTGAAGGCACACCAGCACCTACGAGGAACGTCTCTTTGAATGAACTAGAAAGACTTGGCAAGCGAATAACATTATCATGGTGAGACTCAGTTATCTTTAGCACCGAAGCATCTGATATGGCATTCCCACAGTGCAATCTGTCCATATTCCGGGACAGTCTGGGCAGAGGACGGAAAGGAGCTGAGAAAATCCATGCAGTCAGTTGCGATAATCTGAGCCGCAGGTGATGGCGTGGGACGGGGAAGAGGGGGTGATGTCTAGCGATTTCTAGACAGTAGGAGATGAAGGTGGAATTGATAGGACTTGCAGGTGGGTGGGACTCAGGCTTCAGAGGAAAGGAGTGAAGCAAGAATGAATCCTCAATTTGGTCTTGAGTGGCTTGTTAAGTGGTAGTGACATTTCATGAGTTGGACAAGACTGGGGCGTGGAGGGGATGGTTAGGAGCTGGCTGTGGTTGTTCAAGCCAGATACAATAGAAAACACTAGGGTGGTGGCCGTGGAGAGGGAGAGGAGACCCAAGAGCAATTCACATGGTGTCGGCATGGCCAGGGGCAGGCAAGTGAGGCATTGGCCTCAGGTGCAAAATTTAAAGGGCAGTGGAAAACCTCAATATTCCAGATAGTGTGTGTGTATATATATATATATATATATATATATATATATATATATATATATATATATGTATGTGTATATATATATGTATGTGTGTATATATGTATATATGTGTGTATATATATGTATGTGTATATATATGTGTGTATATATATGTATGTGTGTGTGTGTGTGTGTGTGTGTATATATATATATATATATATATATATTCTTTCTGAGACAGAGTCTCTCTCTGTCACCCAGGCTAGAGTGCAGTGTCTGAATCATGGCTCACTGCAACCTCAGTCTCCTGGGTTCAAGTAATTCTCCTGCCCCAGCCTCCTGAGTAGCTGGGATTACAGGTGCCCGCCACCATGCCTGGCTAATTTTTGTATTTTTAATAAAGACAGGGTTCACCATGTTGGCCAGGCTGGTCTCGAACTCCTGACCTCAGGTGATCCACCTGCCTCAGCCTCCCAAAGTGCTGGGATTACAGGCGTGAGCCACCACGCCTGGCCTATAAATAGTATTTTAAGGCAGTATTTTGCGAGACTTACATCCCTCCCTTTTCCTAATGCCAACTGCATCAGATCCCATCTTTAGTTAAAATGTTGGTATTTTCTGCATTGTCTATTTTTTTGCATTAATTCAGAAATGTTAAATAAACATTACATTAAAATATGAATTACCTCGATTACTTGATGTTTGCACCCTGCCTCCTTAGATTTTGGCCCTGATCTGAGCACCTCACCCATCCTGGCCCCTGGGTATGGGGAAACAGATGGTGGAAACATTTCCAAGGGAGGAGAAGCCGTTAGAATTTTCACACAAGGCTGCATGGCCACAGTGGAGCCTCAGCTCTCCTGCTGTCTGTGGAGTTTCTATTGAGCCAAAGGCCAGGCTGGATTCCAAGCAGGACACGCATCCCTGTAATTGAGGAAGGGAAGGATTTCTTGGATACAGCACAGCACAGACAACATGTTGGAGGCAACCCTGTCCAAAAAATATTTAACACTAACCATCTGTTTGACAAATCTACGACTACATTCTGTTTTTAACTAGATTTTCCTCTACCATTTCAGAACTGATCACTTTATAACATTATTTTCAGAAGAAGTAATAAGGACCTAAGGACTCTTCGTGGTGTCTTGAAGCTGGTTGTTGCTCAATAAATGCTCACTGAGAAGTTCCACTCGTGGATGTGTTAGAATGAAGAGAGTTTTGTTTGTTTTGGAGTCTCACTATGTGTGTACATGTGTGCATGTGTATGTGCGTGAAATTAAAAATATATTTGTGTGTGGACCATTGTTACATAAGATGTCAGCATTACAGAAGTGCTTTCCTGTGGAGGTGATACTGAAACTGGTGTCTCAAGGTTGTGTTGGCATTGCCTAGCTGTGGGAGTGGGGAGAGAGCATTCCAGGCAGAGGAATACTCTATTAGTCCGTTCTCACACTGCTGTAAAGAACTGCCTGAGATTGGGTAATTTATAAAGGAAAGAGGTTTAATTGACTCACAGTTCCACAGTGCTGGGGAGGCCTCAGGAAACTTACAATCATGGTGGCAGGCAAAGAAGAAGCAGGCACCGCTTCACAGGGCAGCAGGATGGAGTGAGTACAAGCAGGGGAAATGCCAGGTGCTTATAAAACCATCAGATCTCATGAAACTCACTCACTATCACGAGAACAGCATGGAGGAAACCACCCTTATGTTCCGATTCTCACCACCTGGTTTTGGCCTTGACACATGGAGACTACAATTTGAGATGAGACTTGGGTAGGGACACAGAACCAAACCATATCAAATAGCGTGTTCAAGTACCCCACAGTGGCAGGACATACGAAGGTCTTAGGGAACTGGCCACATCCCAGAAGTTCTGGAAGGTAGAGGGGAGGATGATGAGGCTCAGCACAGTAGGAGATGCTGGAATAGGAAAGGGTTCATCATCTATGGCTCTTGCTCTTTATCCCCAAAGCAATAGGTGCCTTTGCATTGTTCCCAGTGAGCTGGGCAGTGACACCAGCATGGGTATTTTCCAACATTGTCCTGGCTTCAGTGTGGAGATGGATTGGAGGGGCTGAGGGTAGATGAAGGAAGGTCTGTCAGACAGCTACTTACTCGTGGAATGTATCAGTTATCTATTGCTGTGTAACAAGCAGCCCCCAAAATGCAGTGACATATAAAACAACTCATTGTTTCTCACCTTCCATGGTATGCTATCATGGTATGATAAGAAATGTCTTCATCCCACGTTTCTTCAAAACCCTTGTAATTTCCTGGGAGTGATAGAGGTGAGAGGAGTGTCTTTCTATTATTCATAACAAATCCTATTTCACTTATATCTAAGTTTATGTTAATGAAGTAGCTTTTGAAAAACACCAAAGGATGGGGGCTGGTTGCCAGGGGAACCAACCATCTGATTAGAGGATTGGAATTTGTAGCCCCAACTCCTGACCTCCAGGGAGGGCAAAAGGGCTGGAGGTTGAATTGATCACCAATGGGCAATGATTTAATCAACCATGCCTACATAATGGAATCTCCATAAAAACCTAAACAGGATCTGGGGAGTTTTCAGGTAGGTGAACACGGGTGGTACACCTGATGAGGCAGGGAAACGCCGCACCCTCTCTGCACACCTTTCCTTCAGCATCTTCCATTGGGCTGTTCCTGAGTTGCAGCCTTTATTATGGACCATTAATAGTAAGGAAAGTGTTTCCCTGAGTTCTGTGAGCCGTTCTAGCAAATTATCAAACCTGAGGAGGGGGCCGTGGAAACCCCCAGTTTTTTTTTGGTGGAGGTAGTTGTAATTTTTTATGTTTTATTTTGCTTTAAGTTCAGGGATACATGTGCCATGGTGGTTTGCTGCACCTATCAACCCGTCATCTAGGTTTTAAGCCCCACATGCATTAGGTATTCGTCCTGATGCTCTCCCCCGCCTTGCCTGCTACCCCCAGATAGGCTCTGGTGTCCGTTGTTCCCCTCCCTGTGTCCATGTGTTCTTATTGGAACTCCCAGCTTACAGCTGCTTTGTCAGAAGCACAGGTCACAACCGGGGAGTTATGATGGGTATTTGAAGCTGGGTGGGGACAGTCTTGTGGAATTGAGCCCTTAATCACTGGAGTCTGCACTAATTTTGGGCACTCAGTGTCATAATTGAGCTAACTTGTGGGACACCCAGTCCATGTCTGCTGACAAGTGGAGCATTGGATGGTGTGAGAGAATCTCCCACATATTTGGTGTCAGGAGTGTTGAGAGCATACAGAAAATCAGTGTGCTTCCTTTTTACATGGGTTGTCTGGTGGTTCCATGCTGTCTTTGCCTGGGCCCACGTGTGTGGCCTCATTCAGCTGGAGGATGGGGTGGGGTGGGAGGAACATGAGATGCCTTCCCTTATATATTTAGCAATTGTGTGGACTCTCCACCAGGGTCTGGGTTCCCCTCCATGTGGACTCCCCTCTTCCTGGGCCAGTGAACGAGGCGAGGCTTCCTCACAGCACTGTGGTCTCAGCATTCCAAGAGTGTGGAAAGGAAAGCTGCAAGGCTTCATGGGCCTCACGGCGGCAGGCACATGCTATCGTTTCTACCACGTTCCGTTGCAAAAAAAAAAAGTTGCAGAGCCAGGCCAGAGCCAGGAAACATGGGAGACAGACACCCTTCTACCCTTCTGGAGCATCAAGTGATTTTTGGCCATTTTTAATCTTCAACATTACATATATATATATATATATATATATATATATATATATATATATATATTTTTTTTTTTTTTTTTTTTTTTTTTTTTTTTTGAGGTGGAGTCTTGCTCTGTCACCCAGGCTAGAGTGCAGTGGTGCGATCTCGGCTCACTGCAAGCTCTGCCTCCCGGGTTCATGCCATTCTCCTGCCTCAGCCTCCTGAGTAGCTGGGACTTCAGGCACCCGCCACCACGCCCGGCTAATTTTTCTCTTTTTTTGTATTTTTAGTAGAGACGGGGTTTCACCGCGTTAGCCAGGATGGTCTTGATCTCCTGACCTCATGATCCGCCTGCCTTGGCCTCCCAAAGTGCTGGGATTACAGGCCTGACCCATCGCGCCCGGCCACCAATATATTTTTTTAATTTTTTGAGAAAAGGTCTCGTTCTGTCACCCAGGGTGGAGTGCAGTGATGTGATAATGGCTCACTGCAGCCTCACACTCCTGGGCTCAAGTGATCCTCCTGCCTCAACATCCTGAGTAGTTGGGATTACAGGCATGAGCCACCATGCCACACTTAACCAATCATTAAGTATTGTGCTTTTTTTGTTTTTGTTTTTGTTTTGTTTTTACATTTCAATAGTTTTTGGAGTACAGGTGGATTTTGGCTACATGGATAAGTTCTTTGGTGGTGATTGCTGAGATTTTGGTGCACCCATCAAAATGTACAGTGTGGCACATTGACTGCACTGTACCCAACATGTAGTCTTTTATCCCTCACCTCCTTCCCGACCTTTCTCTGCGTCCCCAAAGTCCATGATATCATTCTTATGCCTTTCAATCCTCATAGCTTAGCTCCCACTTACAAGTGAGAACATACGATATTTAGTTTTCCATTCTTCAATTACTACATTTAGAATAATGGCTTCCAGCTCCATACAAGTTGTTGCAAAAGACATCATTTTGTTTCTTTTTATGGCTGAGTAGTATTCCATGGTGTGTCTATACCACATTTTCCTTATCCACTCTTTGGTCAATGGGTACTTAGGTTGGTTCCCTGTCTTTGCAATTGTGAATTGTGCTGCTATAAACATATATGTGCAAGTGTCTTTTTCATGTAATGACTTCTTTTCCTTTGTGTAGATACCCAGTAGTGGGATTGCTGGACAGAATGGAAGTCCTGCTTTTAGTTCTTTAGGGAATCTCTATACTGTTTTCCATAGTGTCAACCAATCATTTTTGAGGGTGCCCCACACTGCTCAGGTGGTTGTGCATCAGCAGGAAACCCAATAGGTGATTGCCAAGTCCTTTCGGAGCTTACAATCTAATAAGAGAAGACAGGTAATAAACAAAAATAAATGTATGCTGTGTCAGGTATTAGGAAGAAGAACAAGGCAGGGTGAGATGGTAGAGAAGGTGGAGGGAGGCAGCTATTTTAGGAAGGGAGGTCAGGAAAGTCTCTGGGGAGAGAGCATTTGAACAGGAAGCGCTGAAGGAGTGAGAGAACTGGAAATGAGGCTCACTGCAGGAAGGACTCCAGGATGAGAGCACAACAAAACCAAATCCCCCAGAGGGAGCAGGCCTGAGCAAATGTGCTGGAGAGTCATAGTGGCTGAAATCAACAGCCACTCTGCGGGAAAAAGTATGAAGCAAAGGAGAGACGTAGCAGGAGCCAGCTCTCATGAGGTCATGTCATAGGCCATTGAGAGGATTTTTTTCTGACTCTGATAACTATGTGGGCTTGGAAGAACAATGTTGGTGGTTACTGACAGCTTGATGTATTAGTTACCCACTGCTGTGTAACAAACCACCTCAAAACTTAGTGGCTCAAAACAACAACAGACATTTATCATCTCAGTTTCTGTGGATCAGGAATTTGGAAGTGAGTTAGCTGGGTGGTTCTCTCTCAGGGTCTCTTATAACATTGTGGTTAGGATGTGGACCAGGGCTACAGCCATTTAAAAGCTGGGCTAGGGCTAAAGAATCCACTACCAGGATGGCCCACATACAAGGCTGATGAATCAGCTCTGGCTGTTGGCAGGAGGCCTTGGTTTCTCCATAAGACTGCTTGAACATCCTCACATCATGGTAGCCGGCTTCCCTTAGAGGAGGTGACCCAAGAGAAAGCAAGGCAGAAGCCACAAGATCTCATAGAACCCAGCCTCAGGAGTCACACAGCCATGTCTGCCATATCTTACTGGTTGCACAGCCCCCTTCAATGTGGGAGGGAACCACAAAGGAAGGAATACCTGTTGGCTAGGGTCAGAGGGGACCATCTTGGAGTCTGGCTGTTGCACACTGCCTTATTTTAGGGGCTCCAGGAAACCTTCTCTCACTAACCTGATATTGTACAGACAATTTCTCCAGGAACCAGAGAAGGGTAAGGATTTGAGCAAAAGCAGTATTTATTTTCTCAGGAGAAGAGAATCTCCATGACTCTAATCTTTTGGTTGTCATTTTTTTTTAAAGTCTATTCTCAGATTTCACTTTTGTTCTTTTCATTATTTCATGTGACAAGTAAGTGTTATTTGTCTCTTCTGCAGGGCAGTACAGTGAGAAGATGAAGAAGTCACAAACATTCAGGGGTGCAGAACGAGGTTGGGAGACAGGTCTAAGGTTAGGCATAAAGGCAGAGCCTGACCAAATACAAACAAGCACCTGAACTCAGGGAAGAAAGAGACAATACATTAATTAACAAAGACATGATTTCAGAGAGGAATTTGCTCTGTGAAGAATTTAAAATAAAAGAACGTGATCTTTTAGACAGGATGCTCTGGAAATGAGATAAGGATATTGGAGCTGAGACCTGAATGATGAGAAGTGAAATGTCTGGGGAAGGGAACAGCAGGTGCAAAGGCCCTGGGTTGGGTACAATCCAGGCCACTTGGAGTCTCTTAGCAATCAGATTCCAGGACATTGCCTGGGGCTGTTTCTCAGAACATGTAATGACTATATATTTTTAAAGGTCAGTCCAAGGGGGCCCTCCTCTCCACCTGTGAGCTGGTTGGGTTCCCATTTTCTGGTTCTTCCAGTGATCAGCGGTGCATTCTTGGGCAAGTCACTTCACCTCTCTGTGCCTCAGTTTTCCTACCTGTAAAATCAGGGTATTAATTATGCCCACTTCAAAGGTTGTTGATATAATTAAGAGGAAAAGTGAGTCAGAGTAATTTAGTCTAGGACTAAAAGTAATTTAGTCTAGGACGAGGAACATAGTATGGCTCAAAGACATTTCTCTAATTAATCCGCTGGTCATTCTGGTCCCTATGCCTGTTCTGGTTCAGGCAAGCAAGTCTCCTACCACCTGTGTTTGGGAGGCCAGCCCTTTCTCCCACACCTGACACCTCATTTTCTGGACAAGGGTCGCAATCTTCCTTGGTCTCTTGGCTTGTGGCCATCATCTGTATTTCTTGGTCATTCACACCTCCATGAATCTGCGCTTTTTCTAAACGACCCTTTGCACCTCTGGGCACCTATTCATGTTTCCTTGTGTGCCCTGCTCCTCCCAGGGGATGGGGATGCAGGTAGACGAGATGGATAGGCCACTGCTTTAGGGACCTTTGTTGCAGTACAGTGAGACTAATTCGAAAGAAACAAATACAGAGAGCTCAGATTCTGATAAGTGGAAGAAAAATACTGAGAAAGGTGGACTTGAGTCAATACTAACGTCTCAATGTTGGTTAGTCGATTATAAGAAATGTACCACCCCAAAACACGACGCTGATAATAGGGAAGTTGGGTTGGTGTGGGCCGTATGAGAACTCTCTGTAGTTTGTGCTTAATTTTTCCATAAACTTAAAATTGCTTTAAAAATAAAGCCTATTAATTTTTTAAAAGTTGCTGAAACTGAATATTTTGTGAACCTGTGAGGGATGAAAGGAAATATTACAAAATTTACATTTTTATTCATTCTATTATTGTTTCATGTTAATGATTTACAATTGCATTTTTTTTCTGCAACTCTTGCCTCTGCATGGTTATAACTGCATTTTATAGCATATTGGTAAATGAGCTGTGACATTTAATGTTTTTTTAGAAAACAAACTCTGCATGATATTTGAAAATAAAATATATATAGAGAGTGAACAAAGCAGCAAGTGGCAGGGAGGGTAGGTTTTCTTAGGCAAGCACTTTCCTTCAGCAGGTCTGGCATGGGCCTGGGCACCTGCATTTATAGCAGCCATCCCTCCACACCAGGGGATCCTGGTGCAGGGATCTCTAAGGCTCAATTAGAGTGACACCTGTCTCCTGTCAGGAGGGGCTGAGCTCCTTATAAGCACCCTCTGATTTAATTCTCAAATGACTCAATGAGCTAGACATGATTGCTTTCCCCATTTCAGAAGGTTAAGCATAGGCTCAGTGAGGTGGAGTCAGTCACTTCTATTCACGTATTTGTTCCCAAAATATTTCTGTTCTCTGGCCTCTGTGTGCCTGGGCCTTCACACTGAAGCCACACACTGACTGCAGAGTCAGGAACATTCCAGTCTCCCGGCTCTCTCTGCCCCTTCCTCAGCTCTTTCCTGCCTCACCTCCAAGGCAACAGTGGATCTGGGGGCCCATCCCTATGGCAGGTGGGAGCCTCCTTGGGCAGAATAGGGTGGTGGAGGGAAGCAAGAGCAGCGCAGCTGTGGAGGGGCAATCTGGGGACCCCAGCAGAGGTCACCACATGGATTTTGTCAGTGCTAAATGTCTTGGGTAGGGTGTTTGAAATCCTCTTCTGACTCTCAAGGAAATCATCAGGTTTCAATTCACATTCCATTCTGTTAGTGTGAGTAACACAGACATTGTCATTTCTCATTAGGAACCTATCCATCTATTCATACATCCATTTATCCACCCATCGTTTTGATCCATCCACAAATCCATCCACCCAGCAATTTATGCATCCATCTAATACCCATGCACCTGTCCATATATCCAACGAGCCATCCATTCATTGATATATCATCCATCCACACAACCATCAATTCAACCAGCCATCATTCATTCATCTATCCATTGATCACTCATCCATCCATAACACACATACATCCACACAACCATCAATTCAGCAAACCATCCATTCATTCATCTATCCATTGATCACCCATCCATCCATAACATACATACTTCCACGCAACCATCAATTCAACCAGCCATCCATTCATTCATCTATCCATTGATCACCCATCCATCCATAACACACATACATCCACACAACCATCAGTTCAGCAAACCATCCATTCATTCATCTATCCATTGAGCACCCATCCATCCATAACATACATACCTCCACGCAACCATCAATTCAACCAGCCATCCATTCATTCGTCTACCCATTGATCACCCATCAATCCATAACATACATACATCCACGCAACCATCAGTTCAACAAACCATCCATTTGTGCATTTATCTAACTAGTCATCAGCCCACCCAGACATCCTTCCAATCAACCATCCTTCCATGATTCATCCATCTGTCATGCATTCATCCATCTGTCATGCATTCATCCATCCAGTAGCTATTGTAGCCACTGAGATCATAAATGTGAACAACTCCTTCCTTGCTGATGGTTAGAATGAATGGGTAAAGCAGTCATTAACCAGAAAGTTACATAAAACAATACCAGATGAACAGTAATGTATTTAGTACCACCTATGTGCCCCAGATAAGAAAGATGAGACATTGGACCTCAAGAAGCTACAATTTATGTGGAGAAGGTGGACAACAAATACACGACTTAACAGACACGAGAACTGATCTCCAAAAAGAATGGACTCTCTACAGGAGGTAGCACAGATGTGTGTCAGAGGTCAGTCAGGAGGGTCTGGGAACACCATCTGTGGTCAGTGACACCAGGGCTGAGGTCCGACTGGTTAGAAGGAGCCTGCCATAGAGATGTTTGGGGAGCCAGCAGGTGCCGATGCCCAGAGGTGAGAAGGAAATGGAATAGGCTGAGGTGGGCTGGGTAGGGTGAGTTCAGGGCCAGTGGCAGGAATGGGGTGGGAGAGGAAGGCAAGGGGAGAAAGGCAGGACCTTCCAGAACCAAGATAAGAAATGTGAATAGTGCTCTTCTGAGAAGACACTGAGTCTTGATTGTGGAGGTGATGTGGTCTGTGAGTGTTGTCAATTCTCCTTCTGGCTCCTGAGTGGAGGAGGGATGAGAGAGAGGCTGGCGTGGAGTCAGAGAGTCAGTGAGAGGCTGCAGCTGCTGCCATCCAGGGGAGAGATGATGGCGGCTTGAGCACTGAATATGTACTGATATTTATGTTACTATATAAACAGTGTGAATTGGTCATGGCTTATATTAATATTTCTTTTCTTTTCTTTTCTTTTCTTTTCTTTTCTTTTCTTTTTGAGACAGAGTCTCTCTCTTGTCGCCCAGGCTGGAGTGCAATGGCATGATCATCTCAACCTCCATCTCCCAGGTTCAAGCAATTCTCCTGCCTCAGCCTCCTGAGTAGCTGGGATTACAGGTACGTGCCACCACGCCTGGCTAATTTTGTATTTTTAGTAGAGACGGGGTTTCTCCATGTTGGTCAGGCTGGTCTTGAACTCCCGACCTCACGTAGTCTGCCCACCTCGGCCTCCCAAAGTGCTGGGATGACAGGCGCGAGCCACTGCACCCAGCCTATTAATATTTCTTTATTATGGTGCATGTACTGTCATGCATCACTAAAGACAGAAATGTATTCTGAGAAATGCCTCGTTAGGTGAGTTCTTTATTGTGGAACATCCTGGAGTGCACTTACGCCAGCCTGGATGCCAGAGCCTGCTACATACCTGGGCTACAAGGTACAGGGCTGGTCTGAGAGTATAAACCTGGACAGCAAGCTACTGTAGTGAATACTGTAAGCAACTGTAACACAATGGTAAGTATCAGTGTACCTAAACATAGAAAATGTATGGTAAATCTGTGGTATGATAATCTTATGGGACCACCGTCATATATGCAGTCGTTATGTGAGACATGATTGAACTTAATAACCAATGACCATAAAGCACTGACTACTGCCAGATGCTCCCATGACAATATGTACAGATTTGTGAATGAAAGAGTATCTGAGACAGGTCTCAATCAATTTAGGAAGTTTATTTTGCCAAGGTTAAGGACGCACCCATGACAGCCTCAGGAAGTACTGACGACGTGTGCCCAAGGTGGTTGAGGTACAGCTTGGTTTTATACATGTTAAGGAGATGTGAGACATCAATCAATACAAGGTATACATTGGTTTAATCCAAAGAGGTGGGAGAGCTCGAGGTGGGTGCTGCCAGGTCATAAGTAGATTTAAAGGTTTTCTGATTGGCAATTGGTTGAAGGAGTTATTATCAATAGAAAGGAATGTCTGGGTTATAATAATGGGTTATGGAGACTAAAGTTTTATCATGCAGATGAAGCCTCCAGGTAGCAGGCTTCAGAAAATAGATTGCAAAGTTTTGTTATCAGACTTAAGAAGCTTGTTCTATGAGTAATTTCAAAAGAGAGGAGGGTAGAATGAGGCATGTTTGGTTCCTCTTTACTATCATGGCCTAAACGACTTTTTTCAGGTTAACTTTAGAATGCCCTGTGGATGGGAGGAGTCCATTCAGATGGTTGGGGGCTTAGAATCTTGTTTTTGGTTTACTGCTTCATTCATTGAAAACACGCACACACACACACACACACACACTCAATAGTAGTTATTTTTATCCCATTGCTCACATGTGGGAAGTAACATGAAGAAAATAGCAAAGTGGCTAGCATGGAATTAGAGAGATCCTTGAAGCGGTTGCTTTGGGGTCATTGGAGGGAGAGAGACAGGGTCTGGTGTCAGTTTTGGCCATTGAGATAAATGGATTTGGAGTGTTCTGGAAGTGGAACGAACGGGAAGTGGTGATGGACAGGGTGAGGAGGGGGAAGGAGAGGAGGTAGTCACACAGCCTGAGTGTGCATCTTGGCTTTTCCACCTCTCAGCTGGTGACTTATGCAATTCCCTTAATATCAGTTTCCAAATCTGTGTGTTGAAGATAAAAACAGTTCCTCTCACACAGGTGTTGTGTGAGGATTCAAAGAATTTTATATAAATTTAAAAAATATAATTATATGTAAAGTATTTAATTATATATAAATTAAAATATAGATTTATAGAAAAATATAAGTCACGAGAGTGCCTGGCACATAGTAAGTGGTCAGTTAACGCTGCTGTTATTGCAAACACAACTCCCTTTTTTGAGACTGATCAATATAATATTTGCAAATTACTTAACAGAGGTGTGATATCAGGAAGATTTCAAAAGCTGCTTGCTGCTACTTGTGTCATCATGTCCTCCGTGTGATCTAAGTCTGCTGTTATATTTTGGAAAGCCTGGGTACAGAGGTCACATTGGTGTTCATTTCCAATCCACTTGAAATTGGTTATGGTGGAAAGTGTGAGGGCAGATTCTGATAGGACGGTATTTACGTGGCTAGCATTTTTTGTTCAATCCTGATTGTGGACTTCATATCTTAATTTGTTTTTTGGAGAAGTAATACATGCTCAAACAGTTCCAAAGGTGATACAGAGAAGAACCTTTCTCTCAGCCTTGATCCCTCATCCTCTTACTTCTCCCTTTTGTCATTTCACACATTTTCCTTCTCTTTTCTGCCTCCCTCTCTTCCTTCCTCCTTCCCTTCCTTTTTTCGTTCCTCTCTTCCTTCCTTCTCTCTCCCTATCTCTTTTTTCTTTCTTTCTTTCTATAATTAATCTATTGTCTATCAGTACATATCATCTATCTATTGTGTGTATATCTATTCATCCATCAGTCACCCATCTATATATCTTATCTATCCATCTATCTGTCATCTATCTAGCTATTTATCAAGTATCTATCAATCATCTATCTTATCTATTACATATATATCTATCCATCTATCAATCTTTCATCTGTGTTATCTACCTATCTGCCATATATATATATATCCATCTATTGATCATCTATCTATCTATGTATCTATTCAGTCATCTATATCCAAACCATAATCTTCCCCTCTTATTTTAAACAACCAATGAGAGCATCTCATATATCCTCTTTGGGGCCTGCTTTTTACTTAACGATATACTTTGGGGACTATTCTGCCGGCCCTTCTCCTCCCTTGCTTCAGCTGCAGCTTCCATGGCCAATCCTGAGACTTCCTCCCTCATCACAACAGGTAAAAGCTCTCAAGAGGATTCAGGTTGGATCAATGGGCACCAGGTAGGCCAGGTTGGGCTTGTGTGATGGGCCAGCAGCTCAAGGCCTCCAGCTGCAACCATGTTGCTGCAAAGGACAAAATTTCATTCTTTTTCATGGCTGTATAGTATTCCATGGTGTATATGTACCACATGTTCTTTTTTTTTTTTTTGAGATGGAGTCTTACTCTGTTGCCCAGGCTGGAGTGCAGTGGCACAATCTCAGCTCAGCATAACCTCCGTCTCCCAGGTTCACCTGATTCTCCTGCCTCAGACTCCTGAGTAGCTTGGACTACAGGTGCACACCACCATGCCCAGCTAATTTTTGTATTTTTAGTAGAGACAGGGTTTCACTATGTTGGCCAGGCTGGTCTCGAACTCCTGACCTTGTGATCCACCCGCCTGAGCCTCCCAAAGTGCTGGGATTATAGGTGTGAGCCACTGCGCCTGGCCACCACAATCCACTATTGATAGGCACCATTTTTGCTATCGTGAATAGTGAGTCCTTTTTTGCTATTGTGAATAGTGCTGCGATGAACATTTGGGTGCATGTGTCTTTTTGGTAGAATAATTTATTTTCTTTTGGATTTATATCCAATATTGGGATTGCTTGGTCAAATGGTAGTTCAACTCTTAGTACTTTGATAAATCTCCAGTGACTGGACTAATTTATACTCCCAGCAGTGTATAACTGTCCCCTTTTCTCCACAACCTCACCAGCATCTGTTATTTTTTAACTTTTTAAAAACAGCTATTCTGACTGGTGTGAGATGGTATCCCATTGTGGTTTTGATTTACATTTCTCTGATGATTAGTGATGCTATTTTTTCTTTTGTTTGTTGGCCACTTGAATGTCCTCTATTGACAAGTGTGTATTCATGTCCTTTACCCACTTTTTAATGGGATTATTTTGGTTTTGCTTGTTGATTTGCTTAAATTCCTTAAAGATTCTGGGTACTAGACCTTTGTCAGATGCGCAGTTATTTAATGTTTTCTCCCATTCTGTAGGTTGTCTGTTTACTGCCTTGATAGTTTCTCTTGTTGTGCAGAAGCTTTTCAGTTTAATTAGGTCCACTTGTCAGTTTGTTTTTTTGTTGCAATTGCTTTTGAGGACTTAGCTGTAAATTCTTCGCTGAGGCCAATATCAAGAATGGTATTTCCTTTTAGGATTTTTTATGGTTTGAGATTTTACATTTAAGCCTTGAATCCATCTGGAGTTAGTTTTTGTATATGGTGATAGGTAGGTGTCTTGTTTCAATCTTCTGTATATGGCTAGCCAGTTATCCCAGCACCATTTACTGAATAAGAAGTCCTTTTCTCATTGCTCATTTCTGTCGACTTTGTCGAAGAGCAGATGGCTGTAGGTGTGTAGATTTATTTCCATGCTCTCTATTCTGTCCTGTGGTCTATGTGTCTATTTTTGTACCAGTACCATGGTGTTTTGGTTACTCTAATCTTGTAGTATAGTTTAAAGTTGGGTAATGCGATGCCTCCAGCTATGTTCTTTTTGCTTCAGATCGTTTTGGCTATTCAGGCTCTTTTTTGGTTCCATATGAATTTTAAAATAGTTTTTTCTAATTATGCGAAAAATGATGTTGATAGTTTGGTGGGAACAGCGTTGAATCTGTAAAATTGTTTTGAGAAGTATGGCCACTTAAAAAATATTGATTCTTCCTAACCATGGGCATGGAATGGTTTTCCATTTACTTGTGTTATCACTGATTTCTTTCAGCACTGTTTTGTTTTTTTTGTAGAGGTTTTTGTAGAGGTCTTTCACCTCCTTGGTTAGAAATACTTATAGGTATTTTTTTTTTTTGGTGTGGCCATGGTAAATGGGATTGTGTTCTTGATTTAGCTCTCATCTAGAATGTTACTGGTGCATAGAAATGCTACTCATTTTTGTACATTGATTTTGGGATGATACATTTCTTTTTCCATTTTGATCCTCATCTATCCTCCCCATCCCGAGTTTTCATTCTCTGGACCAGGGATCAGAAAACTATCCTTTCCACAGGCCACATCTGGCTCTACAGATCTTTGTAAATAAAGTTTTATTGGGCACAGTCAAGCACATTCATTATGAATTGTCTGTGACTGCTTTTGCCCTCACAATGGCTGAGTTGAGTACTAGGTTCTTTAGAAGAAAAGTCTGCACAAAAGTCTAGCGACAAATCCAATTTCCAGTTCTGTTTCCTTGCAGAGCTGTTATGTACATATATCAGCACCAGCATATACCCTTAGCCTTACTCCCTTCTCCTCTTTTAAAAACACAGCAAGAAACCCAGGATTGCATCGTGTGCTACTTCGCTTTTATCACTTAACGCCACATCTTGGTGACGACCTTATATCATCAATACACAAAGACATTACACATCCTTATTTATGTCCATAGAACATTGCATTTGCAGATTTCTGACAATTTCATGGACACGTTTCCTGATGAGTTTCTGTTACAATAATAATAATAGTCTGGTACACTGAACAGTCTTATTACACAGATGTTATGTTGGCGAATCTTGCTCTGACTTCTGGATGAACTCTGAGAATTTAATTGCAGTATTTAATTCAAGGTTATGTGTGTTTGCAGTTTAGATAAGTATTGACCAATCACCTCTGGGCCAGAGGGAACATGTGCATGCGATTTTTCTAGATGTTTTCAAATTCCTTCTCCTACATACTCTTATGCTGGGGATTTTGGATTTCATTGTAGGTTCATTGGAGGCCACTGGAAAGTTGTAAGTCCGAATGGCAAGGAGAGGCAACATCATCTGTTTTATGACTTAAAGCTCTCCCTCTGGCTCCTGTTGGGAAGGTGGAGGACCCAGGGCCTGGTGTGGAGGTGGGGAGCCCCATGAGGAGGGTGCCGTGGTCTTGTAGGGTAGAGATCTCAGTGCCCTGGTCCAGGGTGTTAGCAATGAAGATGGAATGTGGAAGTTGGATTTGGGGAGTTCAGGAAGTGGAGCCGTCTCAAGGGGCAGGACAGGGAAGATGAGGAGAGGGAGTAACAACAGGTCAGGAGTGATAGGTCCATGCAGCCACAGTGGCCTCTGTGATGCTGGGATGATTGCAAAGGAACAGGCCAGCCTGCATGTCCAGCCCCCAGGCCAGAATGCTGGTGTTGAAGGTGAGGGTGATTCTGCAAGTCTGGGTGTATTAGTCAGTGTTCTCTAGAGGGACAGAACTGATAGGATATATTAGGGAGTTTATTAAATATTAACTCACATGATCACAAGGTCCCACAATAGGCCATCTGCAAGCTGAGGAGCAAGGAGAGCCAGTCCGAGTCCCAAAACTGAAGAACTTGGAGTCTGATGTTTAATGGCAGGGAGCATCCAGCATGGGAGAAAGATGTGGGCTGGGAGGCTAAGCCAGTCTAGTTTTTCACGTTCTTCTGCCTGCTTCATATTCTAGACGGGGATGCACCATATTGGCCAGGCTGGTCTCGAACTCCTGACCTCAGGTGATCTGCCTGCCTCAGCCTCCCGAAGTGCTGGGATTACCTGCATGAGCCATCGCGCCCGGACTTTTTTTCCATTTCTAATATGCTAAATAATTCTTTGTTTTCTTGTTGATTATATGCATGTTTTCAGAATGTTTCCTGTTTCTTCAACCTGAACTTCCTTTTTTTTCCCCTTAAATGGGTGACTGTCTTAGTCTGCTCTGGCAGCCATAATAAAGTACCACAGACTGGGTGGCTCATGTAACAGAAAATTTTCACAGTTCTGGAGGCTGCAGGTCAACATCAAGGTGTGGGCAGGGTTGGTTTCTGCTAAGGTGTCTCTGCTTGGCTCGTATTTGGCCGTCTTCCCTCCTCTCCTCACGTGGTCATCCCCCTGTGTGTGTCTGTGTCCTAATCTCCTCTTCTATAAGGACACCAGCCATATTGGATTAGGGCCTACCCTGATAATATCATTTAACCTTAATTACCTCTGTAAAGGCCCATCTCAAAATACAATCTCATTCTGAGGTACTGGGGTTTAGGACTTCAACATGAATTTGGAGAAGGATCTCTGCTTTCAGGGAACACACTGGGATGAATGGAGAACCACAGTTACCAGGAGAACAAAAAATTGTTTTTAAAAAGAATAGGCCACGTGTGGTGGCTCATGCCTGTAATCCCAGCACTTTGGGAGGCCAAGGGGGGTGGATCACCTGAGGTCAGGAGTTCCAGACTAGCCTGGCCAACACGATGAAACCCCATCTCTACTAAAATACAAAATTAGCTGGGCGTGGTGGTGGGCACCTGTAATCCCAGCTACTCTAGAGGCTGAGGCAGGAGAATCGCTTGAACCCAGGAGGCGGAGGTTGCAGTGAGCCAAGATTGTACCACTGCACTCCAGCCTGGGTGACAAGAGTTAGACTCTGTCTCAAAATAATAATAATAATAATAATAATAATAATAATAATAAATAAAAAGAATATTTCAGCAAATAATAAATAGTAAAAAAAAAAAGGACACAAATACACACAAATAAATATAGCAGGCTAACACGGACCTCTGTCATATTGTGAGAGGAAGTGCAGTTTTCCAATCAAGAGATCTTCATTCAACTGGGGTAAACCCCAGGGATCTGTGCTCTGCCCAGCTTCCCCCACATCCTGGGGATTCTCCTAGCTGCACCTCTACCTGTCCCTGTGGAAATCCCAGCACATGCACGCCAGAAACGGGCCACATGCTTTACAAACATCATCCAGTTCTCGCAGTGACCCAACGAGGTAGAAGAGATTGTTCTCCCAAATTGAGAAGCCACCTCTGCTCTTTTTTTTTTTTTTGACAAGGTCTCACTCTGTTGCCCAGGCTGGAGTGCATTTGTGCAGTTATGGCTCACTGCAGCCTCAATCTCCCGGGCTCAAGCAATCCTCTCGCCTCAGCCTCCTGAGTAGCTGGGACCACAGGTGCACACCACCACACCTGGCTAATTATTTTTGGAGACACAGATCTCCCTGTGTTGCCCAGGCTGCTCTCAAACTCCCAGCCTCAAGCAATCCTCCCACCTCGGCCTCCCAAAGTGCGGGGATTACAGGTGTGAGCCACCTCACCCGGCCTGTCCCTCATTTTAATTATCCACCCACAAATACACCTGCATATACCCTGCAGCCTGGCTGGCCCTTCACTGTCTGGCTGCAGAGCCTGAGGGTGAGGGGTGCTCTCGGCCCCTCTTCTCAGCTCCTCCCCTTCTCCTTCTCAATCAGGTTTCCATGGCAATGCCTAATTGCTCCATCCTTTCTGCTGTCTGTCCATCCATTAGGAGAAAATTGGATTTCATGTGTGCGTTTCCCATGAATTTCTCAGATTACTGGGAAAAGCACAGAAGGTTTTCCTGTCTGCATTCCTCGTGAGAAGCCTCGCCCGTTCATCTCTGTGTGCACTTTTCTCGTTTTTGTTGACTTGTGAAATGTTATAGTTCATCGTGTGATAAAGCAAAATTCGTTCCTTCTCACGTTATTTGCAAGTGTTCATTTTCAGGGTGTTATGAACGTGATTGTTGTTTATCGGTCATTGCCCTAGTATTTAAACCCTGTGTTTTAGCCCAGTCAGGCTGCTACAACAAAATACCATAGACCGAGTGGCTTATAAACAACAGACATTGATTTCTCATGGTTCTGGAGGCCAGAAGTTCAAGTTTAAGGCACCAGCAGGGGCAGTGTCTGCTGAAGGCCCGTTTCCAGGTGCACAGGTGGCCTCTTCTCACTGTATCTTCGAATGGTCGGGGGGCGAAGGCGCTCATGCCCTGATCACCTCCTTGGGGCCCCCACCTCCTAATACCTCCACCTTGTGGGTTAGGGTTGCAATAGAGGAATTCGGTGGGAGGAGGTACTTACATTCAGACCATAGCACCCCCTTACAACCCTGTCTCTCAATTGTTATTTGTTTTCTGCCTCTGCGAAGATCTTTTGGAAGAATTTTCTAGTAGAAGCTCTTATAAATACTAACTGCTTGTGTATTTTTAACGGATTTTTGGCTGAAGGTTTAAAGTAGGCCTCTAACTTGAGTTAGTTCAAACCTTGTAGTCACTTTTTTTTTTTTTTTTTTTTGAGACAGAACCTTGCTCTATCACCCAGGCTGGAGTACAATGGTGCAATCTCAGCTCATTGCAACCTCTGCCTCCTGGGTTCATGCGATTCTCCTGCCTCAGCCTCCCAAGTAGCTGGGATAACAGACATGCACCATCACGCCCAGCTAATTTTGTATTTTTAGCAGAGACCAGGTTTCACCGTGTTGGTCAGGCTGGTCTCCAACTCCTGACCTTAGGTGACCCACCCTCTTCAACCTCCCAAAATGCTGGGATTACAGGTGTGAGCCACCACGCGCGGCCTCAATTAATAATTTTCTTGTGTGTCCTTCCAGAGTTGTTGTTTGTGTGAGCATCTTTATGTGCATTTATTTCTAACTATAATTTTTTTTACAACAAATGATAGCATTTTCATATATTTGTATAAGATCTGGCATATACGAATACTAATAACGTTGTACAGCATTCTTCAGCGCTCTGCCTTTTCTCCCAATTACTCTGGTTTCCATGACAGCAGTCTGAGCTTACCTCAATTTCCCATGGCCATGAGAGCTGGGGAGGGGCTGGGATTGAGCCCTGAAATAATGGACCAGAAATTGGCCCAGCTGGAGGGATAGAAAGGCAGAGACGAGGACTTGAGGCCGAGGTTTTTATCCACTGCCGGTGACTGTGATTTATGTGTGTTAAATCACGTCCGTGGATAAGGACTTTATGGAAGGGAAAAACCAGATTGTGCTCAGCCTCTACAGGCTCAGAAATCGATTTCTTTTTCTTTCTTTCTTTTCGTTTTCCTTTTTGAGACAGGGTCTCACTCTGTCGCCCAGGCTGGAGTGCAGGGGCACGATCATGGCTCACTGCAACCTCAACCTCCCCAGGCTCAAGTGACCCTCCTGCCTCAGCCTCCTGAGTAGCTGGGACTACAGGCATGTGCCACCACATCTGGCTAATTTTTTATTTTTTGTAGAGATAGGGTCTTGCTGTGTTGCCCAAGCTGGTTTCAAACTCCTGGGCTCAAGTGATCCTCCCTCCTTGGTCTCCCAAAGTGCTAGTATTACAAGCGTGAGCCACCATGCCTGGCCAGAAATCTTAGTTTTCTAGTCAGCTGTGCAGGTGTCTGAGACATCCTCTCATCATTCACTTATCTTCTCCTTTATTCCTGCCCTCATTATGAAGATATTGATTAATATCTCTGTATCGGCCGTTCACTCCTGCATGGCCTAGGAATGAAGCTGTGGGCAGTCACGTGTTCACAGAAGGAAGACGCGGAAGCAACCCAAAGGTCCATTGACAGGGGAGTGGGTAACAAAGTGTGGTCCATCTATTCGGGGGAATATTACTCAGCCTTCAAAAGGAAGGAAACTCTGACACACGCTGCAGCTTGGGTGAACCTTGGGGACATGATGCTCAGTGAAATAAGCCAGGCACAGAAGGACAAATACTGCCTGGTTCCACTTAGACGAGGTGTCTTGAGTCATCAAATTCATACATACAAACAGTAGAATGGAGGCTGCCAGGGGCTGGGAGGAGTTGTTTAAGGGCTACAGAGTTTCAGTTTTGGATGATGGAAAGTTCTGGAAATGGACAGTGGTGATGGCTGCACAACAATGGGAATAGACTAATACTACTCAACTCTGCATTTTAACATGGCTCAAATGCTACAGTTATTTTTGTTTTTTGTTTTGTTTTTTTTTTTTTGAGACGGAGTTTCGCTCTTGTTGCCCAGGCTGAAGTGCAATGGCGTGATCTCAGCTCACTGCAACCTCTGCCTCACCCGGGGTTCAAGCGATTCTCTTGCCTCAGCCTCCTGACTAGCTGGGATTACAGGCACGCACCAACATGCCTGGCTAATTTTTGTATTTTTAGTAGAGACGGGGTTTAGTAGTCATGTTTGCCAGGCTGTTCTCGAACTCCTGACCTCAGGTGATCCACCCGCCTTGGCCTCCCAAAGTGCTAGGATTACAGGCGTGAGCCACAACACCTGGCCCTCAAATGGTACGTTTTATGATACATGTATTTTACCGCAATTAAAATTGTTAAGGAAAAAACCTTAAATCCCCACAGTAGATGGGGATTTAAAACCAAACAGAACCAGCTATCAATGTGGGGAAGACGGAGATGTGGGGGAGTGAAAAACAAAACAAAATAGAGCGAGCATTACTAACATTTTAACAAATACAAAGATTACTATTTTACAAATAAAAATAAACAGTGGTTTAGCCAGGCAGTGAAGGGATAAAGACCCGAAAATAAATTATTAGAAAAGTCAGAATAGGCCAGGCATGGTGGCTCACACCTGTAATCCCAGCACTTTGGGAGGACGAGGCAGGCGGATCACCTGAGGTCAGGAGTTTGAGACCAGCCTGGCCAACACAGTGAAATCTCATCTCTACTAAAAATACAAAAAATTAGCCAGGTGTGGTGGTGGGTGCCTGTGATCCCAGCTACTCGGGAGGCTGAGGCAGGAGAATGGTGTGAACCTGGGAGGCGGAGCTGAGATTGTGCCACTGCACTCCAGCCTCAGTGACAGAGTGAGACTCCAAGTCAAGAAAAAAAGAAAAACAAAAGAAAAGTCAGAATAGTGGTTATGTCCAGGGGGCTGGCGGGGTGGACGGGGGCAGCAGAGGGAGGAAGGGGGTTGTAGATGGGAAGGGGTGGGGGTTCTGGGAACCCTAGTCTTTCCTAACGCAGGAAGTTGTTACTGTCATGTATTCACCTGTTCCAATGAACTTCATGCACATTTTTTACCCGTATTTTAAACTTCACAATAAGAAAATGGATAACAAATTTTAACCTGTGGACAGTTCCTTGCCGTAAGAAAAAACAATTCTTTGACATTTGAAAGACAAGAAAGGTGAACATTTATTTCCCTTGTGGAAGACGCCTTGTTGGAAACGGGGAGGGAGTCTCTGTCTCGTGGCACCTTTAGAGAGTCGTGCCTTGCAGAGAATCACGACTCAGGGATAGTGAGTCATTTCTCAAATTACATGAACAGTGTAGCCGTGTGAGGATCAGCTCAGGTTGGGAATTGGCAAATGAAGACTGCTATTAGCAATTCCGTAGAAAAGTGTTTTTGTGCTGAGATTCGAGACACGACATTTATCATTTAAATGTCAAAGTCTTAAACCGGAATGTCACAGTAAAATAGCAATTACTGGGAAAAAAAGAACATGCGTGCCCACTCAGTAACCCAGGAAAGAGATTGATGAGAAAATCACATACGGTTTCAAACAGCTGCTTTATCATATATTAGATTTTCTTCTCAATAAACTGAATACGTTTTCCTCAGGATATTCCAGGGATTAACGACCGTATTTATTCCTCATACCAGTGCAGAATTAGGATGACATAGGCCACTTCCTGTACCTGAAATATCATAGCCCTGAGCTAATTGTATTGTTTGAAAAGGGAGGTTGGGGGCTTCAAACATCCTCAGAGAAGGTTTAGGGATTGACTGAGAGCAACACGTAGGGATACAGACACATTCAGGGAGTCCTGAGATGACCCACGCAGAGGTTTTCAAACGCACAGATTATGGGGTCCCTGCATTTACCAGGTAAAAGGAGGCCTGGGTGCCTTAGGCTAGCATCTCTCTGCACAGCTATGCCCAGACCTAAACTTTCTTTCTTTTTTTTTGAGACAGGGTCTCACTCTGTCACCCAGGCTGGAGTGCAGTAGTGCGATCACAGCTCACTGCAGCCTCAACCTCCTCAAGCTAAGTGATTGTCCCACCTCAGTCTCCTGAGTAGCTGGGACTACAGGCGTGCACCACCACACCTGACTAATTTATGTATTTTTTGTAGAGATGGGGTCTTGCTATGTTGCCCAGGCTGGTCTTAAACTCCTGGGCTCAAGCATTCCTCCCACCTTGGCCTTCCAAAGTACTGGGATTACAGGTGCGAGTCACTTCGCCTGGCCTATAATTCTTTTTATGGACATAGGTTTTCACTTCTTTGAGGCAAATACCTAGGAGTGAAATGAGCCAGTCAAAGGTTATTTATACAGTTGATATTCTCAGAAATACTCAGACTGTTTGTCTGCAATGATTTCGCCATTATATACCCTCATCTGTGATGTGTGAGAATTCCAGTTGCTCCACATTCTCACCAATATTCAGTATTTCAGTCTTTTGTATTTTAACCATCCTAGTAATTGTGAAATGTTATCTTATTTTGGGTTTAATTTGCGTTTCTCTGTCAGCTAATTAGCTTATACATCTTTGCATGTGTTTATTGTCCATTTGCATATTTTCTTTCTTTCTTTCTTTTTTTTTTTTGAGACGGAGTCTTGCTCTGTCGCCCAGGCTGGGGTGCAATGGCATGATCTCGGCTCACTACAATCTACAACTTCTGCCTCTCGAGTTCAAGCAATTCTCCTGCGTCAGCCTCCCGAGTAGCTGGGAGTACAGGCACCTGCCACCATGCCCAGCTAATTTTTGTGTTTTTAGTAGAGATGGGGTTTTTCTATGTTGGCCAGGGTGGTCTCGAACTCCTGACCTCAGCTGATCTGCCTGCCTTGGCCTCCCAAAGTGCTGGGATTATAGGTGTGAGCTACCACGCCTGGCCTATATTTTCTTTTGTAAAGTTCCAATTCGAGTTTCTTGCTCATTTTTAATTGAATTGTCCCTTTATTATTGACGTAGGCATTTTTTTCATATTCTGATTATAAGTCCTTTTGCAGACATATGTATTGTAAATATAATCCCCCACCATGTGGCTTGCATATTCATGTCTTAACAGAATATTTTGATGAACAGAAATTTTTTTTAATGTAATTCAATTTACTGACTGTTTAATGGTGAGCTTTTTTTGTCTCCTAATATTTGCCTATTCCAACATCATGAAGATATTTTTCTATAGTTCCTTCTGGAAGGTTTCAATGTTTAGGTCTATAATCCCATCTTAAATTAAGTTATATATGTGTTCCAGAATGCTTAGTTGAAAAGACTTTCCATTTCCTGTCAAGTTCCATGGTCTTTGTCAAGAATCAATTGACCGTGGATGTGTGTCTGGACTCTGTTCTATTGATGTATGTTTCTCTATGTGCTGATACCTCACTGCCTTGATTATTGTAGCTTTATACAATCTTGACATCAGATAAAGTCCTCCAATTTTGTTCTTTCTTTTGGTTTTCCTAATTTTTGGGGGGCCAGTTGTAGATCTTTTGTCATTCCACATAGACTCTAGAATCAATGGGTCAATTTCTACAAAATATGGCACTGGGAATTTGACTGGGATTACAATACCCTGGGGTCATGGCCATCCTAACATTGTCAGGTCTCCTAATCCATGAACATCACATGTGTCTCTATTTACTTAAGTCTTATTTAACTTCTCTTAGCAATGATGTGTGCTTTATTAAAGTACACATCTTCTGTATATTTTGTTAGATTTGCAATAGATAGTGCATATTTTTAGATATAAATGTGATTGGTATTTTTAAAATTTCATTTCCAATTGTTTACTGGTTGCTTTCCAACGTTTGCTTATTTTTTCCATGAATTAAACTTGTAAATAATCTTATATTTATTAATGTTTTTTTCTTTCCAGTCCCTGTTATAATATTTTGGAACACCTTAATGCACATATCTTATAAATGTTAACCTCTAGCCCATTCGATAATGATTATGGTGACATTTATAAAATGGCACACTAATAGAACTCTTAATATCATATAAATAGTTGTTTTTAGTTACTCTTGCAAATCTATGTATTCATTTCAAAGAAAGTACAAATTGCTAAGCAGAACAAAAAGAATTCTCTCTTCCACCTCTGAGCTTTGTTCTTTCACTTCTCCCTTCCAGTCGCAATTTTTCTTTTCTTTTCTTTTCTTTTTTGAGATGGTATCTCGCTCTGTCTCCCAGGCTGGAGTGCAGTGGCGTGATCTAGGCTCACTGCAACCTCTACCTCTCAGGTTCAAGCAATTCCCCTGCCTCAGCCTCCTGAGTATCTGGGACTACAGGTGTGCACCACCACGCCCAGCTAATTTTTGTATTTTAGTAGAGATGGGGTTTCACTATGTTGGTCAGGCTGGTCTCGAACTCCTGACCTTGTGATCCACCCGCCTTGGCTTCCCAAAGTGCTGGGATTACAGGCGTGAGCCACCGCGCCCGGCCTCCAGTGGCAATTTTTCTAATGCCAATTACTTGTGTTTTGCCCCAGAGTGAAGTTTTACATACATACGTATGCATGCAAAAATGTTCTAATATATTATGCAAATATTATCATGCACAATCTATTATGCCCATGTTATTATGCATAATGGGTTATTCATAAACTACTGAGCATAATTACACTCTCATGCACATTCTGCAAAGTGATGGTGTATACCATTTGGCACTTGTCTTTCTCCATGTGACAATTCATCCTGGGCATTGTTCTCTATCTATACGGTAAGAACTTCATTCTCTTTTATTGTGTAGAATCTTCCAAAGTGTGAGGATACTAAGGTTTATTTAGCCAGCTACCCTTCTATGCACAATGAAGTCATTTCCATTCTTTTCTTCTGGTCTAGAAAAGCTACAGAAAATAACGCCATGCATATCATATTTGGCATTTATTTGGGCATACCTGCAGGGTATATTCTAGAAGTGATACTGTTGAGTGAAAGGAAATATACATCTTTGAAATAACCTTTGACACATCCTATATTTATTCAAAACATGTACGTTGAGCATCGGTAATGACCCAATACTGTTCAGGTCCCGGAAACACGAGGTGAACACACAGACAAGGTCTCAGTGCTCAGGAGTTTACCAGTTCACCCAGAGAACAACAAAAAAACCAGTGAACAAACAAAATGAATAAATAAGCCAAGTAAGTTCAAACACGGATGACGGTGACAGAAACAAGATGAGGAGACAAAGGGAAAGAGAGCCAGAGAGGGGAGCTGGGGGAAGCTGCTTGAGAAAGGCTCTGTTTGCAGGGGCCAGAGTCTGTGCTGTTAACAATGTTAGCACGCTTTTTCACAACTTTGAACACTTATTAAACAAAACAATTATTTGACAAGAAATTTTAATAAAGGTTTTAAAACAAATTTTTAACCACCTTAATGTACTTTTATAAGTAGAATCTTATGTAAACCCATGACCTAGGAACCACAATCATCCATGTTCGAAGTCTTTAGACAAATGTTGCAAAATTTCAGGCTGGACGCAGTGGCTCACGCCTGTAATCCCAACACTTTGGGAGGCCGAGGCAGGCAGATCACTTGAGGTCAGGAGTTCGAGACCAGCCTGGCCAACATGTTGAAACCTCGTCTCTACTAAAAATACAGAAATTAGCCGGGTGTGGTGGCGGGCACCTGTAGTCCCAGCTCCTCAGGTGTTTGAGGCAGGAGAATCACTTGAACCCGGGAGGAGGAAGTTGCAGTGAGCCCAGATCATGCCACTGTGCCCCAGCCTGGGGACAGAGCAAGACTCCACCTCAAAAAAAAAAAAAGTTGCAGAATTTCATTAATTTCATTAATTTGCTCCATAAATATTTATTGAGCATATACTGTGTGCTAGGATGGAATTTGGGGCAACCTTACCCAGACACTTTCCAGAGCTCTCTCTGAGGCCTTCCCTCCCTTGTTCCCAGCCACGCCTCTCCCTTACTCCTGGTGTGGTTTCCATGGCAGCACCAGGGGATCCCCTCATCACATCTCCCCTGCGTCTCACAACAGGTGGGAGCCCCAGAGGCAGACTGAGAAGCTAGGCTGGGGGAGGGGAGTCTAGGAATGAGGATGAAACCATTGTTTTGTTACGCTCTTATTTTGCACAGCTTTATTTATTCTTAATTAGAGTCTTGGCAGAAATGTGAAAAAAATGGGGTGTTATGAATGAGTTATGAGTACTTTATTTAAGCTAGGGCTGCCTTAAAATAAATTACCACACACTGAGTGGCTGAAACAACAGAAATTTATTATCTTGGTGTAGAGGCTAGAAGTCCACGTCAAGGCATGGGCAGGTGTTTCCAGTGTGTTCCACGGATAAACAGCCATTTAAAAAAATGTACGGTATAGAATCTGACTCTCCAATATCATGGCCCTAAGTAGATGTGGTGAGTGGGGTGAGTCATCAACAAAAGTAAAATATCCTGAGAGAGGGTTTAGGGGAAGCCGAGCACATGTTTCTAAATGAAAGGAACATTAAAAAATCCATCCTATAGAGGCCTATGGTGATCTTTCTTGGTGCCCCAGCTTGATCTATCTGAGAGATTATGCACACGTTTAAAATATTCACTGACAGAGCAGGAGTATCGCCATCTTGGACAAGCACCACCATTTAAAAGTTCACCTTGATCAAAAATCTCCTAAATCCAAAGGGCATCAGCCTAATGGTGAAGGTCAGCATGACCATAAACCACAAATGACATCTCCGACCAGAAACATTCCAACTATAAGATAAACCTCTCCCCGACCAGAGACATGCCAGCCCCAAGATAACCTCCCCTCTGACTGGAGAGATGTCAGCCACGAGATAACCTCACCTCCAACCAGAGGCATTCCAACCCCGCAATAAACTTCTCCGCCACACACAAATGTTCCAAGCCTATGACAGGTTCTCTCGCTCTGAACCCATAAATACTTTTAATCTGTAAGAGAGAGAATGCACCTGACTGAAATGGGTCAGAAGCCCCTCTCAGGTTTATTCTCCAAAATAAACATGTCTTTGACTGTTGAGCATCTTTGTGTGTTTCTTTCCTGTTTCTTGAACTCTTACATTCACCAATAAAGTTCTTCAGTGCAGTAGACCTTTCATAGCTAGAGATTAGTTATCCATTAATTGTCTCAAAGTCTTATTTTAAAAGTCATCCCCAAATGGGATTTTAAAATAAGTAGTGGTGTACCTGTCCAATGGGACATCAAGCTGCCATTAAAAAAATAAAGACTTTTCTGATTAGCTTTTTTCACTCAGCAATATGGATTTAAATCTCTTCCATGTCTTTTCAAGGCTTGATGGCTCATTTCTTTTTAGTCCTGAATAATATTCTGTCATTTGGAGGGACCAGTTTGTTTATCCATTCACCGACTGAAGGACATCTTGGCTGCTTCCAAGTCTTTGCAATTATGAATAAAATTGCTATAGTCCTCAGTGTGAAGGTTTTTGTTTGGAAATAAGTGTTCAGCTCCCTTGGATAAATACCAAAGAGCATGACTGCTGGATCATGAGAGTGTGTTTAGTTTAGTATGATTCCCACTACATGACATTCTGGAAAAGGCAAAACTATGGAGACAGTAAAAAGATCTGTGGTTGCCAGAGGTAAGCGGGGGAGAGATGGATGAATAGGCAAAGCACAGAGGAATTTCAGGGCAGTGAAACAGTCCTGTATGATACGACAATGGTAGATGCTTGTCAGTATGCATCTGTCTGAACCCACAGAATGTACAAAACCAAGAGCCCTCATGTGAACTATGGAGTCTGGGCGATGGGTCAGTGCAGGTGGGTCGACTGTAACCAATGCACCTGGGGCATCCAGTCTGTATTTACATCTCCAGAGGGGATGCTGACCATAGAGGAGGCTGTGCATGTGTGGTACAGAGCTATGGGGACTCTGTACCTTCTGCTTAATTTTGATGTGAACCTAAAACAGCTCTAAAAATATATAATTATAAGGTCAAGCCCTATGACTCATGCCTATAATCCCAGCAATTTGGGAGGCTAAGGTGGGAGGATCACTTGAGCCAGGGGTTTGAGACCAGCCTGGACAACATGGTGAAACGCTATCTCTACAAAAACGACAAAAACAAAAACAAAAATTAGCTGAGTGTGGTGGCATGTGCCTGTGGTCCCAGCTACTTGGGAGGCTGAGGCAGGAGGACTGCTTGAGCCTGGGAGGTTGAGGCTGCAGTGAGCCGTGAGTGTGCCACTGCACCCCAGCCTGAGTGATGGAGTGAGGCCCTACCTTCACAAAATTGAATTATATATTTAAAAAGCAGTGTATATCTGTTCAGGTGACTTTGTTGTAACCTGGCAAATGTGTCTCTGCAGAAAATCCAATTTGCAGGTACTCCTGCCATTGTAAAGTTCCCAGAAGTGTCTATTTCCTCAGGTTTGTGCTTTCCTCGATGCCTGATTGGGTTCCTCACCCTCTGTGAACCCCTACATAACATCTGACCAACCTGGCTTGTCTTCAGCAAGGATTCTGAGAGGCTACTTAGCCTGAATTCCCTGACAATCTTAATGGACTCAGATACCATTTTTCACCATTCAGAAAAGTACATCTCTTGAACACTGAGCATGGAACAGTGAACACAGCCAGGCTACCACCTTGATTTTCTCTCAATAATTTTTCATCCACTGACACCTACCCTGCTCTTGGGCTATACATTCGCACTTGCTCATGCTGTATTCAGAGTTAAGCCCAGTTTCTCTGCCCCAGTGTGAAATCCCATTGCTGTGGCCCCTATACCTATCTCCATGGTCCTGAAGAAAGTGTTCCTTACCACTTTAACAAGTATCATGGATTAATTTTTTCTCTAAAAACACACCTCACAGAATGGATGTGTCCAGTCTTGCATGAAAAAGAAGATTCAGTTGGAGGGAACATTCTGATATTGTTAGCAATGCAAATTATCCAAGTGACCCAGCACCAAAATACGTTACCAGAGGCGAATCCTTATGGGTGCCCAGCAACCTCAATTCTTGCCTCCTCAGAAGAAAGAATTTGACTGTGGGGCATAAGGCAGAAGAAGAGAGTGAGGCAAGTTTTAGAGCAGGAGTGGAAGTTTATTAAAAAGCTTTAGAATGAAAGGCAAGAATAAAAGGAAAGGAAGCTGGAAGCCATCAACCTCAGCAAACTAACACAGGAACAGAAAGCCAAACACCGCATGTTCTCACTCGTAAGTGGGAGTTGAACATTAAGAACATGTGGACACAGAGAGGGGAACAACACACACCAGGACCTGTTGTGGGGTGAGAGATGAGGGGAGGGAATTTAGAGGACAGGTCAACAGGTGCAGCAAACCACCATGGCACATGTATACCTATGTGACAAACCTGCACGCTGTGCACATGTGTCCTGTTTTTTGTTTTTGTTTAGAAATAAAGAAAAAAAGTAGCCAAAAGAAAAGCAGAATAGATGGTCTCCTAAATAAAATGACTTGTGGGTCCCCCCCAGAAAAAATGAAAGGAAGGAAAGTACCTTTGGAAGAGGCCCAAGTGGGCAACTTGAAGGACCAGTGCCCTGGTTGACCGTGGACTTAGGGTTTTATATGCTGGCATACTTCCAGCATCTTGCATCCCATTTCCCTTGATTCTCCTCTTATCATGAGCTGCCTGCATGCTCGGTGGCCTGCTAGCACTTGGGAGGGGCCACACATGCAGCGTGTTTACTGGAGTTATGTGCACGCTCACCTGAGGCGCTCTTCCCCTTCCCGGTGGAATGCCCCTAGAAGGTCAAATACCAGTTAAGCTCCACCATTTTGTCTCTTCATGGGCATGCTCCAGCCCACTCGCCCGACTCTTGATATCTTAGTGGGAAGCTGCCAATCACCAGTTTCAGGTGTTTTTTATCAATTGGGAAACTGCTTTTACCGAGCACTGGCTGTGACCAGTTATTATTTTAGAAAGGCAGTGTGACAACTCCCTGGCCATCACCTGATGGTCACCTGACATTCTTGGTGGGGTCGGGAGAGCCCCCTCCCACCTTGCACATGCCTGACTAGATACTTATTGTTACAACATGAAGTCCATGGTATCCAACAAGATGCAGTTAGAAAGTCAAGACAGTCCAGTTGCGACTCAAGCTCAGCTCACTGACCCACCACGGATTGTTCCCTCCAAGAGACAAACCCAGGGTTCAGCTGAGGTCCAGGAAATATATGCATCTCCAGGAAACTCAGGAAGGGAGTAGCTCTTGGAAACAGCTCATCATGGCCAGCAGTGCAGAACTGTCCATTTCTGAACCATCCAAACATTCAAATTGCAGCTGTCTGCTTTGCAGATTGTGCCCCTAGATGCTGTTGATAGCCAGCTTTTCTTTAATTTCCTGGGGCTGGCTGTCTTTTCTTCTCATTGTCTGACATAATGAATTCCTGTCCTACATGCTTGTAAAGGGGTGCAGCGCACAGCTGGCTCTTATGTGAGCACATTTCACGTTTCCTTGCCACGATACAAACCTGTTTTCAGATATGCTTGTTGAAGGCAATTCCAAACTACAGCATGACGTTTGGAGCTGGGTGGATGATTCTTTGTTGTGTGTGTGGTGGGGACTGTCCTCTGCACTGAAGGCCATCCCTGGCCTCCACCCATTAGATGCCCAGAACTCATTCCTTTCCCCAGTAGTGACAATCAAAACTGTGTCCAGACGTTGCCAGTGTCCACTGGGGGATAAGAGCATCCCAGCTTGAGAACTACCGCCATAGTTTATAAGACAGGCAATGATACAGCTTTCACTGTTAGTACTTTCTAACCTCACTTTACACCCCTCTAAATGTTGGGCTTTTCCCAGCCATCGAATATTCCTAACTGACTTCCTTCCTTCCTAATTCTAGCCCCAGACATACTGGACTAGAAAGAAGCCATCTGCACCTTGCACTTTATGAATCTGCAAACATAACAAAATAATTGTTGTTGCATGTTGTTAAGCTTGGGGTGTTTGTTATGGAGCGACCAGAACACACACACACACACACACACACACACACACACACAAACACACACTCATAAGTGGTGCAAAGACTGCTTATTAAGAATTTGAAGCAAAGAGCAGCTTCAAGACAAGTCCCATTGGCTGTCGGCCTTCCCTGACCAAGCTCCTCCCAGGGTCAAACTAAAGAGTGTCCACTGCTTTGGTCCTTGTAGGGGAGTCGAGTTTTATCCTGAGCTGCAGGAACCCCAAGAAGAGCTACGGAATGAAGAGGACTTTTTAGATTTCACTTTGAGGGGCTGAAGAAATGGACGGGGTTGCTGCAGTAATTTAGGAAGGAAATGTGGGAAAAGCAGGGTTATCAGCAAGCTGTTTAGAAGGAAGAATGGAAGGGACATGGACTGGACGTGTGGCCCATGGCGCATTTACACACGTGGGTGGCGGCTCCCAATCTCCTGGAGCTTCAGGTACAGTGGTGTTAAAAATCAACCTCATCCTTGTCACCCGTCTAGTTGATCAGCAAATCAAGTTGGTCTCAGAAATGTATCTTCAGGAGACCCTCAACAGATTAGATAACTTTCTATATTTTCCTGTTCTCTTTACTTCCGTTTCTTCCCTCAGTTCTAAGCTACATCTCCCGTTTACAATGGTGATGTCTGAGGTGGGAATGATACCATTACAAGTTCAGTTTCTATGTGTTATGTTGTCATGTCTTTTAAAATTCTTACATTTTGTGCTTGTTTTATATTATACATTACAGTGGTTTGTATGATTTATAAACAAGTATATTTATTATTCATTTATAAACATGCATATTTATTAACATGTACTATACATATGAATTATATAAATACTATTTTATATTATTAAATATATATAATATAGTTACTAAATATATAAATATAGGATTAAATATGTATTATATATTAAATTATTGTATATTGTATATTAAATGTATTAAATTATTATAGAATCACATATGATTATTATATATAATTTTATATAATATATTATATATAATACATATGTCAAATGATATATCTTATATAACACATATGATGATACATAATATATATTATGCTATATATAATGTTACATATTATTTATATTATGCAATATAAACTAAATTCATATAATTATATATATGTTATAATGTATAATATTGATATAATAATAATATTATATACTAAATTGAATATGTAATAAATGTATTACTAAATATATTTAATATTTTCTATAAGTATTGTATATATTTATATTTAGCTCACAAATGTTTTCTGGGTATAACTAAACATTGGTAAAGGTCAACCAGAGCATGAACTCACTGCACACGTTGTGAGCTGAAGACCAGCAGCCTTGGCAGCCCCTAAGAACCTGCCTGAAATTCAGAATTGCAGGCTCCATCCCAGACCTACTCAATCCGAATGTGCACTTAATAAATATTCACGGGATTCACGTGCACACCGAAGCTTAGAAAGAGGGCTAGCCCAGTGGGTGACAGAGTGAGACTCTGTCTCTGTCTCTGTCTCTGTCTCTCTCTCTCTCTCTCTCTCTCTCTCTCTATATATATATATATATATATATAATATATGTATATGTATATAAATTAGTCAGGCATGGTAGTGCATGCCTGTAGTCCCAGCTACTCGGGAGGCTGAGGTGGGAGGATCGTTTGAGCCCAGGAGGTTGAAGCTGCAGTGAGCCGAGATCACGCCTCTGCACTCTAGCCTGGGTGACAGAGTGAGACGCCCTCTCAAAACAAACAAACAAACAAATATATATATAATATGTATATGTATATTATATATATATAATATGTGTATGTATATTATATATATAATATGTGTATTTTATATATGTATATTATATATAATATGTATATTTTATATATGTATATTATATATATAATATGTGTATTTTTTATATATATATATAAATTAGTCAGGCATGGTAGTGCATGCCTGTAGTCACAACTACTAGGGAGGCTGAGGTGGGAGAATTGCTTGACCCCAGGAGGTCAAAGCTGCAGTGAGCCGAGATCATGCCACTGCACTCCAGCCTCTTCCCAGGGTGATGGAGCAAAACCCTGTCTCATGAAATAAAAAAGTGTAGGCAGAGATGAGCATACCAGCTACTGTACAGATGTCTCTGGTCCAGATGAACTCAAAGAAGCACCATCCTTGCGTATGACATCGTGAATGCAAATCTCACCGAGATAGTCAGGAGGGTGTAGGAAGAGAGACTTGACTCATGAATCAGGAAGATGGAAATTGATGATGAAAACCTCATTCAACCCCACAGGTGTTAGCAGGGAAACAGGAGGCCATCTTTCCATTTTCCTCATTCATCCCCTGCTACTTTATTTCTGAGTGGGGATGTGTGTGTCCCAATGTCATGAAATTCACATGTGGTTAACGTAGACAGAAAACAAAGGGAACTTCTAGAACTCAAAACTCACCCTTGGAAAAGAAAAGTGTTTATGTGTGGCATCCACTCAACCAAACATTCATCCAACCACATGTCCATGTATACATCCGACCATCTATTCATCCACAAACACATCCATTTATCCACCCATCAACCCATCCTTCCACTCACCCAGTCCATTCATCCACACATCCACCTGACTATTCTGCCATGTACCCATCGACCCATCCATCTTCCATCCGTCTGTCATCAATCTATCAATCAATCTAGCTATCAATTTAACAAGAAAAGGATCCACTCACCTTGGCCTCCCAAAATGCTGGGATTACAGGTGTGAGCCACTGTGCCCGGCCAGCATATTGTTGTAATTAGTTTTCACAATACCCTTATGAGGTATGTCCTAAGATGCCCAACATCAATGACTGATGAAACACAGAGTTTCTGGGAGTTTACTAACTTGCCCTCAGTGGGGCAGGTTGATGATGAAGAGCCTGGAATCAAGCTCAGGGAACAGTGTTCAAGGCAGGGGAACAATATGTGCAAAGGCCCAGAGGACAACGGAGCCTCATAAGGACCCTGGAACGAGGGAGGTGGCACACGGAAGGCTGAGACCAGGCATCATGGAGGAGCTCCATGTAAACTGGAGTCTCCCACTCACTGTTTCCTCTAGTGAGTTCCTTTGGTAAATTGGGCCGTAGATTTCTCATCTGTAAAATGGGCGTTACAGCTGTTGAAGGAATTAAATATGTTAACAACTGTAAAACAATTAGAAGAGTGCTTGGTGCATATACAAACTCAGGGAATATTAGTTGAGTTTGGGAAAGCTATGAGATGCTCGGGAAGGGGAGGCAGCAGATTCAGGTGAGTGTCAGGGCTGGGAAGGGGAGGTGGTGGATTCAGGTGAGTGTCAGGACTGGGAAGGGGAGGGAGAAGATTCAGGTGAGCGTCAGGACTGGGAAGGGGAGGGAGAAGATTCAGGTGAGTGTCAGGACTGGGAAGGGGAGGGAGAAGATTCAGGTGAGTGAGAAGATTCAGGTGAGTGTCAGGACTGGGAAGGGGAGGTGGTGGATTCAGGTGAGTGTCAGGACTGGGAAGGGGAGGGAGAAGATTCAGGTGAGTCAGGACTGGGAAGGGGAGGCAGTGGATTCAGGTGAGTGTCAGGACTCTGCAGGTACAGATTTTAGAGTCATCAGTGTATGGACTCCATTTAAACCTGTGAGATTGGATAACAGCACCAAGGAGTGTGGATGTAGAAGAGGAGATGAGATGGAGGGAAGGGGAGGGAGAAGAGGGGATGAGAGGGAGGGAAGAGGAAGGAGAAGAGGAGATGAGACGGAGGGAAGGGGAGGGAGAAGAGGGGATGAGAGGGAGGGAAGTGGAGGGATAAGAGGGGATCAGAGGGAGGGAAGGGGAGGGAGAAGAGGAGGTGAGAGGGAGGGAAGTGGAGGGATAAGAGGGGATGAAAGGGAGGGAAGGGGGGAGATGGGGGGATGAGAGGGGAGAGAAGGGGAGGGAGAACAGGGGATGAGGAGGGGAGGGAAGGGGAGGGAGATGGGGGATGAGGAGGGGAGGGAAGGAGAGGGAGAACAGGGGATGAGGAGGGGAGGGAAGGGGAGGGAGATGGGGGATGAGGGGGAGAGAAGGGGAGGGAGATGGGGGATGAGGAGGGGAGGGAAGGAGAGGGAGAAGAGGGGACGAGGAGGGGAGGGAGGTGGAGGGGGAAGAGATGAGAGGAGGGAAGGGGAGGGAGATGAGGGGATGAGAGAGGAGGGAAGCAGAGGGAGAAGGGGGATGAGGGGAGGGAAGAGGAGGGAGATGAGGGGATAAAGAGGGGAGGGAGGTGGAGGGAGAAGAGATGAGAGGGGAAGAAGGGGAGGGAGAAGAGGGGCTGAGAGGGGAGGGAAGGGGACGGAGAAGAGAGGATGAGGAGAGGAGGAGGGAGACGAGAGGACGAGGAGAGAAGGGGAAAGAAGAGACAAAGGAGGGGAGGAGAAGGGAACAGAAGGGAGGAGAGGGAAGGAGAGAAGAGAAGTGGTCCAAGGGCTACCACAATATTTTAAGCGTCTTTCTGTTTGAATGGATTACCCGACTCAACTTCAAGCTTGAATGATGTGGGTGCACCACGTTTATGCTCTGAAGGTGTCAGATTTGGGGTTAAATCCAGCTCCGTGTTTTCCAGTCCTCTGATTTAGGGCAGTTGCCTTCACCTCTTTCAGACTCAGTTTCCTTATTCGTTCTGTGGTGGTGACTACCATGCCGCACTCAGCCGTGGGGAGTTGTGAGGATGCATGGAGATCATCTGTGTGGCAGGACTAGCACGCGGCACTCAAGGCTGAGTAGTGATTAGCTTCTGCTCTTCTGGGTTCAAATAAAATTCAAATAATAAAACAGGACAGGCTGGCGCTGCGTGGCCAGGATGTCTCTCTTTTCTGCCTCGGCATAACTATTTCCATCCACAATTTTCATATCACTCTGTCCATCCTCCTCATCCTCAACGGCATCCAAGTCACTCTGGCTTTTTCCTGGGTGTCCGCAGAAGCCTCAGCCTCTGTTCTCAGCAATGCTGCCTGCCCAGCCTGTTTTCCACAAAGCAGCCCAGGAGGTGCTTTGTATACATGGCTCACGTTGCGCCACCCCGCGACGTGGGGCCCGGGATAGAAACGCCTTCGGAAAACGGATTCAAGGAAGGCCAGGCTCCAGGATGCTGGAGGGAGCCCCCTCCCCCGGGGTGATGGGGGGCGCAGACTGTGGCTTTCCACTCTATGTTGCAGGCCTACTGTGTGCCAGGCTGGGATTGGTGACTGGGTACAACCTGACTGCAGAGGGGTGGACATTCGGGCCTCTAAGGGGCTGTCAGGCCCTTCTGCATCCCCCAACTCCCTCCCCCAGCTTCGGTTTCCATGGCAGCAGCCTGCGCCGCCTCTGTCCCCGCAGATCGCGGGGTCCTGCGTGGGAAGGGCAGCGGTCGGGGGGCTTCGGATTCGCATCACTGGGGACGCGGCCTGCCTGGCGCCGTCTCAACCTCAGCCGTGCGACTGCGGATCTTGTGCGCGCTGAAGTGCGTCATTGCTACCCATCTTTGAAGAAGGAGAAAAACAAATTTACCAGCGGCTGCGAGAGCCTTCACTGACTCAGAGTAAAATCATGAATCTATTCTGAGCACCAGCAACAGAAGCAGTTTATGTTCTAGCGTGCACTGACTCAGTCCGTATGCGCTGTGTGTGCGTGTAGATCATGAGATAGGTGAGCAGACCTAGCAGCCTGCATGGAGCCACTTTCTGTTTTACACGCTCCATCTGCATCTGGGAAACAAAACCATAGAATAAATATAAATAAATAAATGCCCAATCTCTGTGCTCAGGTAGATTATTCATTCATTCCTTTCTTCATTCAAAAGTATATGTGGGCGGGGCGCAGTGGCTCACGCCTGTAATCCCAGCACTTTGGGAGGCCGAGGTGGGTGGATCACCTGAGGTCTGGAGTTCGAGACCAGCCTGGCCAACATGGTGAAACCCCATCTCTACTAAAAATACGAAAATTAGCAGCACGTGGTTGTGGGCGCCTGTAATTACAGCTACTCAGAGGCTGAGGCAGGAGAATCACTTGTACCCGGGAGGTGGAGGTTGCAGTGAGCCTAAATCATGCCATGGCACTCCAGCCTGGGTGGCAGGGTGATACTCTGTCTCAAAAAGAAAAACAAAAAGAAAAAAAAGTGTATGTATGTATATTCTGCAGATATTTCCTGACATCCCACTATGGGTCAGCACTGAGTTAAATGTGATGGATAGGGTTGAAGCCAAGACAACTCTCCTCTTATGAATCCTTTATCTTTGGGGGTTTATCAGTCAATAAGTTTAACTTAAAATAACAGATCGTGGTAAGTTCTACAAAGCGTAAGCAGGTGAGATGTGGAGTGAAGGAGGGATCTTTCAGAGCAGCCGGTCAAGGAGGTCTTCCTGGAGGTGGCGGTATTTGAGTCAACCTGAGTGAAGGGAGGGCGGGAAACTTTGGATTACCAGGGAAGTAACCATTCTGGGCAGAGGGAACAGAGCCTGGAAACACCTGGAGATGAAGATTTTTGTCCGTTTGAACAGCACAGGAGGCCACAGTGTCTGAAGAGGAGTGAGCAAGGAAGAGAATGGGTGGAGGCGAATTCAGAGAGGGGCTGGAAAGTGACTTTCAGCTTACATTTAGTGAATAAATACATGAATAAATGTATCATTACGGAGCTCACAATTTTTTTCTTGGAGATATATTTTCTTTCTTTGCTGGATGAATAGATGGGTGGATGGATCAATTGATGGGTGGTTGAATGGATTCATGGATGGGTGACTATGTGGAAGGATGGGTGGGTGGGCAGATGGATCAACGTGGGGTGAATAGATGTGTGGATGTGTAAATAAATGTTTACATGGTTGGTTGGATGAATACTACAAATAGAATAGACACCTTTTTTCTTCTCCAAGGATTAGGGTTAATTTTGAATTCTAGTAGTCCCTGTTTTCTGTCTACACCACCCCCATGTGAATATCATGACTTTGGGATACGCACACATATACACATACACACATACACACACAGATATTTGGAAGTAACAGTGAATCTACAAGGATAATCGATGGTTATTTTCTGGGATGGACATTTTACAAAAGATGGCCTCCTTTTTGTATGAAAACACTTGTGAGGTTGTGTATTAGTCCATTCTCAAATTGCTATAAAGAAATACCTGAGGCCAGGCACGGTGGCTCATGCCTGTAATCCCAGCACTTTGGGAGGCCGACGCGGGTGGATCACCTGAGGTCAGGAGCTCAAGACCAGCCTGACCAACATGGAGAAACCCCATCTCTACTAAAAATACAAAATTAGCTGGGCGTGGTGGCACATGCCTGTAATCTCAGCTACTCAGGAGGCTGAGGCAGGAGAATCGCTTGAACCTGGGAGGTGGAGGCTGTGGTGAGCTGAGATCACACTATTGCACTCCAGGCTGGGCAACAAGAGTGAAATTCCGTAAAAAAAAAAAAAAAAAAAAAAAAAGAGGAAATACTGGAGACTGGGTAATTTATAAAGAAAAAAAGTTTAATTGGCTCACAGTTCTGCAGGCCGTGCAGAAAACATGGTGCTGGCATCTGCTCAGCTTCTGGGGAGGCCTCAGGACGCTTACAATCATGGTGGAAGGTGAAGCAGGAACAGGCACATCACATGGCCAGAGCAGGAATGAGAGGGTGGGGAGGGCTACACACTTTTAAACGACCAGATCTTGTGAGAACTCACTTCCGTGAGAACAGCCCAAGGGGATTGTGTTAAACCCTCCGTGAGAAATCCATCCTCATGATCCAGTCACCTCCCGCCAGGCCCCACCTCCAATACTGGGGATGACAATTTGACATGAGATTTGGTGGGGACACAGATCCAAGCCATTTCATTCTTCCCCTGGCCCCCCAAATCTCATGTCCTTCTTACACTGCAAGATACAATCATGCCTTCCCAAAAGTCCCCAAAGTCTTAACTCATTCACTCAGAAGGCCAGAGTCCCAAGTCTCATCTGAGAAAAGGCAAGTTCCTTCCACCTATTAGCCTTCAAGTTAGTTACTTCTAAGATACAATGGGGGTACAAGTCTTGGGTAAATATTCCCATTCCAAAAGGGAGACATTGGCCAAAAGAAAGGGGCCACAGGCCCCATGCAAATCCAAAACCCAGTAGGGCAGTCACTAAATCTTAAAGCTCCAAAATAATCTTATTTGACTCCGTGTTCCACATCCAGGGCACACTCATGCAAGGGGTGGGCTCCCAAGACCTGGGGGAGGTTGAGTGATATTTTCATCATCAATTCTCGTCTTTCTGATTAGTTAATCAAGTCCTGAATGCTCCTCTTTCTCCCCGTGCACTCCCAGGGCAATCTTGGTGAGGTCCTACTCATAGCGTCATCCGCAAGGATGGTGCCCCCTGGATGGTGCCCCCTGGATGGTATCCCCTGGAAGGTACCCCCTGGATGGTATCCCCTGGATGGTGCCCTCTGGATGGTGCCCCCTGGATGGTATCCCTTGGATGGTATCCCCTGGATGGTGCCCCCTGGATGGTATCCCCTGGAGGGTATTCCCTGGATGGTGCCCCCTGGATGGTGTCCCGGATGGTGTCCCCTGGATGGTACCTCCTGGATGGTATCCCCTGGATGGTGCCCCCTGGATGGTATCCCCTGGATGGTGCCCCCAGATGGTATTCCCTGGATGGTGCCACCTGGAGTTGTGCCCCGTGGATGGTGCCCCTGGATGGTGCCCCCTGGAGTTGTGCAATGCACAACACTGTGATCTGATCTCCAATGACCCCCTGTGTCAATGGGTCCCCAAATCTCCATCCCCAGCCCAGACTCCCTCATGAGCTCCAGAAACAGATATCCACCCATCCACTGCTCCCGTGGGACAGCATCCAGTACAGACAGTGCAAGTCAGAGCTGATCGAATTGCCAGCAAACCCAGTCCATCACCCACAGGTCAAGAATCCCAAGATACATTTTGCACAGGTTAGCTCTCACCCACATGTTTCAAATCATCCCTAGTTCCCCAATCTCCATTGTCACCACCCTGTTTTAAGCCACCACTCCCTCTTGCCTGGCCCAATGGGGTCCTAAGTGGGACATTGTGAGAAAATTATTTCTATTTTTTAAATTTTGTCTTTAAAAATGATGTATTTCTTATGCGCACGCGTGTGTGTGTCACATTGCTGCAGTAGCATGCAATTTACAAATAACTAGCTAACCCTCCTTGAAGACTCTGTTGAAAATGTTATTACTAAAATAGTTGAGTGAAATAGAGTCAGAGAATGACTAACTCGTTTCTAAGGTCATAGGCTGGTACCTCAGCTGCCTCATCTCTAAAACGGACATCAGAGCATGGGCCACCCTCAGAGATGTGTCAAGCAAGGGCACAGCCCTGGTCTTTTTAAAGCACAGACTATGGGGGATTGCTGCCTGACATTGAACCCCAGATCTGCTGCTGACCAGCTGGGTGAAGGTGCACAACTTACTGCCATTCCTGTCCTTCCATTTCCTCATACGAAAATTGAGATAATATTAGAACATACCTCAAATGAGCCTCAGTGACTGAATGGTACAGAGTAAGTGCTATAATACTGTTTATTAAACTAAACATAATACATAATTTTTAAGATCACGGAGTGGACTCAACTTTGGCAGACATGGGAACAGACAGGCATGCAGGAATGTTTCCCAGAAGGTACCACGAGCCCTCCTATGACAAGGGACCCAGCTGGAAATTCATTCCAATCAAGTTGCTGATTATGGCTAAAAGCACAAGGCTGCCCACTGTCCTCAGCGAAGTAACACAGGAAGAGAACACCAAATACAACATGTTCTCTCTTATGAGCGGGAGCTAAATATTGGGTACTCACGGACATAAACATGGGACCAATAAACACCGGGGACTTCTAGAGGGGAGAGGGACGGAGGGGGCAGGAGGTGAAAAGCCACCTATTGGGTACAGTGCTGATGGCCATTTATACCTCAAACCTAAGAGTTATGTAATATACCCACTTAACAAACCTGAGCATGGACCCCCTGGACTGACAATAAGAGCTGAAACAAAAATGAGGATCTGGGGCAGTGGGAACTGGAGTGATCCAGGGTTGTTATTTTGCCCGAGGGAGTGTGTGAGAGAGAGAGTGAGAGCAGAGAGGGGAATAAGAGAGAGAGAGAGAGAAGAGAAGAGAAAGAGAGAGAGGAGAGAGGAGGGAAGAGAGAGAGAAAGAAGAGGGGAGAGGAAAGAGAGAGAGAGAGGCAAGAGAACAGAAAGAGAGAGAGAGGAGAGAGAGGAGGAAAAGAGAGAGAGAAAGAAGAAAGGAGGGCCAGGCGCAGTGGCTCACACCTGTAATCCCAGCACTTTGGGAGGGCGAGGGTGCACTTTGGGTGGATTACCTGAGGTCAGGAGTTCGAGAGCAGCCTGGCCAATATGGTGAAACCCCATCTCTACTAAAAATACAAAGAAGTTAGCTAGGCATGGTGGTGGGCGCCTGTAATCCCAGCTACTCGGGAGGCCGAGGCAGGAGAATTGCTTGAACCTGGGAGGTGAAGGTTGCAGTGAGCTGAGATCGAGAAGAAGAAGAAGAAGAAGAAGAAGAAGAAGAAGAAGAAGAAGAAGAAGAAGAAGAAGAAGAAGAAGAAGAAGAAGAAGAAGAAGAAGAGGAGGAGGAGGAGGAGGAGGAGGAGGAGGAGGAGGAGGAGGAGGAGGAGGAGGAAGAAGAAGAAGAAGAAGAGGAGAGAGGAAAGAGAGAGGGAAGAGAGAGAGCGAGAGAGCAAGAGAGAGATGCAAGGAGCAGACAGCCTTTCTAAAGGACTCACAGGAGAAATAGACCCGGAACTCCAGACTGCCAAAGAGTATGAGGAGACCCAAAGGGGCTACGGACACAGAGAGTCCTGAGGTCAGTAGAGATGTGGGTGAGGCCAGACGATTGGTCCAGGCCTTCAATGTGGAGCTCACATCTTACTGCAGAGTCTGGAAAATTCCATCCTCTGCGGATCTCTCGACACCTTCCCCACGCACTTGCCTCCCCCATTCCAGCTGGGGTTTCCATGGCAACAACCTGAGCTCCTGCACCATTCGCTAGAAGGTTGGGAGCACCGAGTGAGCAGGGAACAGGGCAGAGGGACGGACATCAAAAGTGTCCGTATCGGCTGTTCATGTGCGTATTTTGCACACATCGAAATGCGTCAGCAGCAGCAGCGTCTCCGCAAAACGTAGAAAAATGGCTTCAGGGGCCACTGTGGATGTGGACAGAAATCCCAAATATCTTCTAAGCAGCAGCATTTCACGTCCTTATTCAGTCAGACATATTCATCGAGCCCCCCCATCCCTCCAGACACTGCTTTAGACACGGAGAGTGAAATAATGTGAAAAAAGGAGCCGGGGACTCTTAGGACAGACAGCTGTTCATGCCCTCATTTACGCATCCATCCATCCTGTCTTTCAGCTGGTATTTACTGGGCGCATACTTAGTGGTATACCCTGGCCAAGCGTGGTGGGTGCAGCAGAGAACGCAACAGATGTATTCACATGCTGGGACATGAGTATTCTAGCAGGGGTGATACATGGGAACATAGGTAAGATTTCAGGTGGTGGCGAGTGTTATCAGGAACAATAAGTCAGATTCAAAGAGCAGGGGTGGGGTGTTTTAGATTGGGAGTCAAGGATGCCTTCTTGGAGGTGGTGATATTTGAATCTCAATGGAGGGAGGGAACAATTATGGGAATATCAAGAAGAAAAACAGTCCAGACAGAAGAATGTATGTCTTGAAAAGCCATGAGGCTGATGACTGCCCAGCCTGAGGACCATCGAGGAAGCCAGTGTGGCTACGGTGGAGAGAGCAAGGGAAAAAGTGGATAGAGATTTGTCGGAAAGTGAAGTAGGGGCCTGATCATTCAGAACAAGATGGCTGATTGCCAAACTATGGCCTGCCTGCTTTTGTACAATACAGTTGTGCTGGAACATAGACACATCCATCATTTGTGTTTTGTCTAGGACCACTTTTGTGCTATAAAGGCAGAGTTGAGTTGCTGTAACCTAGACTGCGGGGAATCCCTTTTGCCACATCAGGTGACACTCACAGATTCTGGAAACTAAGACGTGGGGGGTCATCATTCAGCTCACCACAGATGGATGAGTAGATAGGTTAATGGATGGAAGGATGGTGGGTGGAAGTATGGATAGTAGAGTAGATGGATTAATAGTAAGGTGGATGATTGTATGGAAGAGTGAATGGATAGATGTGTATACAGATTGATGGGTGGTGGGTGGATGGCTGTATGGAATGATGGGTGGGTGGATAGGTATAGGGTGGATGATTGGATGGAAGGGTGAATGGATAGATGTGTATACAGATTGATGGGTAGGTAGATGGATGTATGGAATGATGGGTGGATGGATAGGTGTAGGGTGGATGATTGGATGGAAGGGTGAATGGATGGGGGTATGTGGATGGATGGGTGGTGGGTGGATGGATAGGTGTAGGGTGGATGATTGGATGGAAGGGTGAATGGATGGGGGTATGTGGATGGATGGGTGGTGGGTGGATGGATGGGGATATGTGGATGGATGGGTGGTGGGTGGATGGGTGTATGAAGTGATGGGTGGGGGGACAGGTGTAGGGTGCATGATTGGATGGAAGCATGGATGGATGGGGGTATGTGGATGGATGGGTGGTGGGTGGATGGGTGTATGAAGTGATGGGTGGGTGGTGATAATTGGAAGAATGACAGAATTAATGCATTAGGTGGGTTGTTGCATGGGTGGCTGAATGGATGGACAGTTGGATAGTTGTGTGCATTAGATGGAAGTGTGGATACATGGATGGGTGGATGGATGGGTGGGTAGGTGGAGGGATGGTAGGGATTGAAGAGATACTTGTCTCTCTTTGTTATAGGTCAGTTTTATTTCAAACAAACTCCCTGGATTCTGGAGCTGCTCCTCTGTGTTGGCTGCCAACACCTCCCACTGGTGGGAAGTCCTATTTTGGGCATTTAAATTTCTTGGAATAGGGGTTGGTGAATGAGGAGGGTGAGCAACAGATGGGCTAATTGTGTACACACTTCAGTGACACAGAATGGTTGAGTAATGCTTTCCTTGTTATGCTCCATCTTCCCGGTGAGGTTTCTCAGGCTCTGTCCTGGGCACTGTTTTCTCCACACCCTCCCTGGGAGACCTCACGGTGACACGCTGAGAGCGATGTCTCAGCCACTGTGTTGCAGCCTCCGCCACCATCCTCCCTCACCTGACTCTAAAGTGAGGTGGAGCAATTGGGAAGATACTATCAGAACTTTTATTTCACTATGTGTTTCATTTTCAACCTTTTGTTTTTTAAGTGTGTGTGTGTGTGTGTGTGCGTGTGTGTGTGTATTTTTGAGACAGGGCCTCACTCTGTTGCCCAGGCTGGAGTGCAGTGGCAAAATCATAGCTCATTGCAGCCCCCAACTCCTAGGCTCAAGCGAGCCTCCCGCCTCAGCCTCCTGAGTAGCTGGGACTACAGGCATGTGCCACCCCACTCGGCTGAGCCCAGCTAATTTTTATTTTTGTAGAAATGGGATCTCACTTTGTAGTCTAGGCTGGTATCAAACTCCTGCTTCAAGCGATCCTCCTTCCCTGGCCTCCTAAAGTGCAGGGATTGGAGGTGTGAGACACTGTGCCCAGTATTTAAAGGTATGTTTGTGGTTTTGTAGTGTGTATAAGGTCTCCAGTCAGAAATGCCTTTCCTATCTGTTCCTGCTATTTCCCCCTCCTTTGTCAGGAGCCATTTTCTTTTTCTTTCAGTGTCTGCTGCACAACCTTAGTGACCTCCACCACCATGATTCCTGGACGATTGCAACATCCTCCTCCGTGGTCTCACTCTTGCCCCTCCCCTATAGTCCCTTTTACACACCTTAATTTCACTCCAGAGTCTGGAAATTTCCAGCATCTGAGAGTCTCTCTGCCCACTCCTCAGCAACTTACCTTCCTCATCCAATCGCATTTCCATGGTGACCACCAGAGCCTGCTTCTGAGGTCTGTACCAAGTGAGAGTGTCTGTCGGGGGACAGGTCAGAGTGATGGACATCAGAGTAGCTTAGCTGAGAAGCGAGGCAGGGATCACAGGAATCATCCACCCACCACCCATCAATCTGTATACCCATCTATCCATTCACTCTTCCATCCAATCATCCACCTTACTATTCATCCATCTACTCTACTATCCATCCTTTCACCTACCATCCTTCCATCCATTAACCTCTCTACTCATCCATCTGTGGTGGGCTGAATGATGGTCCCCCAGTGATATCCACATCTTAGTATCTAGAACCAGTGGGTGTCACCTGATGTGGCAAAAGGGATTCCCTACAGTCTAGGCTACAGCACCTCAACTCTGCCTTCATAGCGCAGGAAGGGTTCCCACCACGGTCCTCCTGTCAGTGGTTCACCATGACTTCTGTTCCCGCTTCACCCCTGGATACACTCGTTCATTCATTCAAATGATATTTATTTGCAGATGGGTTCAGACCCCTTTGCCTCTCAATTGTTGTTTGAGTCACCACCTGTGACACCCTCATCTTTCATCATCCTAAAGAGAAGTTCTGTCTTTCTCCTGCGGAGCCCTTAATGGATCCCAGTGATCTTAGAAAAAACAGCTCCTTCCTTATCACAGTTTGCGAGCAGCAGGCGCCCACAGTGTGCCCAGAGGAGGAGCCCAGGGTGGTAGCTGTGTTGGAAGGAAGGACCACACAACTTATCTTAATGTCCCAGCCCCAAGGAACTAGCACATATATCTTCAGGTTACGGAAAATAAAAAGCAATATAAATTTCCGGAGTAATAAAAGTGAAATAGTTTACAGTGCTTTATGCCATTGCATGGGATTCTTCCTGCATTGTTCTAAAGAATTTCAGTTTGAGGAACATTTGTAGGGCACAGAGGAAGTGCCCCAGCTGACAGGCACTTAGGGCGAGACACTCACTAAGTTCCAAAGGTGGGTTCAGCTGGGTGCAGCGGCTTACACCTGTAATCCCAGCACTTTGGGAAGCTGAGGTGGGTGGATCACCTGAGGTCAGGAGTTCGAGAACAGCCTGGCCAACATGGTGAAACCCTGCCTCTACTAAAATACAAAAAAAAAAAAAAAAAAAAAATAGCTGGGCATGGTGGCAGGTGCCTGTAATCCCAGCTACTTGGTAGGCTGAGGCAGGAAAATCTCTTGAACCTGAGAGGCGGAGGTTGCAGTGAGCCGAGATGGTGCCACTGCACTCCAGCCAAGGTGACAGAGCAAGACTCTCTCAAACAAAACAAAACATATATATTTAAAAATGTATATTTTAAGTGAAATATATAAATAAAAATATAAAAATATATAATTACTTTATATAGGTATTTATTTATATATTATTTCTACATACATTATATATAGACACTTCTTTTAAAAATTACTCTGATCCTCCAAATATATAGATAAATAGATAGATAGAGAGATGTCAGTAACCCCCAAACATAGATGCTAGTAAAATGTGGTTAAATTATATATACATATATATTTGTAGAGTCAGAGTAATTTTTTTTAAGAAACGCTTATTGGTGAGGGAAGTTCCTGAGTCATCACCCTCCAATAGCTGTCAGTGCTATCAAACAGTATCAAGCCATCAAGTCTCCTCACCCCCATCTTCAGGGTCCATCTGTAACGCAGCCTCTGCTGAGCACCTAGCAGCCTCCCCTCCTATCTCTCTCCCCACCACTCATTATGTGCCGCTGTGTTGTCTGGGCACCTCAGGCTTCTTCCTGACTTTGCACCTGCCCACAACTTCTTCCCCAGATCTTCCCATTACTGGGTACTTCCGACCCTTTGGGAGTGAGTGCTACCGTGCATTCGCCTCCTCCAGGAAGTCTTCCTGACCTCCTTTTGAAAGTAATATTTGCGCAGTATGGCCATTTTCACGTTATTGATTCTTCCTATTGACAAAGGGCTAATATCCAGAATCTACAAAGAACTCAAACAAATTTACAAGAAAAAAAAACCACCCCATCAAAAAGTGGGTGAAGGATATGAACAGACACTTCTCAAAAGAAGACATTTATGCAGCCAAAAGACACATGAAAAAATGCTCATCATCACTGGCCATCAGAGAAATGCAAATCAAAACCACAATGAGACACCATCTCACACCAGTTAGAATGGCGATCATTAAAAAGTCAGGAAACAACAGGTGCTGGAGAGGATGTGGAGAAATAGGAACACTTTTACACTGTTGGTGGGACTGTAAACTAGTTCAACCATTGTGGAAGTCAGTGTGGCAATTCCTCAGGGATCCAGAACTAGAAATACCATTTGACCCAGCCATCCCATTACTGGGTATATACCCAAAGGATTATAAATCATGCTGCTATAAAGACACATGCAAATGTATGTTTATTGTGGCACTATTCACAATAGCAAAGACTTGGAACCAACCCAAATGTCCAACAATGATAGACTGGATTAAGAAAATGTGGCACATATACACCATGGAATACTATGCAGCTATAAAAAATGATGAATTTATGTCCTTTGTAGGGACGTGGATGAAGCTGGAAACCATCATTCTCAGCAAACTATTGCAAGGACAAAAAACCAAACAACGCATGTTCTCACTCATAGGTGGGAATTGAACAATGAGAACACTTGGACACAGGAAGGGGAACATCACACCCTGGGGCCTGTTGTGGGGGGAGGGGGGGAGGGATAGCATTAGGAGATATACCTAATGTAAATGACGAGTTAATGGGTGCAGCACACCAACATGGCACATGTATATATATGTAACAAACCTGCACGTTGTGCACATGTACCCTAGAACTTAAAGTATAATAATAAAAAAAAGAAAGTAACATTTGCCCGTTAGTATCACCTCACTCTGTTTCTTTCTTGCACTTAGAATCTTCTGAAATTATCTTCTTCCTGGGTTGAGTTTTATGTTTATTTTCTTTTCATTCTCACAAAATGGAAGATGCAGAAAGACAGGCTCTTTGCAGTTCTGCTCACCGTTGTACCCCGATGCGTGGAGCACAGACCAGCCTACCGGAGGGCTTCCTAAATAAGCACTTACACCCGAAAGAGTAAAGAATTGGATTCCTGCAGCCAGTGGGGAGCTGGTGAATGCTGGACAGCCAACTCTGGAGGCCGGGGTGGCGTGCCCGGTGGTGTTTGCCAGCTTCCATGGTGCAAATGCCTCCCCAGCATGGGCAGCTGCAGGAGCCGGCCTGCTCGCTGGGCATGGAGGTGGGAGGAGGTCAGCAGCCCCCACATCTACTGCAGACACAATGGATGTCAATCACCCCCAAACACAGACGCTAGTAAAATGTATTTAAATAACTAGGAAAGCGTATGTTTAGGGTGTTTCCTACCTTTGTTCTTTACGTCTTTTTTTTTTTTTTTTTTTTTTTTGAGACGGAGTTTCGCTCTTGTTGCCCAGGCTGGAGTGCAATGGTGCAATCTCGGCTCACCGCAACCTCCGCCTCCCAGGTTCAAGCGATCTTCCTACCTCAGCCTCCCGAGTAGCTGGGATTACAAACATGCGCCACCACGCCCAGCTAATTTTTGTATTTTTTAGTAGAGACGGGGGTTTCTCCATTTTGGTCAGGCTGGTCTCGAACTCCCGACCTCAGGTGATCCGCCCACCTCAGCCTCCCAAAGTGCTGGGATTACAGGCGTGAGCCACCGTGCCCGGCTTACGTCATTTATTTAATTTTGAAAGTGCATGGAGTGTCCTGTTTACTAAACGATGTGCTTAAACATCTCACAAACTTCCTGCGAGTTGACGCGTTGGTTCCTGTCCTCCAGTAGAAGCTGGCTCCAGCACACCCCTGCTGACAGCACTCTACAGTTTCCATCTGAATTCTGCTGGTGAGCCCTGCCCGGGAAGGATTCAGACTCAGTCCCCCACGACACTGAATCTCAGGCCCTAGAGTAAGATGTTCGGTCAGAAATGACCCCAGTCCCTACACAGCAGAGGGTGCAGTGACCTGGGACACGTTCCCCCTGCTCTGCGGCAGTGACGGCTACCCGGGGTGGGAGAGACGGGGGTGGGCGAGGGGTGGCCTTGGCCCCAGGGGTAGCCTTGCTCCTTCATGTGTATGGCCTGAATCCTTCCTGCTGCAGCTCGCGGAAGAGTCAGGGATGGAATGCAGGGGCTGCAAGAGGAGGAGGGGAAGGAAGGACCGTCTTGAGGTTTGGGCAGCTCTGCTGAAAACAGGAGTGAAGATTTGGGTAAGCTTGATGTGCAAACACCTCTCTGACACGATGTCATAAGGAGCATGTGTTGCCACTATCCCAAGCGTTTCCACACGCACGGATTCATTTCCTTTTTCCAGCCGCCCTGTGGGGTGGGACGCGTGGCGTCATTGTCTGCATCAGAAGTGGAAAGAGACTCAGAGAAGTGAGGCGGCTCGTCTGGGGTCACGTGGGAGGAAGCAATGCGCAAGGACCCTGCGGGAAGGCTTTCCCCCCTCTTTGCACGTGGGTCTTATTATTATTAATGTTATTTTTAGTTTATGATTTGTTGTATGATTTTTAATTTCATGATATTTATTTTTTATTTTATGGTATGTGCCTATGAACACCCACCTAGGACATGTAGGGAATAGGAGGTAGCGTGTACTATCAGCATTTAAAACACTGGAAATGGGTCTAGAAGAAGGTTGGCATATTCTGCAGTCCAGCATCCTGGCTGGACGCCGAGCTCCGGAGCCACGGACCGTGGCCTCAAACTCAGCCGAGGTGTTGCCTGTGTTCCTAAGCCATCCATTTCGCCATTACCTTCTTACAATTTCTGGAAACTTCCCCGCTGGCCTCCCAGAATGCACACACAGTAACTCTAAGAATAAAACGAGCACATCCACGTGGCTCAAACAGCGGCTGGGCACTCAGTCAATGCCGAAACCACTTAGTGCTGAGGTTTTAAAGTCTTACTTTCACTAATACATTTCTATTGGCAGAGAACAAACAAGATCCCCATTCTCCTGGCATCCGTACGAGCTGGTCACAGAGCATTTTGCTTTGCAACAAAAGACGTTCTTGTTTCAGTCCAGACACACTTGGGACAGGTAATGCTTTGAAAGGTACTTATTGCTTTTTTCAACAAACGTTTATTAAGTACCTACTTGTGCCAAGCTGAAGTTTTGAGTCCCCACCCTCCAAGTCTGGTTTTGGGGACTTCCTCTTTTCATTCCTCAACCCCCTCGCCTTCCGCACCCTGCTGCGGTTTCCCTGGTGACAGCCCGAGCCCGCCTCAGTGGTCCCACCAGGTAGGTGCTCCCTAGGGGAGGACAGGGTGGACGGATGGCAGAGGAGGATTGAGAGGCCAGGCCTGCTGTGCCTCAGCCGGGGACACAGGTGCCTCTTCCGGGCACACTAAAGCACGTCCTGAGCCAAGGTCTGCAGAACTACAGTTGCGCACGCCTCTGCAAACGGTTGGCGGTCACAGTGCCCTCTGAGTGGTACTGAAATCAGTATTATCTGCTCTCTCCACCCGCCCACTCCATGTATTGCTGGAGTCCTTGCCTTCTGCCAGGAACGGTTCAAGGTACGCAGAACGCAATGATCGTCAAACGCAAGCCAGCTCTGTCCTTGTTATGGGCTGAATCGTGTCCTACTCCCTCAAAAGAAATCCATATGTTGAAGCCCTGACCCTCAGTATCTCAGGATGAGATTGTATTTGGGGCTGGATTTTTAAAGAGGTGATTACCTTAAAATGAGGATTTAAGTGTGGGCCCTCTTTCAACGGGTGTGTGTCCTTATAAGAAGAGGAGATTAGGACACAGACACACACAGAGGGACGACCCCGTGCACGAGCCAAGGAGGCCTCAGGGGAAACCAACACTGCTACACCTTGACCTTGAACTTCCAGCCTCCAGAACTCTGAGAAAACAAATCCGTGCTGTTGAAGCCTCTCAGCATGCAGTGCTTTGCTATGTCAGCCCCTGGAAAATTCATACAGCCCATGTTCCCATGGGAGTCTTGTGGGACAGAGATCTTGATTAAAGAAAAAAAAAAGGGCTGGGTGCAGTGGCTCATGCCTGTAATCCCAGCACTTGGGAGGCCGAGGCCAGCAGATCACTTGAGGTTGGTGGATCACCTGAGGTCGGGAGTTCGAGACCAGCCTGACCAACATGGAGAAACCCCTATCTCTACTAAAAAAATACAAAATGAGCCGGGCGTGGTGGTGCATGCCTGTAATCCCAGCTACTCGGGAGGCTGAGGCAGGAGAATCCCTTGAACCTGGGAGGCAGAGGTTGCAGTGAGCCGAGATCATGCCACTGCACTCCAGCTGGGGCAACAAGAGAGAAACTCCATCTCAAAAAAAAAAAAAAATCTCTAGTACAGTCAGTAAACACACATAGCGCCTACCGGGCTCCAAACAATCGCTCCAGCTCCAGTCCCCGACCCTCCCCACGTAACCCTGCTCCCCAGAGGCACCAGCCTTCGCCCAGTCCTTTGGATGTGCACGCTCGTTCCCACCTCTGAACCTTGGCAGTTTGCCGTTTCCCTCCCCTGTCTCGCTCTCTCTGGATTTTCCCAGGCCTGGATTCTTCCTGATAGGTCATTCTTGATAGTCAAAGGTTTGCTGAAATGTCACCTTCTTAGAGAAATTCTCCCCACCTCTCCCACAACCACTATCATGTCAGCTTGCTTTACATGTCAAATGGTGTGTAGTGAGTGACTGCTATTAGCAATGACTCTGATTGATTTTTGTTCTGGTCGGCTTCTCATCTGCTGGAATAGAAGCCCCATGAGGGCAGGAATACGTGTCTTTACCCACGTATTCCCAGTGCCTAGCAAGGTAAATATCAATGGCATGAATGAATGAATGAATGAAGAGCTTCTCAGAGCACTCTGAGTCTCTGTTGTCACAGGTAGGTCTCTGAATTCTACTAAGCTCATTGCAGGGGAAATTCAGAGCTTTCTTGAATCAGGGAGGACTTGGACCACCTCCTTCTCACGCCCCTCTACACACTCACCTGGGCAGGGCAGGTGTGGGCCGGGGTTCCCTCCCTGTGGTCAGGTTGGACTGTACCACCTCTGGGTGTCCTGAGAATTCCTCCCCACTCTCTTTTGGCCACATAGCAGCAGGAAACCTCTGTTGGGGAAGGAGCGGTGTGGTTTCTGCTCATAGTTCCAGGGTTCAGTGGGTAGGGGTGGGGGTTGATGGGGACATGTCTAGCCTGAATCTTTCCTGCTCCATCCTACGGGAGGGCCTGAGATCTTCAATGCGATGCAAAGGAACAATGCAGACAGGGAGAGGAGCAGATGGGGCAGGGGAGGGATACAGCCCAGCAGGGTCTTCCAACTTGTACAGGAAGCTTATAAACTGAGGTGGTATTTTTTTGTTTTTTTGTTTTTTTGACATGGAGTCTCGCTGTCATCCAGGTTGAAGTGCAGAGGCATGATCTCAGTTCACCACAACCTCCACCTTCTGGGTTCAAGCAATTCTCCTGCCTCAAACTCCCCAGTAGATGGGATTACAGGCACGCACTACCACACCCGGCTCATTTTTGTATTTTTAGTAGAGACGGGGTTTCAACGTGTTGGTCAGGCTGGTCTCGAACTCCTGACCTAAAGTGACCTGCCCGCCTTGGCCTCCCAAAGTGCTAGGATTACAGGCGTGAGCCACTGTGCCCATCCTGATGTAGTATTTTTAGTCCGAGAAAAACACAATTTTCTAGCATAAATTTTCTTTTAATCTTGAACAATTGCTCATAAAGACACATCCTGAGGGCACACTGACCTCCAGATTCATCCAATGTCTCCATGGCTGTAAATCTTGACATTTTCAACTAAAAACAAGCAAACCTGATTTTTCCTAAGTGTTTCCAGCTAAAAGATGTCAATTGCTACAATTTAGTTTCCAGATGATCTGTCATTTTGAACAAACTTTAAACTTTAATATTGCACTACATTCTTAAATGAAACAAAAAAACTGCACAAATCTTTGCTTGTCACAGCCATCTATCATTTTATGAAACTGATGCCTGTCCTTCATTACTCTGAGGTTAAAAGCTTTTGTTCAGCTTGCCTGAGGTTTGAAAAAGAACTGTACTAGCTTTGCTTACCATACTTCCTACTTTTCATAATATATAGTATTAGACTGTATTTGAACTGATTACGAGGGGTATTTTGTGTTTATCCAAATGTAAGGATCATTTCTTGTAGTAATGGGCAAGATGCCTATTGCAGAATGCATAAGGTTTTTACCACAGTCTAAAATCATAAAAGTAAAAATATATTGATTACAAGTTTTCAGATTTTTTTCCAGGTTACTCGGATTTGATTCATGGCAAATACTCTTTATTTTTGTTTTTTTAAACAGGCTCATTCCCAAGTATATAAATTGTCAATGGTGGGAAAATATAAAGAAATTTCTTTTATGTAAAAAAAAAAAACCATGATAAAAAGAGAATCAGCACTCTGTGTTCAAAAATTATTTATGATATTTGTTACAGATTTATCTCTCTAATTATCATAATTGGGTTGCCACTTAAGACAATCTTTGTTTTAAAAATGTTGTGTATTGTTAAAATGTTATTACCCTGTGCAAGAAAATTGTTTGATCTATTTATACCTTCTCTTGTGGTAAAATTATTCTTAAATTGTTGTATTCCTATACTCTGAAGACATTTAAAATAAGTTTTCGTGCCTGTGTAAGTAGACTCTTCAGAAATTAATTGAAGAATTTGTTGTTTCTTTTGACAAAATACTTATGTAAATATTGGTAGTATAAAAATTTTGCATACCTTTAAGCATCAACTCTATGCATCCATGTTGGCAATGGGCAGTAAACTATGCAATCTCACAAAAAGTATTTGTTGTTTATCTGAAATTCGAATTTTACTGGGCAGCCTGAATTTTTATTTGCTCAATCTGGTGACTTTAAAAAGTGGCAAGAACAGTATTAATAATAGTGGCAAGTGTTTCTTAAATGCTTGCTAAGTACCAGGCCAGCTGATGTTCTGTGATATGCTTATAATATAATTTTTAATTTAAATTGTTTTCTTTTTTCTTTTTTTTTTTTTTGTGTGTGACAGTCTCACTCTGTCACCCAGGCTGGAGTGCGGCGGTGCAATCTCGGTTCACTGCAACCTCTGCCTTCCGGGTTCAAGTGATTATCCTGCCTCAGCCTCCCGAGTATCTGGGATTACAGGCGCCTGCCACCATGCCCGGCTAATTTTTGTATTTTTAGTAGAGACGGGGTTTTGCCATGCTGGCCAGATTGGTCTTGATCTCCTGACCTCAGGTGATCCATCTGCCTTGGCCTCCCAAAGTGCTGAGATGACAGGCATGAGCCACCGCGCTTGGCCCCTAATTTAAATTTTTAAGTTTTAAAATTTTCTAAAAGAGGTAGGAGGCCAGACATTGTAAACATAGTGATCCACATTTTTCAGAAGTGAAATGCATCCCTTGTGCATTTGCACATTCGGCAGTTATCTATGAGTTCCTGCTAAACCGCAGGCCACGCAGTGAGTCCGGGATCTGTGAGTTCCTGCTAACCCGCAGGCCCTGCACTGAGTCCGGGATGGATTTTCCAAATAAAGACGTTACCAACACCACAGAATAAGGTTCTAGACAAGGAACAAAGAAAGAAGCAACAGGTGTTTGAGGAAGAGAATAATGGATCTCATTTATTCTGACATATTTTTTAGATTTTAAAACGTTTGTCATAATTTAGTAAACAGCATTTTTCTTTTATCATGGTGCCTCGAATAATACGCATCTTAAAAATCCATGGCCTCGGCCGGATGTGGTGGCTCACGCCTGTAATCCCAGCACCTGGGGAGGCCGAGACGGGAGGATCACGAGGTCAGGAGATCGAGACCATCCTGGCTAACACGGTGAAACCCCGTCTCTACTAAAAATACAAAAAAAAATTAGCCGGGCGTGGTGGCGGACGCCTGGGGTCCCAGCTACTCGGGAGGCTGAGGCAGGAGAATGGCGTGAACCCGGGAGGCGGAGCTTGCAGTGAGGCGAGATTGCACCACTGCACTCCAGCCTGGGCGACAGAGCGAGACTCGAATCTCAAAAAAAAAAAAAAAAAAAAATCCATGGCCTCAAAAACAGCAACAACAACAACAAAAAAAAAAAACGGAAAAACAACAAATGAACGAGATAGTTAATATAGACATTTGAGTAATACCAATTGATTATTACTGTTAGGGAAAAATATTCCACAGCATTTTAGATTAGATTTTTTAAATGTTTAAATTGACGTGTAATAATTGTATGTATTTATTGGGTACAACGTGATGTTTTGATATATGTATACATTGTGGAATGATTAAATCAAGCTAATTAACGTATCCATTACTTCACCTACTTATCATTTTTTGTGGCGAAAACATTTAAAATCTACTATTCTAGTTTTGAAATACACGATGTGTTATTATTCACTACAGCTGCTATGCTGTATGATAGATCACTAAAACTTACTTCTCCTGTCTGAGTGAAACTTTGTACCCTTTGATCAACCTTTTTTTTTCTATCTCTTTTTCTTTCTTTTTTTTTTAATTGAGACGGAGTCTTGATCTGTCACCCAGGCTGGAGTGCAGTGGCACGATCTTGGCTCACTGCAGCCTCCGCCTCCTGGGTTCAAGCAATTCTCATACCTCATCCTCCCAAGTAGCTGGGATTACAGGTGTCCGCCACGATGCCTGGCTAATTTTTGTATTTTTAGTAGAGACAGGGTTTCACTATATTGGCCAGACTAGTCTTGAACTCCTGAACTCAGGTGATCCGCCCACCTCAGCCTCCCAAAGTACTGGGATTACAGGCGTGAGCCACCGCACCCGGCCTGTACTGAATATTTTAAAATTGCTAAGAGTAGATTTTAAATGTTCTCATCACAAAAATGGTAAGTAGGTGAGGTGATGGATAATTAGCTTGATATAACCATTCCAAATGTATACCTAGATCAGAACATCATATTGTACCACACATACACACACACACACACACACACACACACACGTTTCATTCTGTTACCAGTCAGGTCCAGGTCCACTCTGTGCACACACAGTAAATCAATCACTGACACAGGCTTTGCAAAAGAGAAAAGATTTATTTGCAAGAGCACCAAGGAAGGAGGTGGGAGAACATCTCTCAGATCTGCATCCCTGAAGGTGAGTCTTTGGGAGATGTATGGGTTGGGGGAGTGGATTGGCCTGAGGCTTGCGGAAAGGTGATTGACAGTGGCGAAAATGAAGTGACTGGTGCGTACTGCACAAGCATCGTCGGGCTTCATGGCATTTTATAGGACACGTGTACTGGAAATGGCAGTGCTGGCATGATCTGAGGGTGGAGTTTTTGGCCGCTTAGGTCAAAAGGCCATCTCTCCAGCAGTGTATTCACACTCCCTTTCCCCACATCATGGAAAACCAAAAAGTGCACACTGTCTCTTGTAAGTGGGAGCTAAGCTAGGAGTCTGCAAAGGCATATAGAGTGATGGAATGGGCTTTAGAGACTCAGGAGGCCGGGCGCGGTGGCTCACGCCTGTAACCCCAGCACTTTGGGAGGCCAAGGTGGGTGGATCACCTGAGGTCAGGAGTTCGAGACCAGCCTGGCCAACATGATGAAACCCCGTCTCTACTAAAAATAAAAATACAAAATGAGCCGTGCGTGTGGCGTGTGCCTGTAATCCTGGCTACTCTGGAGGCTGAGGCAGGAGAATCGCTTGAACCTGGGAGGCAGAAGTTGCAGTGAGCCGAGATTGCGCCACTGCACTCCAGCCTGGGCCACGGAGCGAGACTCTGTCTCAGTAAAAAAAGAAAGAAAAGAAAAGAAAGAAAGAAAGAAAGGAAAGAAAGAAGGAAAGAAAGAAAGAAAGAAAAGAAAAGAAAGAAAGAAAAAGAAAGAAAGAAGAAAGAAAGAAAAAAGAAAGAAAGAAAGAAAAGAAACTCAGGAGGAAGAGGGTGGGAGTGGTACTAGGAATAAAAAACTACATATTAGGTACAATGTACATGACTTGAGTGACAGGTGCACTAAAATCTCAGAATTCACCACTATATAATTGATGCATGTAACAAAAAACCACTTGTACCTCAAAAGCTACTGAAATAAAAATAAAAAAAAAACAAAAACAACAACAAAAAAAACCCAGCCATCTCTTAGGCATTTGCAGGGGCCCACTTGGAGGGCTGGTGGTCTCAACCGGTTTGAACTTGATGGGAGATTTCCCAGGTTCCTGAACAACAGAAGCAACCATTACCATGGTGACCAATGAATGTTATCTATCCAATAGCCAGTGAAGGTTAAATCTGAGCAGTCAGCGGTGCGGCCTTCAGCTACTATGGCCTTCAGCTTTGTGGAAAGAGGAACAAAAAATAACAGAAAACAAATGCCTGAAAGCAAGCGGAGCTGGCAGACCTGGTCAGATTAACCCTTCGGTTTCAATTTGTCAATTAAAAATAAAATTTTAGGCTGGGTGCAGTGGCTCACGCCTATAATCCCAGCACTTTTGGAAGCCGAGACGGGCGGATCACCTGAGGTCAGGAGTTCGAGACCAGCCTGACCAACATGGTGAAACCCCATCTCTACTACAAATACAAAAATTAGCCAAGCATATTGGGGTGCACCTGTAATCCCAGCTACTCGGGAGGCTGCGGCAGGAGACTCTCTTGAACCTGGGAGGCAGAGGCTGCAGTGAGCCGAGATTGTGCCATTGCACTCTAGCCTGGGACACAAGAGCAAAACTCTGTCTGAAAAAAAAAAACAATTAAAATTAAAATTAAATAAAAATTTAAATTGCAAAAAGCAGCCAGCCCTCAGCTCGCACCCTGGCTTAAGGCAACAGTCACCATCTGCTATTCTCTCTCTGTTTCTTGGTTGTGACTGGGCTCAGCTACCTCTGTTCTCGCTCATGCCCTCTCCAGTGGCTGCGGTCAGTGATGACGCTCAGGGCTGAGTCCTTTTGAAGGCGTCTGCGCCCACGTGTCATGCCCGACCTGGGAGGAGGTGGGCACTGGGCACTGGGATGGCTGGACACCCAGCATCTCTACCTCTGGGTGGTCCTCCCAAACAGCCTTTCCTGCGTGGCCACTTCTGCCCAGCTGGACGTCTTACCCCAGCTGCAAAGGAACGTTCCCAGGACAGTCTGGACGTGGTTTTACCCCATTTCTGACCCAGTCTTGGAAACCACGCAGCATTGCTTACGCCGCCGTGGGCTTCCTGTCACAGCTGGAACAAATCGCCACAGACTCGGACACTAAAAACAATACCCCTTCACTATCCTACAGTCCTGGAGGTCAGAAATCCCGCCCAGGTCTCACTGGGATGAAATCAAGGTGTCCATAGAGCTGCGTTCCTTCTGGAGTCTCTGGTGTGGGGGGAGAATCCGCCTCCTTTCCTTTTCCAGCTTGTGGGGACCACCCCACTCACATTCCCTGGCTCAGGGCTCCAGCTTCCCTCTTCAAGGCCAGCGTGGTTGGCTGAGTCCTTCTCACATCCATCCCTCTGGCTTCTTTAACGCCTTTTAAACAAACTTTTGTGATGACAATGGTTCCACCTGGATAATCCAGGATCATCTCCCGATATTAAGGTCTATTGATTAGCAACCTTACTCCCACCTGTATCCTTAATTCCCTTTGCCACCTAGTGTAACCTGTTCTCTGACCACTTCGTCCCCTGGGAGAATCCTACACTCCTTCTCCTGGACACCCACCCACATGCGTTTTCCGCAGCTCTCATGACAAAGCATCACAGACCAGGCACCTTAAAACAATGGACATTTGTTCTCTCACAGTCCTGGAAGCTCAAGCTGTGAAACCAAGGCGTTGCGAGTCTATGCTGCCTGCGAGGGCTTGAAGGGAGAGTCCTTTCTGGCATCTTCTAGCACCTGGCAGTTCCCAGTGCCCCTCGGCATGTGGCCACATCGCTCCAATCTCTGCCTCCATCTAACATGGTCTTCCTTCTGTGTCTGAGTCCTCTCCTCTTCTTATGAGGATATCAGTCATGTCAGGTGAAAGCCCACCCAACTGACTTGATGTTAATGTGGCTACCTCCCGTAAAGACCTTCTTTTCTTTTTTTTTTTCTTTTTTTTTTTTGAGACGGAGTCTCGCTGTGTCGCTCAAGCTGGGGTGCAGTGGCGCGATCTCAGCTCACTGCAAGCTCCACCTCCCGGGTTCCTGCCATTCTCCTGCCTCAGCCTCCCGAGTAGCTGGGACTACAGGTGCCCGCCACCACGCCCGGCTAATTTTTTTTTTTGTATTTTTGGTAGAGACGGGGTTTCACCATGTTAGCCAGGATGGTCTGGATCTCCTGACCTCGTGATCTGCCCGCCTCGGCCTCCCAAAGTGCTGGGATTACAGGCGTGAGCCACTGCTCCCAGCCAAGACCTTATTTTCAACGGAGGTCACATTCACAGGTACCAGGGGATAGGATGCCAACCTCTCTTTGGGGGATACACTGTAACCCATAATACCACCATCGATTCTATCTCTTCTACGTCCACCTGCTTCCCATGAACCTCTCAATGATTCCACTTTTGCATCCACCCTCTCCCCATGAACCTCTCAATCATTCCCCTTCTCTCCAGTCCCGCCGTCACCACCCATTGCCTTTTCATAGCCAATTACAACGGCCCCACCTTGGGGTCCTGTTCCCACTTCATACCTCCAATCCCTCTGTTAAAGGCCCTGTGTGCCAAAGGCTGGGTGGGGGATTAGGACACTGCTGGGCAAGCCTGGTCACCACACATGTCCTGTGCCTCACCTGGGTTCTCTCTCTTTCTTTCTTTCTTTCCTTCTTTCTTCTTTTCCTTCCTTCCTTCCTTCTTTTCTCTTTCTTTCTCTCTCTCTTTCTCTTTCTTTCTTCCTTTCCTTTCCTTTTTTTGAGATAGAGTCTTGCTCTGTCACCCAGCCTGGAGTGCAGTGGTGAGATCTCAGCTCACTGCAACCTCCGCCTCCCAGTTCAAGTGATTCTCCTGCCTCAGCCTCCCAAGTAGCTGGGACTAGAGGCACCCACCACCATGTCTGTTTAATTTTTGTGTTTTTAGTAGAGATGGGGTTTCACCATGTTGGCCAGGCTGGTCTTGAACTCCTGACCTCAGGTGATCCGCCCACCTCGGCCTCCCAAAGTGCTGGGATTACAGGGGAGTGAGCCACCACTCCCAGCCTGGGTTCTACCTTTTCTGAGACTCAACTTTCATGTCTACACTCTTCCCATCCTTCCGTCTGGGCAGATGGCACTGGAGGCTGGGGCAAGGGTGTCCAGCTCCTTCATCAGAACTACAAAATAAAAACAAATGAATGTGTATAATCGTGGTGTCCTCAGGGCCCTTCTGAGCCTAGTATAGAGCTTTCATGGAGAGTTTACTATTATATGTGCTGCAAACAGTGATGAACACTGGCACACACTCTACCTCCTCGTTATGGGTTGGATTTCATATCCCACAAAAACATATGTTGAAGTCCTGACCACTAGTACCTTAGAATGTGAAAACAGGGTCACTGCTGATACAATTAGTTACAATGAGGTCCTCCTGTAGTAGGCTGGGTCCCTGATCCCACAGGACAGATGCCTTTAGGAGAAGACAGCCAGGTGAACGCAGGCACACTGTAAAGATGGGGGATTGGGATGATGTATCTACAAGCCAGCAAACCGCCAAAAGCTAGGGAAAAAGCAAGAAACGAAAAGAGTCTCCCTCAAAGTCCTCAGGAGGAACCAGCCCTGCCAACAACTTGATTTCAGACTTCTGGCCTCCAGAACGATGAGAGAATACATTTCTGTTGCTTTAAACCATCCAGTCTGTAGTACTTCATCACAGCAGTGCTAGGAAACAAATGCACTCCTGTAACCCCTCGCGATGAATACACTTCTGCACACTTTGCAACAAATACGCTTCTGTAATACACTTTTGCAAACCTTGCAACAAATATACTTCTGTAAATTTTGCAAGAAATACACTTCTGTACAGAAGTGGTATCACTGGCCAGGGGTGGTAGCTCATGCCTGTAATCCCAGCATTTTGGGAGGCCAAGGTTGGCGAAATGCTTGAGCCTGGGAGTTTGAGACCAACGTAGGCAACAAAGGTGAAACCCTGAGTCAAAAAAAAAAAAAAAAGATTAGGCTGGTGTGGTGTGGTGTGGTGGTGCACACCTGTAGTCCCAGCTACTCAGGAGGATGAGCCAGGAGGACCACTTGAGCCCAGGAAGCGGAGGTTGCAGCTGAGCAGAGATCGTGCCACTGCACCCCTGCCTGAGCGACAGAGCAAGACCCTGTCTAAAAAAAGAAAAAAAAAGTGGTGTTGCTGCTGCATCCTATTTTATAGAGGATGAAATGAGAGAGCAAGCAGCAGGCAGAAGCAGATTGAGGCATCCAAGGGAGGTCAGGCAAGGCTCGCCCTGCAGCACAGACTGTCACCGCTCCTCTCTCCCATCCAGAATCCACAGAAGCTCTCCCCGTGACCTCCAGTTCTCATCCTCTGCCTCGGATGCCACCATCCTGGATCTGACTCCAGGAGCTGCCGTTCTCAAGCTGTCTGACCTTGGACCTCCCGACCAAGCCTCAGTTTCCTCATCCGTTAAATGGAGATAATTATAGCATACGCCATAGGGTTGGTGGAATGACTAATTGAGAAAATCCATGAAAGCTCTTAGTCTGTTTGGGCTGCTGCCATAACAAAATGCCACTGACTGGATGGCTTATCAACAACAGAAGTTTACTCCTCACAGTTTGGGAGGCTGGAATTCTGAGATCAGGATGCCAGCATGGTCTGTTTCTGGTGAGGCCTCTTCCTGGTTTGCAGGTCATCATCATCCTCATACTGCATCCTAACATGGTAGAGAAACGGATTTTCTGTCTAGGCTGTCTTTATAAGGGCACTAATCCATTTTTCTCTCTCCTTTTTATTTATTTATTTATTTATTTATTTATTTATTTATTTATTATTTTATTATATATTTTTTGAGACAGAGTCTCGCTCTGTTGCCCAGGCTGGAGTGCAGTGGCGCAATCTCGGCTCACTGCAAGCTCCACCTCCTGGGTTCACGCCATTCTCCTGCCTCAGCCTCCCGAGTAGCTGGGACTACAGGCGCCCGCCGCCACCCCACCCGGCTAATTTTTTATATTTTTAGTAGAGACAAAGTTTCACTATGTTGGCCAGGCTGGTCTCGATCTCCCGACCTCGGGTGATCCACCCACCTCGGCCTCCCAAAGTGCTGGGGTTACGGGTTTGAGCCACCGCACCCGGCCTGTTTTTATTTTTTGTTTGTATATGTGGCTATAGAACAGTTCTGTATTCGGATATGATGATAGTCACATGAATGAGATACACTTTCATAGAATGATACCTCGAGGAAAAAAACTGGTGAAATCAGAAAAACAAGTATGTGCAGGTCTATTACATGCATATATTGCATGATGCTGAGAGTTGGGGTATGACTGAACCTGTCACTCAGGCACTGAGCGTAGTACCTAATAGATAGTTTTTCAATCCTTACCCCCTCCCTCCTCCCTCTAGTAGTCTACAGTGTCTATTTTTCTAATCTTTATGTCCATGAGTACCCAATGTTTAGTTCCCACTTAAAAGTGAGAACATGTGGTGTTTGATTTTCTGTTCCTGTTAATTTGCTTGGGATAATGGCCTCCAGCACCATCCACGTTGCTGCAAAAGGCCATGATTTCATTCTTTTTTATAGCTGCATAGTATTCCATGGTGCACAGGTACCATATTTTCTTTATCCAGTCCACCACTGATGGGCCCCTAGGTTGACTCCACGTCTTTGCTATTGTGAACAATACTGTGATGGACATATACACGCGTGTGTCTTTATGGTAGGACAATTCGTATTCCTTTGGATATATGCCCAACAATGGGATTGCTGGGTGGAATGGTAGTTCTGTTTTAAGTTCTTGTGCAAAGAATTCCTTGCCATGGAATTCCTTGCACCTGCTTTACCTCTTCCTGCCTCGGGGCCTTTGCACTCCCATCTGTCCCCCTCTTCCTACCCCAGAGAGTCCTGAGAATGTGACTCTCTCCCTCACTCAACTTTCTGCTCAGCCATCACCACTTCCTTAGCATCCTGCATCTAAAGCAGTCCTGCCGTGTTAATATCTTTGGATTCCCTGCTGTATTTTTCTTCATAGGCCTAATGGACTTTCTGATGGTATAATACGTGAAATATGTGAGTTCATTTTCTGTCTCCTTTGCTGCAAGGCAGCCCTTGCAAGGCCTGTCTTACTCCTTGCTGTTTCCCCAATGTCTAGCATGATACCTGCCTCCTAGAAGAAAATCAACATCTTTTAAAAATAAATGATCTAACTTTTGGAATGAATGGATCCACCTCCCACACAAACAGAGCGCAGGAAGGCAGGCTCGGCCCCATTTGCCGGACATTTATTTTCTGCCCACGGACAAGGGCTTGACCTGCAGAAAGTCTCAGTCAATGTTTATCAGATAACTTGAATTCTGATGATAGATAATGCTGTTATTGCCAGAAGATGCAGGAGATACGTGATTTCTAACTGACTCTGCAGAGACCCTCACATGCATGGGTTTTTTTTTTGTTTGTATGTATGTGAGATCTTTTCAAAAAATTATTTTTAATAGGTAAATACTTATTGTACATATTTATGGAGTACGATGTGATGTTTTAATATACGTGTGCATTGTGGAATGATGAACTCAAGCTAATTAACACAGCTATCACCTCACACAATGTATTGTGTGTTTTCAAATTGCTAACAGAATAGATTTTATTTTTTATTTATTTTATTTTATATATTTTATTTATTACTTATTTATTTTTTGAGGCAGGGTCTCACTCTGTTGCCCAGGCTGGAGTGCAGTGGGGCGATCTTGGCTCACCGCAACCTCCGCTTCCCAGTTCAAGCAATTCTCCTGCCTCAGCCTCCCTAGTAGCTGAGATTACAGGTGCCCACAACCGCCCCCGGCTAATTTTTGTATTTTTAGTAGAGATGGGGTTTCACCATGTTGGCCAGGCTGTTCTCGAACTCCTGATCTCAGGTGACCCACCTGCCTCGTCCTCCCAAAGTGCTGGGATTACAGGCGTGACCCACCCCGCCTGGTTCAGAGAATACATTTAAAATATTCTCTCCACAGGCACATTTCTCTTCTTCTGCAAACCCCTATTCAAAGGCACGCAAAGGCTGTGCATGAATGATAGATGGGGGTTTGCAGACTTGAGCCCCTTGGGTCTCTTTCCCTCTTTCCTTCCCCTCCCCTCCCATGCCCACCACCATCTCTCAGGGAGATTAATCAACCTATGTGACCTGCTCCCTCTCCTGACCGTTTATCTGCCCTTAGCAACAGAGGGAGGCTCAGACTATCACCATGGAAACTGCAGCTGGAGGGCGGAAAGGTGGGGGGAGCTGAGGAAGGGGCCGGGAGGGCCCCGGAAACTGGAATTTTCCAGTCTTTGGAGTTGGTTCTTAACCATGACCTCTGACACAGTAGACCTGTATGAAGCATTTATTGAAAGAATAAAGAACTGAGCCCCAAGGAGTGGGAGTCCCCCACTCACTTTTCTCTCCGATGAGTAATGAAGCCCCTCGGCTGGGCAGATCCCAGGACAGTGAACACCGAGACCAGTGACAGCTGCCTTCATCGCGTCTTCTCTTATTTTCATCTTAATGAAGTTCAAAATCATTAACACGTATCAAGCACGGATCCCGAGCTAAGGGTTTGCTATGGTCTGAATGTGCCCCCAAAATTCATGTGTCAAAGTCTTAACCCCAAGTGCGATGGTGTTTAGAAGTGGAGCCTTTGGAGACGATTAGATCATGAGGGTGGGGTCCTCAGAAACTGAATTAGTCGGCTGGGCATCGTGGCTCATGCCTGTAATCCCAGGTAGGCTGGGCACGGTGGCTCACACCTGTGAACCCAGCACTTAGGGAGGCCAAGGCGGGAAGATTGCTTGAGGCCAGGAGTTTGAGACCAGCCTGAGCAACATAGCAAGACTCCATCTCAACAAAAACTTTAAAAATTAGCCAGGAGTGGTGGCGTGTGCCCATAGTCCTAGCTACTCAGGAGGCTGAGGCATAAGGATCACTTGAGCCCAGGAGGCTGAGGCTGCAGCAAGCTCTGATCATGCCACTGCACTCCAACCTGGGTGACAGAGCAAGACCCTATCTCAAAAAAAAAAAAAAAAAAAAAAAAAAAAAAGCCGGGCTTGGTGGCTCATGCCTCGGAGAGATGGAAACACCTGCCCAAGAACACACAGTTTTATTTATTCACAAAAATAAATGAGAAACGAGTCGGTTCTAAGCTAAAAATTTTAAGTGCACACTCAGTCTGATACAAGATTCCAGAATATTCCATCCTCTGAGGTTCTGTCTACTGATTTTCAGCCACCTCCACTTCCTCATCCCGGCTGCAGTTTCCATGGTAACAGATGGAGTTTGCCTGGGTTGCTAAGAAACAAGAGCCCCGAGGAAGGACCAAGATGGGGCCGCTGTCGTTAACCCAGCCTGGGTTAGGAGGGGATGAAAGGACCAGGGGAGGTTCTCCAGCCTGCAGGCCCTCGCCCCTACTTCATTTATGTTCAAATACAAAGGAGCGTTGCGGAATGGGAGCGAGGTCGGGGAAGCGGCCCCACTTGTCCTGTGGACGTCTCCGGGACCCACTACTCTACTGCAGGCTCCGGTGGTCTAGACATTACTTGTTCCCTCATTCACTCATCGAGTCAGTCAACAGACACCAGTTGTGCATCAGATGCTGTTCTAAGCATGCAGGATAAAAGGGAAGTTAAAACGGGCACCATCTCTACTCCTCCAGGACTTAGGCAATCAGAAGAGTCATTCATTCCTTCCAAATATTAATTCACTCCTTTAACAAGTATTTAGCATTCCCACTCTGTGCTAGGCATCCTGCTACACACAGGATTCCGGTGAGCCCATGCCCTCCGAAAGGCTTCATTCTAGTGACAGAAACAGGAAAAAAAACTGTCAGAGGGTGAGAAAAGTTAAGTCCCAAATTAATGTGGAGGATTGGGGTAGGGAGCTATTTTCACGCAAGTGGTGAGAGAGGATCTCATAGACTTGAAATGCGAGAACCAGCTGCGGCACCACCCGAGGTGGTGTTTGCTGAGCCAGGCACAGTGATGGCCGTTCCCAACCGTGGCCACCATGCCTCAAACCATGAGAATAAGATCAGATGCTCTTAAAATTAGCAGACAGCTTGTTAAAGAATGTTCCAGAGACACTATCTGCCAAAAAGACTGTGAACATTTGACACCTTTTAATATATTGGAAATGGGTGTCTCAACATCATTCGCTATGCTGAGCTGCTTCCAAGAAAACCATTAAGTCTCTTTGATTGATGGTTCCGTTCATAGCTCTTGGGCTTCGTTGGGCATTTTACTCATGAATCAGGAGGGCACTTGGCGGGGCTGGTGTTATGCTCACATTGTGACTCTTGTTTTCAGAATGCACCAGCTTCAGTTACAGTATTCCTCCTCCCTGTGCTTTCCTTCTCGTTCTCACAAAAGCTTTGAGCATCTCCCACCATCTGGATCAATCTTAAGTCATTCTAGTTCTCTTCATCCATTGTCTACTCTAGACCCGATAGCGGCCATCTTCCCCTGGAGAAGGACATTGGCCAGAAATTAGGCTCCTGTGTCAGTCAGGAACCTTGAGGACACTATGCCAAGTGACATAAACCAGACACACAAAAAATCAAATATCGTATGATTCTGCTGATACGAGGTACCTGGAGTTGCTGAATTCATAGAGAGAAAGTAGAAAGCTGGTTGCCAAGACCTGGGGGAGGGGGAAAGGGGAATGAGCGTTTAACAGAGACAGAATTTCCATTTGGGAAGATGAAACAGTTCTAGAGATGGATGGCGGTGATGGTTGCACAGCGATGTGACTGTACCTAATGCCACTGAATTGTACACTAAAAAATGGTCAAAATTGTGGATATTATGTATATTTTATTGCAATAAGAAAAGAATCAGATGGCATATTTCTAAATCAGCTGGAGTCACAAATGATTTTTTAATTATTTAAGTAATCATTTTGAAACGGAGGTCTCACTATGTTGGCCAGGCTGCAGTGCAGTGGCTATTCATAGGTGTGATCATAGCTCACAGAAACCTTGAGCTCCTGGGCTCAAGCGCTCCTCCCACCTCATCCTCCCAAGTATGTGGGACTGCAGGTGTGCACCACTGTGCAAGCTACAAATGATTTTTTAAAAGGCAATGATCAGCACATGATGAAGTGAACAGCCATGTTGCGAGGAGGCCACACAGCAAAAAACTACTGACAAAAATGTGGGACCTCAGTCCTACAGCCTTAAATGACTGAATTCTGCCAACAACCTGGTGAACTTGGAGGAGGACTCTGAGCCCCTGAAAGGAACTGCCCAGCTGAGGTCTTGACTCCAGCCTCATGAGACACACAGAGTCTCAGTTAATATGTGTAGTTTCCACCACTAAGTTCAGATGATTTGTTACACAGCAATAGATAACTCATACATGAAGTGACTGGCTGAATAAATAATTCCTTTTTGTTTTTTTGAAACACGCTCTCACTCTGTTGCCTGCACTGGAGCACAATGGCACAATCTCAGCTCACTGCAACCTCTGTCTCCCGGGTTCAAGCCATCCTCCCACCTCAGCCTCCCAAGTAGCTGGGACTGCAGGTGCATGCCACCATGCCTGGTTAATTTTTTTGTAGAGACAGGGTTTCACCATGGTGCCCAGGCTGGTCTCAAACTCTGGAGCTCCAGCGATCTGCCTGCCTCAGCCTCCCAAAGAACTGGGATTATAGGTGTGAGTCATTAAGCCCAGCAAGTGCTTTTTGTTATTGTGGTTGCTGGTCCACAGTTAGAGTTACTGTTATATAAACCAGCTAGTAAACAATTAGCCCAAAACTGTACTTGACTCACGTTTCAGTGGCACAAAGCCTGTTTTTAGAAGTCAACATGCTAAGGAGGAGAGTAGAAATGGTTTTGCTCCTTTTGTAAAGACTTTCAAACTTAAATAATTGGAGAGAGTCTGCCTTAAATAACGATGTCTTTTTCATGTGCTTGTTGGTCATATGTGTGTCTTCTTCTTCTATATATATATATTTTTTTTTGACGAAGTTTCACTCTTTTTGCTCAGGCTTGAGTGCAATGGCAAGATCTCGGTTCACTGCAACCTCCCTATCCCAGGTTCAAGTGATTCTCCTGCCTCAGCCTCCTGAGTATCCAGGATTACAGGCGTCCGCCACCACGCCCGGCTAATTTTGTATTTTTAGTAGAGATGGGGTTTCACCATGTTGGCCAGGCTGGTCTCGAACTCCTGACCTCAGCCTGCCTTAGCCTCCCAGAGTGCTGGGATTACAGGCCTGAGCCACCATGCCCAGATCTGCATGTCTTCTTTTGAAAAAATATCTGTTCATATACTTTAAGCACTTCTGAAAGGGGTTGTGAGATGCAAATCAAAGCCGCAATGACACACCTTCTCACTCTAGTCAGAATGACTATTATTGAAAAGTCAAAAAATAACAGATGCTGGTGAGGCTGGGGGGAAAAAGGAGCACTTACACACTGCTGGTGGGAATGTAAATTAGTTCAGCCACTGTGGAAAACAGTTTGGAGATTTCTCAAATAACTTAAAACAGAAGTACCATTTGGCTCAGCAATCCCATTATGGGGTATATACCCAAAGGAATATAAATCATTCCATCATAAAGACACATGCACGTGTATGTTCATCACAGTACTATCAACAATAGCAAAGACATGGACTCAATCTAGATGCCCATCAACAGTGGACTGGAGAAAGAAAATGTAGCATAGATACACTATGGAATACTACACAGCCATGAAAAAGAGATTGTGTCCTTTGCAGTAACATGGATAGAACTGGAGGTCATTATCCTTATTGAACTAACACAGGAACAGAAAACCAAATACCACATGTTCTCACTTATACGTGAGGGCTAAACAATGAGTGCAAATGGACACAGAGAAGGGAACAAAAGACACCAGGGCCTATTTGACGGTGGAAGATGGGAGGAGGGAGTGGATCAAAAAGCTACCTGTTGGGTATGATGCTCTTTACCTTGGTGATGAAATAATCTGTACACCAAACCCCCACGACACACAATATACTTCCGTAACAAACCAGCACACGTACCCCTGAACCTAAAATAAAAGTTAAAAAATAATAAGAAGAGGAAATGAGAATCTCTTTCCCAAGGTCCATACGCAAGTGTCAATCCAGAGGGGACCCACAGAGAAACCTGGCTCTTAGGAGATTTGGCACTGGGCTGACTGCTGTGTGTTCATCACCTCCATGAGAGAGTCTCACTGAGGAATGAAGAGCGACCATGCTATTGTGGACAAAGACCCACATTTTCACTCAGTGACTTATCACAAAGGAAGCATACAGCGTGAGCTCAGAGCCTGGAAAATTCCAGTCTCCAAGCTCTCTCTTTGCTCCCTCGCAGCCCCCTCCCCTTTCCCAGTCTTGCTGCAGTTTCCATGGCAACAGCCTAAGCCCTTTATGATGAAAAACCAGGTAAATGTTGCTGAGTGGAAATGGAAGCGCTACTGATGTCAGACCTGCAAGGAAGCGGAGATGAAGACGATTAACCCCGCAGAGACCTCACCAGTGGTTCATGTACATCTTTATTTTTAATTTTTTCATTATGGTAAAATATAGGTAACATAAAATGAACCAATTCAAAGTGTAGAGTTCTGTGGGGTTAAATACATTCACATGGGTGAGTGAATCCATCTCCAGAACGCCTTCGTTTTCCCAACTGAAACTCTGCATCCATCAAACATGAACTCTCCATCCCATCTCCCCCAAGCCCCTGGCTGCCACCATGCCACCTTCTTTCTGTCTCTGTGAAGTTGCCTCCTCTAGGGACCTCATATAACTAGGATCATACAGTCTTTGTATTTTTGTGACTGCGTAATTTAAGTTAGCATGATGTCCTCAAGGTTCCCCCATGCTGTAGCATGTGTCAGAATTTCCTTCCTTTTTACAGCTGAACTACAGGTTGAGTATCCCTTACCTAAAATGCTCAGGGCCAGGAGTGTTTTGGATTTCAGATTTTTTCAGGTTTCAGATTATTTACATTTATTTATTTATTTTGGGATGGAGTCGGCCTCAGTCTGTCGCCCAGGCTGGAGTGCAGTGGTGCGATCTCGGCTCACTGCAACCACCACCTCCCTGGTTCAAGTGATTCTCCTGCCTCAGCCTCCTGAGTAGCTGGGATTACAGGCATGCGCCACCATTCCCAGCTAATTTTTGTATTTTTAGTAGAGACAGGGTTTCTCCATGTTGGCCAGGCTGGTCTCGAACCCCTGACCTCAAGTGATCCACCCACCTCGGCCTCCCAAAGTGCTGGGATTACAGGCGTGAGCCACGGCCTCTGGCCAGATTATTTACATTTATACTTACTGGTGGAGCATCCCTAATCTGAAAATCCAAAATCCAAAATGCTTCAATGAGCATTTCCTTTGAGCACGACCGTTGAGCTGCATGTCTGCACTCAAAAAGTTTTCAGACTTTGGAGCATTACGGATTTTAGATTTTCCGATGAGGGATGCTCAGCTTGTACATTCTGCTGTGTACAAACCACATTTTGTTTCTCTTCATCCATGGATGGACATTTGGGCTGCTCCCACCTTTTGGCTCTTGTAAATGATGCTGTTGTGGATATGGGTGTACACATATCAGTCTGAGTCGAGTCCTTGCTTCCAACTGTTTGGGGTCTCTATGCAGAGGCAGGGTTGCTGGGTCATATGGAAATTCTCCACTTAATTTTTTAGGAACTGCAAAGTGTTTTCCACAGTAATTGCATCATTTTACATTCCCACCTGGTATACAGTAGGTGCTTACTACAGCCTTGTCGATCTGAATTCTATCAGCTCTTCTCAACGTTTCTATACAGCAAGAACAACGGGTGTTCAGGACTCTAAGCGCTAATGCAAATTCTCCGGACGTCCCTTTCCAGCAAGGCTGCTGTTCCAAGCCCCTCCAGAAAAGCATTCTGTAGCTCCTACTGATTATGGGCCATGAGAAGGAGTGGGAGTTTTATTCTGAGAAAATAGTAAGAACTGATTGCAGAGTTAGGCACGGGAGGCGGATGCTCCGATTTTCCTTTGAAAAGGATCAGGGCCTTTCGAAAAGCAACTGCGGAATTTCAAGGACAGACGTTCTCTGGTCACAGGGTTGTTTGTGCAGCGGGGCCTTCAGGATGAGATGGATGGGACAACTGAGGGCTGGTGGGTGGCTCACACTTGTACCCCAGCTCTTTGTGAGGCCGAGGCAGGAGGATCATTTTTGAGTCCAGGAGTTTGAGACCAGTCTGGGTAACATGGTGAGACCATGTGTCTACCGACAAAATGCAAAAAAGTTAACTGGGTGTGGCAGCATGTGTCCGTGGTCCCAGCTACTCAGTAGGCTGAGGTGGGAGGATCGCTTGAGCCTGGGCGGCAGAGGCTACAGTGAGCTGTGACTGCACCACTGTACTCCAGCCTGAGCAACAGAGCAAGACCCTGTCTCAAAAAAATAAATAAATAGATAAATAAATAAAAGACAACTAAGGGTCCAGGAATGGGAGAGGCGTCTGGGCACCACTCCCAGCTCTGTGTGTGTGAGCTTGTTATCCCTCCCTTTCAGGAATTGCCTTTTTCTCTGCCCATGGACTGGTTATTCTTGGCTCTCTCTCCCTCTAAAACGCCTCTGCCACCCAAACACTTGAAAATACGATCCCGGTCTCAAGGAAGACAGCCAGCCTCCATTCATCAGTTCTCTGCTTTCCGCGACGTCAGCCTGGCTCGGCCTTGCCCCGCAGCCCACACGTCCCATCCATCTCGTCCTGAAGGCCCCGCTGCACAAACAACCCCGTGACCAGAGATCGTCTGCCCTTGAAAGTCCGCAATTGCTTTTCGAAAGGCCCTGATCCTTTTCAAAGGAAAATCGGAGCATCCGCCTCCCGTGCCTAACTCTGCAATCAGTTCTTACTATTTTCTCAGAATAAAACTCCCACTCCTTCTCATGGCCCATAATCAGTAGGAGCTACAGAATGTTTTTCTGGAGGGGTGGGAACAGCACCTTGCTGGAAGGGGATGTCCAGAGAATTTGTATGGAAGTTTAGAGTCCTGAACACCCATTGTTCTTGATTTATAGAACTGTTGAGAAGAGCTGATAGAATTCAGATCGACAAGGCTGTAGTAAGCACCTACTGTATACCAGGCCTGTGGTCTGTGCTTGAAATGAGACACTCTTATAGGCTATAAAATGTATTTTAGGCCAGGCACGGTGGCTCACACCCGTAATCCCAGCACTTTTGGAGGCCGAGTCGGGTGAATCACCTGAGGTCAGGAGTTTGAGAGCAGCCTGGCCAACCTGGTGAAACCCTGTCTCTACTAAAAAGACAAAAATTAGCCAGGCTGTGGTGGTGGGCACGTGTAATCCCAGCTACTTGAGAGGCTGAGACAGGAGAATTACAGGCCCCCGCCACCATGCCTGGCTAATTTTTGTATTTTTAGTAGAGATGGGGTTTCACCATGTTGCCCAGACTGGTCTCAAACTCCTGACCTCAGGTGATCCTCCCGCCTCGGCCTCCCTAAGTGCTGGGATTACAGGCGTGAGCCATCACCCCCAGCCATCTTTCTTTTCTTTGTGGGAAGAGTGGGCTCCTTCTTCCTGGAGCATCCATGTGAGTGAGATTGAGCAAGACCCCTGTCTCAGTAGACGGAAGCCCTTTCTACCCATTCGTAAAGGCGGGACCAGGGCCTCCACCTGGGGTCCTCCTCTCCAGGCTCCATGCTTAACGTCTGTCATGGAGTCCCGCGAGGTGGCCTACAGAACCGCCCCTGAGGGTGGCCCATCCATGTGAGGTCCTGGCCACCACCCTGTACCACAGAACCTCCCCTGAGGGTGGCCCATCCATCGGAGGTCCTGGGCACCACCCCGTACCACAGAACCTCCCCCGAGGGTGGCCCATCCATCTGAGGTCCTGGCCACCACCCCGTACCACAGAACCTCCCCTGAGGGTGACCCATCCATCTGAGGTCCTGGCCACCACCCCGTACCACAGAACCTCCCCCGAGGGTGGCCCATCCATCTGAGGTCCTGGCCACCACCCTGTACCACAGAACCTCCCCTGAGGGTGGCCCATCCATCTAAGGTCCTGGCCACCACCCCCTACCGGCCACCAGCATCTCCTGGCTCCGAGTGTTGCAACAGCTTACTGAGGGGTCCCTGGAATACCCTGGGCTTTGGCTGGAATTCTCACACTTGGAATTCCCTTCCTGTTGGGTTCCCATTACTAGTAGGACAAACACCAAAATCCTGAATTCCTACCTAGGAGATGGTGGGGCTCGGGACATGGTACCCTGAAATATGGCACGTTGGCATTTGAGAAAACAGCATGAGCAGAAATGCCTGTCTCAGCTTTCCTCGTCCTTCTCTCTGAAGCAATTGTAAGACTGTCATTCCAGCGTGCCCTCTCTGTACCCGTAGGAGAGGAGCATCCTTATCTCTGAAGACACTGAATCTGAACAAACAGGCCTTGAAAAGCTCCCCTCACTCTCTCACTCTTGTAGCATGAGAGCACACTGCCTCTGTCAAATACTTCTCCACAGCCATCCACTTCTTCATCAGACCAGCATCAAATATACACGTTTTTCTGTTTCTTTGGGTCTTTATTTCCTTGTGGAAGGCTCCCGTGTCACATAAAACTTATACTAAATAAATCTGTATGATTTTTTTTTTTGGTTGATCTGTCTTGTGTTACAGGGGCCTCAGTCATGAACCTAGCAATTGGTGAGGAAAAAGAGGCCAGGCACACTGGCCCATGCCTGCAATCCCAGCACTTTGGGAGGCTGAGGTAGGCAGATCGCTTGAGCTCAGGAGTTACAGATCAGCCTAGGCAATATGGCAAAACCCCATCTGTACAAAAAATACAAAAATTAACTGGGCGTTGTGGTGCGTATCTGTAGCCCCAGCTACTTGGGAGGCTGAGGTGGGAGGATCACTTGAGCCCAGGAGGTCGAGGCTTCAGTGACCGCACCACTGCATTCCAACCAGTGCCGCAGAATAAGACCCTGTCTCAAAACAAACAAACAAACAACAAACCACTGCCAAAAAGAAACCTTTTCTTCCCTACAGAGGTAAGCTTATGACCGGTGGGGCCAGGAGATTTGGCTTGGAGTGGCATCTGCATTATCCCACCTATTATGCGATGCTGGGTATTGCAAATAATAATAATAACATTAATGTGTATATATGATATACACAAACACACACGTGTATACATGCACGTAGCTTCAGTTTACAAAATTCACACTTTAGATTCTTCTAAATGATTTACAGTTACCTATGGACGTGTTTGGGGAATCCTGTTTTACGGGCATGTGCTGAGCACAGACGGGCACTATTCTGTGAGAGTGTCGTGAATGAGGCTATCGACTCAAAGTAACACAAGCCCCTGCTGTTTGTGAGAAGCACAGTGCAGGAAGGAAGGATAGGGCTGAGATGCCAGGGGCTGGAAGCCCCACCCCCCACCGCTCTGACACATCAAAATGAGCGGCTTTCTTCTCTGTCCTAGCGTTGACAACGTCCCCTTCACACACGCCCCCAGTTCCAGGAATTTCCGTGCTCTCCGCAGGGCAGAGAGGGCCTTGAACTCACAAATCAACAAACTCTGAAAGTGTAAACTGAAAACGTACGCTTGAAAAGAGGCCCAATATCCGTTTGGAAACAGGGGCGGTCACAGTATTCCCCTTTTTCATGAGACTGCACGCGTGCGTGGCAGTAAGGACCTAGAAAGGAGGATGAGGGTGGTTCAGGGGAGGGAAGCACAGAGGATGTGCATGTTCATGAGACTTTTGCATGTTTTGGGGATACAGGACATGATGTTGTGTTGGTGGTACAGGGCCCAGGGCTGATTTCCTCATGGGCTGATGTTTAGGACACCAGGCCTGGCAATACCTTAGAGGTTCAGATCAGGAGCGGACTCAGTGGGTTATCCTTGGACTCTTGAGGAGAAAACATGCAAAAAATAGAATCCCCTGATGTTATCTATTGGGCTGGCAAAACTGATATTTTCTGGGGTTTAGCAATGTGAGGCTTCGGGACAGGTCCTCTTCATGGATGTCAAATTGGCATCTTCAGCCAACGCGTTCACATCAAAATTGTCAGTCCCCCTCAAAATTCTACTCCTCACCCCCAAGTCTCCCCAGTCTCTATAAAAGGCACTACCCAGTCTGCAAGAGCCCAAACTCGAAACGTAGACATCATCCTCTGTCATCCTCTGTGCTTCTCACTCTCATGACGTAATGAGATTCAATCCACTTCTGTTCACCTTCGTCCAGGTACCAACACCTCTCCCTAGATAACTATCACATCTTGATGATGAGGGTCACTCCTGTCCCCATGATAAGTCTATCCTCCAAAAAAATCAAGCTGCAGACCTTCTGCAAATGAGTCAGATAATGTCATTCTCTCACCCACCTTCCATGCCAACTGAGCCTAGATCGGTGGCTCTAGAACACTTGGATTAAAAGGAAAGCTACCCGTGGTTGGCCCACAAGGTCGGTGGCAACCTGGCTCTTGTCTGCTGCTTTCCTTACCCACCACCCCCTGGCCATGCTGTCCTCACTGTCCCTGAAAAAGCTTCCTGCCCCAAGACCTTCACTCTTGCCTTTCCTCTAATTGGAATTTCCTTTCCCCACAGTCCCCATGGCTGTTTCTTTCCCAATTTTCACGTTTCAGCTCAAAGGTCATATCCTCAAAGGCAGACCTGGGGATTAGGAAGAGGCTTACGGAGGTGCACAGTCATCCAGAAAGCTGAGGGGTTCAGGGACGGGAGATGTTGGTCCAAAGACACAAAATTTCAGTCATGAAGGAGGAATACGTTCCGGGGATTATACCACATGGTGAGTATGGTTAATTTTATTTAAGATAAATAATATTTAACACAATGGTTTTGAAAACCAAAATGAACGCAGAAAGCAACCCCCCATAATGGATGAACAAATACTCAAAATTTAAATCAAACCCAATGTGTGCTGAGCTGTACTGAAGCCCGAGGCCAAAAAAAAAAGTGTGATTCCCTATATCCGTGTGATTGTGCAATTTTTTTTTTTTTTTTTTTTGGTAGAGACTGGGTTTCGCTCTGTTGCCCAAGCTGGAGTGCAGTGGTGACTCGGTGAATAGTATTACCATCCAAAATTCATCCATTCCTGCCTCTGTCCTTGGCTATTACCCTAATCGTAGCCTCCTATCATGTCCACAGCCCACTCTTGACCTAGTGGCCACACAGCCCAGAGAAGTCCCTGAGCAAATATTTGTTCTTGAAGATTGCTTCAGCCTCGACCTCCTGGCCTCAAGCAAGCCTCCCATTTCAGCTTCCAAAGTAGCTGGGACTAGAGATATGCAACACCATTTCTGACTTTTTAAAAATTTTCTGTAGAGATAGAGTCTTTCTATCTTGCCTAGTCTGGTCTTGAACTCCTGGTCTCAAGTAATCCACCCGCCTCAGCCTTCCAACATGCTGGTATTACAGGTGTGAGCTCTCTCACGCAGCTTGTAATTATTTAATGGTTCACTCCCCACCCCCACAGAATATTAGTTTTAAAAATGTTGAAAAAAGGAAAAATAGCTATATTAAACTCGCAATGTCTTATGTTAATTTTATGTGTTAAAAATAGAATTTATTATAATTTTATTTTCCCGGCCTCAGTGGAAGCAGACTCATCAATAATATTTTCAAAATCTATTTCTGGAAAATAACCATTAAAAAATACATAACCGGGAGGCTGAGGCAGGAGAATCGCTTGAACCAGGGAGTTGCAGGTTGCAGTGAGCTGAGATTGTGCCACCGCACTCTAGCCTGGCAACAGAGACTTCGTCTCAAAGAAAAAAAAAAAAACAGTAGCAACATGCTTAGGGTCATACGCACTTTTCCTTTTGCCTGAGGGTCTGATGTAGCTCAGCACAGTCTCATAGGGTCCTGTCTTTATTTAAATTTTTAATATTTTGTTTATCACGTTTTTTTGTACATGAATTTTTTTTTCAAATACTGCATGAAAATATTGTTTATCTTGATGACTGAGTGTTTTGTGCTGTTGTTTATTGAGCTTGCTGTGTGGCCATTATTCCCTTGTTCATTTAATTCTCATGCCGACCCTGGGAGCGAGGTCTTCTTCTTTTTTTTTTTTTACAAATGAGGAAGCTGTGGCTCAGAGGATTAGGTGGCCGTGGTGTGATGGATTCTGTCCAGGCTAGTCTGATTCCACAGTCAGACAGAATGAGAGGAGGCCACCCCTTTCCTCTCTGTGCCTCAGAGGCCTCATCAGGAATGTGGGAAGGTGATCACGCCTGCCCTGCAGATATGCCGTGCCACGGGCATCCAGTAGAAAGCTACGTGCAGAACAAGTATAATACATATTAATTACTTCATTATCATAGTCGTGATGAGGTGGGAGGATGGCTTGAGCCCATGAGTTTGAGGCTGCAGTGAGCTATGATCACAGCCCTGCACTCCAGCCTGGGTGACAGAGAAAGACCCTGCCTCTAATAAATAAATAAATAAAATAAAATAAAAATAAGTAATGATTGTAATGATAATGTTGATGGTGTATCTATTGGCAACCCTGGCCCCATCCTAAATTTGAAACTGCTGATTCTAAAAATACAAAAATCCTTTGTCTCAGTTAACAGTTCCACCATCCAAAACACATCCATGCTGCCTCTCTCCCTGGCTAGTGCCCTAATCGCAGCCTCCTCTCATGTCCACCCCTGCCCTAGTGGCCACACAGCCCAGAGTGTCCCTGGACAAAGTATTTGTTCTCTTTGAAGTTTATCTCTACGTGACTGTCTGTTTGACCTCCTCCACTCTCTCCCATTAGCTAAGCCGGCTTCCAGGCCCTAGGAATCTCAGTGCTCTACAGAAAGCCCGGCATGGAGTAAATGCTCAGTTAATATTGATGATGCTCATAATTCCTAATTTTAACAGCTAAATTATAAATCCCAAGTCCTTACCACCTACAAGGACCTTCTTGATCCAACATCCCTTCCTTCTCTCCTTGACTCTCCCTAACAGGACTTCAGCCATCTTGGTCTCCTCATCCTTCCCAGAATGCACTCCGTGTGTTTCTGCCCCAGGGCCTTGGCACCTGCTGTGCCCACTCCCCAGTGTTCTTTCCCCAGGACTGCTTCCTCCCCTTACTCGTCTCTCTTCACTTATCACAGCCTGGGAGAAGACAGCCCTGGCTGCTCCATCTCCTTCGCCCCCGTTGCTCTCTCTCCTACTATCTCTGATTCTTCATTATGGCACATGCATTATATTTCATGAGCTGTCTCCTTCCCTAGAGCGTACGTGCCTCAAGGGTTTTCATTGTGGGTTCTTGCAAATCACTGTATCCCAGGGTTTCTCGGCCAGGGCACTCCTGACTTGTGGGGCCAGAACATTCCTCCTTGTGTGTCGGGGTCGGCAGGGGTTGGCTGTTCTGTACACTATGGGATGTTTAGCAGCACCTCTGGCCTCTACCCACTCAAGGCTAATAGAACCCACCCCTTCCAGCTGTGCCGACTGAAAGTATTTCCGAATGCCTCTTTGTAAGCAAAATGGTCCCTGGTTAGAAACCTCTGCAAGATCTCCATTTTCTAGAAGCGTGTCTGCTACTACTGTTGGGGTAAAATCAATGGTTAATGCATAGACAAATGAAGAAACAAATGATGAAAGCAGATAATGGTTGATTATGATGCTTGCAGGGGACTTGGAATGCTGAGCAGGGTACAGCCAATTTATGGCATTCTACAAATGTCCAAGGGTGCAGTTTAATTATAGGAAAGAACACGCCTCGGGGCCCCATGCTGTTTAATTTTGTTGTCCATTGCTCCAGCCTGTTTTCCCTAAAGACCTCTCACCGGGAGGCTCCAAGGACAAAGGCCAGCTCTGCCTGTTGCCATGGAAACTGCAGCTTGTGTGGGAGCCAGGAAGGGGCTGCTGAGAGAGGCTCAGGGCTGGGCAATGTCCAGGCTCCAGAGGTGAGCATGCGTGGGTTTGAAAATGTCCCAGCATACAAGGAACACAACATGAGCTCAGGAAAAGAACAAAACATGTTTCCCATCCCCACCTGCACTCTCTGTGCTGTAAGGAATGTTTCTTCCTTGCAAGGCAAAACCAGAACTGATCAGTGTTCGATTCTAGGGAGAATGGCATGCACCTAGCTCTCCTTGCCAGGTAGATTTTGGTGGATAAAGCTCAAAACTGTCAGGAATTGCAAAGCTGTCAGGAAACAATTTCAGTTCTTCATACAATGAGGAACATAGACAGTGCTATGGATTGCATTTGTTTACCCCCCAAAATCATACGTTGAAGCCCAAAGCCCCAGTGTGATGGTGCTTGGAAGCAGGGCCTTTGGAAGGCGATTAGATTTTCCTCCTCCTCCTCCTCCCCTTCCTCCTCCTCCTCCTCCTCCTCCTCCTTCTTCTTCTTCTTCTTTTTTTTTTTATAGAGTCTTGCTCTGTCACCCAGGCTGGAGTGCAATGGCGCGATCTCGGCTCACTGCAACCTCTGCCTCCTGGGTTCAAGTGATACTCCTGCCTTATCCTCCTGAGTAGCTGGGATTACAGGCGCCCATCGTCATGCCTGGCTAATTTTTGTATTTTTAGTAGAGACAGGGTTTCCCCACGTTAACCAGGCCACTCTTGAACTGCTGACATCAGGAGATCCACCCGCCTCGGCCTCCCAAAGTGCTGGGATTATAGGCATGAGCCACCGTGCCTGGCCAATGATTAGATTTAAATGAGGCCACCAGGGTAGGGCCCATGACAGGTTTCATGTCTCTATGAGAAGGGAAAGTGAGTTCTCCAGACACTAAGTCTCTCCCACCATGTGAGGACACAGGGAGAAGGAGGCCGTCCGCAAGCCAGGAGGAGAGCCCCCACCAGGGACTGAGCCACTGGCACCTCGATCTGGGACTTCCAGCCTCTAGAACTGTGAGAAATAAATCCCTGTTCTTCATAAATTACCCAGTTTGTGGTATTTTGTTAGCACAAACAGACTGAGACCCAGCCTGAGTCGACTGAGACAGAGAGTGACTGGGTGGTGAGACTAGCTGCGCGGTATTGAGACGTGTCATCCTCAAACATCATCACTGCCTTGACGCGTATCCGTGCGGGTGCACATGGCACTCAGTCATCCACTTAAATGGCTACAGAGTATCCGACTAGGGGAACACAGCAGGATCCACTCATCTCTTCTCCTGTCGATGGCCCCAGGATTTTCTGCTGTTACAAACAACCCTGAAACAGCACAGAGCTGGTGCTTGCTACATGTACTTCTCTCCTTCGCCCAAACGTGGGAGACTTTGCTCTGGTGAAACTTCTAGGAATGGAGCTGCTGGGGGAGAGGAAAAGCACAGATTTATAACCTACTCGGAATTTCCCTGATTAATGACCCACATGCTAGAGTGAAGCCCAAAGTCTCTCTAAATCTCTCTCTCGCCTTCTCACTCACGAAGGGAATGGCTTTCTCAGAAAGAGTAAAATGTGGCCAGGATTCTGGGTACGTGCATTTTCAAACCATAAACAGTTTTCTAGATGGGACCAAATTGCTTTCCCAAATTGTGGTTTAAAAGGGAGGTTTCAGGCCGGGCGTGCTGGCTCATGCCTGTAATCCCAGCACTTTGGGAGGCTGAGGCGGGTGGATCACGAGGTCAACAGATCAAGACCATCCTGGCCAACATGGTGAAACCCTGTCTCTACTAAAAATACAAAAATTAGCTGGACGTGGCGGCGCATGCGCCTGGAATCCCAGCTACTCGGGAGGCTGAGGCAGGAGAATCGCTTGAACCGGGGAGACGGAGGTTGCAGTGAGCTGAGATCGCAGCACTGCACTCCAGCCTGGTGACAGAGCGTGACTCCGTCTCTAAATAAATAAATAAATAAATAAATAAATCAGGGAGGTTTCAGGAAGGCAGGGGCATCCACTATGTTTGCTCTTTTTCATGTGACCATCATCAAGCATCACTAGATTGTGAAGAAAAAAATGAGTAAATGGAATATTTTTACTCAGCGTTGGGATTTAAGTCTATACATAAGTCTTTATCCTGGTTTATCTTGCTATTACGACGGGCAATGAAAGATTTTATGTAGCAGGTTGGCCCTTGGGCTGGTGTCTCACTGTGTCCACACTGTTTATGCAAATAGCATGGTTTATGCTAAATAGCCGCCTTCCTACTGGGCGTCTGGAATTCTGGTAGATGCCAGGCAGCAGGTGCCTGTGTGACCAGCCCCAAGTAAGTGCCCCGGACATCGAGTCTCTAATGAGTTCCGCAGCAGATGACATTTCACAGGTGTTGTTGCAACTCCTTGCTGGAGGAATCGGTGCCTCCTGTGTGACTCCCGCGAAGAGGGCTCTCGGTGCCATTCCCCCTCGCTGACTTTGCTTTTCATTCTTTTGCTGTGAGTCCTTCCAGTGAGTCATGAAACTTGGAGGTGCCCCTGGGGACCCCGACCCATGGCGTTCAGGATGCTGAAGAAACACACGTTGTTTTATACAAAATTGCTTTCTTCTGTTGACTGCCAGCCACGACATCCCTTCTTTTAATGAGTCGCCTCATAAACATCACTGTAATGACCACAAGGTGGGGACTAGGGGTCCTGTGCACTCAGGGGCAGAACCGCTGGGTCAAAGAGTGAACATATTTTAAAGTCTGAACTCATTCCCCAAAATGCTGAACAGACGCAGTATGTCACACACGTGCCTGCCCCAGCCCCTGCCAACTGCATTTTCATCTTCACCCATAGGATACAGTGGAAACTGTGGTTCAATTCGGTTTGGGTATCCTCTTTTCTTTTTTTCTTTCTTTTTTTTTTTTGAGATAGGGTCTCACTCTGTTGCCCAGGCTGGAGTGCAGTGGTACAATCTTGGCTCACTGCAGCCTCAAACTCCTAGGCTGATCCTTCCACCTCAGCCTCCTAAGTAGCTGGGACCACAGATGAGCACCATCATGCCCGGCTAATTTTTGTATTTTTTGTAGAGATGGGGCTTCACTATGTTGTCCAGGCTGGTCTCGAACTCCTCTGCTCAAGAAATCCTCCTGCCTCAGCCTCCCAAATTGCTGGGATTATAGGTATGAGCCACCACACCTGGTCTGGCATCCAGTTTTTGGATTACAAGTGAGGTGAGAGCTTTGTGGATGTTGCCCAAGCTCTGGCATTTTTCTGCTTTATGAATACCCTATCAGAAGCGCAGTCCCACCTGCCAGGCACAGGGTTCCAGGTTCTCCACATCCTCTCCAACACTTGCTATTTTCTGGGTTTGTTTGTTTGTTGGTTGGTTGGTTTGTTTTGACAGTAGCCCTGCCGATGGGTCCGAGGTGGTATCTCATTGTCTCTATGTGGTAAGAAGCATGTACCTTTTCTTTCATACTTGATTGGATGTAGAATTATTGGATCCAAGAGAATAAAATTTGTTAAGGCTTTTAATTTAAAATACCAGTTTTTACTTCATATTCAGTCTGGAAGTCATCACATTTTTATTTTGCTATTTATTTTCTTGGCCTTATAAATATGCATATATGCATACATAAAATGTACGTGCTATTGGAATTATACTGTAGTTCAGGAGTGTGAAAACCATGGCAGTTAGAGGGCTAAGAATGCTTTTTACCTTTTAAAAACGGAATGTCTTGCCTGTCTGTGATGATAAGAACACTTACACCCTCTCACACCAAGCTGAGAAAAGGCAATGGTGAGTGCACTTTGTGCCCACAGAGAAACTCTGTTCAGCAGGGTCCTGGCTCCAGTTGCTCACAGAGGAATCTGGGCCAGACTTAAACTGAAAGGAGGGCTCCCATGAGAGGGAAGTTTCTCCCGGAATCTCACGGCTTTTTGGACGAGGCTGTAAGAATGTCAACATTCAGCCAAGTGCCAGATAAATCAACCTACTTGGAATTTTCCCTGATTAATGTCCCGAATGCCAGGGTGAAGCCCAAAATCTCTCTGAATCTCCCTCTCTCGCCTTCTCACTCAGGAAGGGAATGGCTTTCTCGGAAAGAGTAAAATGTGGCCAGGATTCTGGGCCTGTTCATTTTCAATATGTTCATAAACATATTTAATACTAGGTGTCTGTTTCCTAGATTATGTCCCTGGCTCCAGTTGTAAATGAGTTTCTCTCTCCTTTCCTGGGGTTAAAAACCTTGGCTCTAATTTCTATTGGTTTTAGTTCCTGTACTAAGTGACTTTATGGGGGCCTTGCAAACCCATTTCCAAAATTCTGTATAGTGTTGAATTAAAGTAAAAATGAATGAGGATTAAAATAAATGAGATATATAACATATGTATAATAAGTGAGATATAACATGTAAGAATAACCTTTATGATTTCATAACCTTGCTTTCTGTGTGTGTACCCACAGAAACATACTGTAAAAGAAGCCGTTTTCCCTCCTTCCCCCTCCTTTCCTTCCTTCTTTCCTTCCTTCCTTCCTTCCTCCCTCCCACAACTGGTGACAACATTTTGTGAACACAGCTTCAAGGCAAGCCTCCAAGCATCCCTATTGTGGCTCAATTGCTACTCTTACTCCCTCCCATGTAGAAATTCTAGAGCTCCAACAGCTTGTGAATCTTGAGAAGAATTCGAGTATTTATATAAAATGCAAAGTGTATTCTTTGAGGTGTTTTAGGCAAGGGAGGGCCATGGTTCAGATTTTCCTGTAAGAAATTCCAGTCCGTGTTCTGTGTGGACAACTGATGAAAGTCAAGCATAGTGGGTGCAGGTGGCGGGAAATGGGTCCCGGGGGAAGAGCACAAGGGGTGGGCAGAGGGAGAACCACACTCCTGAGTCTCAGCTGACTCAGGAGCCACCCGGAGAAGTACCTGGCAGCCCCGGCGGCTGGATGTCCAGGGTGTGACAGGGAGTCAGGGATTCCCCAGTTTCTGTCTCAGGGAACTGGGACTGGGTGGTGGGGGCTTCTTTCCTTGAGAAGAGGAATATATCTATATAATTTTTTTCTTTTGAGGCAGAGTTTCACTCTTGTTGCCCAGTCTGGAGTGCGGTGGCTCGAGATCTCAGCTCACTGCAACCTCTGCCTCCCGGGTTCAAGCCATTCTCCTGCCTCAGCCTCCTGAGTAGCTGGGATGACAGGCGCCCGCCACTGCACCTAATTTTTTGAATGTAGTAGAGACGGGGTTTCACCATGTTGGCCAGGCTGGTCTCGAACTCCTGACCTCAGGTGATCCACTCTCCTTGGCCTCCCAAAGTGTTGGCATTACAGGCGTGAGCCTCCGTGCCCAGCCGGGAGGAATATTTAAATATACACTAGGTGTTGGTTTTCTGGAAGTTCCTCCTATGAAAGAATTTTTTTTTTTTTTTTGAGACAGAGTCTCGCACTGTCGCCTGGGCTGGAGTGCACAATGGCATGATCTCCGCTCACTGCAAGCTCCACCTCCTGGGTCCAGGCGATCCTCCTGCCTCAGCCTCCCAAGTAGCTGGGATTACAGGAGCCCACCACTATGCCTAGCTAATTTTTTGTATTTTTGGTAGATACGGGATTTCACTATGTTGGTCAGGCTGGTCTTGAACTCCTGATCTTGTGATCTCCCCACCTCGGCTTCCCAAAGTGCTGGGATTACAGGCATGAGCCACTGTGCCCAGCCAAGAAGTTTTTGATTAAGCCATGGTGTTCTTCTGGGAAGAGAGAATAAGGTTGTCAGTATTTCACTGTTCCACAGAAAGGTAGAACAACAGCCTTATACACTAACTTGACCACATCATATGAAATCCTCAGAGAGAAATGAAAAAGATAAAAAGATTGGATGTAGAATTATTGGATCCAAGAGAATAAAAGGTGTTAACGCTTTTAATTTAAAATACCAGTTTTTACTTCATATTCAGACAGTCTGGAAGTAATCATATTTTTATTTTGCTATTTATTTTCTTGGCCTTGTAAATACACATATATGCATACATAAAATGTACTACGTGCTATCGGAATCATACTGTAGTTCAGGAGTGTGAAAACCATGGCAGTTAGAGTGCTAAGAATGCTTTTCACATTTTAAAAGATTTATTTATTTATTGTTTTGAGGCAGAGTCTCTCTCTGTCACCCAGGCTGGAGTGCAGTGGAGTGATCTTGGCTCACTGCAACCTCTGCCTCCTGGGTTCAAGCGATTCTCCTGCCTTAGCCTCCCGAGTAGCTGGGATCACAGGCATTCCCCCCAACACCTGGCTAATTTTTGCATTTTTGTAGTTTCAGTAAAGACAGGTTTTCACTGTGTTGGCCAGGCAAGTTAAAAGGCTTTTTAGAAAAAGGAGAGGACAAAGAGGAGGATGAGGAGGGAGGAGAAGGAGGAAGGAGAGGAAGAGGAAGAAGAGGAAGATCAGTAGGAGGAAGGGGGGCAGAAGGGGGAGGAAGATTAGGAGGAGGAGAAGGAAAATGAGGAGGAGGGGGCGGAAGAGTAGGAGGATGAAGGGGAGGAGAAGGAGGAGAAAGAGGGGGCAGGGGGAAGAGAGGGAAGGGGAGGAAGATTAGGATGTGGAGTAGGAAAATGAGGAGGAGGGGAAGGGGAGGAAGAGAAAGAGGAGGAAGAGGAGGGGGAGGAAGAAGGGGAGGAGGAGGAAAGGCAGGGAAAGGAGGAAAAGCAGGGAGGAGTAGGAGGAGGATGCCCTTTGCCCCTTACTGACTCAGCCCTCACCTCCTGTGAGCCCTTGCTGCCAGGGGCCACTGGCTTCCCTCACACAGGCATGTCCCCACAAACTCCCACCTCCAAGCTCTTGGCCTTGCTGGTTCCTCTCCTGGAATGCTCGTCCCTCTGCTCCCTTCCCTCACTTCTCGTCATGGTCTCGAGGCCCTCCCGGACGCCTACCTAAAACAGCCTGCCCAGGTCACTCCGTCTCTCCCCCGATTGATGTTTCTTGGCCACGCTCATCGTGCTGTGACTTTATGTGTTCTGTGCTCACCATGTGTACTCCCCACTAGAATGGAAACCCCAAGGAGGCAGGGATCTCTGCCTAGGGCTGGTTCCTGTGGCACCCACCCTTGCCCTGCTGAGCCCTCAGTCCGTATTGGTCGAGTGATTCAATGCATGTGTCTGGCAGACAAATGTCTGGGATGTGAAAGTCTCAGGCTGAGAACACCCAGCATTGCGCCCCTGTCTTCAGGACCAGCGTCAGGTACTCAGTGGTGCTCAATGGATGTGTGGAATGAACCAAGGGGTGTGGAAAAGCTGAGACTGACATCACCGGCTCTTGCAGGAGGCTTTCGCTTCTCAGGGACCGCCTCTCAGGATTCACAGGAAAGAGCTAACGGGGTCAGACTGACCCAGCGATGGGGGAGGCGGAGCTGCAGCGTGAGCCCCCTGCCCCGCAAGTCCACGCCTCCCCAGCCGGTCTCGGTCTTTGGAAGAGCGGGGGCGGTTGTTATATGTTTTCCCTCAAGCACTGTCCTCTGATATGCAGGCCCCAGGCAGGCCCGGGCCAAGGCTGTTGCCGTGGAAACCATAGCCAAAGAGGAGGGGAGGGGCTGAGGAACCAGAGTGAAGGCCCAGGAGGCTGCAAATGTCCAGGTCTGGAGCTGGAAGTGTGCTGAGATCAAAATGCCCGCCTAGTGCAACGCAGGTGCTTCCTACAAGTTTTCTGAGAAAACGAACAGCCCTGCACCCCCTCCCCACCTCTATCTGAGCCAAGAGAACTTTCTCCTTGTGGCTGTGTCCGTGGGAGCCACACAGTCAGTCCACCTGCTCAGATGAGTTATCTTAGTTGGATCCAGAATGACTCCAGCTGAAGGCACAAAGAGAAGGGAAAGCTGGAAAAAATTAAAACTGGAGTCACCACGTACCCCAAAGAGTTGAAACCAGAGTCTCAGAGAGACAGCTCTGCCCCCACCCGCAGCAGCAATATTCACGATTGCTAAAACGTGGAAACAGCCCCGGTGTCCACCAACGAACGATGGGCAAACGGAACATGGGCTATTATTCAGCCTTAGAAAGGAAAGAAGTTCTGACACGTGCTGCAACGTGGATGACGCTTGAGGACATTAGGCTAAGTGAAATAAGCCAGTCACGCAAGGGAAAATCCGGCCGGGTGCGGTAGCTCACGCCTCTATTAGCGGCACGTTGGGAGGCGGCCAAGGTGGGCAGATCACCTGAGGTCAGGAGTTTGAGACCAGCCTGGCCAACATGGGAAACCCCATCTCTACTAAAAATACAAAAATTAGCCAGGCATGGTGGCGCATGCCTGTAATTCCAGCCACTCGGGTGGTTGAGGTGGGAGAATCGCTTGAACCTGGGAGGTGGAGGTTGCAGTGAGCCAAGATTGCGCCATTGCATTCTGGCCTGGGAGACAGAGAGAGTCTCTGCCACAAAAAAAAAAAAAAAAAAAAAAAGGCAAATCTTGTAGGATTTCACTTCTATAAGGTACCTGGAGTAGGCAAATAACAGAGAGACAGAAAGCGGAACAGTGGTTGCCAGGGGCTGGGGAAGGGGGACGGTGGAGTTATGTTTAACAGGGACAGAGCTTCAGTTTTACAAATGAAACAAGCTCTGGGGATGTATGTTGGTGATGGTTGCACAAGATTATAAATGTATTTAATACCACTGAGTTGTACACTCAAAAATAGTTAAAATGGCAAATTTTATATTATGGCTTTTTTTTTTTTTTGAGACAAGGTCTTGCTGTGTTGCCCAAGCTGGAGTGTGTGGTGTGATCACAGCTCACTGCAGCCTCAAACTCCTGGGCTTAATCGATCCTCCCGCCTCAGCCTTCTGAGTAGCTGGGACTACAGGCACGCGCCACCCTGCCTGGCTAATTTAAAAAAAAATTTTTTTTTTTTAGAGATATGGTCTCACTGTGTTGCCCAGGCTGGTCTTAAACTCCTGGGCCCAAATGATCCTCCTGCCTCTCCTTCCCAAAATGCTGGGATTGCAGGTATGAGTCACTGCACCCGGCCTGCTTATGTGTATTTTACCACAATTTTAAAAACTGGGAAAAAAGGAGAGGACAGAAATAATTTCAGAGTTGAGAGGTCCACAAAGCACATTAACCAGGTCTCTGAGAGAGGGTCTGCGCAGGACTGTTCTGTGGACTGATCCTTCTGCAACTTGATCCCAATCTCTCCCCGCTCTTCACGTTCCACTCAGTTTATTCACCCATTCTCGCATTGGCAGGCACTTGGGATGTAACCTCTCCTCCTGCTTTCCTGGCCATCACAAGCAACGCTACATCTCCCCAGAGCCCAGAGCAGTGCCCAGTCCACAGTTTCTGCTCAATCAATATCTGCCAAATCAATGAAAGTCACAATGAACATCTTTGAACTTGCCTCCTTGCCCTATGTGTGAGAGTTTCTCTAGGGCACAAATCTCAAACTGGAATTTCTGGGCGATAGGGGAACACATAGGATCAGCGTTCTTAGACACCGGCAGATTGCTCTCCAAAATGGTCTTGTACTTATATTCTTCTGTGATTTTCACCCAGTGAAATGGACGTTGTGTGAAAGCAGGCACACTCTGTTTTCTTTTAGCTCTGCCACATCCTCTCTCCCTGATAGAATATCTAGCGTGAGTGTTCAATGGTTTTTCTGTTTGTTTGTTTTTGTGTGTGTGTGTTTAATCGAGACTGGGTCTCACTCTGTCGCCCAGGCTGGAGTGCAGTGGCATCCCCATGGCTCACTGCAGCCTCAACCTCGCAGGCTCAGGTGATCCTCAACCTCCAACTGCAGCCTTAACCTTCCCTGGCTCAGGTGATCCTCCCACCACAGCCTCCCCAAGTACCTGGGACCACAGGCGCCACCACACCCAGCTAATTTTTTTTTTTTTCTGTAGAGACGGGGTTTCGCCATGTTGCCCAGGCTGGTCTGAAACTCCCAGGTTTGAGATTTGCCCACCTCACCCTCCCAAAGTACTGGGATTACAGGCATGAGCCACCATGCCCAGCATCAATGGTTTTTAGAAGCTGAATAAATAAATGGATGCATAAATGTATTACAGTTGCTCAAACTTGGATAATGATGCATTTTTGTTTTTTAATCCAACTTTTGCTTATGTAATATACATCTTAACATTAGATGACCTTCAAAACACAGCTCATTTGTCTAACAAGGGGCTGATGTCTTTGGACTGTAAAATTCTGCATCAGTGTTGAGCTTCACACAACCCAGATGCACGTTCTATGGACTTTTCGGCTGATCGTGCTCTGGCAAGGCTGCCATGACCATGTGTGTGTGTGGGGTGTGCTTTTGTGTATGTCTGTGGGGAGGTGGGTTCCCAGAAGTGGATTTGCTGGGTCAAAGGGCATGCAGATATTAAACTTTGAAGTCTACTGCCAAAAGATCTTGCCAGAAAGGTCACAGCAACTCGCTCTCCCCAGCAGCCTGAGAAGGCGTCCGCTCTCACCCCATAGTCAACTCTGCTTGTCTATTTCCTTATTGTCCATCTGACAAGAGAAAGAATGACTTCCCAGTATGGTTTGCATATTCATTTTTTTGGAGTACAAGAAAGGTCGAAACATCATTTTCCTTATTTGGCACATTTTATTTTATCTTTTAAGGCTTTTCTGTTCCTACCTGTTGCTCTTTTGATGGATTTTAAAGTTTATGTTACCCCGTATTTTAAATTCTTTTCTTGTAAACACAATTCACATGTAAACTATATAGTTTCTTTGAATCTCATTAGGTTGAAAATAGTTTCACCCATTTTTATCATTTCTTCTGGTTTACATTTTTGTTATTCTGTGCCTACTTTTTCAGCTTTTTTTTTTTTTTTGACAGAGTCTTGCTCTGTCGCCCAAGCTGGAGTGTAGTGGCATGATCTCGGCTCACTGCAGCCTCTGCCTCCCGGGTTCAAGCGATTCTCCTGTCTCAGCCTCCTGAGTAGCTGGGACTACAGTCGCCCACAACCACACCCAGCTAATTTTTGTATTTTTGATAGAGACAGGATTTCACCATATTGCTCAGGCTGGTCTCGAACTCCTGATCTCAGGTGATCCACCTGCCTCGGCCTCCCAAAGTGCTGGGATTGCAGGTGTGAGCCACCGTGCCAGGCCTTTTTCAGCTCTTATGGAGTCAGTTTAATTCTTCTTATCTTTAATGATTGTAAGCTTTTAAGAATTGTGCTCACTAAGACTTTCTGCACCCAAATTATGAAACTATTCTCCTGAGTGTCCTGGTGTGGGAGGGAAGTCGAGGCCACGAGCTGTCTCCCTGTCCTAAGGATGTGCCTCCTTCTCCTCCTCTGATAGAGTCTAAACCATCCGGGGACCACAGCACCAACGCCAAGGGAGGGATGAGGGCCAAAGAGGGTTTGGATGGGACAGATATTGCCACGGGGATGCTCCTGGTGGTGAAGGAGAAGTGGCTAAAATGTTCATATCTGGCCCAGGACCCAAACAAAGTTTCAGCTCAAAGATCCACCGTGGTATGTTCAACAAGAGCCCAGGGTACAAGGAGGGAACAATTTTCTCAGAAACAGCACAATACAGACAGAGCTTTAGAGAGGTTTGTTTCCGAATCATACAAAGAGTTTAAGAATATTGACTACCAGCCATTCTGCTGTCATCCACGTCCATGTATCAGGTTGTTAACCAGTTTTCTCCACATTTTGGGGTGGGTCTCACTCCCTTGATATCTACAGACTGGTCTGGTCTCCTGTCCTGAGGGCCTGGCAGGCAGCAGATGTTGGTGTGTCTATGTTGTCAGCTTGTGCGCACAATACCCTTCTGTGCTAGGGTTCTTCAGAAAAGCAGAACCAACAGTGTGTGTGTGTGTGTGTGTGTGTGTGTGTGTGTGTGTGTGTCTGTGTGTCTGTGTGTGTGAGAGAGAGAGAGAGAGAGTCACAGAGAGATACGGAGGAAGGTAGGGAGGGAGAGGGACAGAGACAGAGGAAGATGGAGAAGTATAGAGAGAAGAGGAGACATGCATGGGAGAGAGAGAAGAGAAGAGAGGGGAGGGGAGAGGTGAGGAGAGAAGAAGAGAGGAGGGGAAGACAGAGGAGGAGAGGAAAGGAGATGAGAGGAGAGGGGAGGAGAGGAGAGGGGAAGGGAGGGGAGGGAAGGGGAGAGGACAGGAGGGGAGAGGAAGGGAGAGGAGAGGAGAGGTGGGGAGAGGAGACACGAGAGAGGAGCGAGGAGGAGAGGAGAGGAGAAGAGGAGGGGAGAGGAGAAGAGGACAGGACAGGGGAGAAGCGGAGAGGAGAGGGGAGGGGAGGGGAGGAAAGGAGAGGAGAGGAGAGGAGAAGAGGACAGGACAGGGGAGAAGCGGAGAGAAGAGAAGAGGGGAGGGGAGGGGAGGAAAGGACAGGAGAGGGGAGGAGAGGAGAGGAGAGGGGAGGGGAGGGGGAAAGAGGAGGGGGGAGGGGAAGGGAGGGGAGGGGAGGGGAAGGGAAAGGAGGGGAGGGGAGGAATCTATTTTAGAGAATTAGCTCCTGCAATTGCCGGGCTTGGCAAGCCCGATGGGTAGGGCAGCAGGCTGGGGACTGAGGGAACAGTGGATATTGCTCCCTGGGTCTGAAATCTGCAGGGCAGGCCAGCAAGCTGGAACTTCAGGCAGGGTTTCTATGTTAAAGTCTTGAGGCAGAATTCTTTTTTCTTGGAAAAAACAGTCCATCTCCAACTGATTGCATAAGGCCCATCAAGGCGATGGAGACTAGTCTTTACTTGAAGTCAACTGACTGTAAATGCTAATTACATCGACTCAGCACCTACGGCATCTAGACTGGTGCCTGATCAAACCGCATGGCACCACAGCCTGGCCAAGTGGATATCTAAAATTAACCGTCATATCCTCTGTTTCCTAATGTGCTTCTTGGCCTATTTCTTATACTAATTTGAAATAAAAAGAAGTCAATGCCAGTTGGACATTGATTTCTTCATGCCTTCACTTTCTTGTACACTTTTCATGGCAGACAGCATTGATTCAAATGAATGGCATTGTGAACACGGCAAACCCCACAGTGGCCTCCACTCTGACCCAAAACTTCCCTCCAAGTCCCTTCCATGTGGGAATTCTGGAGCTGCAACTTCTGGTAGGTCTTGATTAAGAATTAAGTTTTTAATCTAAAGAGCAATGGAATATGTTGAGGTTTTTTTTCTTTTTTTTGAGACAGAGTCTCACTCTGTTGCCCAGGCTGGAATGCAGCAGTGCGATCTTGGCTCACTGCAACTTCTGCCTCCCGGGTTCAAGTGATTCTCCTGCCTCAGCCTCCTGTGTAGCTGGGATTACAGGCGCCTGCCACCACGCCCGGCTAATTTTTGTATTTTTAGTAGAGATGGGGTTTCACCATGTTGGCCAGGCTGGTCTCGAACTCCTGACCTCAGGTGATCCACCCGCCTCGGCCTCCCAAAGTGCTGGGATTACAGCCGTGAGCCACCGCGCCAGGCCCGTTAAAGTTTTTTAAGAAAGAGAGATGAATGGTCAGATATTGCTTCAAGAATTTTCTGCCTGGGGCTGCGAGCAGTGGTTCATGCCTGTAATTTTGGCAGTTTGGAAGCCGAGGCAGGAGGATTCCTTGAGCCCAGGAGTTAGAGACCAGCCTGGGCAACACAGTGAGACCGGCTGACCTCTCATTAGCTTTTTATTTTTATTTATTTATTTATTTATTTATTTAAGACAAGTCTCACTCTATTGCTCAGACTGGAGTGCAGTGGCGTGATCTCAGCTCACTGCAGCCTCAACTTCCTGGGTTCAAGTGATCCTCCCACTTCAGCCTCCTGAGTATCTGGGACAACAGGGGTGCACCACCATGTCTGGCTAATTTTTATATTTTTTGTAGAGACAAGGTCTTACTATGTTGCCCAAGCTGGCCTCCAACTCCTGGGCTCAAGCAATTCTCTTGCCTCAGCCTCCCAAAGTGTTGGGATTACAGGCATGAGCCACCACACTGGCCAGCCTCCCATTAGCTTTACAAAAGCAGTTGAGTTTTGGGCAAAGCCTATTATTCTTTTACACTGTAGCGCAAATGTCTTCCAAAGTCAGCTTGGCCCAATAGCCCAGGAATAACTAAGGGAAAGGCAAGATGGGAGGTGGGTTAGCTCAGATCTCTTTCACTGTCAGAATTTTCTCACTGATATAGTTTTTGCAAAGGCAGTTGCATCTTTGTCCGGGATGCCCCATATCCAGCCAACTCCCCATCCACCCAAGAAAGGAACCTTGGATACTCTCAGGAGAAAGGATGCTATGAACGTGGTACATGAATAAAGGCACCAGAATTTGAATTGTGAACTCCACAGAACCCATTTATTTGTTCATTTGTTCACAATCTGAAAAATGATTGTGAAGATCCTACTAGATCCCAAGCATTCTGCTAGGCAGTGAGGATACAGAAGAAAACAAAAATATATACTGATTTACCATGTCTCTCCCCAACTAGACGACAATCCCTGTGGAGTGACAGGTTCTTTCACGTCCCTCATCCTCAGCCTCCCCCGGGCAACTCACCCTGAGCCTGTCTTCAACAAGAATCCTGTTAGGTCAGTTCTCAGCCAGAGGAAACCCCAGATGTTCCTCTCAGTAATTTTCCATCCACTGACCCCCACCCTGCTTCTTGGCTACAGATTCTCTCTTGCCCATGCTGCATTCAGAGCTGAGCACCCTGTTTCTCTCCCCCACTGCAAAATCCCCTTGTCGCAGTCTGTCTATGCCCATCACTATGGTCCTAAATCTTGTTCCTTCCCATGCTTTAACAAGTCTCATCGAATGCTTTGTTCTTTAACAGAAAGCAGGGACTTTGTTTGACTCCCTTCCTTCCTTCCTTCCGTCCTTCCTTTCTTCCTTCTTTCCTTCCTTCCTTCCTTCCCCCCTTCCCATCTTCCTCCCTTCCTCTCTTCCTCTCTCTCTCTCTCTCTCTCTCTCTTTGTGGTGCATCCTCTGTGCCCAGCATGGCCCCAGCATGCAGCGGCTCTTCCGTAAGTCCATCCAGAATGAATGAAAAAAATCTTCTTTGAAGGAGCAAATGTCTCTATCAGATCAGAGTGTGCCTCCTGTTTGTCTGTTTGTTTTATTCTTGTATCACCAGCTCCCAGGACAGTCAGTTCATAGTTGTTGAATATATGAATAAATGAACAAGTAGAAAAAAAGCTAACGCCAATGTCACTCATGCTTAAGAGATGTATTATCTCTGACAGGGTCAGGGAGGCCCTCATGGCCGATTTCGTGATCTTTTGCAAAGCTCTCAAGGATGCATTTTCAGGGACATGCGGGTCCTGCACAGGCCACAGCTGTGGGGCCAGGGTTTGAGCCATTTCCACTGCCTCCCATCCCCCCAGTGGCTTGGTGTTGTTTTCCTTCAAGAGCAATCACCTGTTCGGCGGCAACCCAGGCCTGCTCAGACTGTCACCATGGACACAGCAGCTGGAGGCGGGAAGGGGAGGGCTGAAGAAGGAGCTGCGGAGACTGGAATTTTCTGGGCTCTGATATCAGTGTGTGTGTGTGTGTGTGTGTGTGTGTGTGTGTGTGTTTGTGTGTTTGGGGGTGGAAAGGAGGGGGTTCAAAGTGCCAGGCAAGAACCCCTCAGGTGCTTCAAGTTTGTTGAAAGAATGAATGACTTCATTCATTCTTCCAGTCCTCCATCCCTGTCTACAGATGTCTTGAGTAATGCATCTCCTCTCGATGGGGTTGAACGCTGTGTCAACATTTGATGGTAGCCACAACGGCATTCATTCAGGGCTTCTCGTGAATTGCATTGTTACAGTAACTCTGAATAATGACACGGAGCTGAGCTGTAAACTCACAAAGTAAGAAGACGATTCCCTGCAAGGGATCAGTGCAACCCAACAGACAGATCTGGGAGGGTGGTTGGTAACAGGGTGGGTGTCTTTCTTCCTTTTTCCTTTCCTTTTCTTTCCTTTCCTCTTTTCTTTTCTTTCTTTCTCCCCTTCCTTCCTTCCTTCCTTCCTCCCTCCCTCCCTCCCTTCCTTCTTCTCTTGTCAATTTGTTTGTTTGTTTGAGATAGGGTGTCACTCTGTCACCCAGGGAGGAGTGCAGTGGTACAATCATGGCTCACTGTGGCCTCCACCTCCTGGGCTCAAGTGATCCTTCCACCTCAGTGTCCCCAGTAGCTGGGAGCACAGGCAAGCCCCACCACGCCAGGCTAAAGGGTGGATGTTCTATCAGCGCAACTTGCTCTCATCCATTGCGCTCTTTCCACAGGGACACATGTACCTCTCATTCTTTAATCTTCTGTACTGCAGTCCACTTTACGAATACACCACAATTTATTTATCCATTCTCTTTTCAATAGACATTTCAGTTGTTCCTCTCCCAGCATCCCACTTTTTTTCACTACAAAGAATATGAATAGACCAGGTGCAGTGGCTCACACCTGTAATCCCTGCACTTCAGGAGGCCAAGAACAGGAGGAATGCTTGAGCCCAGGAGTTTGAGACCAGCCTGGGCAACACAGCAAGACCTCACTCATCTCTAAAAAGATAGACAAAATTGGCTGGGCATGGTGGCACACGCCTGTAATCCTAGGTACTTGGGAGGCTGAGGTGGGGGTATCACTTGATCTCAGAGGTGGAGGCTGCAGTGAGCCAGGCTTGCACTGCTGCACTCCACCCTGGGTGACGGAGCGAGACCCTGTCTCAAAAAAAAACCCAAAAAACTGTGAATAGCCCCCATCACGGCAAAGTGACTGGGCTACAGTTCACATTCAACAGATCTGCACTGAGTGAGTGAGTACTGCAATGAGCACGATTATGCTTGGTCCTTGTGGGAATGGAGGGAGCTCCCCTGGGACATATATCTTGGAACAGAATTGCTGGGCAATACGGCAGCCTCCTCAGCTTTGATGTGATTAACATTTTGGGCTGGTAACTCTTTATTGTTGATGAGGGCTGTGCTGTGCATTGCAGGATGGTTAGCAGCCTCTCTGGTCTCTACCCACTGGATGCTAGTAGTTCACTCCCTACTCACGCCCCAGATGTGACAGTAAAAAACATCTCTACACATTTCCAAATATTTCCCGGAGTGGAGGGGGTGAAATCATCCCACAATGGAGAGCCACCGATTGTAGCTTTTCTAGATAATGCCAAATCGCTCTTCTATTTCTTTCGTGCTTGTTTGCTTTTCTCCGATTACTAACCTGAAGTGCCCAGTAGGAAGGCAGCTTCCCTATATTTGTTCTGCTGGAAGGGACTCTGTTGACTGGCTCTTTTGCAGATTTATTGCTAAAATACGCATCAGAAATGTGCCAATCCACGCCTTCACCGCCAGCCAGCGGATGACCCCGTTTCCACATGCCACACCTTGCCCACTCCATGTGCTATTTTATAAACCTTGTTCTGTCTGAGTGGTAGAAAGTGATATCTCATTTTGATTTTCGATGCCAAGTTTAGTAGACTATAAATAAAGTGGAATATCTTTTCATCTTTCCTAAACGTTTAAATGTTCCCTTTTATTAGCAGCCTGTTGTCATCCTCTGCCCACTCTTCGCTTTTGGTCTTCCACTTGTGTCTTTCTGACCTCTTTATACGCTTTATATATTAACCTGTAAAGTTTAACTCTGTGATATCTGCTTTTGCCAGTTTCTCTGTTCAATTTTTTTTTTTTTGGTGGTATATTTTTTCCAGCTGCTGATATTTTCTGTACATATAGAGTCAGATTCATCAGTCTTGTCTTTTACATGTGTTGGTTGTTGCTGTGTTTTTTTCGGTGAGATGTTTCACACTGTATGATTATTAAAATATTTCACCCTTTTGCCTTGTGGAGAGCAGAGAGCGATGGCTTCCAGTGGTTACGGAGGGGTTTGGGGCCCATGATGAGCAGAAAAGAGGGCAATTGCATGGTTAATGATTGTTCAGGCTACGGACAGAATGCAAAGACCATGCCTTGGGCGGCCGAGAGACAGCACATGCCTTCACATGCACGGTTGGCGAGCCCCAACCTGAGACAGAGGTCATGTTGAAATGTATCTAGAAGGTCAGGAACTGTCCAGAGGGAAAAATATCCAAGCATGTCCAGACACTGGACGTGGCCTCAGGTGGGTTGAGGGCATGTTGCGTAAAGGAGAAAACACGATGTTTACCAGGAGGAAAGGTCAGCCCGAGCAGAGCAGGGAACAGAGTGAAAATTTTCTCCTTTTTCTCTGAGCTCCTGCCTTGGGAAGGGCAGACTCCAACAGAACATTTCTGCTCAAAATGTGGCCCAGTACCAGTACCAGCAGCGTCACCAGTGAAGCCACCAACCATCCTGGTTTGCCCGGGGCCGGGGGCTCCTTGGGTCCCTGCTAAAATGGAGAGCGTCTCAGGCAAACCATCAAAGTCTGTCATTCTCAACACCCGGGAGCTTTCTAGAGGTGCAGAATGGCCGGGTGCGGGGACTCATGCCTGTAATCCCAGCACTTTGGGAGGCCGAGGCAGGCAGATCACTCGAGATCAGGAGTTTGAGACCAGCCTGGCCAACATGGTGAAACCCTGTCTCTACTAAAAATACAAAAATTAGCCAGGCATGGTGGCGGGCACCTGTAATTGCAGCTACTTGGAAGGTTGAGGTGGGAGGATCACTTGAACCTGGGAGGTGGAGGTTGCAGTGGCGCCACTGCACTCCAGGTTGGGTAACAGAGCGAGACTCCGTCTTGAAAAAAAAAAGAGAGAGAAATGCAGAATACTAGGCACCAGCCAGACCTGCTAAATCAGACCCAGAGTGGGGTAGAATGCACATTAAAGATTGAGAAGCTGAAGGGAGGGCCGCTAAGGAGAGAGGAGCCATGAGGAGCCTTTTCTGACAGTGTCCTGCCTCCACACCCAGCTGCGTCTGTCCAACATGCCCCATCCTCGCCTGGGCTGACCCATTCCACTCCCCGGTGCATCAACCACGCCTGTGTAAATTTCTGTACTTTGATTCTTTACATTTTCCTAAAGATGATAAACAACCCCCCTGAGATGGTGCCTTTCACATGCAAACCACCCCATCCAGAGCCCACACCCAGCACCCCGTCCATTGGGCTCCCACACTCAGGGCCTCTGTGTGCATGCCTTCATCACCCAGGGTTGGGAACCAGACAACCAGGACAGTGCCTGTGACCCAGAGCCACTGAAATCACTCACAGGAGCCAATCCTAAGCCTGCCCACTCTGCTTCACCCGTTCCCTCCCTTGGAAATAACGAAAAGGCTCCTGCTCACATTTCCCCCTCACTCCCTCTGCTTCCTGACCAGCCCCAGTACTTCCCTCTGTGGCTCCTCTGTTGATGGGTGGATGGATAGATAGTAGATAGTTGGAGGATGAGTGGATGGATGGGTAGATGAGTGGATGGGTGGATAGATGGAGGATGGATGGATGGATGGATGGATAAGGGATGATGGATGGATAGATGGATGGAAGGATGAATGGATAATGGGTAATGGACAGAGGATGGATGGATAGATGGATGGATGAATGGATAATGGATGGATGGATAGTGGGTGGATGGGTGGAATGGATGAATGATGGTAGGTGGATTCATAAATGACTAGCGATACCGTATCTCCACAGCACTGTAACATTTCACATGTCTTTCATGTTCACCACCTTTGAATTTGCTAATACCACCAGGAAGCAAAGTTGAGGTGGGGATGGTTTGAGATACTGATGGTGGGAGAGGAATTTTTCTGAACCTTTCTGATAAACAGGTTGTCAATACTGTAGTTTTCAAGTTCATGATACATCTCGCTTTGGTCTTCCCATTAAGGCCAAATGCAATGAATTGATTTTTAAAGAATGTAACTCAAGCTGGGCACCATGGCTCTTGCTTGTAACCCCCAAATTTTGGGAGGCTGAGGCAGAAAGATTGTTTGAGGCCAGCAGTCAGGATCAGCCTAGGCAATAGAGTGAGACCCTGTCTCCCCCCAAAAAATGAGTCCCAGTACACAAAGGCACAGGGCGCAGATAGAAGGGGAACATCACGGCATGTTTGTAAAATGAAGTGCTTGGAAACAAGACTATAAAGCACAAGAAGGGCGTATGAAAAGTCAGTACTAAAATGATTAAGAGAAAATAACAAATGCCTTTCCTCCGGACAATGCAATCAAAATTTTGGATCATTTTACATCATGGGGACAGCCTCATGAGGGAAAATACAGGATGATAAATTGTAAAAATATATATAGTTTCAATTTCCAAGTAAAAATTGATATGCTATCTGTGCAGTGAAAATGATTAAACAGAAATGCAGTGATAAATAAACAGGAGTTATGGCCAAGCTGCCTGACTTGGAACAAAACTCAGTAACATAACCAAATCACGAGGACCTCTTATCCTCTTTGACCCAGTAATTCAACTTCCAGCAGTTCTTTCTAGGGAATTAATGAGGCGCGCTGAGACAGATGTAAATGGAGGTTGGGCGTTTTGTCTTTCTCTGGAACAGTAAAACGTTAGAAAACCATTTTCCTTTTACAGAGAAAGAACAAGACTCTTACCTCTTCTTAGGAGGTCTCCACCCAGCTAAGTTGAACCCATTATGCTTTCAAAAATCCTTCCCTTTCTCAGGGATTGAGGTTGTCCACCTAGTTCCTTAAGGCAGAAATGGTGCCTGTTCCTGTAGCCGTCAGAGTCCTACCAGAGAAACAAACCCAGTAGTGCTATGGGCTGAACTGTAGACTCCCTGAATTCATATGTTGATGTCCTAACCCCACAGCACCGCAAACTGTGATTGTATTTGGGGATAGGGTCTTCACAGAGGCATCTGAGCTAAAACGAAGTCACTAGGATGGACCTCAATCTAATAGGACTGGTTTCCTCAACAGAAGAGGAAGTGTGGATGCAGACACACACCGAGGAAAGCCCACGTGAGGACACCGGGAGGGCGGCCGTCTGATCGCCAAAGAGAAAGGCCTCCGAGGAAACCAGCCCTGCTGACACCTGATCGCAAGCTTCCAGCCTCCAGAATTGTGAAAAAACACATTTCTGTTGTTTCAGCCACTCGGTACGTGGAACTTTGTTATGGCAGCCCTAGCAGACTAAGTAGGACATAACATGCATATTTATATGTATATTTGTCTGTGGGGATACATGTTTATATGTTTTGGGGGGGAAATACTGCATATTTATATGTATATTTGTCTGTGGGGGATACATGCATATATGTTTTGGGGGGAATACTGCATATTTCTATGTATATTTGTGTGTGGGGGGATACATGCATATTTATAAGTATATTTGTGGGGGGGGATAAGCATATATGTGTATGGGGTGAAATACATGCATATTTATATGTATATATGTGTGGGGGGATATTGATAATAGGTGTATACACGCATATGTGTGTATATATATCATATATATATCACATATGTCATATATATAATTTTTGTCTTTAAAGATGGGGGTCTCCAACCCCCAGGCCATGGACCCATACTGGCTTATGGCCTGTTTAGGAACTGGGCCACACAGCAGGACGTGAGGGTGGGTGGGTGAGCGAGTGAGTGAGTGAAGCTTCATCTGTCTTTACAGCCTCTCCCCATTGCTCACATTACCACCTCCTGTCAAATCAGCAGCCGCATTAGGTTCTCATAGGAGCACGAACCCTGTTGTGAACTGCGTGTGTGAGGGATCCAGGTTGCATGCTCCTTATGAGAATCTAATGCCTAGAGATCTGTCGCTGTCTCCCATCACTCCCAGCTGGGAGCATGCAGGAAAATGAGCTCAGGGCTCCCCACCAATTCTATGTTCTGGTGAGTTGCATAATTTTTTTCATTATATATTACAGTGTAATAATAATAGAAATAAAGTGCACAACAAATGTAATGTGCTTGAATCATCTCAAAGCCATCTCCCCACCCTGGTCTGCAGAAGAATTGTCTTCCACCAAACTGATCCCTGGTGCCAAAAAGGTTGCAAACCACTGTTTTAAGAGACTCATTGTAAGGCAATCGCTCACACGATTTTGAAGTCTGGGAGGCATGGCATCTGTGGGGCTGACTGACGCTAGGCTGGAAACTCAGGCAGGAGCTAATGCTGCAACCTTGAGGTGGAATTTATTTTTCCTCAGGGAAAACTCAGTTTTTGCTCGTAAGGCCTTCAACTGATGAGATGAGGCCCACCCACATCCTCCAGGATCATCTCCTTCACTGAAAGTCAGCTATCGTAGATGTTAACTGCATCTGTAAAATGCCCTCGCAGCCACAGCTGGATGAGGGTTTGACGGAAACTGTGGGGTTTGGAGCCTGGCCAGGTGGACACATGAAATAAGCCACCCACCGAATCCCACCAGCGTCCAGGCCTCGTCAGTTCTGCCTCCTGGACATCCCCTGAGCCAGCTCTGTCTCCGTCATTCCCCCTACCCCACCTCGTCTGGGCACCTATCCTCTCTGTCCTGTGTCCCCCAAATCTCCTCTGTGTGTGTCTCTGCCATGCACCAGCCCTGGCTTTCATCCATAGTGGAGCCAACATGGACTGTCTTAAAAGAAAAGGCATCCGTGACCACTGCCCGGGCTAAAACACGTCAACAGATTCATGTCACTGTCAGATAAAGACCTAGTTCCTTACTATGATCCACAGACTGTCTAAGCTCCAGAATTGCTACGTAGGAAGGGTTTGGGGCACTCTGGTTGGGTACGTGCATTAACCTGCCAGGACTGCCACAACGGAACACCACAGACGGGGCGGCTTCAACAACAGAAATTCATTTTCTCACTGTTCTGGAGGCTGGAAGGCTGAGAGATCAAGGTACCAGCAGGGTTGGTTTCTCTTTAGGCCTCTTTCCTCAGCGTATAGACACAGCCATCTTCTCCCAGTGTCCTTCCATGGTCATCACTTTGTATGTGCCTCTGTCCTCATCTCCTCTCTTGATCAGGGCTTTGGCCATTTTTTTTTTTTTAGATGGAGTATTGCTCTGTCACCCAGGCTGGAGTGCAATGGCATAATCTCGGCTCACTGCAACCTCTACCTTCCGGGTTCAAGTGATTCTCCTGCCTCAGCATCCCAAGTAGCTGGGATTATAGGCACTCACTATCACGCCTGGCTACTTTTTGTATTTTTTAAAGTAGAGACAAGGTTTCACCATGGTGGCCAGGCTGGTCTCGAATTCCTGATGTCAGGTGATCTGCCTGCCTCCGCCTCCCAAAGTGCTGAGATTACAGGCATGAGCCACCACACCTGGCTGCTCCAGCCATAGTGAATCAGGAGACACAGATGATACTAATGATCTTGTTCCAACTTGATCACCTCTGTAAAGACCCCATCTTCAAATATGCTCACACTCTGAGGTGCTGGAAAGTAGGGTTCCAGCGTGAGTTTAGGGGCACACATTTCAGCCCATGACAGGGAGCAATGTGGTCTTTGCTGTGAGGTCGTGCTGACATAATTGTTATGGGAAAAGGCAGACGAACCCTGTGCAGACAGCTATGTGTGTGAACTTAATTCAGACTAAGATGAAGTGTTAAAAGTCCATTCTTACTGATTTTGGTAATTCACGGAATCCAACAAGTTATGGAAATTTAGTTCCATGAGCATATTCAGGGGTGGGGGGAGTTATGGCTGAACATCAGTGATGCCTGGAATATTATGAAGCGGAAAGATTTTCACACCTACCCCCAAAAAAACAACAAAAAAAACTGCCCCAAAATGATTACTGACGGGACCAGGGGATATAATCCGCAAAATGACAACCAGAATAAAATATTTGTTTGTTTGTTTTATTATTTTATATATATTTTTAGAGATAGTGTCTCTCCCTGTTGCCCAGTTTGGAGCGAGGGGCGCAATCTCAGCTCACTGCAGCCTTGACCTGCTAGGCTCAAGTGATCCTCTGGCCTCAGCTTCCAGAGTAGCTGGGACCACAGGGGTGTGCCACCATGCCCGGATAATTTTTGTTTTTTTTTGTAGAGATGAGGTCTTTCTATGTTGCCCAGGCCTCAAGCGATCCAACCACCTCGGACCCCAAAAGTGCTGGGACTACAGGCATGAGCCATGGCGCCTGGCCCAGGATAAAATACTTCCATGGCTTAGAAACAGAGGTCTCCAGAACCTTGGCCAGGCTGTGCTGTTTATGAGAAAATCATTCCCTTGCTGAAGGCAACATGTGTATTGCTGGGATTCCAGCTGGGCATTTGGCTTAGGAACCAAGGGGACGTTCCACGGTGGGTCCTTGACCCGACGTCTTATCTGGCAGCTGACGTTGTAACTGCTTCTTCTCAGGGACCGTGGCTATTCAGTTAGAAATGTCATTCCCTTCTGACCCCATTTTCTATTTGGATTTGGTCCAAATTCCTCATGCAGGACCGGGAGCTGAAAGCCTCCTTGTAGGTCTGGGCGCTTCAATGTGGGGGGAATGGGGGAATGGTGTTTGGGCCAGGGAGGGGCCAATGGTCTCATCTTCTTCTTCAGCACAAGGCAGTATGGGTTGGGGGTTGGGGGGCAAGTGGGGTTGTAAATGGGTGCAGAAAAATAGTTAGAAAGGGTGAATAAGACCTAGTATTTGATAGCAAAATTGGGTGACTATAGTCAATAATAATTTATTTGTACATTTAAAAATAACTCAAAGAGGCCAGGTGTGGTGGCTCATGCCTATAATCCCAACACTTTGGGAGGCTGAGGTGGGCAGATCATGAGGTCAAGAGATTGAGACCATCCCAGCTAACACGGTGAAACCCCATCTCTACTAAAAATACAAAAATTAGCCGGGTGTGGTGGTGTGCACCTGTAGTCCCAGCTACTCGGGAGGCTGAGGCAGGAGAATTGCTTGAACCCGGGAGGTGGAGGTTGCAGTGAGCTGAGATCACACCACTGCACTCCAGCCTGGCAACAGAGCAAGACTTCAAAAAAAACAAACAAAAACAAACAAACAAAAAACACGAGAGAGAGAGAGAGAGAGAGAAAGTCACTTCAAAGAACGATGAAGGATTGTTCATCTCATTTGTAATCCAAAAATTGGGCAGCCATGTCAACAGGGAGACCATTTATTTTCCTTCTATCCAATTGGCAAGAATGAAACAAAAAGTACAAGACATTATTTTGTGTGTGTGCCAGTCTATGTTTTGTTTTTTAAATCTTTTTATTTGAGTAGCTCTATGAATACCAGTGATTTTTGATGACGTGGATGAATTGGATAGTGGTGTTGTCCGGGCTTTTAGTGCACCCATCACCCAAGTCATGTACATTGTACCCAATATGTAGTTTTTTTATCCCTCCCTTTCTCCCTTCCTGTCCCCTTTCCGAGTCTCCACTGTCCATTATACCACTCTGTCTGCCTCTGTGTACCCATAGCTTAGCTCTCACTTATAAGTGAGAACATGCGGTATTTGGTTTTCTATTGCTGAGTTACTTCCCTTAGAATAAGGGCCTTTAGCGGTGGGCTCACGCCTGTAATCCCAGCACACTGGGAGGCCAAGGCGAGCGGATCACATGAGGTCAAGAGTTTGAGACCAGCCTGGACAACATGGAGAAACCCTATCTATACTAAAATTACAAAAAATTAGCCAGGCATGGTGGTGCACGACTGTAGTCCCAGCTACTCAGGAGGCTAAGGCAAGAGAATCACTTGAACCCAGGAGGCGGAGGTTGCAGTGAGCGGAGATCGCACCACTGCACTCCAGCCTGGGTGACAGAGCGAGACCCCGTCTCAGAAAAAAAAAAAGAAAAAAGAAAAAGAGTAAGGGCCTTCAGTTCCATCCAAATTGCTGCAAAGGACACGATTTCATTCTTTTTCAATGGCTGAGTAGTATTCCATGCTGTATATGTACAACACTTTCTTTATCCACTCATCTGTAGATGGGCACTTAGACTGATGTCATATCTCTGCAATTGTGAATTATGCTGTAATAAACATATGAATGCAGGTGTCTCTTTTATATGAAAGACACCTTCAGGTACATACCCCGTCGTGGGCTTGCTGGAAGGAATGGTAGATCTGCTTTTAGTTAGTTGACAAACCTCCATAGTGTTTTCCACAGAGGCTGTACTAATTGACATGCTCATCAGCAGTGTATAGTGATCCCTTTTCACCATATCCACACCGATGTCTATTGTTTTTGTGAGAAAAGCACAACACTTTAGGTTTGCAAATACCTGGGACAAATCTTAAAATGTTGCTAGAAAGGAATGTTGATAGCTGTATAATTCTGTAACTGCACCCCCTGACCCTCAAATTGGAAACAGTTTAAATAGCCACCAACAGGAAAATAAATAAACTGATATATCCATATTATGGAATATCACTGAGCAGTAAAAAGGAATAAAATATAATTATTTAATAATTAATATTAATCAGTAAAATCTTAATACATGTAACAACATGGAGTATCTCAAAACATTAGGAGAAAAAAGTTGAACAAAAGATTGCATAATTCTATTTACATAAAATTCTAGAAAGTCACAAAACAGTAGAGACTGGAAGTAGATCGGGGTGGTGTGGTAGTGGGTTGGAGGGAGGGAAGGGATCCAAGGCAAATTAGCACAGAAAAGTCTGCTATGGTGTGGGTCTGTATCCACTCCGCTCCCTACATCTCATGTCAAATTGTAATTCTCAGTGTTGGAGGCGGGGCCTGGTGGGAGGTGATTGGATCATGGGGGTGGAATGTGCCCCTTGCTGTTCTCATAACAGTGAGTGAGTTCTCACGAGATCTGGTTGTTTAAAAGTGTGTAGCACATCCCCCCATCTCTTCCTCCTGCCCCCGCCACGTAAGACATGCCTGGTCCCCTTTACCTTCTGCCGTGATTGTAAGTTTCCTGGGGTCTCCCTAGCCAGGCTCCCTGTACAGCCAGCGGAACCGTGAGTCAATTAAACCTCTTTTCTTTATAAATTACCCAGTCTCAGCAATGTGAGAACAGACTAATAAAAAACTTTTTTTTAAATTTATATATATATATATATATATATATATATATATATATATATATATATATATATATATATATATATATATATATATATATACATACTTTTTTTTCGAGACAGGTTCTCACTCTGTAGCCTAGGCTGGAGTGCAGTGGCATGATCATAGCTCACTGAAGCCTTGGCCTCCTAGGCTCAAGTGATCCTTCCATCTCAGCCTCCCAAGTGGCTGAGATTACAGGCAGGTGTCACCCCATCCAGCTGATTTTTTTTTTTTTTTTTTTTTGTAAAGACAGGTTCTTGCTTTGTTGCCAAGGCTGGTCTTGAACTCCTAGCCTCAAACAATCCTCCCACCTCAGACTCCCAAAGCATTGGGATTACAGGTGTGAGCCACCTTGCCGGGCCAAGAAACTTTTTAGACTAATTAAATGCTCTGCTTATTGATTGTGGTGGTGGTTTCATGAGTGTATACAACCACTAAAATGCATCAAACTGTATATTTAAAATAGGTAAATCATATTATATGTAAATTATAACTCAATAAATCCAGGGAGTTTTTACAAAATTTCAACCTCACAGATTTCAGGCCCACAAGAAGATGATTGTTCTAGCACAGAATGCCGAGGTGTGGTGGGAGTCGAGGAGACAAACATTCAGTCCTTCTACAGACATTTATTAGTTGCCTGCTGTATGCCAGGCTGGGATCTTGCATCCACCCACACACAACGGACTCCAGAGCCTGGAAAACTTCACTCTCTGCAGCCCTGGTTTCCATGGCAACAGCTGGAGGCTGCATCTGTCCTTCACAGAAAATCAGTGCTCCTGAGGCAGCAAGGGGGAGGGGCTCAAGCCTGCAGTTTTCTCCATCCGTGCTTAGATAATGGGTCCTGTATATCTTAAAATATGTTCTTGGATGAGGTCCTCAGAGAGGGGAGCACAGCAGGGCGTGTGAGCCGCTGCATTTTGTTTGCATTGGAATTCTTAGTTGCATCAAGAGAAACTAGCGGTGGCTGGCATCTACAAGAAGTATTGCTGAAAGGGTGCTGGGTAGATCTCAGGCTCTGAGAAAGCTGCAGACCCAGGCCTGGGGGCTCTCCTGTCACATCCAGGTCTCCAGGTTGAGCTTTCGGGACTCCGTGTTAGCTCTTGGCTTTTTTTTTTAATCCCCACTGACATCTCCTCCAGTCCCCTGGCCACACTCACGAACTCACTTCTCTATGATTTTGTCCCCCTCCACCAACAGCCCAGACCTCCCTCCTGAGCATTCCAAATCATTTCCTTCTCAACTACAGCCATCAATTGGTCTCACATCGTTTCCAACAATGAGAAACCAAGTCCATCAGCACATCAAATCAAATCCTTCTCCAGAGTCTACCTTCAGCCATTCCACTCACCCCACGTAACTCCCCAACCTTCCCATCTTCTGTCGTTACCCTGGCCCAACTTCATCGCATGCTGCGACCCCTTTGAGGTCTCAGAACGGGTCATGTGTGCAAATAAATTATTGGAGCTTCCATTTTCACTTTTTTAAATCTTATCCTCTGAAAAATTTTCCGTGTTTTATTTTGCACCTAACATTTTTCTGTGTATCTCATTTATAAATAAATTAATAAAAGCATATTGGAAGAATTAACTAATTCTATCTAGATTTAGTGAGTGGCCAGCTAGGTCTCCTGGCATCTCCCTGTCTTTCCCTTTCCCTTCTTCTGCCTCCTTCCCTGTAGCCAGAGTGATCTTATATTGCACCCTTAATTAGAAATCATTCTGGAATGGATTGATTCCGGCACTTCAGCCTCTGTTAACTTCAAAGTTGACCTGATCAGGTACAGCAAACGTTGTCCATTAGCAAGTCCTGTCAAGGTTCTCTCCAAAGGATTTGTCGTTACCAACTAAATTCTCTGGTAACTTTTCTTTTTTCTGATTCCACTGTACCCACATAAACTCAGTATCCAAACTATCATGGATAGCCCAGATGTTTCGAAAATGGTTGGGTGTAGCGTGACCAAGCAGCAAAGGTTCTCAGTGGATATTATGGCAAATGAGATACACAAATACCCAAGAAGCACATGAAAAGATACTCACTATCATTAGGCACCAAGGAAATGTGAGTCAAAACCACAGTGAGATGTCACTTTACACCCATTATGATGGCTATAGTCAAAAACCACAGACTATAACAAGTGTTGGTGAGGACAGAGAAATTGAAATCCTCATAAATGCTGGTGGGGATGTAAACTGGTGCAGCTGTTTTGGAAAGCAGTTCCTCAGAAGGTTAAATATAGCATTACCCTGAGACACAGTAATCCTGCTCTTAGATATATACCCCAAAGAAATGGAAACATACATCTACACAAACAAAAACTTCTATACAAATGTTCATAGCAGCATTAGTCATAATAGCCAAAAGTGAAAACAGCCCAAAGGTCTATCAACTTATGAATACATATGTAAAATGTGGCACACCCATACAATGAAATATTATTCTGCCATAAACAAGAATTAAGTACTGATACATGTTACAGCACAGATGAGCTCAAAAACATTAAGCTAAGTGAAAAAATCTTACCCAAAAGTCATATATCATATGATTCAAAATGCAAAAATCTACAGATACATGAAGTAGATTCATGTGCTGCCTGGGGCTGGGGAACACTGGGAGGAAATGCTGAGTTACGACTAAGGGGCATGGGATTTTTTGGTAGGGGATGATCTAAATGTTCTAAAATTCTAAATGTTCTAAAATTGATTGTGCTGATGATTTCACAACTCTATGAGTATACTAAAAACCATTGACTTATAAGTACTTTAAACGATGAATTGTATAGTATGTGACTATCTCAACAAAGCTGTTATTAAATTTTAGTGAATTCTCATTTGTTTAGTTTTGCTCTGAATGTATAACAGAATTTTGTTCAGTGGAAGTAGGCTGGCATTATGCATCACATACAACCAGCAGCTTCATGCCAGGTCCCTTAACAGATCCTCATGAGGGGAACCCAGAAAATGAGGGGGCAGGATGTTCACCCCAGGAAACGAGAGGGAGGAAAAAAGAAACTGATGAATGATGGAAATCAGGGACGCGATCTGCAAAACAGATGGCTAGTATTTAATATTTTTATGGTTTGGAAATAGAGGTCTCCAGAACACTGGGTGGGTTGTGCTCTTTCCGAGAAAGCCAGTCTCTTCCTGAGTTGGATGGCAACATATATATTGCTTGGATTCCAGTACAGAATTTAGCTCATTAATCAGGGAAAAATTCCATGGTGGGTTGTTGAACCGAGGTTTTATCTGGCAACTGGGTGAGATGTTGACATTCAAACTACTTCTCAAAGACCAAGAGTCTCCAGTTAGAAAGATTTCTACCATCTGAACTTCTATTTATTTGAGCCCAAATTCTTCCTGCAGTAACCAAGGTCTTCTTGCAGGACCTGAGTCTGATAGATTATAATATGAGCCATTTTTATCATTTTAAGTGTTCTATTATATACATAATATATATAAAATACATATATTATATATTTTTTATTTTTTTTATTTATTTATTTTGAGACGGAGTCTCGCTCTGTCACCTAGGCTGGAGTGCAGTTGCGTGATCTTGACTCACTGCAACCTCTGCCTCCTGGGTTCAAGCGATTCTCCTGCCTCAGCCTCCCGAGTAGCTGGGATTACAAGCGTGCGCTGCCACACCGGCTAATTTTTGTATTTTTAGTAGAGATGGGGTTGTACCATGTTGGCCAGGATGATCCTGATCTCCTGAACTCAGGATCCACCCATCTTGGCCTCCCAAAGTGCTGGGATTACAGGCATGAGCCACAGCGCCTGGGCAGATATTTCTATTTTTGTAAGTCATTGTTATTATTTACTATTTTTATTTTCTATCAGCTTTTAAAAGAAATAGATGGGATTCATTTTAATGATATATTTTGTTTGACCCCATGTTTCAAAAACGTTATCATTTCAACATGTAATCAATATAAAAATTGTAATAATATTTTTTACATTCTTTTTTAATACTAAGTCTTTGAAACTCATCGTGTGGCAAGGCTCAATTCACAGCAGCCACATATTAAGTGCTTAACAGCCATCTGTGGTTTGCGGCTGCTCTGTGGGACATTCCAGTTCTAGAGTGCCATCTGAGTAGGGGGGCAGCGCTCGCGCCGTCTGAGTAGGGGGGGCAGCGCTCGCGCCGTCTGAGTAGGGGGGGCAGCGCTCGCGCCGTGTGAGTAGGGAACAGGGCTTGGGGCAAGGAAGTGGGCTCGTGGCCTCCATTCTGCAGTCATGGCAAGAAAACCGAAGAGAATATTTTTGAAGCTATGGGATGAAGAAAGATGTACTAAATATGACACAAAAGTTAACGAATATAAAATAATAAATCTATACTTCACAAAAATTGAAAATGTGTGTGTTGTGTGTAAGGAAAACGTCCACCACAAACAAGACTTAAATGGCAAGCCCAGGTCAAATATGTAAAAATAGAGGTGATGATCCAGAACTTTGTATCACTAACATAAACATATGAGATACATAGAAATTATATACATAAATAAATGTAATATAAACTCAGGAAAAGTTGAACACCAAGATAGAAACACGGGCAAAGACTATGAGTAGAATATTTACCAGAGAGTATGTTTAGGTGCAATAAACATAAAAGAGACAGTCCACCCTACTACTACTTTTTTTTTTTTTTTTTTTTAGACTGAGTCTTGCTCTGTCGCCCAGGCTGGAGTGTGCAGTGGCATGATCACAGCCCACTGCAGCCTTGACCTCCTGTGGTCTAGCAATTCTCCCACCTCAGCCTCCCAAGGAGCAGGGACTACAGGCATGCACCACCACGCCCCGGTAAAATACAAAAAAAAAAAAGAACATATTTTTATAGAGACGGGACTTCACCATGTTGCCCAGGCTAATCTCAAACTGCTGGGCTCAAGTGATCTGCCTGCCTTGGCCTCCCAAAGTGCTGAGATTATAGGCGTGAGTCTACCCTACTTCTAATACCAAAACAGACACTCAAAGTAAATAGAAGTCATTTCGACAAAATGACTTGTTTTGTCGAAATGACTTCTATTTGTATCGAAAACAAGAATAATATTAGAGTAAGGAAGGTTGTAGGAAAATGGACATTCTCAAATGCTAGTGACCAAATTTTGGGGAGAGGTGCCAAAATTTAAAAAGTATGTGTGCTTTGACTTAGCCAGTCTACTTCTGGGAATCTGCTGTCTGCAGACATTCACAAACATTCAGGAAGGTACAGAGGAGTTAGCACACCTTTGTCTACATTAGCAAGAAGTTGGCAACAAGTGTATACAATGAGTATCCTTTTATCCTGCAGTCTTGATGCACAAACCAAATTCTTCCCAAAACAAGTATTTCTGGAGGAATATTTGATGTCATGGTAACATATGCTATGAGAAAGACAGGCTAGATATATATCTATCCACTTCAATGCCAATTTGGAGCATAAAATAATTCATTCATTCACTCATGTATATTTGAGACAGACAAATAGAGGACTTTGTATGCACCAGACTTGGTGTGAGGTGCTGGGGAGATGGCAGAGAGCAAAAGTAAAGCAGGTCCTTGCTTACAGAGCTGCCAAGAGAAAACAAGGAAAATGCCTCTTTAGAAAGACATTCTGCACTATTTGCAAACAAATATGCTGGCTCATGCCTATAATCCCTGCACTTTGGGAGGCCGAGGCCAGTAGATCACTTGAGGTCAAGAGTTCGAGAGCAGCCTGGCCAACATGGTGAAACCCATCTCTACTAAAAATACAAAAAATTAGCTAGGCATGGTGGCGCGTGCCTGTAATCTCAGCTACTTGGGAGGCTGAGGCAGCAGAATTGCTTGAACCTGGTAGGCGGAGGTTGCAGTGAGCTGAGATTGAGCCACTGCACTCCAGCCTGGGTGACAGAGAGAGACTCCGTCTCAAAAAAACAAACAAACAAAAAAAAAAAAACTGTGCTTTCTCCATGGCTCCACCCCTATCTACATCACCTGAAGAAATTCTCCATCATGTGGGCAAGGGAACATACACAAGGTTGTCCACTGCAACCTTCAACCAATCAGTAAATATTGATAAGGTGAGAGTGATGTGTGAGGCGATGTGTGAGGCACTGTCTGAGACATTCAGAGTGACTCTGATCCCCAAAATAAAAAATCAGGGTGGGGAGCAGCCAGAATGCCCCTCAAGAGGAGACGGAGCAAATGAAGGATAATTGCTGTAGATTGAATGTTTGCGTCCCCACCTCCCCCCACAATTGATGTTAAATCCTAACTCCCAGTGAGATAGTATTAGGAGGTGGGACCTTTGGGAGTGGATTAGATGATGAGGGTAGAGGCTCATCATGGGATTATTGTCCTAGACAAGAGGCCCTAGAGCTCACAAGGTCTATTGTACAATGTGGTGACTATAGTTCATGACAATGTAAAAATTGCTAAAACAGTAGACTTTTAGTGTTCTCACCATAAAAAAAAGGGGGGAGGTAGAAAGGCATATATCGATTAGATCAACATAACCATTCCACAATGTATACATATTTCAAAACATCATGTCGTCACCATAAACATACACGATTTTACTTGTCAATTTAAAAACTAATTGATTAATTAATTTTTAACAAGACCCCAGAGGGCTCCCTCAAGAAGACAGCAGGAAGTGGCCCTTCCCTAGGCACTAAATCTGCTGCACCTTGGATTTTCCCTCCAGAACTGTCAGAAATAAAAATCTGTTGTTTCTAATCCACCCAATCGATAGTATTTTTGCTATAGCAGCCCGAACAGACTAAGACGAGGATGTATTCACACAGTGATTGCTACATTACTGCAAATGAAAGAATAGAAGTTACTGCATGGAGAATAAATGTCTAAAGGGGAGGCTGGGCACGGTCGGTGCAGCCCCACGCCCAGTCACCATCTACGTGATCACGCGGCTCAATCTCCCCAGTGCCCTTACAACCAGCTGAAAGAATCCTCTTTCCTTTCTTGTTCACCGTTCTTAGTTATTTCTCTTGAGAGCCACTAACAGAATTGAAATCATAAGAAGAACTAAAGGAGCGGTTTTTCCCAGATGACATTGTCTGTCCTCCGAAAACAATCTATTACTGATAGAATTATGGCGGGGAGTGAGGTATCCTTATCCATTTGTACAAAAAGACATATATGATGCAGCTGCTCTGTGCTGGGATGGTTTTTGAATCCGCACGTATCTGCTTTTTCTCTTTTTTTTTTTTTTTTTTTTTTTGAGACAGGGTCTCGTTGAGTCACCCAGGCTGTAGTGCAATGGCACGATCTCGGCTCACTGCAACCTCCGCCTCCTGGGTTCAAGCTATTCTCCTGCCTCAGTCTCCCGAGTAGCTGGGATTACAGGCGCCCGACACCATGCCTGGATAATTTTTGTATTTTTAGTAGAGATAGGGGTTTCACCATGTTGGCCAGGCTGGTCTCAAACTCCTGACCTCAGGTGACCCACCCGCCTCGGCCTCCCAAGGTGCTAGGATTACAGGTGTGAGCCACCACGCCTTTTTTTTTTTTTTTTTTTTTAAGAGACAGAGTTTCACTCTGTTGTCCTGGCTGGAGTGCAGTGGTGCCATCATAGCCTACTGCAGCTTCAAACTCCCGGACTCAAGTGATCCTCTAACCTCAGCCTCCTGAGTAGCTGGGACTCTAGGCCTGCCCCACCACCCTTGGCTAGTTTTTATATATTTTTATTTTTTTGTAGAGACAGGGTCTTGTTATGTGGCCCAGGCCGGTCTCGAACTCCTGGCTTCAAACAATCCTCCTGCCTCGACCTCCCACAGTTTTAGAATTACAAGTGTGAGCCACCATGGCTGATCTCTTCCTTACTTAACTGGATATATTTGGACTCTGTTTAGCTCATGCATCAGGGATACCCTGGCGGGAAGGATGCTGGCTGACATCTGGACCTGGTTCCCTGGAACCCTCTAAGGGATTCAAGAAGTAGGATCTCTCCCCACTATCCCTGGGTCTGTTCCCATTTAAGGCTTTGTCCTGTCCCACCGGTCATTTTGCACCCTTGGCCACTGCCCTAGTCTAAGCTACCACCATCTGGACCATTCCCACCCTGGTCTCCAGGCTTCCATGCTTAGCCCTCAAGGTCCTTCTCCAATAAGCAGCCATGACCCTCCTTTAAAAACACAAGTTGATCCCAGCCCCTACCTCCTTATAGGTGGTGAGCAATCGGTCAATTTGTGTCTGATTTCATTTCTTTGCCCCACTTTTTAATTCTATAACCAGGAATTTATCCTCAATGGAAACTCGCTCAAATGTACAAAGAATGTCTATCACTGAGACTTGGGCAGTCTTGTTTACGAAATACGCACATTTGCAGTCAAGTCTATAAACCGTCTTCACCAAGAATGGTGAATCCAGTGAGCAGGTGGCATTTTCCTAATCATAAACAGAGTCCATTTCAGTCAAGCGCAATGAATAAACTTGTGAGGCCTGCTGTTCTACATTGTACCTGGAGTCAGCAGTACTGTATTGTCCCAGCCTCGGCAACAAGGCAAAACCCATCTCTAAAAAATGATTTTAACAGTTAGCTGGGCATGTTGGCATGTGCCTATAGTGTGTGCCTGTAGTCCCAGCTACTAGACGACTAGAGAGGCTGAGGTGGGAGGATTGCTTGAGGCTGCAGTGAGCTATGTTCATGCCACTGCACTCTAGCCTGGGCAACAGAGTAAGACCTCATCTCAAAAACAAAACAGTACTGTATTGTACACTTGGAAATTTGTTAAGAGGGTGGATCTCATGCTAAATGTTCTTACCACAATAAAATAAAATAAAACAAAATAAAGACTGGGTGCAGTGGCTCATGCCTGTAATCCCAACATTTTGGGAGGCTGAGATGGGAGGATCGCTTGAGGCCAGGAGTTCAAGACCAGCCTGGTCAATATAGCAAGACCCCCATCTCTAATAAAAATAACATAAAATATAAAAGCGGGGGAAAAAGAGACAAATAGGCAAGCTCTTTTTCTCCTTCAAAATAAAGCCATATTTTAAAGTACACTTCCTGATGTTGAAATGTTCATGCATTAAATAAAAAGGAAGATGGAAAACTGCAGATAAGGTATCCCAATTTTATGTAAAACTTTATGTGGAGATAAGCATGGAAAAAAAAAGCCTGGACACGCAGCAAGCTCTAAGCCATGTTTTTCACGGAGCTGTTAGACTATGGGGAGACATTTGGATCTTTGAGGTCCAGAACCCTAGAAGTGTTCTTTCTCTTTGACCAATAATTATTGGTTGTGTGTGCATGTATGTATACACATATACATATATGTACATAAATACAAATTATTTCCTCCCCTAGAGATTAACAGGCCTCAAAGGAAAGTGTGACTGCATCTCTCCCGTGCTTAAATCACTTCCGTGGATTCCCTTTGCTCTGTAAGTAAAACTTCCTTCCCCATCATGATTCGCAAGCAGTTTGCTGTGCAGAATTTCTACAAAGGCAGGAGGGGCTGGGGGTGAGATGCATTCAGATTGGGGAGAGGCTGCCTGTAAGATTCATTTACACAATGCTTTGACTCAAATAATGCCTTTAGGAAAATGAAAACAGTTTCCTCGAATATTTGGTAATACATGTATGTGTGTGTGCGAAAGTGTGAGTGTGGGAACGTGTATACACACACAAAAAAACCCTGAAATTCTCATTGACCTATCCATGATTTCAACCCATTGTGTAATTTGGGTTAGCCAAGCATATCCAGAATCAGATGGCTATTCTGTTTAAAAATCTGCAGCGTGCACACAAAAACACCAGCTTTGGGCCAGGACTCAACACAGGCACCCAGTCCATCAAAGAGGGACGAGGCCGAGGTTCCACCCCGGAAAACTAGGAGAAAAGCTAACGAAGGTGAGGGAAGGATGTCGTCTGGAAAGGAGATGCCTGGTATTTGATATTTTCAGGGTTCGGAAACGCATGTCTTCAGCACAGAGGCCAATATTAAGTTGTTTCCAAGAAATCCAACCGCTCCCTGCTAGAGAGGAGATGTACGTAGGGTTTGGTTTCCAGCCGAGCACTGAGCTAATATCAACCACGGTGAGTCTTTGAACTAAAATATAATCTGATGACCAGGCCAGGAGGCAATATCCATTCGGCTCCTTTCCAAGAACCACACGTTTCCAATTAGACATGTTCTCCCGAGGGACCCCTAGGTGCAATTCAGATCTGGTGCCAATCCCTCCTGCAGCAATGGGATCTGGAGGCCTTCATGAGGACTGGAGTTTCTGGGTGCAGGGATGGGCATGGTGTGCACAGCAGGAAGAGGGTTCTTTTCTGAAGAAATCATATTCAGTAAAATAGGATTTGGGAGGATATGTTTATAATCATGTGATGGGAAATGACTCATTCAAAACAATCCAAACATCAACAGTCACAAAATAAAAGGGCGTTCAATCTGACCATCCAAACACTAAAAATGTGGGAACATGAAGACTCCTGTCACAAATGTGGTTTAACAATCTACCAGGTGAAATCATTGCGGTGTAAAGTCAAAGGAATTGCTCGGGTCAAGCAATTGTGCTAACAGGTCAAGATGGTAAAACTGAACATCACATTGGAAAAGCCAGAAAGGGATCTGAAAAGAGAGTTCATGAAAGAGAAAAAGCAAAACTGTTTGTTTTGTTTTTTTGTTTTCGAGTCTCCCTCTGTCGCCCAGGCTGGAGTGCAGAGGCATGATCTTGGCTCACTGCAACCTCTGCCTCCCAGGTTCAAGCAATTCTCCTGCCTTAGCCTCCTGAGTAGCTGGGATTACAGGCATGCACCACCATGCCTGGCTGGTTGTTGTATATTTAGTAGAGACGGGGTTTCACCGTGTTGGCCAGGCTGGTCTTGAACTCCTGACCTCAAGTGATCCACCTGCCTCAGCCTCCCAAAGTGCTGGGATTATAGGCATGAACCACCACACCCAGCAAAAACTTTCAAGAAACATGAAAAGATGCTCCAATCTTCTGATAAAGCAAAATTGGAAGTCAATATTCACCATAGCCCAAAGGTGGTGGGAAACCCAGTGTCCAGTGATGGATGGGTGGATGAGTAAAATGTGGTCTCTCCATGAATGCAATATTATCCAGTCTTAAAAAGAAAAGAAATTCTAGCCTGGCAACACCGTGAAACGCAGTCGCTATAAAAAATACAACATTTGCCGGGCGCAGTGGCTCATGCCTGTAATCCCGGCACTTTGGGAGGCCAAGGCGAGCAGATCATGAGGTCGGGAGATCGAGACCATCCTGGCTAACACAGTGAAATCCCGTCTTTACTAAAAACACAAAAAAATTAGCCGGGCGTGGTGGCAGGCGCCTGTAGTCCCAGCTGCTGGGGAGGCTGAGGCAGGAGAATGGCGTGAACCCAGGAGGCAGAGCTTGCAGTGAGCCCAGATTGTGCCACTGCACTCCAGTCTGGGTGACAGAGCAAGACTCCATCTCAAAAAAAAAACAAAAAAAACAATACAACATTTAGCCAGGCATGGTAGTGCATGCCTGTAGTCCCAGCTACTCAAGAGGCTGAGGTAGGAGGATGGCTTGAGCCCAGGAGGTTGAGGCTGCAGTGAGCTGTGCTCACGCCACTGCACACTTCAGACTGGGTGACGGAGTGAGACCCTGTCTCAAAAAAATGAATAAATGAATAAAAGAAAGGAAATTCTGACACAGGCTACAACATAGATGAACCCTGAGGACATTATTCTAAGTGAAATAAGCCAGACACAAAAGGAAATACTATATGATTCCACTACCAAAAGTAGTCAAATTCATAGAGTCAAAAAGTAGAGTGTTGGTTGCCAGGGGCTGGAGTGGGGAAAATGGGGAGTTGTTGTTTAATGGGTACACAGTTTCAGTTTTGCAAGGTTTTTTTTATCCATCCCCTAAAGCATTTATCCTTTGAGTTACAAATAATCCAATTACAGTCTTTATTTTAAAATGTACAATTAAGTTACTATTGACTATAGTCACCCTGTTGTGTTATCTAATAGGTCTTAGTAAGTCTTATTCTTGCTAACATTTCTTATGTGTGTGCTCATTAACCATTCCACCTCCCCACCAGCTCCTACTACTCTTCCCAGCCTTTTGGTAACCAACCTTCTACTCTCTACATCCTTGAGTTCAACTGTTAGATCCCACAAATAAGTGAGAACATGCCATGTTTGTCTTTCTGTCCGTTTTGCAAGAGTTCTGGAGATGGGTGGCGGTGATAACACCACCATTGCACAACAATGTCAATGTGCTCGAGGCCACTGAACTGCACACTTTTAAGTAGCTAAGGTGGTAAATATTGTGTTATGTGTATGTCACCATAATGTTTTTAAAATCTGGAAGTCAAAACTAAAATAAAAAATCATCGCTGTGATAAAGACAGACCCCTTCAGATGAAGCCAGTGGGAAAGTAGGTAGGCACAGTCTTTCTGGTAAGTATTTGAGTCATTGGTATCAAAGCACCGAGTGTGGAGACACACCCTTTGCCTCCGCGATCCTGTTTCTGGGCATCTGGTCAGCATGAAAATCAGGAAGGTTTGCCTATCTACATGGGAGCCATGACAACATTGTGAAGGACAGCAAGATGTTGGAAGCTGATGGGTAGAATCTACGTACAAGACGTCATCTGCAGTAGGATGCAGTGTCTTACACTCAGGAGGAGATGGTTCCTTAAAAAAAAATTAGTGGTGTTTCAATGGCTGTTCAAAGAATTGTAATTAACTCCTAGCCTAATTCAATACTAAAAATTATATCTATAAACCTTTCAGCTGGGCGTGTGGCTCACGCCTGTAACCCCAGCACCTTAGGAGGCCAGTGGATCACACGAGGTCAGGAGTTCAAGACCAGCCTGGCCAAAATGGTGAAACCCCATCTCTCCTGAAAATACAAAAATTAACCGGGCGTGGTGGCACATGCCTGCAATCCCAGCTACTCGGAGGCTGATGCAAAAAAATCGCTTGAACCTGGGAAGTGGAGGTTTCCGTGAGCCGAGATCACGCCACTGCACTCCAGCCTGGGTGACAGAGTGAGACTCCGTCTCAAAAAAAAAAAAATCTTTCAACCAAGATACTTAATGAACTATTTAAAAAACAAATCATCTAAGAAGAAAAGCAGGAAAGTGACGGTTTATGGATAATAATCCCAGTTTGACCAAAAATCAATCATTCATTCATGTATTCAGTTACTCATACTCTAGAAGAATGCCACCCAACAGAAATAAAATTTCAGCCACAAATGTGAACCATGTATGTAAATCTAAGTTTTCTAGCAACGGCTGTTTAAAAAAAAAAAAGATAGGTAAAACTAATCAATACAAAAATTATTAGCGATATTTCAATTAAAAAAAATTTTTTTGTACCAAGTCCTCAAAATCCACTGTGTGCTTTGCCACGACAGCATGTCTCTTCGGGGACCGGCCACATTTCAAGTGGTCAGTCGCCACCTGTGGCCAGTGGCCGCCATGTTGGGCAGCCCAGTTCTGGAGATGTGCTGAGATGTTTTTGCAGTCACCTTTAGAGCCTGGAAAATTCCAGACTCTGCGGGCTCTTTCTCCATGGAAACGCTGGCTACAGTTTCCATGGAGACAGCCCCTGCAATGGCAGAGGGTGAGAGCTCTTGAGGGATGAACAGAGCAGAGCAGCTAACAACAAAATAGTCTGTTTGGAGGATGGGATGGGCTGGGGGAAGGAACCAGCAGACAGCCACCCCATCAACACCTCATGCACAGCATTGATGTGTGAAAAATTGCATTATCAGACAGGGTCCTTGCAAATGAAGAGAAAATGGGCTTCCTCGAGTCTTAGCACACCTTACTGGAAATCGCCAATCCCCTGCAAGCTGCCGTGCTAGGAGCGTCATCCATCCATCCCAGCATCCACACATCCACGCATTTAATGTTCATGGGATTAAAATGGACTGAGCTCCATCATTCTCCAGACTCAGTACAAGGAGCTGGAGCTGCAGAAGCCGCGCAAACCAGGCACAGCCTCCGCCCTGGCAGAGGAAGGGAGAGGCATGATTGCACTCTGAAAAATTTAACTTTATTCATTATTTGTTGAAGTGTTTGTTGAATCTCTATCACATGCCAGACACCATCTAGAGATTGGGGATTCGCCAAAACCCACAATAGAGGCCTTCCACCTCTCAGAGCTTGTGTTCTAGCAGGGGAGATGGGCTGTAAACAGGAAAGGATGTTGGGGTGATGAGTCCTGAAATGAAAACTACATCAGGGTTGTCAGGGAGAGAATGAAATGAGAGGCCATGTTTTAGACGAAGCCAGGGAAGATCTTTCTAGGATGATATGACTAAGGAAAGGTCGGAACAAAGGGAGGGAGGGAGGCTCCAGAAATTCTCAACCTACCTGCTGTACTAACCCTACATCAATACCCAAATGTGTGTATCAAGTAGAAATAAATTCTGCATCTCAGGGCACCAGAAGTATGACAGCCATGGGAGAGAAACAAGGTTTGAGATGCACAAAGCCAGAGCTAGCTCATGGAAAAATATTCTGAAGATCAGAAGTTTAAAAATCATAAGCAGAGGATTTGATGATCACTAATGCTTAGTCAAGATGCAAGTTCTCCTCTGTTAGGAATGAACTCACTAGCATGGTGTTTGTGATGATAACATCCCAGGAAAACTGTAACCTCGAATTTAGCTGCATCCCTGTTTCACTTGAGACCAACTTGGTGGAGTTCTACAAAGAGTGAGGACACCTGTTGATGAAGATGTCACAAGGTGCCCGGTCCTGAGGGAGTCTGGGGGTTCCAGGCAAAATGTCACATAAGAATTTCCCTCTGATGCTGAAGAGTGGAACAAGAAGCAGATGCTCCAGTGACTAAATTCCTGTACACATTCATTCAACCCATCAATTCATCAATCATGATAGCAAAAGAGTACTCTGATCACACAATTTTTCAGCACCACCAAATACAATGTCATGGCAATTTCAAAAAGCATTTGTGTATGATCTAATTTCAGATTTTTTGTTTTCTGGGTCTTTTTTCTTCTTTCTTTTTTTTTTTTTTTTCAAAAATATCAATCACATCAGAATTCAAATGTGCCAAAAAGGAAGTATCCTAGGAAGCCAAATTTTAGTCTGAAAAAAGAATGGTAGGTGCTTCAAAATATAAAAATAATCGAAATTGATGTGGAAGAAAGTCATGATGATAAGAAAAATAATTATGACCACCAAAAAAATTAAGATGTAGAAAATGAAAACAGTTGCAGAAGACTTTTTTTTAATTATAAGAACCAAGACTCAGCTGGGCGCGGTGGCTCACGCCTGTAATCCCAGCACTTTGGGAGGCCGAGGCGGGCGGATCATGAGGTCAGGAGTTCAAGACCAGCCTGCCAACATGGTGAAACCCCGTCTCTACTAAAAATACAAAAATTAGCCGGGCTTGGTGGCAGACACCTGTAATCCCAGCTACTCGGGAGGCCGAGGCAGGAGAATTGCTTGAGCCTGGGAAGCAGAGGTTGCGGTGAACCAAGATCACGCCACTGCACTCCAGCCTGGCTGACAGAGCGAGACTCTGTCTCAAAAAACAAAAAACAAACAAACTAAAAAAAGAACCAAGACTCCTCCAAATAAGAAATTAAAAGCAGAAAGAAAAGATAAATAAAAGCAACTAAAACACATTTTGTAGGTCAGCAAATCACATACAAAGACATTAGCATTAAATTCATTTCAACAGATTTGTTGATTTTGATAAGAACCATGAGGTTTCATTGTGATCTGCTGAGTTGGGCAATATTCCATTCAACACTCAAAAAACTAGTAATGTTTTCTTTTCCAAAGTGTAATCTCAATAATATTTACAGAAAAAAAACCACTGAATATGCAATGACAATAAATAATCTATTATGAGATCCAGGCTAATCTTTGTAAACATTAAAGCTTGGCATATCATTGTTTTGTTTGTAAATGCTTTTCAACCAGAATGACATTACTTACATCAGACAAGTTTTAAACTGAATAAATATATTAAGGGCCCTCCAACGTGATGAAGGCTTTAGAGAGCACAGAAGGCTATGTTTACTCAGATGATACATTATTCAAATAAAAATGCACTAGACCAGACAGAAAGGAATATTTACTCTACAAATAAAAATTTCATGGGAGACATTATACTCATCAAGTGGACGTTGAAAAGAAAACGTCAGAATGAGAAACACAAATATCCTTTATTTAAACAACATTGTTTATAAAGAATGAATTAAAAGCTGAGGGAAATATTTACAAAACTCAGTGGCAAATCAATCCAAGCCAGGTGCCAAATGTGGAACCAGCATTGAAGAGTTTGCACTAAATTTGCCAGTCACTGGTTGGGTCGTGATTTACTTGGGTTTGTTATTATGGAAAAACCTACAAGAGATAAAACAAACAAACAAACAAAAAACTCTTCTGCCTGTTGAAAACCATCTATCTGCGATGTTATTCAACAGAGTCAAACAAATACTGGGCAAATGTAACCCACCCTAAACATTCATGGTCAAGGTTTGACGGTGCAGCTGTCCTTAACTTTGAGGCAAAAAGCTGCAACTCCTGTTAGAAACATTGACACATCTTTGAGAATTCTCTAGGACACTCATTCCCTTAATTTCAGCAGAGAAAAAGCTGCCTCCACCATATCTAAGAGTGTTGACTGGCTTTGTGTGTTGCAACAGATATTTTCTTTTCAGGTTCATCTCATGGATGCAGGTTTTTTTAGTTGTTATTGTTGTTGTTTTACATTTTAAAAAAATTGTGGGCTGGGTGTGGTGGCTCATGCGTGCAATCCTAGCACTTTGGGAGGCCAAGGCAGGTGGATCTTGTGAGGTCAGGAGTTCGAGACCAGCCAGGTCAACATGGCAAAACCCTGTCTCTACAAAAATACAAAAATTAGCTGGGTGTGGTGGTGAATGCCAGTAATCCCAGCTACTTGGGAGGCCAAGGCAGGAGAACTGCTTGAACCTGGGCGGTGGAGATAGCAGCGAGCCAAGATCGTGCCACTGTACTCCAGCCTGGCCAGGCGATGGAGCGAGACTCCAACAAAAAAAGAAAAAAAATTGTGGTAAAGTACTCATAACCTAAAATTTACCATCAAAATTACTTTTAAATATATAGCTCAGTAGTGTTGAGGACATTCACAGTGTTGTGCGACCATCACCACCATTCAGCTTCAGGACTCTTTTCTAGCAAAACTGAAATGTTGTATCCATTAAACCACAACTCCCCATTTTCCCCCCTCCTGTCCCCTGGCAACCAGCATTCCACTTTCTGTCTTTATGAATTTGACTACTCTAGGTGCCTCCTGTAAGTGGAATCGTACAATATTTGTCTTTTTGTGACTGATTTGTTTCACATAGCATAATGTCCTCAAGATTCACCCACACTGTAGCATGTGTCAGAATTTCCTTTTTGAAGGCTGAATAATATTCTATTGTATGGCTATACCACATCTCTGTTTACCCATCAATCCATGAATGGACACTTGGGTTGCCTTTACCATTTGGCTATTGTGAATATTGCTGTCATGAATGCAGGTGTGCAAATATCTCTTCAAAACTCGGCTTATAATTCTTTTGGGTGTATACCCAGCAATGGCATTGTTGGATTATATGGTCATTTTATTTTTAATTGTTTTGTGTAACTGCCATACTGTTTTCTGAAACAGCTGTACCATTTCACATTCTTACCAACAGTGCACAAGTGTTCCAATTTCTCCATGGCCTTGCCAATACTTGTTATTTCTTTTCTTTTTTTTCTTTCTTCCTTTTTTTTTTTTTTTTTTTTTAATGAAGTCTTGCTCTGTCACCCAGCCTGGAGTGCAGTGGTGCGATCTCGGCTCACTGCAACCTCCGTCTCCCAGGTTCAAGCAATTCTCCCGCCTCAGCCTCCCTTGGGACTACAGGCACCCAACACCATGCCCCATTTATTTTTGTGTATTTTTAGTAGAGGCGGGGCATCACCATGTTGACCAGGGTGGTTTTGAACTCCTGACCTCAAGTGATCCACCCACCTCAGCCTCCCAAAGTGCTGGGATTACGGGTGTGAGCCACTGCGCCCAGCCTAGCCGTAGGTTTTTCTGCTCTCCATTTAGGGGATGGAGACAGGGACTCCTCCCAGGGATAGGTGGAGTCAGGTGAGTGGTTAGAAAGCTGCCTGGGAGCTTCGTTCTTCTTCCTCCCCAAGAGTTGCTTCCTGGGGACTCTGCCCTTCCCATTAAAGGAATCCTGGGGGAAAGGAAAGGAGAGACGCCCTGCTTAGGCCTGGTCAGCCTTTCTTTCCTTTTGGAATTGTGTTTTTCCTCCATTGGAGGTCAGCACCCTTCACTCATCCTCTTTCTAGAAAATCTTTGTCCATCCACATCCACAGGGTCTCTTTTCCCAGAGATAGGAGTACTATCCATGCCTGAGAGCTGTTTCTCATCTGCTTTTGCAAAAACATGAAACCTGGCCGGGTGCAGTGACTCACACCTGTAATCCCAGCACGTTGGGAGGCCTGAGGCAGGTTGATCGCCTGAGGTCAGGAGTTCGAGACCAGCCTGGCCAACATGGTGAAACCCCCTCTACTAAAAATACAAAAATTAGCCAGATGTGGTGGCGTGCGCCTGTAATCCCAGCTACTCAGGCGGCTGAGACAGGAGAATCACTTGGACCCAGGAGGCAGAGGTTGCAGTGGGCCAAGATTGTGCCACTGCACTCCAGCCTGGATGACAGAGCGTAGACTCTGTCTTGTAAAAAAACAAAAACAAAACCATGAAACCCGTGCTAGATTCTCCCTCCGCAGCCCTGTAGCCAATCAATTTTCGAAGACTTGTCCATTCTGCCTTAGAAATCGGTTTTTCATCAGCCTGCCCTTCTGATCTCTTGTTCAAGTTACTGCAAAAACAACTCTAACTACTCTTTCTCCTTGAAGGAACATACAGGTCAAGGAGTCAAGCCATCCCCTGCTGACTCTTTCAGCCATTCCTATTGCCCTTAGGATAAATTCCGCTGTTCTCACAGAAGCCTACCAGTGATGATGACCCAAGAGAGTGCCAGCTATGCAGGAAGTGAGCTCTGTGGAATTTTCCTCGAAGCTGGGTCAACAAAAGTTTCTGAATCATTAGGCTTTTCTGAATCATTATGTGGAACAATTTTGCTGGGTGTAAACAAAGTTTCCTGTAAAGAGGCACGTAGTAAATGTCTTAGTCTTTGTGGGCCATACGGCACCTGACTCAGCTACTCATTGCCGCCCTTGTAGTGTGAAGGCAGCCATATACAATATAGAATGAGTGAATGGGGCTGTATTCCAATAAAACTTTATTCGTGGATGCATCTCTCCCTCTCCCTGACTGTCCCACCTCATCCCTGTCTCCATCGTCTCTCTCCTGTGTCCTGCGACCATCTATTTCTACACTGGGCTCCTCCTTCATCATTCCTGGTCTTCAGTTAATTTTTCTCGTGTGAGTCTGAGTAGATTTATCAAAGGAAAATCTGGCCACGTCCCATCCTTGCTTAGAACATCGGTGTGGGTTCCTATTACTCTTTAGATGTCCCGCCAGTGCTTTGTGAGCATCTGTGAGCAGGTGGACTCCAGAACTTCCACGTAGAAGGGACCTGGGAATGAAGGTCTGATCTGAGGCTGGGAGCTAGGGAACTTGCCTTGCAGCTGTGTTTGCATAATGATGTTCACCATTACACAACATAGCTGTTGAGAAAAGCACACAGATTCTCTGAATGCATGTATTTAGCGATTTATAAAGCTAGGTGCAGGGGAGTAAGAGTGAAAATGTACTCACTGCTTGAGTTATTATTTCAACGTTTATATAATGTAATTCAACAAACCTGTCTGCAAGTAGGTGTCAATATGTGCCAACATCTAAAACCTTCCTACATAAAGAAAACGGTGGGCTGGGGCCATGAAGGACATTTGGAAGACTCTACTCACCTCAAAAAGAAGACAGAAGATTTTTGCTCCCAGAACACCAGAGAAAATCCAGTTATGGACATGACCCAGGAACACAATCTATAAACAGATAGCTAGTATGAAGTCTTTTCTATGGTTTAGAAATGGTTGTCTCCCAACTACTGGCTATGTTGTGCTGTTTCTGGGAAAACCGTTGCCTTCCTGAGTTGGGTGTCAGTGCATATGGAGCTTGGACTCAAGCCGGGCATTCGTAGGTTATTAATTGGGGGAAAATTCCGTGGTGAGTAGTTGCCCTGGGGTTTTGTTTGGCAACTGGACCAAGCTGAACATCCTAACAGCTAGTTTTCAGAGATCATTTGCTCTTTCTCAGAAATAATCAGCTCCAGTAGAACCCTCTATCATGTTCGGTTTTGGTCCATATCTTGCTTTTAGCAGCTGAAATTGGTTGCTGAAGGACTCTGAGGATGCATTTGAGTTGAGGACAGAAGGAATATTCAGAGCATGTAGAGAACTTCTTTGCTCACCTCACCATAAGACAATATAGGTGGATATTTCTATAATCATACGGTGGGAAACTTTCCATTAAAATGAACAAACAAGCCAGTGGATATAAAAGAAAATACTGATAAATCCATCTCCATAAATACTAAAAAGTTAGGTTACAGGGAAACCCCATCATGAATAAGACTTGATGGACAGCCGAGTAAAAATACAAAATATATACTCAAAGAAAGTCAGGCACTACACAGAGTGTCAGTAGGTCATAAAGGAAAATAAAAAGAACTTCAGAATAGAAATGCAGACAAAGAGTGTGTATATACACAGCCCCCCCCCCCGCCCACACACACGAAAATAAAAGAAACTAAAAGAAAAGAAAATAGAAATGTTGAAAAAAATGCATCATAATGTTTGAGCTCCAAAAGCTAGATATAGGCCAGATGCTGTGACTCATGCCTGTAATCCCAGCACTTTGGGAGGCCAAGGTAGGTGAATCATCTGAGGTCAGGAGTTTGAGACCAGCCTGGCCAACATGGTGAAACCCCACCTCTACTAAAAATACAAAAATTAGCTGGGAGTGGTGGTGCGCACCTGTAATTCTAGCTACTCGGGAGACTGAGGCAGGAGAATCGCTCAAACCCAGGAGACAGAGGTTGCAGTGAGCCGAGATTGTGCCACTGCATTCCAGCCTGGGTGACAGAGTGAGACTCCATCTCAAAAAAAAAACCCAAAAAAAAAACCAACCAACCAAACAACAAAATAACAACAACAGAAACAAAAGTTGGATATAACAACCAAAATGTGATGAAATCTATTTCCACAAGACTCAGAAAGATGAAAAATCTGGTGATGAAATATCTAGGGTGGTTGAAAGGGTGAAGATACAGACACTTCCCTGAGTTAACAGCAGGTATGTGTTGACGCAGCTTTTCTAGAGAACTAGGAAGGCTTCAGAGCTAAATACACAGCAGAATTAAACACATACAAGCCCACTTCTGGTCTACATAAATACATAAAAAATCACACGTGTCTGTAGAGTACCATTGCGATGTGAATTAAGAAAATGTGAAAAAAATTATATACAATGCCTACACAAGAACATTAATGGCAAAGATGGGATAGCATTTTACTGTCAAACAAAAGTAAGTGTCTTCCTTTACAAACAAATTTGGTTTTCGAAGAACATTTAAAATCATGATATATTTAATGGGATAAGAATAAGAATATAAGCCTTGATATAGACCAGAGTGCCTCAGCCTGCGCACTGTGGACACGGAGGGTCTGATCACGCTTTGCTGGGGGGGGCCACTCTGTGCATTGTAGAATGTTCTGCAGCATCTCTGGTCTCTACTCCCTAGATGCTGACAGCCCTCCTCTTCCCAGCTGTGACAATCACAAATTTCTCCAGACATGGCCCAATGTCCCCGGGGGAGACAAAATTTTCCATGGTTAAAGACCTCAAAAACATATTCTAATCCCAAAGTTGAGTCAAAATAATACACTCATCCATTCATTTATACATACTCTAGAGATGTCCAAGAGAAATGTAATGCAAGCTACGTATGTTAAATTTTCTAGTAGTCATATTTAAAAATGTAAAAAAGGGGGAAAATAATTTTAATGATATATTTTGTTTAACCCAATATATGCAAAATATTATTTCAACATATGGCACTGGCCCCATTTCAAGGGTTTAGTAGCTCCATATGGCTGGTGGACACCGTATTGGACAACACAGGACTAGAAATCTTATTGAGCAACTCTACACATCAAGAACACTGTGAGACCCAGAAATATGGCGGGGGGCGGGGAGAAAGACGAGTTTTCTGAATTCTGGAAATTTCATTTTGATGGGAGAAAGACATAAAGAAACTTCCACTTGAGAATGTAATTTGACAATATCTAGGCAGGTGGAGAAGCACATCCTCAACCCCTCAGCAGTTCTGTGCTGAGAAATGTTTTCTAGAGAAATTCCCCACATCTGGGCAAAGAGATACAGAGTAGAATGTTCATCACGATATTCATGTATGTGACAAATCTTATTTGAGTGCTGACTGCATGCCAGGGACTGTGCAAGGCTGTGGGGGTGTGTGGCTTCATTTGCAGTAGTAAAACCAAGAACCAACCTAAATGTGCTTAGGAGGAGATGGATGTGTAAAACAGGGTGAATTCCTAAATTGGAATATGGTGGTGCACCTGCTGTGAACGGAGCCACACAACTTAACAAAATGCTAAAAATAAAAGGGTAGAACATTACAACCTCCTTGCAGAACAATGCCACTCACACAGGTTTGGAACATGTTACAACACCCTTTCTTACTTTCAGCAGCAATGTAGGAAGAACAGACATGAGAATGATCAATTCCAAATGTCGGTGTTGGAGGAACGTGGGTGGTATTTCAAAGAGAGCACAAGGACCTTCACCTACATTTGTGCCTAATTTAAAAAAAATGCTCTGAAATAAATATGGCAAAATGTAAAGATTTGATAAATCTGGGTGTCGTGTTTACTATATTATTCCCTATATATTTTTTTCTGCGTGTTGGAAATAATACAGAAAAGCAAATAATCAATTAAAAAAAGTTACAAATTACACTAAGTGTTACAATGGAAACAAATCAGTATCTGAGAAAGATAGTATCAGGGGACACAGGCCCAACTATGGCGGTCAGGGAAGTCTTCTCTGATGGTGTAAGGACTGAAGGAGGATGAGGAAGCTGAGTGCTTTAGGTGTTGGGAAGAAGTGCTCCTGGAAAAAAAGCACCACAACACAAAACGAACAGCAGGAGCAAAGTCCTGGAAGTAAGAAAGCACTTAGGGCATTTAAGGAAGTGAAGAAAAAAAAAAGGCCAGCGAAGCTGAGGGAGAGAGCCAGGAGAGACAGGGGTCATGGCAGACGGTTTTACAAAAACGACCATGACAATATCTTTCTTTCCATATTCTCTGCTACAATGTGACTTTGACGTTCCTCCCATTGAGAAGTGGGGTCTATGTACCCGCTCTGGGTGGGCTCATGACTACCTTCACCCACAGGGTAGGAAGTAATGCTATGTGACTTCTGAGTTGCTTCATAAATGTCCATGCATCCCCGTCTTATTTACTAGGACGCTCATACTTGGAATCTGGAGCCACTATGTAACAAGTTTGACAACCTTGAGGCTGCCATGCTGTGAGGAAGCCCAAGCCACATGGAAACACCATGGTAGAAGCTCTGGTTGGCAAGTCTAGTGTGGCAGGCTGGATTTTCCATAAAGTAGACACTGAGATGGTAGATGTGCCAACAACCTGGGACCCTGAGTGACTGTAATGATGAGAGCTCTCTGTTGACTCAAAATGAACATAGAGTGAATAAGAAATCAATGAAGTTTGGGTATTGTTTGTACCGCAGTGCTATCAGCCTATCCTAATTAATGCAGGCCCTCAGTGCAGGGAAATAACTTTTCCAGGAAGGGAACATGTACAACTGTTTATTCTCCTACTGTACTCTCACCACAGACCACTTCTGACGCCAAATGTGTGGGGTTTTTTTTTTCTACTCTATATTTTCCAGCAGACATCAACTGGGTGTCCCGTAACTAAATTCAGTTCTTATTTTTTTATTTTTTTGAGACAGAGTCTCATTCTGTCCCCCAGGCTGGAGTGCAGTGGCAGGATCACAGCTCACTGCAGCCTCAAACTCCTGGGCTCAAGGGATCCTCCTGCCTCAGCCTCCCAAGTAGATGGAACTATAGGCATGTGCTACCACACTCGGCTAATTTTTTTAGTTTTGTTTATAGAGATGGGGTCTTACCTTCTTGCCCAGGCTGGTTTCAAATTCCTGAGCTCAAGCAATCCTCCTGCCTAAGGTAGCCTCCCAAAATGCCAGAATTACAAGCATGAGCTACCACGCCTGGCCTAAATTCAGTTCTGACACTACCTGGAGTTAGAGTCAGATCCCACAGGCCCAGGCCAGAGCTCAGCCCAAGTCTGCCCTCATTTCAGATGCCAATTGCAAGTCCCCAGTTGGGACCTGTACTTTTGACCTATGGCCTATAAGTCAGGGTTCCCACGATGCCCTGCTTGGGTGTGATCATTTGCTACAGCGGCTCACAGAACTCAGGAAACCACGTTACTTAGATGATCCATTTATTATAAAGAGATGACAGATTCCTGGCTCGTGTATATGAATATTGTTGTTGGGATGAGGCTAATGGCAAAGGTGCATGCAATGGATGATTTTACGTAATTGGGGTACAAATCACTACAGTAGATGTCAGTTAAGGTAGCAGCAGTTGGTAAAATTAGTGATATTAGGGGTGTTACAGTATGGGAGGAAAATGTACTTGTTACTTTTATTTGGAGTTGCACCAGTGTTTTTGGTTCCTTAGACCAATGGTTAACTCTAATCCTTTAAAAGTTGAGAATGCCATATTGTTATATATTGGGGCATGAGTTACCAGTTCTTGCATACTTTCTCGGTAGATAAGAAATTGTAGACTTCTGTTATTAGATCCACGATCTAATGTTTTGGTTAAACTATAACAACAGCATGTAAAACTCAAAATCATTTTGGGGTTTAAGGATAATAGGAGAAGGGGTGTTAGGTGTATCGGTATTGGGGTATTTTCTTGCATGAATGAGGATTTAATATTGTTGATGTGGTATGTAAATATTCCTTGCTGTGTGGTGATTAGTGTGTACAGAGAGTAAAGGGCTGTGATTAACGTGTTAAGTCCTATAAGCATAACAGTGAAATCGCATCAGGAGGATGAGGCTGTAGTTACGAAGGTACGGGGTGAGACGTTTCCATGTCCTCTCTGGGCGAACCACCCCACCAGCGCTTCTGCGTGTTCAGCAGCCTGGAAGCTCTCCAAACCCTGTCCTTTTTGGGGTTTTATGGAGGCTTCATTATGTAGGCATGATTGATTACATCCCTGGCCATTGGTGATCAACAACCTTCAGCCCCTCTCCTTTTCTCCTCAACGTGGCGAGGAGGGACCTGAAAGCTCCAACCCTCTAATCACATGGTTGATTTCCCCGGCAACCACCCCCAACCTGAGGCTGTCCGGGAGCCCCTAGTAGCAGTCACCACTAGCAAACAAATACACTTTTCAATTCGAACCTGTGTGCCCAGAACATGAGCAGAAACCAAATATGTATTTCTTTCTTTTTTTTTTTGTTTTTTTGAGACAGAGTTTCACTTTGTTGCCCAGGCTGGAGTGCAGTGGCATAGTCTTGGCTCACTGCAACCTCCGCCTCCAGGGTTCAAGCAATTCTCATGCCTCAGCCTCCTGTATAGCTGGGATTACAGGCGCCTGCCACCACGCCTGGCTGATTTTCTTTTTGTATTTTAGTAGAGACGGGGTTTCACCATGTTGCCTAGGCTGGTCTTGAACTCCTGACCTCAGGCAATCTGCGCATCTCGGCCTCCCAAAGTGCTGGGATTACAGGCGTGAGCCACTGGGCCCGGCCATTTCATATTATGTCATAGAGAGAAACAAAAAACAGGAAATAGGCCAGTAAATAAAATAAGTAGGAACTGTACTAAGTGTTGTGAAGGCCAGACCACAGAAGCAGACACAGCAAATAACCCAGGAGATCCTCTTAGAGTAGACGGTCCTGGAAGGCGCCTCCTAACACCATCACCTTAGAGGGCAACATTTCTTTCTCTTTTTCATTAACTTTTAAGTTTGGGGTACATGTACAGTTTGTGATATAGGTAAATGCATGTCCCAGGAGTTTGTTGTGCAGATTATTTCATCACCCAAGTATTAAGCCTAGTACCCATTATCTATTTTTTCCTGATCTTCTTTCTCCTCCCATCCTCCACCATAGGCCCCAGTGTGTGTTGTTCCCCCTCTATGTGTCCATGTGTTCTCATCACTTAGCTCCCACTTATAATTGAGAACATGTGGTATTTGGTTTCTGTTCCTGTGTTACTTTGCTAAGGTTAATGGCCTCCAGCTCCATCCATATTCCTGCAAAGGACATGATTTTGTCTCTTTTTATGACTGCATAGTATTCCATGGCATATATGTACCACGTTTTCTTTATCCTGTCTACTGTTGATGGGCATTTAGGTTGATTCCATGTCTTTGCCACCATGAATAGTGCTGCAATGAACATACATGTGCATGTGTCTTTACGATAGAATGATTTATATTCCTCTGGGTGTACACCCAGTAATGGGATTGATGGGTCAAGAAGTATATATATATATAAAAGCTCAGTATCAGTGATCATTAAGAAAAATGCAAATCAAAACCACAATGAGATACTGTCTCACACCAGTCAGAATAGCTACTGCTAAAAAGTAAAAAAATAATAGATGCTGGCAAGGTGGCAGAGAAAAGGGCATGCTTACAGACTGTTGGTGGGAGTGTAGATTAGTTCAGCCATTGTGGAAAACAGTGAAGGTAAGAGTTCAACATAAGAATGGGGAATGGGTGCACACAGTCAGTCTACAGCAGGGAGTCTGGGGCATATGGACGGCATATAAAGCCAAGCGGCCCATGAAATCCACCAAGGAGAGGATGTGGAGAGGGAAGGGAAGGAGCCCCGGACAGAGTCCTTCAGAAACGTCTGTATTTAAAGGTCAGGTTTTGAGAAGGAACCCACTCAGTTCAGTGAATGAGAAGACCCAGGAGGTGCAGAATCACCAGGAGGACTCGGGGAAGAAAGCTGTGCAGAGGGTTTTGTGGTTGTTTTAAACAATGGGGGTGCAGGGGAGGCTTTCCAAGGTGAGGAGTTGGACAGGATGAAGACAGTGAAGTTGTGTCACAGTACTGACTCCGTGTTAGAGAAAAGCTTGCTTGCTTGCTTGCATAGAATCCTTGCTTTGCTCGAGTTTGTAGCTTCTTTATTAAAAACAGCCTCCGGAGAACAAGGCCTTCAACAGAGATAAAAGAGAGAGCAGCTGACCAGCCACCCTGGGAATGTGCTGACCGCCCTGATAAGAACAGCTTGAGCATTCCTGCAGAAGGCCAGGGACATTGACCAAGGAAGCCGCGATTAACTGTCCGCCTGAGCCCGTGCACGTTTCCCAAAAGCACTTTGACCATCATTTAAGCTCCCCTAATTTCCCTGATCCGGAGGCACACGTGGAGAGGTGGTCTTGGAACACGCCTCCACTGTTCACCGCCTCCCCAGGGGTGCCACTTCTGGAATAAAACCAACTTTCCTTTTCACCCAGAGCATGTCACCTTCCAAGGTGGACGTCCCTGTCAAGGTAGCTGCTCTTCTTCTCCTTCTTCTTCTTCGTCTTCCTTCTTCTTCTTCTCCTTCTCCATCTCCTTCTCCCTCTCCCTCTCCCTCTTCCTCTTCTTCTTCTTTCTCCTCCTCCTCCTCCTCCTTTTCTTCTTCTTCTTTTTTTGAGACAGAGTTTCACTCTTGTTGCCTAGGCTGGAGTGCAATCTCAGCTCATTGCAACCTCCGCATCCTGGATTCAAGCGATTCTCCTGTCTCAGCCTCCTGAGTAGCTGGGATTACAGGTGCCTGCCACCACAACCAGCTAATTATTGTATTTTTAATAGAGACAGGGTTTCACCATGTCGGCCAGGCTAGTCTCAATCTCCTGACCTCAGGTGATCTGCTCGCCTCCGCCTCCCAAAGTGTTGAGATTACAGGTGTGAGCCACTGTGCCCAGCCCACAAAACATCTTTAACAGTTGCTTTGGGGTGGCTGTGGAACAGGAGGGGCACACGGTGGTCTCCAGAGAGCTGTTGACACAGTACAACAAAAAGTTTGAATAAAAAAGTTTGAATAAAAAAGACTGCTAATTTTCTTGGGGGATTTTCTCCATCACTTTGTTTGGAATTTGTCTGGTGCAATTCATAGAGGGGCCCACCGTGCACACAGGGGGAGTTTCCCACGTTCTTCCTGCTTTTCTAACACTGATGTTCCAAGATATTTCAATGGTCATGATAAGCGAAAAGTTCAAGGGAATGTGTACTAAGATAAGTAAACACATACTGAGATAACATCCTCAAACATTTTTTCTCAAATAAGAAAGTAGAGGTTCTAAACAGGAAAACAGAACTGGAATTATCAAGTTACTGGACAGTTATAATTATCAGACTTTAAGAATGAATAATCAAGTTTCAACCAATTTCAGGGTATTAGTTGTCTTTTCTGTGTCCACCCATCTGAAAAACCAGAGAACAACACGAAACGTCTCCGTATTAAAGACAAAAACAAAATTCTGTTCTGAAAGTTCTTAGCCTTTGCAACCAAAATCAGAAGAAAAAGAAAGCGATCACATTTTTTAATGGAACACATGAAAGTGTATAAGTGAGCCTGAGAACCATCTAAGGTAGCCCAGGTCTAAGTAAACACAAACACAGATTTCTGTTTTTTTAAAAAAAGAAAATATAAAGTTGTCACAACATTAACTTCACAGAGAAAAAAAGAAAAGGAAAAAAAATTTCCTTGCAAACAGTTGGTGTGCAAACAGATGGTGTATTCAAGTCTGTTTACTGCTGGGCAAGGGAGGGATTCCGTATGCCAAACACGTAGTGCTGTGTATGGAAGACACCATTCATTTGCCCAACTTCACTGCGATGCATACGGTGCTGAAATCAAAGCTTGCTTTTACCTTGGGGCAAAATTCTCCAGCAGGGGGATAAGCTGATTCAACATCTGTCAGCTGGACTTTTAAAAAATTCAAATATGTGGGTTCAGTGCTCATCCATTTCTTTCTAAACAACTTGAATTCAAATTCAGTCTCCATTCCTTATAAGCCACGGGAATTTCTTTATCTTACCGTGAAATATGTCAGGCATGGAGAAGATCGTATATATAAATATACATCGGAATGCATTAAAGATAATCATAAAACCAACAACCACACATGTAACTTTTAGACATTACCAACGCTAAATAAATTCCCTGAAAATCAGTTCTTCAAATGACTGGCTTATTTTATTTATTTATTTATTTACTTTTGTGGATGGTTAATTCCCTGAATGGCCAAATTTGCCCAATTCACCGGATGCAGCTAGTTAACAGCGACAGAAGCATGTTTCCTTTAACTCCTTGTGACAGCTACAGCGATCCCAATTGTAAGGGAGTTCCTGGAAACTTCTGTGCTGTTTAAATGATCTGACTTGAAGTTTTCGTTTCATTTTTTTGGCAGATTTTAGTTTAGCTTTACATTGGCTGTAGCTGCTTCATTGTAGCCAAACTGAAGTTCAGTGTGTTCTGAGGATTTTTATATTTAAAATGAGAATTTCGGGATGCTTCCACCAAGCGTAATACAAAAGGTAGAACAGGTTTCTATTATCCAACTCATTTTCACTCCTGTCTTTTGAAATTCTCTTAACAGATATGTTACCCAGTGTGATCACACAAATGTTTTCAACATGGGTAAGACATCTGAGAAATGCTCAGTGCCTATAATGAGAATTACACCTAAATCTGATGCGTCTTTGAGCCTGATTTGCAAATCAGCTACAGAGCTGAGATAAATCTGCCAAAGTGAAACAAAATCTACAGTGAAACCAAATTTAATTTCAGCTGAAATGAAACTAAAACATCAAAGCTGGCTGGGTGCAGTGACTCACACCTGTAATCCCAGCACTTTGGGAAGCTGAGGCAGGAGGATTGCTTGAGCCCAGGAGTTCAAGATCAGTCTGGGCAACATGGAGAAACCCCATCTCTACAAAAAATTGCTGGGCGTGGTGGTGTGCAACTGTGATCCCAGCTACTGGGGAGGCTGAGGTGGAAGGATTGCTTGAGCCCAGGAGGTGGAGGCTGCAGGAGCCATGATCGTACCACTGCACTCCAGCCTGAGGAACAGAGCAAGACTCTGTCTTGGAAAAAAGAAAGAGAGAAAGACAGAAAGAGGGGAAGGGAGGGAAAGGAAGGAAGGAATGGAGGAAAAGGAAGGAAGGAAGGGAAAGGAAAGGAAGGAAGGAAGGAAGGAAGGAAGGGAAAGGAAGGAAGGAAGGGAAAGAAAGGAAGGAAGGAAGGGAAAGGAAGGAAGGAAGGGAGGGAGAGAGGGAGGAAGAAAGGAAAGGAAAAGAAAAGAAAGAGAAGAGTTACCCTTGAAGTCCATTAACACCATCCCATGGTGGCATGATTTTGTGTAATGTTTACAAATATTTAGTAGAAATTCATTTACAGTGGATCCATAATTTGGCAAATTGTCCATTTGGCAAATCCTCTTTCCAACTCCTCCCCCTGAACAGCGCATCCCATCACTTGTGGCTCATCGGAAAGTCAGTTTGTCATCTTCTCTTGCTGGCATCAACCGATCTATTTCCTTCTCTGCATGAGATCTTCCCATCAACATTCCCACATACTGTGTTGTCTTCCATCTTAAAAAAACAAATGCTTTTTAGATCTTAAGTTCCTCCCTAGCCACTGCCCCTTCATAGGCAAAACACATCCAAGGCATCTCTCTGCTCCTTCCCCTCAACTCTCTCCCCTCCCTCTCTCCCGAGCCCATGGGTATCTGGCTTCCATTCCCAACCCACACTGACCTACTCTTGTCAAGTTCCCCAGGATTCTCCACTTTGCCAGAAACAATCCAGTCCTTAGTCTTCATCAGATCCAATTGTTGACCACACATGACAACTTAGACCTCGTCCTCTCTGCTAAAATCTTTCCTCGTTTGGTTTGCACATCCCAAACTCTCTGGGTTTTCCTTCCATGTCAGTGAGCATTTTCTCACTTCTACCCACACTCACTCCGTCCAGCCCATGCCAATTCCTAGCTGTACTAGGTGGAACGGGGTCCCCCGAAATTCATGTCCACTCAGAACAGAATGTGGCCTCATTTGGAAATCGAATTTTTGCAGATATCATTATTTTAGATGAGGTCACAGCAGATGAGGGAAGGTCCCACATCCAATAACTCGTGTCCCAATAAGAAGAGAAGAGGACACGCAGAGATGCAGGGAGGAGCATGCCTTGTGATGTTAGAGGCAGAGCTTGGAGCCCTGTGGCTGCAAACCAAGGGACACTGAGGATCAGGGGCAACCAGATCCAGAAACCAGACGTCACAACATTGAAGAAGATCCAAGGGTCTCATCGTGCTGGGAACAAGATCCAGACGGCTCCCTTGTGCCTGCGAGGTCCCATGAGGTCCCATGAGATCCATTGCTCTTCTTCAGCCTACTCTTACCTTCTCCCATCTCCCCTTTGTTCACTCCATTCCCACCACACCAAGCTTCCCTCCATTCCCTGAGCATGTTCTGTGCCTCTGCAGGGAGACTGTGCCCTTCCGGTTCCCTCTGCAGTTCCCCCAGAATCTTGCTGTGGTAGAATGAGTACATCCTTCGGGTCTTGGGGCAGTTGTCCCCTGCTTGGAGGAGCCTTCCTGACTACATCAGCTGACCACATCAGCCGCCTCTGCACTACTCCCCACTCCCTCCACCTGCTCTACTCTTTCCACCACCCAACAAATTACATTAGGTCACTCTATTGTATTTATTTATTTATTTTTGAGATGGTGTCTCACTCTGTCTCCCAGGCTGGAGTGCAGTGGCCTGATCTTGGCTCACTGCAACCTCCGCCTCCCAGGTTCAATCAATTCTTCTGCCTCAGCCTACTGCGTAGCTGGCACTACAGGTGCACGCCACCATGCCTGGCTAATTTTTGTGTTTTTAGTAGAGACAGGGTTTCACCATGTTGGCCAGGATGGTCTCGATCTCTTGACCTCATGATCTGCCTGCCTCGGCCTCCCAAAGTGCTGGGATTACAGGCGTGAGCCACCATGCCTGGCCAGGTCACTGTATTATTCTAAACCATATTACACATTACTGCATTGCATAACACATGACCGTATCATATCATCATGTCACATATTAGATGATATTACATTCTGTTCTGTTTTATGGCATATTTTTCTTTAACATTTTATTTTTAAATTGACAAACAAAAATTAGATGTACTTATTGTGTATGTGTTTTGTAAAATCTGTACATTGTGAAGTGGCTAAATTGAGCTAGTTAACATATGCATTATCTCACATACTTTTGTTTTTGCGATAAGAACACTAAAAGTCTACTCCCTAAGCAATATTATTATATGCTATATTATTACATATTATAGTATTATGTAGTACTACATTACATATTACATTATATCATATCTATTATATATTATATTTTATATATATATATATATATTTTTTTTTTTTTTTGAGACGGAGAGATTCGCCCTTGTTGCCCAGGCTGGAGTGCAATGGTGTGATCTCAGCTCACTGCAACCTCCACCTCCCGAGTTCAAGCGATTCTCCTGCCTCAGCCTCTCGAGTAGCTGGGATTACAGGCATGCACCACCATGCCCGGCTAATTTTTTGCATTTTTAGTAGAGACGGTTTTTCTCCATGTTGGTCAGGCTGGTCTCGAACTCCTGACCTCAGGTAATCTGCCCGACATCGGCCTCCCAATGTAATGGGATTACAGGCGTGAGCCACCACACCTGGCCTATATTACATATTATATTGCATTATATACTATACAGTTGACCCTCAAACAACACAGGTTTGAAATGTGCGAGTCCGCTTATATACAGGTTTTCTTTGCCTCTGACACCCCTGCCATAGCAAGACCAACCCCTCCTCTTCCTCCTTCTCCGCTGCCTACTTAATGGAAGATAACGAGGATGAAGACTTTTAAGATGATCTGCTTCCACTTAGTGAAGAGTGAACATATTTTTTCTTCATTATGATTATCTTAATAACGTTTTCTTTTCTCTAGCTTACTTTACTTCAGGAGTATAGTATATAATACATTTAACATACAAAATATGTGTTAATTGACTGTGTTATTGGTAAGGCTGCTGGTCTTTGGTAGGCTATTAGTAGCTAAGTCTGGGGAGAGTCCAAAGTTCTCCATGAATTTCCTTTTTTTTTATTTTTATTTTTTTTTGATACAGGTCTCACTCTGCCTGTCACCCAGGCTGGAGTGTAGTGGTGCAAGGATCTCAGCTCACTGCAGCCTCGACTTCTCAGGCTCAGGCGATTGTCCCACCTCAGCCTCCTGAATAGCTGGGACTACGGGCACCCACTACCATGCCTGGCTAATTTTTTTGTATTTTTTGTAGAGACAGTGTCTCTCTATGTTCAGGTTGGTCTCAAGCTCCTGGGCTCCAGTGATCCACCTACTTTGGCCTCCCAAAGTGCTGGAGTGACAGGTATGAGCCACTGCAGCCCAGCCTATCTGTAGATTTTTAACTGTACAGGACTCAGCACTCCTAACTCCCCACATTGTTCAAGAGTCAACTGTCTTTTTTTTTTTTTAATTTTACTTTAAGTTCTGGGATACATGTGCGGAACGTGCAGGTTTGTTACATAGGTATACCTGTGCCATGGTGGTTTGCTGCACTATCAACCTGTCTTCTAGGTTTTAAGCCCCACATGCATTAGGTATTTGTCCTAATGCTCTCCCTCCCCTTCCCCCACACCCCGACAGGCCCTGGTGTGTGATGTTCCCCTCCCTGTGTCCATGTGTTCTCATTGTTCAACTCCCACTTGAGTGAGAACACGCGGTGTTTGGTTTTCTCTTCCTGTGTTAGTTTCCTGGGAATGATGGCTTCCAGCTTCATCCATGTCCCTGCAAAGGACATGAACTCATTCTTTTTTACGGCTGCAAATGGTATTTTTTATACTGTGTACATTATACATTGTATTGCATCACATAGTATTATACTATATAAATACTACATCATATATGTTATTATATTATTTGATGCCCACTCTTCTTGCTGCCTCAGGGTGCTCTACATGTTTCCATGACCACCTGTGTTACATATTTATTTATGTCCTTCTTGCCTGTTTCCTCCACCGGCCTGGGAGTTCCATGAGGATGAGAACATTTGCTCTCTTACTCACTACTTTAACCCCAACACTTTGGCACCTTGTGTGTAGTAAAAACCCCACAAACATTTGTTAAAGAAGTGAAATGAAATGTTTCTAATGTGTGTGTGTGTGGGCGGGGTTGTTGTTGTTGTTGTTGTTGTTTTGAGAAAAACAACTTGGGATAAACCAGCAAATTGGGAAGTTTTAAAAATGTGATCATTTGGAGAACCAGCTTTTGGCAAATGGGTATTCAGTGAGTTAATTTGGCAGGGCTGGGAGGAGGTCCTTGGTGTCCCCTAAAGAAGTGTTTAGTGAAAAGTTTAGTTTGGGCACGGAGTTGTAACAGCTGTCAGATGGTGATGTCGGTCGTGACCCAGTCCACCCTGTAGATATTTCTAAGCAGAGGATTATGAGCGGAACTGATTTAGCAGGGCAGAGTGACACTCAGAGGGTCTTAATCTTCAGGAAATAGAGGGAACCTGGTCTGGAACGTAGGCAGGTAATAAAAAGTGACTGGTGGCATCAATGAAGGAGGCCGACGCCAGCCTGCTCGTGGTGCCCTGTGAAATGGCACAGGCTGCTGAAAGTATGTGCACCTCAATAGCAATCGGGCAAAGACGTACGGGCCTGGGGGTAGGGAATGGCAAAGGGTGGGCAAAATTAAAAATAAGTTGGTTAGGCAAAAAACATTAAGAGCATTTTTAAGCAAATAATTAGAAGAACCACATTGGATCATGAGGCAGCTCTAGAAGCAGAAAGAAGGAGGCAGAAACCAGCAAATCTTTGAACATTGGTTTGGAATGTGAAAGGGAAACTAATTTCTTTATCCAAAAAAAATCTACTGCTTTTGTAATTAAAAATAAAACAATGAAAGAGAAATATCTCTTAAATCAACTTTCCAAGTTTTATAAAGGAGCTTCGAATGGCATCCCAAAACCGAGCTAATTTATTCCGTCCTCATTTGGAATTTGTGAGCACACACCCAACAGTTCACAGCACGAACAAGAGGAAGCCTCCAAGGCCTCCCTATTTTCTGATATTTCTGCCCTAAATTGTCAAATAGCAGTGATCCAATAACAGACATGGTAATAAATGACCCCCACATAAGAATTTGCCCAGGCTGGGCTCAGTGGTGCACGCCTGAAATCCCAGCACTTTCGGAGGTCGAGGCCGGCGGTGGATCACTTGATCCCAGGAGTTCAAGACTAGCTGAGGCAACATGGCAAAACCCCGTCTCTATAAAGACATGCAAAAAATTAGCTGGGCACGGTGGTGCATGCTTATAGTCCCAGCTACTTGGGAGGCTGACGTGGGAGAATCACTGGAGCCCAGGAAGTTGAGGCTGCAGTGAGCCGTGGTTGCACCACCACACTCCAGGGAGTGACAGAGTAAATCTTCACTCTATGGAGACCTTGTCTCAAAAACAAACAAACAAAAAAACTCAAAACAAGAAGAAACATTATTAGAATTATCCAAAGTTAACAGAAATTAAAGAGTATATTATCACAATTTAGCCAACTTCTGTACATCATTTTTTCTATGTCTATTTATCTATCAGAAATAGAAATACAAAAGCGAAAACAAAATGATGACCTTCTACCATTTAAAGGACAAAACCAAAGACTATTTTGAAAGCTGTTATTCTTTGTGCCTTGATGACAAAAGAAACAGGAAAAAAAAGTTTCACTTTTGGCTGTTACGGAACGAATGAAGGTATATAAATTAGCTTAAAATAATCAAGCCAAGCACATGAAAAAAATAAAAGCAATACTGGTTTATGTCATTTTTTAAAACACATAAAGAAAAAGAAAACAAGATTGTCAGTATCCGAAAATTAGAGAGAAAAACTGATTAAAAACAGGTTCTGAGAAATATCTGCAAAACAGATGGTATATTTAAATCTGTTTACAGTCAGGAAGTAGATGTCACCCAAATACTGACCATGGGGCTTTGTGGCTCCAAGAACCCTGTTCCCTTGCCTAATTACACTGCAATGTATACGTTTATTGGAATCAAACCTGGCTTTTCAGCCTAGGGGAAAATCCCACAGTAGGCTGATGAGCTGAGTTTGCCTTCGGAAACTGGGCCATGTGTTAACAATCAAACTGCTTTGTCTTGATTTGCACCAACTTTTTAATTCACCTGCCCTTAGCTCAAATCCATTTTCCTCTACTCAGGAGTCATGTGATATGGAGATCGGTGCTTCTGTCATTCTCAGAGCTGTGGTCCCATCATGATGCTATGTGTTGAAATCCGTAGAAGGCAGTGAGAGGTGAACGAGACACCCAACATCCAGCGCTTTGTGCCTGGCGGCGTGTTCAGAATACCAAAGGCAGCCCCCCGGGAATCAGGTGAACTGGTCCGATTCCCAGCACTGCAGTTTGCCACCCGAGGCCTGTCTACTCGACCACCCAGCCCTGGGCCAGGCTGTTATGGGCAAAATATGGGCCAAGTATGTTACCAGCAGCGAATCCGTCCAGGTCTGATGTTGTCTTGTACTTTTCCCGATTGACTTACCCAAAAGCAACATTTTTCATCTAAGGCTAAACAAATTCCTCCCTGTGCTGCTGTTAACATATCTAGTCCTCAATGATTTCTGAGGACTACAGCTGCTAGAGTCTATTTGTTCTCGCACAGTTGCGAAGGTTCAAGCCATGGCATCAATGTTGTTGGCTATTTCCTTCGAGAGCTGGCTATAGGTTAAGGAGGCAATTCCAGTTCCCCTATGGGCTATAATGCCAAGTCCTGCAAGAAGGGGAATTAATTGGATAGCCCTGTTCACCCTGGGAAAGATGGAATGCCTGTGGATTGGTACTGGAAGAGAGAGATTGCCAAGGACTAGAAAGATGTCCAGGGATCCATAGCCTGTGGTGATTGTGAAAGAGAGAAACTGGTCACAAAGCAAACTGCCACTGGAACTCCTGGTGGTGTACAAGTTAGGGTTAAAATAGTGATAACAGGGTCGGGTGTGGTGGCATCCAAATTCAATAACTTTTCCAGACTCCTCCAGCTCATTCCTCATTTTCCCTTACAGATCTTTTCCCTAATAAATCCCCTACACATCTAATATTGTTTTGGCGCCTACTTCTCGGAAGACCCAAGCTAACACAGTGGGCAATCACCAAGACACATGGTTAGGTTTAAAAACTAGGATGCAGACAAGATGGATGAGTTCTAGTGTTCTATACCACTGCGGATGACTACAGTGAACAATAACATAACATTTCCAAATGCTAGCAAGAGGATATTGAAGTTTCCCAACAGTAAGAAATGATCATTGTGGCAGCTGGGTGTGGTGGCTCAAGCCTGTGATCCCAGCACTTTGAGAGGCCAAGGCAGGCAGATTGCTTGAACCCAGGAGTTCAAGACCAGCCTGGGCAACATGGCAAAATCCCCAGGCATGGTGACATGTGCCTGTAGTCCTAGCTATTTGTGAGGCTGCAGTGGGAGGATCTCCTGCACCTGGAAGGTCGAGGCTGCAGGGAGCTGTGATCGCTGTGCCACTGCACTCCAGCATGGGCAGCAGAGTGAGACCCTGTCTCAAAAAATAAAAATAGGCCAGGTGCGGTGGCTCATGCCTGTAATCCCAGCACTTTGGGAGACTGAGGCGGGCGGATCATGAGGTCAGGAGATTAAGACCATCCTGGCTAACATGGTGAAACCCTGTCTCTACTAAAAAAATACAAAAATTAGCCAGGCATGGTGGTGGGCCCCTGTCCTGTAGTCCCAATTTCTCAGGAGGCTGAGGCAGGAAAATCGCTTGAACCCAGGAGACGGAGGTTGCAGTGAGCCGAGATTGCACCACTGCACTCCAGCATGGTCAACGGAGTGAGACCCTGTCTCAAAAAATAAAAATAAAAATAAAAAAAGAAATGATCAATGTTTTATGTGATGGATATGCCAAGTACCCTGATCTGATCATCATACATTATATGTATCAAAACATCACTATAGCCCATGGAAATATACAATTGTTATTTGTCAATTTTTTAAAAAAATCAACATGCAAAATAGCATCTATAATGTGCATACATTTATGTGGTGAAAAAAAAAGAAATAGAAAGAAATCTATTACCTGGCACAGGTCCAGAACATCTCTGGAAGGATAAATACAAACAGTCGATTCTGATTATTCAGGGTAGCTATGTGTTCTATAACGTCACTGTGGACACTGAATTAGCAATATGGAACCATTGCTTCTAGGGAATATACAGGGTCAGTGTTGAAATGTTCCTGGGATTTGGTATAATCAGGCATGGTAAGACAGGCATAGGCTGGGCGCGGTGGCTCACACCTGTAATTCCAGCACTTTAGGAGGCCGAGGTGGGTGGGTCACTTGAGGTCAGGAGATCGAGACCATCCTGACCAACATGGTGAAACCCTGTCTCTACTAAAAATACAAAAATTGTCACGCCTGTAATCCCAGCACTTTGGGAGGCCAAGGCAGGCAGATCACAAGGTCAAGAGATCGAGATCATCCTGGTCAACATGGTGAAACCCTGTCTCTACTAAAAATACAAATATTAGCTGGGCATGGTGGCGGGCACCTGTAATCCCAGCTACTCAGGAGGCTAAGGCAGGAGAATCAATTGAGCCCAGTAGGCGGAGGTTGCAGTGAGCCAAAATTGAGCCACTGCACTCCAGCCTGCGTGACAGAGTGAGACTCTTGTCTCAAAAAAAAAAAAAAAAAAAGGCAGGCACAGAAATGATTGTTGTGAAGGAACAGATTCATAGACACAGATCCCTGGAACCCAGAGGCACAGCATGCCACATGGGGGAACATGGGGAAGCACCAGGGTTGGCCGGGAGACAGAGGAGTGAGGAGAAAGGAAGGCACAGGACTTTATTATGGTCTCCTTGGGAAGGAACCAGTTGGGGGTAGGCAGCCTTCAGATTGGCAAATTGGAATAATTTCAGCAGGCTCCAGGGTGTAGCTGCCACTAGTTGTCTGGTACCTGGACTTGAGGCAATACTAGGGCATGGGGGATGTGGGTCACTTGTGGGAGCCCCACAAAGGTGGTAGTTGAAGGATGTGGTTTGAAGGAAGGTTTCCAGACTGACCGGTTTGCATGAGAGAGGTGCACTCCTAGGTTACTGTTTCAATCTCTAGGAACTGGCTGGCCCTGGAAGAGGCAGGCTCTCTGGGATCAGCACATTCTCAAATGTCAAAGCATCACAAATACAGAAAATGAAAAAAAAAAAAAAGGTTAACACACTCAGGTTCCTGCATTTTCATCAACCGATTCACACAAAACCTTGCTTTATGTGAGTTTTTGGTTACAGACACCTTATTTAATATATATTGCTGATTCATTAGCATTGAACTCATGGCCAATAGCACTATAGCTCGTGCCTGAAGAAAGCTCATCTAACACAGATTTTTTCCATAAGACGCATCATAGCTTCTGCGCTTACGGACACCAGACGGCACATCAGCACGATGCTTAGGAGCCATTTTTAACAGCCAAATCACCAACCAAAGTGCAAAAAATGTGGCACTAAATAGACGGCCAAAAGGACAGTTGTTTACAATATGAGAACTGAGACAAGAAGGCGGAGACCTCGGTCCACCTTCTCTGGGAACCTGTACAGTGAGGGTCTCGAATGTTTCACGGCTCTACGCACATCCACAAATGACTATGAAAACATTGTGCATATGGATTCAGGGGCTACAAATGCATTTTAGTGAGTAGGTACATTTGCAAACACAGAATCTGCAAATAATGAAGATCAACTGTAACTGTTAGCCGTCGTTGCCTCCAGGGAAGAGAGCTGGGACACAGCGATGGGAAGGAAAATTCACTAATACGTATTCTTTTGTGCTTTAAATAAAAGGTTTGTATCACGTGTATTGACTACTTATTCAAGTATATAAATGCTTCAGGAAGTTACCACAGTGACAAGGGCCTGTTAGCGTCTGTAAGACTTCATTCTGCCATCTGCAGAAGGGGAACGATCATGTCTCCATTAGTGGGTGGCAGTGAGGGCATTTGAGAGCTATTTCGATTCCCTTCCCAACGCTCCTCCAGATCTTGCCTCCTGAAATGAAAATACCTTCAGCACTCCCTCTGGAGACCCACCTCACTTCCAGGATCCTGCTTAGACCCCTCTTCTCGAAGCTCTCTCCTCACTTTGCTACTGACTGTGCCAGACATTCTGCTTGCCTTCCTGCTCTGCATTCCACTCTCTCTCTTGTTTAATGTTAACAACCTCTGATTCTGTCCACAGCAGCAATGTGCTCAGTCAAAAATATTTTCTCCCAGAAACCCTTGCAGCTGTATAAATGGGGCAAGTGAGACAGTTCTGGCCAGTGGGACGTGGGTGAAAATCCTTTTGCCATCCATTCTCAAATAAAAAGCAAAGCTTTGTAAGGAGAAGGGTTTTGGTCTTTCCCCTTTCTTTCTGCCTGGAACACGGATGTGATGCCTGGAAGCGCCACAGCCGTTTTGCAGCCATGAGGAAGATGTCTGTGTGTTATGAAAGTCCGTGTGCTATGAAAGGCGGAGAGAGTAAGAAAAAAGGAGCCTGAATCCCTGATGAAGTCAGTGAGCTATGACAGTCCACCCCCAGTTACAGAAGAAAAATAAATCCCTTACTCATTGAAGCCATTGTGGTGGGTTTTTCTTGCGTACTGAGCTGAGATCCGTCTGAACAGATATTGCTTCCACCAGAGCTCAGGCATTCCACCAAGGGTGTGGATGGTCCTAATCCTCCTTTATCATTTCTGAGGTAATTCATTTCTTCTGAGATAATTCAGCCACAGCCACAGGCCCAGCCGCCATCAGGGTACGCCAGCTGTAGCCCAGATCCTTCTCTCACCCCTAGACCCCAAATGCCATTGACTGATGGCCCACAGCATGACATTCTTATATTTGGGTTCCTGCCTCCACTGCTCCACCCCCAAATAGACTTCTCTTGAATCCTATTTTGGGTCCTGGTTACCATCCACTGCATAAAACCACGCCAATTTCATGTCCAACCTTGATCCATCCTTAATGGCTCTGTGCTTCAAATCTTTCATCTGAAATGATTAGAGGATTTGTCTCACATGGGGTGTGGTGGGGATTACATAACATTGCTGGGTCTGTAGCCTCTTTACTGGGAAGAAAATGTGCTGACCAAGGAATGCATAGATCCAGGGGGGCTTAGCAGTTAATCACGTCCTTGGATGCAGCTGCCCGGAGGCACGTGCACACATGATCTTGGCAGACCGCAGTCGTTCTTAGTGTAAAGCTACCAGCAGGAGCTGTGGGCCTTGGTGTAGCAAAAGGAAGCTAGGATTTATTCAAATTACAATTTGACTATCTACTATATGCCAGGCACTGATCTAAATATTGGGAATAAAACATTGAAGAGGGAGTAAAAACTCCTGACCTCTTGCTGCTGACTTTGAGATGGAGTTTCGCTCTGTCACCGAGGCTGGAGTGCAGTGGCGGGATCTCTAGTCACTGCAAGCTCTGCCTTCCGGGTTCAAGCGATTCTCCTGCTTCAGCCTCCCAAGTAGCTGGGATTACAGGCACCCACCATCACGCCTGGCTAATTTTTGTATTTTTTAGTAGAGACGGAATTTCATCATGTTGGCCAGGCTGGTCTCAAACTCCTGACCTCAGGCGATGCACCTGCCTCGGCTTCCCAAAGTGCTGGGATTACAGGCATGAGCCACGGCGCCTGGCCAAAAGGAAATTTTTGAGGGTGATGGATACGTTCACTACCTTGGTTGTGGTGAAGATTTCACGGGTACAGACAGATGTCAAAACTTACCAAATTGTACACTTTATGCAGAGTCTATTTGATGACATTTTACCTCAGCAAAACTGTTTTTAAAAAGAAGAAGTTTTAATGAGAACACATGGACACAGGGAGTGGAACGTTACACACCAGGGCCTGTCAGGGGCTGGGGAGCAAGAGGAAGGAGAGCATTAGGACAAATACCTAATGCATGCAGGGCTGAAAACCTAGATGACAGGTTGATAGTGCAGCAAACCACCACGGCACATGTATACCTGTGTAACAAACTTGCATATTCTGCACATGTATGCCAGAACTTAAAGTAAAAAAAAAAAAAAAGAAGTTCAGGGAAATGCAAATTAAAACCACAGTGGGATACCCCTTACCTCAATTACAATGGCCATTTTTAAAAAGTCAAAAACCAATAGATGTTGGAGGGGATGTGGTAAAAAGGGAATGCTGAGATACTGTTGGTAGGAAAGTAAACTAGTAAAACCATTATAGAAAACAGTATGGAGATTTCCCAAAAAACTAAAAGTAGATCTACCATTCCCTCCAGCAATCCCGCTATTAGGTATCTACCTAAAGGAAAAGAGGCTGAGGTGGGCAGATCATGAGGTCAGGAGTTTGAGACCAGCCTGGCCAACATAGTGAAACCCTGTCTCTACTAAAAATACTAAAAAAAAATTAGCCAGGCGTGGTGATGGGAGCCTGTAGTCCCAGCTACTTGGAAGGCTGAGGCAGGAGAATCACTTGAACCCGGGATGCAGGGGTTGCAGTGAGCCGAGATCAAGCCACTGCACTCCAGCCTGGGTGATGGAGTAAGACTCCATCTGAAAAAAAAAAAAAAAAGTCATTATATAAAAGTCACACCTGCACTCATTTGTTTATCGCAGCCCAATTTGCAATTGCGAAGAAATGGAATCAACCTAACTGCCCATCAGTCAATGGGTAGATAAAGAAAATATGGTATATTTGTATGCTATGGAATATACTACTAAGCCATGAAAAACAATGAAATAATGTTTTTGCAGCAACTTGGATGGAGCTGGAGGCCATTATTCTAAGTGAAGTAACTGAGACAGAAAACCAAATACTGTATGTTCTCACTTATAAGTGGGACCTAAGCTATGGGTACCTAAAGGCACACAGAGTGGTATAATGGACACTGATGACTCAGAAAAGGGGGGACTCTCCCATGGGAGGGGGTTTAAGGGATAACAACTCACTTACTGGGTAGGTGTATATGTGTGTATATAGATGGGGGTATAGAGAAAGAAAGATATATATAGAGAGGGAGAGATTCATACAGAAAATTGCTAAAATTACTCCTGTTAGGGTAGTAGGACTATGGCAGTTTCTTAAAGGTATTTTAAATAATTTTTTTAAATTAAAAAAATGCAACCTTTGAGAAACTTCAAACTATATAGAAATATAGAAAGCAAAAAAGCAAAAATATTCTCCCAATCCCACAGGGCCAATCACTAGCAAGGTTTTCTTGCTTTTACCTTCTCTAAATTTTTGTACAAAGGATGTATATATAGTATCTGTGTTTGTGTGTACACATGCATGCTCACACACAGTGTCTTTTTTATAGACATAAAATAATATTCTACATACAGCATGGCAACTTGCCCTTTGTTGTTTTTTGAACCAACAGTGCATTTTTGACAACTTTTTAATCCTAAAATGATGGCCAGTATTAATATTTTATTTTTCTGGATGAGCATGGTGGCTTACACCTATAATCCCAGCATTCTGAGAGGCCAAGGCAGGAGGATCGCTTGGCCCCAGGAGTTTGACACCAGCCTGGGCAACACAGTGAGACTCCATCATTACAAAAAAAAAAAACAAAAAAAAAAAACAGGCGTGGTGGTGCACGCCTGCAGTCCCAGCTACTCCACAGGTGAAGGGGCTGAGGTAGGAGACCAGAGGCGGTGATTGAGACCACAGGGGGTGATTGTGCCACTGTACTCTAGCCTGTGTGACAGAATAAGACCCTGTCTCAAAAAAAAAAAAAAAATACAAAGTCCAGAAATGTTCTTGGTGTATTTAAAAATATAAGTAAATACAAACATATATATACATATATACTCTTTCAACAGAATTGAATTCAGACTCTATATATCATTCACTAACTTAATTTTTTTCCCTATTTGACCCAACAGTATGTCCCAGGCAAGGCAACCTCCTATGCTGAAACACACATCTCTGCATCAACCTTTTCTGCAAAAGATTCAATGGTATGGATGCAACACCATTTATTTTACCATTTCTATATTGATAGACAGAGAATCTCCAATATTTTGCAATTCTCGCCTTAAAATGTGCACTTCTCTGAGTATTTCTGCAAGATTAATTAGTGGAAACACATTTGCTGTGTTGGGGGGGTCATACATAGTCAAAATGTTGGCAAGTCCCATAAAATCACCTCAGAGAGGTCATACCCTAAATGTCTCCCATTGCCACGTATGACAGCAGACACTTACTCTGCCCACCCTCACCAACACTGGCCTTTATCAGGATTTTTTTTTTTTTTTTTTTTTTTTTGAGACAGAGTCTCACTCTGTCACCCAGGCTGGAGTGCAGTGGTGCGATCTCGGCTCACTGCAACCTCTGCCTCCCAGGTTCAAGTGATTCTCCTGCCTCAGCCTCCCAACTAGCTGTGATTACAAATGTGTGCCACCACCCCCGGCTAATTTTTGCACATTAGTAGAGACAGGGTTTCACCATATTGGTCAGGCTGGTCTCAAACTCCTGACCTCATGATCCACTTGCCTCAGCCTCCCAAAGTGCTGGGATTACAGGTGTGAGCCACCCATGCCCAGCCCTAGGATTTTCATTTTTACATCACTCTGAGAGTTAAACTTGACATTATGTGGTCCTGATTTCCATTTCCTGTTCACTCGAGAAGTGATGCCTCTCTTTCTAACTTCATGGGCTTTTTCTTTTTCTTCTATCATTTGCCTATTAATCATTTTGCTCACACATTTTTTCTTTTTTTATTATTATTTTATTTTATTTTTCCATAAGTTATTGGGGTACAGGTGGTATTAGGTTACATGAGTAAGTTCTTTGTGGTGATTTGTGATATTTTGGTGCACCCATCACTCGAGCAGTGTACACTGCACCATATTTGTTGTATTTTGTCCCTCGCCCCCCTCCCTCTCTTCCCCTCAAGTCCCCAAAGTCCATTGTATCATTCTTATGCCTTTGCCGTCATAGCTTAGCTCCCACATATCAGTGAGAACATACAATGTTTGGTTTTCCATTCCTGAGCTGCTTCACTTAGAATAATAGTCTCCAATCTCATCCAGGTTGCTGCAAATGCTGTTAATTCATTCCTTTTTATGGCTGAGAAGTATTCCATCGTATATATATACATACCACAGTTTGTTTATTCACTCATTGATTGATCTAAGACCTGAAACTATAAAAATTCTCGAAAATAACATTGGAAAAACCTTTCTAGACACTGGCTTAGACAAGAATTTCATGACCAAAAACCCAAAAGCAAATGCAATAAAAACAAAGATAAATAGCTGGGACCTAATTAAACTGAAGAGTTTTGCATGGCAAAAGGAACAATCAGCAGAGTAAACAGACAACCCACACAGTGGGAGAAAATCTTCACAATCTATACATCTGACAAAGGACTAATATCCAGAATCTACAATGGACTCAAACAAATCAGTAACCAAAAAAAAAAAAAAAAATCCCTTCAAAAAGTGGGCTAAGGACATGAATAGACAATTCTCAAAAGAAGATATACAAATGGCCAACAAACATATGAAAAAATGCTCAACATCACTAACGATCAGGGAAATGCAAATCAAAACCACAATGCAATACCCCCTTACTCCTTCAAGAATGGCCATAATCAAAAAATCAAAAAACAGTAGATGTTAGCATGGATGTTGTGATCAGGGAACACTTCGACACTACTGGTGGGAATGTAAACTAGTACAGCCACCATGGAAAACAGTGTGGAGATTCCTTAACGAACTAAAAGTAGAATTACCATTTGACCCAGCAATCCCACTACTGGGTGTCTACCCAGAGGAAAAGAAGTCATTATGTGAAAAAGATACTTTCACACACATGCGTATAGCAGCACAATTCACAACTGCAAAATCGCGGAATCACACGTCTTTTTCATCGAAAGGTGTAAGTGCCATCCCTGTTGCATCTGAATCCACCTCCAGCCTTCTCCGCCATTTCCTACTCCACTAAAACCAACTTGTAAAGGATTAACATTTAAACATCAGAAACGGAATGAGACAAAATGGCCTCACTGGAGAGTCAGAGTGAAAACTGGCCCGAGCAGGCTTTCAGGAGCGAAGTGTGCCAAACAGCCGTGAAGCTGGGGATTAAAGTCTTTCTTCCATCTGGAACCTGGCGTCGGCAGCACAGTGACCACATTGTGCTCCTTCCCAGAAAAAGCACGGTGTTGCCTGGCTACCCGGCAATGTATATATGGCTTGGCAGCTTGCCTGATTTTGCAACTCAGAGGAAAATTCCAGGGTGGGATGCAAGCTGAGGTTCTAGGACACATGGTTTAACCCCTGCCTCTCAGGGAACTTGAGCCCAGGGGCCTTCCACGGCCAGGTAACTCAGGCCAGGTGAGCAAACCTCCAGGGTGTTTGGTCTCCTTCCTTGCACAATAGGCTCAACAGGACCCAACTTGGTGAGAAGCTATGTAGAGCCCATGAGGTTCATAACCAAGCTTAGTGCTTCTGGGACCCAGCATTCAGAGGAGTCTTCATATTCAGACATATCCTGGCTTAGACTCGCAGTAGTTTTATGGCCTTGGGATGGTGGTTTAGCTCCTCTGTACGCAGGTTTCTTGTCAGTAAAGTAAGAGTGACCATACCAATCTTTGTGTGTGTGTTGTGTGTGTGAAACAGGGTCTTGCTCTGTCGCCAAGCTGGGGTGCAGTGGTGAGATCATGGCTCACTGCAGCCTTGACCTCCTGGGCTCGAGCCATCATCCCACCTCAGCTTCCTGAGTTGCTGGGACTATAGGCATGCACCACTATGCCTGGCTAATTTTTCTATTTTTTTATAAAGACAGGGTCTCACTATATTGCCCAGGCTAGTGTTGAACTCCTGCGCTCAAGCCTTTCACCTTGGCCTCTCAAAGTGCTGAGATTCTAGGTGTGAGCCACTGCACCGGGTCCCAGTCTTGGTTGGGTTGTGTTAAACATCCAACGTATGAAAACTGCCTCAACAGGGCGGGAAGGTGACAGAGAAAGTTCCCCCTTCTCCTTCCTCCTTCCCTTCTCTTGATCAGGCTTACGATTGGCCTGTCCTCCTTCTGGTAATCCTCAAAGGTCGAGTGACACTGTGCTTTACTGATTCTGCTTAACACTTTGTCATGGCTTTCCATACTAGTGTTCAATGAGGAACTGACTAAGCCCACAAGATCCTGCCTCCCGGCTCCCCACTGTGCACCATGTTCTCGTCTCGCCAGTCATCATTTTGTTCTTTGATCATCCCAAGATAATTCCTACCTCTAAATCATCCCCCTTACCCTCATGAAGATGAAGACAAGCTCTTTTCACCCTGCGGAGTTCAGGTTAAATGTCATCTCCTAAAAGAGGCTCTTCCCAACTGCCCTATCTAAAATAGTAGCCAAGGCCAGGAGCAGTGGCTCACGCCTGTAATCCCAGCATTTTGGGAGGCCAAGACAGGTGGATCACCTAAGGAGTTTGAGACCAGCCTGGCCAACATGGTGAAACCCTGTCTCTACTAAAAATACAAAAATTAGCCAGGCACGGTGGTATGTGCCTGTAGTCCCAGCTACTCGGGAGGCTGAGGCAGGAGAACTGCTTGAACCCAGGAGGCGGAGGTTGCAGTGAGCCAAGATTATGCCACTTCACTCCAGCCTGGGTGAAAGAGTGAAACTCCATCTCAAAAAATAAAATAAAATAAAATGTAAAATAGCAGCCAAATCCAGGCCTCCAAACCCTGGGCCTCCATCCCAGACCAATCCTCAATGCTGCTGGGCTCCTTAAAGACAACCCTTCATCCCCACCCCACACACAAACACACATTCTGTAGATCCCTAGACAAAAACCACCCTCCCATATTACTCAGAAATGTATCCCATGCACACTGAAGTGAGCCTCTGTTGGTTTTCCCACCCCACATCTATTCCCCCTTTATTCTGATTCTAGCACTTTCTATTTTCCTTGGGGATCCAGACCAACCCCACTCTCAGCCTGTGCAGTGTAAGTGGAGATCACATCACTTCCTGATGTGAGAACGGACACATGTCCCAGGTCTGACCAATCAGCATCTCAGGAATTGACTCATGGTTGGGCCTGGAACTTTGGTGGAACTATTGAGATAGAAGTGTTCTGTTTCCTCTGGGTCTCTTAGCTGGTAGCACCCAGGTGCTGAGATGTTGGCAGCTATCTTTACCTTTTTGAGGGGAGATCCTGTGGCAGGATGAAACCACATCAGAGGAAAGCAGGTCTGAGAAACACAGACATGGCCAGTCGTGGCGGCTCACGCCTATAATCCCAGCACTTTGGGAGGCCAAGGCAGGTGGATCACCTGAGGTCACGAGCTTGAGACCAGCCTAACCAAAATGGTGAAACCTCGTCTCTACTAAAAATACAAAAAATCAGCTGGGCATGGTGGTGGGTGCCTGTAATCCCAGGTACTCAGGAGGTTGAGGCAGGAGAATCCCTTGAAGCCGGGAGGCAGAGGTTGCAGTGAGCCGAGATGGCGCCATTGCACTCCAGCCTGGGCAACAAGAGCGAAACTCCGTCTCAAGGAAAAAAAAAAAAGGAAACACAGACATAAAGGTCATATCTTGATAAAATCATTAGAAGTTCTGGATCCAACTGTACTGAAGCTCCTTGAACTTGACAGATGTTGAGCCTATTACATTCCTATTTATTTTGTTTAAGCCAATTTGAGTTTATTTTTCATCACTTACATCTGAAATAGGCATGACAGATAAAGCCCCTCTCCTGGGCCCTTGTCAAGTAATCCCTGACTCATCCCTCTTCTGTATTCTCCATATCCAAATAGTCACCATGTCTTGTGGAGATCAACGTCTGCCCATAAATGAGTCCCCACATCTCTCTTGTTTTCCATTTTTGTGCATCCATTTCTCATCTCTCACACTGATATATCCCCCAGGTGACATGGCTCTAGTCCACCCCGCCCTTGATTCTTCACTGCTTGGCTGTCTCCACTCTTGCTTGCTGTTTCCATACCATTCTCCGATCCCAAGAAGGACATCCTTCCAAAACACAAGTCTAACTCCATCAGTCTCCTGTTTAGAGACATCTCTTCCATGACAAGCAACAGAAATGCTGATTGCTAAAGCGAAATCAAACAAACAAAAATAAAAGTTGTTTACTGAATCATGTAGTTGAAAAGTCCAGGGGTAGTTGGCTTCATGCGTACCTGGACTCAACCCCCCAAAAATTTTTATCAGAGGCCAGGCACAGTGTCTCACACCTGTAATCCCAGCACTTTGAGAGGCCAAAGAGGGCGGATCACTTGAGGCCAGGAGTTTGAGACCAGCCTAGCCAACATGGCAAAACCTTGTCTCTATCAAAAATACAAAAAAAATTAGCCTGGCATGGTGGTCCATTACTGTAATCCCAGCTACTCGGGAGGCTGAGGCACGAGCATAATTTGAACCCAAGAGGAGGAGGTTGCAGTGAGCCAAGATTGCACCACTGTACTCCAGACTGGGCGACAGAGTGAGACTCAGTCTCAAAAAAAAAAAAAAAAAAAAAATTAGAGATCTATTGGTCTTATTTTGCTAGCAGGAATAGTCTGCAATCCTTCTAGCAAAACTCCTAGGGCTGCCCCTCATTGGCCCAGATTGGGTCACATGTCCATCCCTGAGCCAGTGACTTCTATTGACCAGGTAGAGGTCACAGGAGCTGGAGAGAGAGGCCTCATAGGCTCCATGGACTGAGAGGGTGGGAGAGGGTGCTCTCCAAAAGGAAAAGGGTATTTTGTTCATAAAAGAGTGAACACCGGGTGAGCAAAACTTTATATCCACTGTACCCATCCAAGGTACACATGCACCTTCGAGGTCAGGTTCAGGCCTTGTGGAGTTCCCTGTGGCCTCCCCTGCAGCCATGCTTCACCTTACCCACCTCCACCACCACCGCCTCCACGGGCCAGTCAGAATAAACTACTCATCTGTAGACCTCTGCATGTCTGCCAAATGCTCGTTCCTCTCTCATTCCTCTTTTTTTGAGACAGAGTCTTGCTCTGTAGCCCAGGCCAGAATGCAGCAGCGTGATCTCTGCTCACTGCAACCTCTGCCTACTGGGTGCCAGTACAAGCAATTCTTCTGACTCAGCCTCCTGAGTAGCTGGGATTACAGGCATGCGCCACCATGCCCAGTTAATTCTTTTGTATTTTTAGTAGAGACGGACTTTCACCATGTTGGCTAGGCTGGTCTTGAACTCCTGACCTCATGATCCACCCACCTTGGCCTCCCAAAGTGCTGGGATTACAGGTGTGAGCCACTGCGCCTGGCCCCTCTCATTCCTCTTTTCAGCAAGCTCCTGCTTAGTTTCAAGGCCCTGTCACACAGGCTATTTCTTCCAGGAAGGAGTTCCTAAGACCCCACAACACAGGATGTGGTGCAAGGTGGGTATGAATGGGTTCATCTGTGTGGCACTCCTCCCTGCTGCTTCGGGAAAACTCACCCTGGCTTTTATTTTAGGGACTGCTTCTTCTCACCCGTATCCCCACAAAGGTCACCTATTGTAGTATGCTGGGTGCCTTGGCCATGGGAGTGGGCATGTGACCCAAGCCAGGCTGGTGAAGAGCCTTCTAAGGACAAGGGAGGCAGGTCTTCTCCTTGCAGATGGATAACCTGAGAATAGCACCATTCTGACCTCATGGGGAAGCCTTGCATGACAGCTCACTACCAACATGCAGACTCAAGTGGTAGAGAGACAGCTGCTGGCTGCATTCCATCACCCTGAAGACAACTACACCCCTTCCCTCCCTCAGATTTGGTTACCTAAGCCAAGAAATCCCCCCTCTTTGCCGAAACCAGTTCGAGTTGTTTCTGTCATCCTCAACCCTCTGAGACCAGCGGTGCCCCAGCTGCTCCATGGAGTGGCCATGTCTGCTGACTGAAAACCCTTATGGGTGTGGGGTGGTCATGGGGTATGAGGTGAAGTAAATGGGGCTTCTTTCTTTTGTAACCAGGATAGTCTTCTAGGACCACCCAGAGGAAACCACCATTAAAGTCACGGGCTTCGTACACACTGAACAAATTGATTCTAATGTGCAAATTGGTACCATTTAAGGGAACTACTTCTATTTTTTTTTTTTTTTTTTTGAGACGGAGTCTCACTCTGTTGCCCAGGCTGGAGTGCAGTGGCACGATCTCTGCTCACTGCAACCTCCAACTCCCTGGTTTAAGTGATTTTCCTGCCTCAGCCTCCCAAGTAGCTGGGATTACAGGCACGCACCACCAGCCCCAGCTAATTTTTGTATTTTTAGTAGAGATGGGGTTTCACCATGTTGGCCAGGCTGCCCTTGATCTCCTGACCTCGTGATCTGCCCGCCTCAGCCTCCCAAAGTGCTGGGATTACAGGTGAGAGCCACCGCACCCGGCCAAAGGGAACTACTTCTGAGGGGACATTTCCACTTTGTCATGCATTGCTGGATGAGAGTTATCTTCAAAATGAATTGAATTCCAGAGACACAGCACAGACTACGGCAGTTAAGGGATGGAATCTGGAATTGTACTGCCTCAGTTCCAATTACATCTCCATAATTAACTTTTGTGTGCCTATGAACAAGTTATTTAATCTCTGCACCTCAGTTTCTTCATCAGTGAAGTGAAAATTATGATTGAAATGTATGACCTGCTGGGTGACTCATGTCAGGTGACTCACGCCTGTAATCCCAGCACTTTGGGAGGCTGAGATGGGAGGATTGCTTGAGGCCAGAAGTTCGAGGCCAGGAGTTCAAGACCAGGCTGGGCAAGACCCTGTCTCTACAAAATTTTTTCAAAATTAGCCAGGTATGTTGGCACACACCTGTAGTTGGAGGATCACTTGTGCCCAGGAATTCAAGGCTGCAGTAAGCCGTGATCACACCACTGCACTCCACATGGGCAACAGAGCCAGACCCCCATCTCTAAAACCTAAAAATAAAATAAAACATAAAAATAAAAGCATATGGACTTACAGAATTGTGGTCAGGGTAAAGTAAGAAAATCTATGCAAAATACACAAAATTGTGTCTCATGTTTCGAAAGCCCCAAATAAGAGTGAGCTAAGAATAGCCTCATTTCCTGAATGTTGAATAGAAAGAAGCAGGCAAAAATATTTGCTACTGCACTAGACATATGTGAGAGAAGAGGGAAAACACAAACGTGGATGTGAATTCAGTTGATATGCGTATTTCACTATCGGAACACATGCGCGTCCCTTGCTTTTCTTACCATAGCTACCATGTTCCCAGCCCCGTGTGCCACTTTCGCCTGCCAAGTCTTCACTGGGCTTCTTCTGAGATGGCTCCTTTCTCGGCTCTCTTTTCATATGGTTCAGGCAGGGCTGAGCCCACCCTGCTGACTCCAGGAAAGGGAAAAGGACCCAGGTCTGGCCCAGGAGAGCAGCACGTCCTCTTGGTCTCAGTGATTTGTTCAGGGATGGCCACAGAATCTAAGTAAGGCTATGCTAGCCCCAACTGCGACTTTTGCTGAAATTGTTGAGAAAAAGCTACTTTTAGGCCAGGCACGGTGTCTCACACCTGTAATCCCAGCATTTTGGGAGGCAGAGGCGGGTGGATCACCTGAAGTCTTAGGAGTTCGAGACCAGCCTGGCCAACATGGTGAAACCCCATCTCTACTAAAAATACAAAACATATTAGCCGGGCATGGTGGCACAAGCCTGTAATCCCAGCTACTTGGGAGGCTGAGGCAGGAGAATCGTTTGAACCCAGGAGGCAGAGGTTGCAGTGAGCCGAGATCATGCCACTGCACTCCAGTTGGGCAACAGAGCGAGACTGTGTCTCAAAAAACAAAACAAAACAAAAAACAAACAAACAAACAACAACAAAAAATGTTACTTTTCCTAATTGGGTTGAGAAGCTGGAAAGGAGGGAAACCTGTGACTGCTAGTAGCAAACTTGCCACTGGTTGGGAAGATCCTGATTGAGGATGAGGCCGAGAGAGATTAAAGCAAAGCAGAGAACAGGAAAGCAGCAGAATTTGGCGAAGGAGCTTTCAACACCTGGATCTGACTGTAACTGGGGTCAATAAAAGCTATCTCCCTTCATCATTTTGTCTGGAGCCCATTTTAACCGGTTTCTCTCAATTGCAGCCAAAAAAATTGAAATGCATTACATACACATATGTTAGAATTCTCATTCTATCTTCTACAGCTCTTAACTTCTTTCATATTTAAAATTTCTTTATTTTCCCTGGCCACCTTCTACATGGTTTCCTTAAATCTATTTTCCAGTTCACTAATTATCTCATTAGATGGCTCTAATCTCCTGGTTAACACCTTCACTGACTAAATTCTTATTTCTAGAAAACAAAGGTTTTTTTTTCAATATCCCCGATATTTTATTATGTCTTGTTGTTTTCAAATATTTGGATTTTTTTTATGTCTTCAATAATTTAACTGTGGTAAAATTCATGGAATATAAAATGTACCATCTTAAACGAGTTATTAAGTGTATCCCCATTGTTGTGTGACCAGTCTCCAGACCTTTCTCATCTTGCAAAACTGACACTCTAGAACTATTAAACAGTAACTCCCCATTCTCCTTTACCCATAGCCCCTGGCAACCATTATTTTACTTTCTGTTTCTATGAATTTTTTTTTTTTTTGAGACAGAGTCTCACTCTGTTGCCTAGGCTGGAGTGCAGTGGCATGATCTTGGCTCACTGCAACCTCTGCCTCCTGGGTTCAAGCAATTCTCCTGTCTCAGCCTCCTGAGTAGCTGGGAATATAGGTGCCCACCACCACGCCTGACTAATTTTTGTATTTTTTAGTAGAGATAGGGTTTTACCATGTTAGTCAGACTAGTCTCAAACTCCTGACGTCAGATGATCCATCCGCCTCGGCCTCCCAAAGTGCTGGCATTACAGGTGTGAGCCGCGGTGCCTGGCCTGTTTCTATGAATTTAACTACTTCAGATACCTATATGAGTGGAATCTTACAGTATTTGTCGTTTTGTAACTGGCTTATTCCACTTAGAATAGTGTCTTCAAGGTTTACCATATAGTAGCACGTATAAGAATCTCCTTCTTTTTAAGGCCGAATAATATTCGGTTATGTAGACAGACTCCATTTTTATTTATCCATGCACCTGTCAATGGACATTGGATCGCGTCTGTGTTTTGGTTATTGGGTGTAATGCCGCTATGGGTGTACAGATACCCGTTTCCTGAGTCCATTTTCAACTTTTGTTTTTATTTTTATTTTTTGGTATAAACCCAAGAGTGGAAAGGCTAAATCATAAGGTAATTCTATTTTTACGTTTTTTTTTTTTTAAATCATACTGTTTTCCATAGCAGGGGCATGATTTTACATTCCCACCAACAGTGCACAAGATTCCAATTTCCCTACATTCTCATATATACGTGTAGTTTTCTGCCTTTTAAAAATCTATATAGCCACAACCTAATGGCTCATTGTGATATATATATAAATTTTTGAGACAGGGTCTCGCTCCATCACCCAGCCTGGAGTGCAGTGGCACGATCATGGCTCACTGCAGCCTCCACTTCCCAGGTTCAGGATATCCTCCCACCTCACCTCCCAAGTAGCTAGGACTACAGGCAACACCACCATGCCTGGCTAATTTTTTAATTAAAAAAAATTTTTTTTTTGTACAGACAGGACTTTATTGCCCAGGATGGTCTCAGACAATTGGCCTCAAGTGATTCCCCTGCCTCAGCCTCCCAATGTGCTAAGATTACAGGCAGGAGCCACCGTGCCTGGCTTCTCACTGCCGTTGTGATTTACATTTCCTTCATGATTAGCGATGCTGAGCATCTTCTCATGTGCTTTTGGCCATTTGTATAACTTCTTTGAAGAAATGTCTATTCAACTTCTCTACCCATTTTTAAATCAAGTTGTTTTGCTGTTGTTGAGTTGTCTTGGATCATTTTGAATATATTTATGTTTTTATTTTAAAGTTTTATGGATACATAATAGTTCTACACGTTTATGGGGTACATGTGATACAAGCATACCATGTATAATGATCTTCCAATAACTTTCTTTTATAAAGTCTCTATCCAGTGTTGGAATTATGCTCTCTGAGAGCAGGACTTGTAAACTGTTTGTACGCTTGTGTACCCAAAGTATCTAAAATACTGCCTGGAACCTAGCACATGCTCAATAAATATTTGTTAAATAAGTGAATGCATGACTGGCAGAAGTTCTGTTAGCTGCAATTCCTGGGGATCTAATCCTGCTGTTTGATTGTTCTACTAACCCTCATTCAGGATGGACTTTTCATTGTTTGCAGTTTTGGATTGTGGGCTTATCTTTACTAGGGTTTTATCAGTGGGAATCCTGTATGCCCTAGGTTAGGTTATACCCCTCCAGACAGATTCTGCCCTTGTTTCTGCCAGGAAACAAACATTTTCTTTTTTTCTTTTTCTCTTTTTCAGACAGAGTCTCACTGTGTTGCCCAGGCTGGAGTGCAGTGGCATGATCTCGGCTCACTGCAACCTCCGCCTCTCGGGTTCAAGCTCTTCTCCTCCCTCAACCTCCCGAGTAGCTGGGATTACAGGCATGTGCCACCACACCCAGCTAATTTTTTGTATTTTTAGTAGAGACGAGGTTTCACCATGTTGGCCAGGCTGGTCTCGAACTCCCGACCTCCGATGATCCGCCCTGCCTCAGCCTCCCAAAGTGCTGGGATTACAAGCGTGAGCCCCCATGCCTGGCCTCACAAAATTTTTAAAGGTGAATTAACTTTGCTCATTTTTCAAAATGTGAACTAAGAAAATAGGATACTATTCGTCACCTATTAAACTGGCCAAAAAAAAAAAAAGGCTGGGAGTTGTGGATCACATCTGTAATCCCAGCACTATGGGAAGCCAAGGTAGGCAGGTCACTTGAGCTCAGGAATTCAAGACCAGCCTGGGCCACATGGAGAAACCCTATCTCTACAGAAAAAATTTAAAAATTAGCTGCATGCACCTGCAGTCCGAGTTACTTGGAGGCTGAGGTGGTTGGATTGTTTGAGCCTGGAAAGTTGAGGCTACAGTGAGTCATGATCATGACACTTTGGTCCAGCCTGGGCAACAGAGTGAGACTTTTTCTCAAAAAAAAAAAATCTGAAAATATAATGACAATATGATCCAGCAATTCCACTTCTGAGTATATACCTCAAAGAATTGAAAGCAGGTTCTCAAAGTGATATTTGCACACCCATATTCACAATGGCATTTTTTCACAGTAATAGTTAAATGTGAAAGCAGCCTAGGTGTCCACTGCTAGATAAATGGGTAAGAAAAATGTGGTCCATCCATACAATGGAATATTATCCATCCCTAAAGAGGAAGATAATTCTGACATGTGCTATAACATGCATGAACTCTAAGGACATCATTGTAGGAGAAATGAGCCAGTTACAAAAAGACAAATGCTGTAGGATTCCAATTACATGAAATACCTTAAGTAGTGAAATTCACAGAGACAGAAAGTAAAATGGTGGTGGCCAGGGGCTGGGAACAAGAGGAAATGGGGAATTAGTGTTTCGTGGGGACAGAGTTTCAGTTGGGGGACAGATGAAAAGAGTTCTGGAGATGGGTGGCAGTGACAGTTGCATAACATTATGAATGTATTTAATACCATTGAACTGTGTCTGTAAATAAATGGTCAAGATGGAAATTTTTATGTAATGTCTATTTTACCACAATTAAAAAATGGTAAAAGATCAGGTGCAGTTGATCACACTTGTAATCCCAGCATTTTGGGAAGCTGAGGCATGAGGATCGCTTTGAGATCCTCAGGTTTGAGACCAGTCTGGGCAACACAGTGAGACCTGTCTCTACAAAAAAGCAAAAATTAGCCAGGGCCGGGCGTGGTGGCTCACGCCTGTAATCCCAGCACTTTGGGAGGCCAAGGTGGGCAGATCACGAGGTCAGGAGATCGAGACCATCCTGGCTAACATGGTGAAACCCCGTCTCTACTAAAAAATACAAAAAATTAGCCGGGCATGGTGGTGGGCACCTGTAGTCCCAGCTACTCGGGAGGCTGGGGCAGGAGAATGGCGTGAACCCGGGAGGCGGAGCTTGCAGTGAGCCGAGATTGAGCCACTGCACTCCGGCCTGGGTGACAGAGCGAGACTTTGTCTCAAAAAAAAAAAAAAAATTAGCCAGGCATGGTGGTGCATGCCTGTAGTCCCAGCTGCTTGGGAGGTTGAGGCAGGAGGATCGCTTGAGCCTGGAAGGTCAAGTCTGCAGTGAACTGTGATTGTCCCACTGCACTCAGCCTGGGTGACATAGTGAGACCCTGTCTCTCAAAAAAAAAAAACAAAAGAACCTTAACTTAATCATAATCATATCTCCCACAACACCTCCCCACCTTTTTTTCAAACAAAGCAATATTCACAGGCTCTGAATATTAGGATTAGGACATGGATGTATCTTTTTAGGGGAAGGCAACATTTAGCCCACCACAGCCTCCTTGAAGTTTCTGGAGAACATAAGCTTGGTTCTACCTCTGAGCATTCACCTGGAACATTCTTCCTGAATCTAATCAGTATTATTGTCCAAGCCACTATCATATTGAGGGCCAACCAGGATTTGCTGATGGATTGGATATGCAGAGCTGTGAATCAAAAATGGCCTTAGGTCTGAGCAGCTGGGAGGATGGAGTTGTCATTTACTGAGATGGGCAGACTGAGGGTACGTAGCTGTGTCAGGGATGAGGTGAGATGAGGTGTTCACTCGTAGCTATGTTAAGATGGAAAGTACTATAAGACATCTAAGTGGAAATTTCCTATAAACAGTGGGTTGATGGAATTCATGGGAGATGTTGAGCTAGAGCTATAAATCTGAGATTTAACAATATATAGATGCTATTGCAAAGTTTAGCAATGTGTGGGATCATTTAGGTATCAAATCCAGATGGTAGACAAGATCTGAGCACTGAACTCTGGAGCACTCTAGAATTGAGACATGATAGTAGAAAAACATGGAAAGGAATATGAGAAAGAATATGTATTGGTTAGCAATTTGCTGCATAACAAATCATGCAAAAATGTATTAACTTAAAACAATAATCATTTATTATCTTTTATGGTTTCTGAAAGTTGGGGATTTGGAAACAGCTCTGATGGGCAGTTCTGGTCTGGGGTCTCTCATGAGGTGGTCAGAAGGTTTGACTGGGGCTGGAGAATCTACGTGGCTCACTCGAAGTTTGCCAAGTTGGTGCTGGCAAGCTGATTCCTCTGCACCTGGACCTCTCCAGGGGCTACTTGAGTATTCCACAACATGGTGGCTGAATTCCTACCCCTACTCCCAAGCAAGTGATCCAAGTGGAAACTACGATGTCCATTATGACTTAGCATTAGAAGTCACACACACTATCACTTCCTCCATGTTCTGCTGTTTCCAGCTGCAATGGGAAGGGTTCAAATGAGAATCAAAAACTTCCTAGACTCTCCCTTCACACTTCCCTCAGCCTCAGCTGGTCATGAACCAGCTCTGGGTCGGTGTCAGAAGAGACCACAAGACTGTGAGCACTACTAGGGAGTGAGGATTATTGCGGGCCACTTTGGAGGCTGGCTACTACAATCTGGTCAGACTCAGGGATGCCAGGAGCCTCTTGTCCTTAATCCCTCTGGCTGTCGGGCTGGAGGCCCTTGCAAGGGCCAGGAAGGAGACTGGCTCTTTTGACCTCTCCATCTTCCACCCCAGCAGAGGAGGGGTAGCCTGAGACCCCTGCCTGACACCAAGAGACAGGATTTCTATCCCAGTGGGGTATAGGGAGTATAGAGAAGGAAAGGGGAGAAAGTATCATTGCTTCCATATCCAGCAACAGGGGAGGTAGGAAGAAAGCCAGAAGAGAGAATTGTCAGGGAGGTCTGGTGAACCCAATTCAGTGTGGACTCAAGTCTTCTAAGAAGGACGGGTTGGGCCAGGCACGGTGGCTAATGCCTGTAATCCCAGCACTCTGGGAGGCCGAGGTGGGCAGATCACCTGAGGTTGGGATTTGAGACCAGCCTGGCCAACATGGCAAAACCCCGTCTCTAGTAAAAATACAAAAATCAGCTGGGCATGGCAGTGTGCGCCTGTAATCTCAGCTACTTGGGAGGCTGAGGCAGGAGAATCACTTGAACCCAGGAGGTGGAGGTTGCAGTGAGCCAAGACCATGCCATTGTACTCCAGCTTGGGTGACAGAGTGAGACTCTGTCTCAAAAAAAAAAAAAAGGAAGAAGAAGGACAGGTGACAAATTGTCAAGTCCTTATGACAGCTGGAACTCAACTACTGGATTTGCCAATGTGGAGATTATTGGTGGCCTTTTAGTAAAATGGTATAGATGAAAGCTTGATTGGAATGAGGTTAAGAGAGATAGAGAAATGCAAAAGTAAAGATGAGGCTATAGAGTTAGTTCTAAGGGGGAGAAGAGAAATGGTGCAGGAGCTGAATGAGATGTGGGTTGGTCAAGCACAGTGGCTCATGCCTGTAATCCCAACACTTTGGGAGGCTGAGGTGGGAGGATCACTTCAGCCCAGGAGTTCAAGACCAGCCTGAGCAACATAGGAAGTACCCGTCTCTAACAAAAAATTTAAAATTAGCTGGGCGTGGTGATGCACACCTGTAGTCCCAGGTGTGCTGAGACTTGGGAGGCTGAGACGGGAGGATTGTTTGAGCCCAGGAGGTCAAGGTGTCACTGAGTGGTGGTTGTGCCACTGCACTCCATCCTGGGCAATACAGCAAGAGCTTGTCTAAACAAACAAACAAAAAAGAAAGAACTCAGATTCCCATCCAAACTATGAGGGTTCAAATCTTGGATCTGTTTATTCAGTAGCTGTTAGACAAATTATCTCTTCCTATGTGGAAAATAAAAAGGATCTCTGAAAGTACCCAGTCAAAGGGTTATTGCGAGAATACTCTGAAAATGTTTGGTGAGAACACTTAGGTCATGCCTGTATCTTCCGTGAATTTTCTTATTACTGGAATGAGACAGTATTCCATGAAATTCAAGAAGAAAGGTATCAGACAAGTAAGTGCAGGGTTTGCAAAAGGGGCACATTTCTCATTCATTATAGGTTATTACTATTATATTACAATAATCTTATCCATAACATATAATTAAATATGTAATGCAATAATTATATAATAATCTTATTTATGACAAGTAAGTAAAGAGACAATCTATAATAAATTTATTGTAGATGTCCATCCCTTACTAGAGAATCAACAACAGAGTCCCCATTGCCATTTGCCTGAGTGAAGTAAGGCTTGGTAGGAATAAACTAGCAAGAGACTAGCCAAGAAGTCATTGACTGACTGACAGTGAATTCAGTATTTATTGAATGTCGAAGACAGAGTTGCAATACAAAACCACCCTTCAGCCAAAGCTGGTGAAAGCCTTTCTCCTACACATCCAGATCATCATTCAGGAAAACAGAAGATACTATATTATCTGCAATATATTCCTTTGACTTGACATATAGACACTGATCCACTGACAAAGACTCTTTGCTTGGCCACACGTTATTTTGTTTGTTTTCTTTTGTTTTGTTTTTGAGACAGAGTCTCACTCTGTCGCCCAGACTAGAGTGCAATGGCATGATCTCAGATCACTGCAACCTCCACCTTCCAGGTTGAAGCCATTCTCCTGCCTCAGACTCCTGAGTAGCTGGGATTACAGGCATGTGCCATCACGCCTGGCTAATTTTTGTATTTTTAGTAGAGATGGGGTTTCACCATGTTGGCCAGGCTGGTCACGAACTCCTGACCTCAGGCAATCTGCCCACCTTGGCTTCCCATAGTGCTGGGATTACAGGCATGAGCCACTGCGCCCAGGCTTGGCCACACTTTAGACAGGCTTCTGAATCTTGTGCTAGGCCCATCTAAGACCCAGTTTCAGGGAAGAACCCTGCTAAGTGAGTTTAGAAGGAACCCTCCACTGTCGACATCTGATCCCCTTTGATGTCTGATTGGATTCCTCCTGTCACCCGGGGCTGCCTTCAGCAGGAATCTAGCAAGGTCAGTTTAACCAGAATCGCCCTTATCTCTGAAGTTTCCTCTTAGCAGTTTTCTAGCCACTGCTCCCGACCCTGCTCCTTGGCTGTGAATTCCCACTCTCCCTGCTGTATTCAGGAATTAACCCAACCTCTCTCACCAACCAACCGCAAGCCCCTATGGCAGTGGTCCCCGTACCCACTGCGGTGATCCCAAATAAAGTCTGCCCATCCATCATCATTGAGCTATTTTTTTCCTTTAGCACCTCAGAGGCAAATGCAGGCATTTTTTCACTCCCTCCTGCTTTCAACCTTGCAAAATATGCACCTCAAAGGCAGCCCAGGGCCTCTATAAAGGGAGCCGTTGGGGACAGCAGTATTTCAAAGTGATTCTAGGTTTGGGATCCAGAGGCTTTTCTTTCACCCCAGGGCAATTCACTGCGATAAGATTAGGGGGTGAGAGAGAGGTATGCTTTTCATCTGTAAAGTGTTAGCAGGGTCATGGTGAAAGGGGGGCCCTAGGGCACCTCTCTGGGAGATGGATTCTCTTCAACCATGCGCCCCATCCCCCGTGGGGGTGTGCCAGCCTCCTGGGTTACAAGTATCCTAATTTGAAGGTCACAGCTCCAGTGACCTTCAGACCTCTGATTGATCTGGGAGCCTCCAGCCCTCTGGCCCACGCTGACTCCCCTGGGAGGCTCCTGGGCAGCCACGCCAGACTCACGGACGCCAGGGGCCTCTTGTCCTTAATCCCTCCGGCTGCCAGGCTGGAGGCCCTTGCAAGGGCCAGGAAGGAGGCTTGCTCCTTTGACCTCTCCATCTTCCACCCCAGCAGAGGAGGGGTAGCCGGAGACCCCTGCCTGACACCAACAGACAGGATTTCTATCCCAGTGGGGTATAAGGAGTGCAGAGCTGGAAGGGAGAAAGTATCATTGCTTCCATATCCAGCAACGGGGGAGGTGTTGGCCCCGTTAAGATTTCCACATTCAGGAGGGGGTTGCAGACGCAGACCCCGCCTATACTCCCATCCCCTGCTGGGGCAGGTGACCCAAAAACCCTGTTTTCAGCTACAGTGGGAAAGATTCAAGTGAGAATCAAAAACCTCCTAACTCCTCCCTACCTCCCTCAGCCTCAGTATCCCCAGTCTCCTAGAAGGCCTCAGCTTCCTGCACACCAGAGTAGGGGGAATGGAGGGAGGGGCAGAAGGTTCCACCCCATTCACCCTGCAAATCAAAGATCAGGGAGATTCCCAGCCCCAGTACAGAGCCAGCTCTCTGGGGGACCAAAAGCCAAGGTCTGCCTGTCCCTTAGGTTCCCCATCACAGGGCAGTGGCAGGCAGGTCTCCTCTGGAAGCTTCGTCCCTCCCTTCTGGTGCCGACCAGAAGAATTCAGAGACCTTGCCTAGGGACAGTCAGGTGTAAGCTATAAATAATATTCTGTCAGACATCGGCAACAGAGCATCCACTCATTCAGCAAGTATGTTTCATGCTTGTGCCCTGGGCACTGTGTTAAATTCTAGGAAGTCCGGGGGAGCCGAAGACATGTCTGTTTTCTCCTGGAGTGGATGAAATGGGGTGTGGGAACTGACAAACAGAATCAAGATAATTTTTTTTTTTTTTTGAAACAGAGTCTTGCTCTGTCGCCCAGGCTGAAGTGCAATGGTGGGATCTCGGCTCACTAGAACCTCCACCTCCTGGGTTCAAGGGATTCTCCTGCCTCAGCCTCCTGAATAGCTGGTATTACAGGCACCCACTACCTTGATCAGCTAATTTTTAAATTTTTAGTAGAGACAGGGTTTCACCATTTTGGCCAGGCTGGTCTTGAACTCTTGACCTCAGGTGATCCACCCACCCCAGTCTCCCAAAGTGCTGGGATGGCAGGTGTGAGCCACCGCGCCTGACAAGAAAATTTTTAAAATAAATGGAATTAGGCAATGACATGCTTTAGGATCTGACACCAAGCACAGGCAACAGAAGTGAAAATAGGCAAATGGGACTATATCAGATGTAAAATGTTTGTGCCTTAAATAACACAACAATTGACAGAATGCAAAGACAACCTACGGAATAAGAGAAAATATTTGCAAATGATACATCTGATATGTGGTTAATATTGAAAATATATACAGAACTACAACAACTTAACACCAAAAAAATCAAATAACACAATTCAAAAATGGGCAAAGAGCTTGAATAGACACGTCTCCAAAGAAGATATACAAATGACAAACAAGCACGTGAAAAAATGTTCATTATTAATCATTAAAGAAAAGCAATTTGAAACCGCAATGAGATACCAACTCATACCTATCGGGATGGCTACTATCAAAAAAAAAAAAAAAAAGGAAAGTATAAAAGGCAATGTGGGCCAGGCGTGGTGGCTCACGCCTGTAATCCCAGCACTCTGGGAGGCCGAAGCAGGCAGATCACGAGGTCAGGAGTTCGAGACCAGCCTGGCCAGCTTGGTGAAACCCCATCTCTACTGACAGTACAAAAAATTAGCCAGGCATGGTGGTGCGCACCTGTAATCCCAGCTACTCGGGAGGCTGAGGCAGGAGAATCACTTGAACCCAGGAGGCCGAGGTTGCAGTGAGCCAAGATCACGCCAACTGCACTCCAGCCTGGGCGATATAGCAAGACTCTGTCTCAAAAAATAAAAAAATAATAAAGAAGGCAGTGTGGAGAAATTGGAACCCTTGGGCACCATTGATGGGAATATAAAATGGTACAGCCACTTTGGAAAATGGTATGGCAGTTCCTCAAATAATTAAAAGTAGAATTACCTTATGATCCAGCAATTCCAATTCTAGGTATTTACCCAAAAGAAAACATGGACTCAAAGAGATATGTGTGCAGCCATGTTCCTAACAGCACTATTCACAATAGCCAGGAGGTTGAAGCAAAGTAAATGCCCATCAACAGATAAATGGACAATGGGAATGTGGTATATGCATACAATGGAACATTAGTATTCAGCATAAAAAAGGAAGTGTTGTGATATAACATGACTGAACCTTGAGGACATTATGCTAAGTGAAATAAGGCAGTCACAAAAAGACAAATGCTATTATCTCACTTATACGAAGTTACTGAGTCAAATTCATAAAAACAGAAAGTAAAATGGTGATTTACCAGGGAATGGGGTAGGAAGAAATGGGGAGTTGTTTTTTCATGGTTATAGAGTTTCCGATTTGCAAGATGAAAGAGTTCTGGAGACCTGATTCATAATAATGTGAAAATACTTAACATTACTAAATTGTACACTTAAAGTAATTAAGATGGTACATTTTATGTTATGTGGTTTTTACCACAATAAAATAATTAATGAAGATCATAAAACTGGGGAACTTGCTGGTTCCTCAGGAGTTTCTACATAGGAGGGACTTCAGAGGGTAAAGAGAAAGGAACTTGAAGCCGGTTTGTATATTGCTTTATAAATAACTTTGAGGAGACACAAGTTGTCCACATGAAAGACTGGGGGTTAATTATGGGGATGAGGCCACTTACAGCACGACATACATTACTGGAGGGTGACCGAGGCTATTTTAGCTCAGGTTCTCAGAAAAGGCCCCTTCAAGGAAGTGACATTTAAGTTGAAGGAAGCCTAAATGATCAGTCAAGCAAAGATCTGAGGGAAGAACATACCGAGAAGTGAGAAGACAATGGAGAGAAATATGTTGGAGAGGGAGAAAGAAACCCAGTGTGGCTGAAGAAGCCAGCGGAGAGGTGGGAGGAGACGACTCTGAGCTAGGGTAAGGTTTTTGTAAAGGTAAAAGGTCTGCAGGAATACAGGAATGCTGCAATTCATAATAACAGCTATGACTATTATTTCTTTTCTTTTTCTTTTTTTTTTTTTTTTTTTGAGACAGGGTCTCACTCTGTCGCCCAGGCTGGAGTGCAGTGGCACGATCTCAGCTCACTGCAACATCCGCCTCCCAGGTTCAAGTGATTCTCCCGCCTCAGCCTCCGGAGTAGCTGGGACTACAGGCACGTGCCACCACGCCCAGCTAACTTTTGTATTTTTAGTAGAGACTGGGTTTCACCGTGTTGGCCAAGCTGGTCTTGAACTCCTGACCTTGTGATCTGCCCACCTTGGCCTCCCAAAGTGCTGAAATTACAGGCGTGAGCCACCACACCTGGCTGACTATTATTTCTATCATTATTATTGTCTTGTTGATTTCCAGGGAGAGAGACTGAAATTAGGGTGGCCATTACAGGATGAGCATATCTAATGGGAAAATCTGAAATCAGAAATACTCCAAAATCTGATATGTTTGAGTGCCAGCATGATGCCACACGAGGAAAATTGCAAAGGGTTGCAGTGAAAACACAGTCAAAACTTTGTTTTCATGCACAAAATTATTAAAAATACTGCATAAAATTATCTCCAGGCTATGTGTATAAAATGTCTATGAAACATAAATAAGGCCGGCCATCGTGACTCATGCCTGTAATCCCAGCACTTTGGGAGTCTGACGCGGGCAGATCACCTGAGGTCAGGAGTTCGAAACCAGTCTGGTGAAACCCATCTCTACTAAAAATACAAAAAAAAATTAGCCAGGCATGGTGGTGGGTGCCTGTAATTCCAGCCACTCGGGAGGCTGAGGCATGAGAATCGCTTGAACCTGGGAGGTGGAGGTTGCAGTGAGCTGAGATTGTGCCACCGTACTCCAGCCTGGGAGACAGAGCAAGATGACTCCGTTTCAAAAAAAAAAAAAAAAAAAAAAAGGAAACAAATAAATTTCATGTATAGATTTGGGTTATATCCCCAAGATATATCTCATTACATAAATGCAAATGTTCCAAAATCTGAAAAAATCTGAAACCTGAAACACCTCTGGTCCCAAGCATTTTGGATAAGGGATATTCAACCTGTATCCCCTGAGCCTTCAAACCCTGGTTCCACCACTCACCAGCTACAGGCCTGGCCCCTGCCTTAGTGAAGCTTATCATCTAACAGGGAAGACAGACATCACATCAGAGAGGACAGGATGTTTGAGCAGCACGGAAGGGGTGACCATTCCATGGTGGGCTGGTAAATGTTTAACAACTAGCTCTCAAGGGAACAAAACCATGCTTTGTAGAGTCTGCCAATTCCCATGGTGTAAATATTCCCACTGTGGCTGACCTGAAGCTAACAATGTGATATCACCGAATGTGGAGTTGCGAAGAGATGAACAAAACTGGATCTCATGAGGCTGGTGAAGCCACCACTGGGGCTACCCCGATTCTGAAGGGGATGGGAGGAAGGCATCAGAGAGGGCCTCCTTGGAGGAAGTGTCCTGAAAAGTGCAGGCAGAACAGGAAGGAATGGCAAGGGGAAATGTTTCAAGCCAAGAGGTCCAGAGCTCCAAGTCTGGCTACTGAGAGTGCAGCCTCCAAGAAGTGCAGGAAAACAAGAGCATGACAGCAGAGACACAGCCCGTTTTGTTTTTTAATTGTGGAACAATACAGGTAACATAAAATTTACCATCTTAAACTTTTTTGTTGTTGTTGAGACAGAGCCTCGCTTTTGTTGCCCAGGCTGGAGTGCAATGGCTTGATCTCAGCTCACTGTAACCTCCGCCTCCTGGGTTCAAGCGATCCTCCTGTCTCAGTAGCTCCTGAGATTACAGGCACTTGCCACCAGGCCCAGCTAATTGTTTGTATTTTTAGTAGATGAGGTTTAGTAGTTTATATTTTTAGTAGATGAGGTAGAGATGGGGTTTTACCATGTTGGTCAGGCTGGTCTCAAACTCCTGACCTCAGGTGATCCACCCGCCTCGGCCTCCCAAAGTGCTGGGATTACAGGCATGAGCCACCACACCCAGCCAATCTTAACCATTTTTACCGTACAGATAGCAGTGTTAAATATATTCACCTTGTTGTGCAACCATCATCACCATCTGCCTCCAGAGCTCTTTTCATCTTGCAAAACTGAAACTGCCCTCATTAACTCCCCACTCACCACTTCCCTCAGTCCCTGGCAATCACCACTTTACTTTCTGTCTTTATGAGTTGGACTACTCTAAGTACAGTATATAAGTAAAATCATACAGTATTTGTCTTTTTGTGACTGGCTTATTTCACTTAGCATAATATTTTCAAAAGTTTCATTCAAGACCGGGTGCGGTGGCTCACACCTATAATCCCAGCACTTTGGGAGGCCAAGGCAGGCGGATCACTTGAGGTCAGGAGTTCGAGACCAGCCCGGCCAACATGGTAAACCCCATCTCTACTAAAAATACAAAAATTAGCTGGGCATGATGGTGCATGCCTGAGGTCCCAGCTACTTGGGAGGCAGAGGTGAGAGAGTCACTTGAACCCGGGAAGCAGAGGTTGGAGTGAGCCGAGATGGCACCACTGCACTCCAGCCTGGGCGACACAGCGAGACTCCATCTCAAAAAAAAAAAAATAAGTTTCATTCATGTTGTAGCAAGTGTCAGAATTTCCTTTTCTTTTCAGGACTGAACAATATTTCATTGTACGTATAGAGCACATTTTGCTCATCCACGCATCCATCAGTGAACATTGGGTTGCTTCCACCGCTTGGCTACTAGGAATAATGGTGCTATGAATACGGGTGTACAAACATCTCTTCGAGACCCGGATTTATATTCTTTTGTGTGTATACCCAGAAGCAAGATTGCTGAATAGATGTCTAGTCTGTTCTGCACACTACTATTGTCCCAGCCTAGTTCCTGGCATTCAAGAATGCTTGGGAAATACTGAACTGTGTTTAGAATAAGGTCCTGGGGGACAGCCATGGTGGTTCATGCCTGTAATCCCAGTGCTTTGGAAGGCTGAGGTGGGTAGATTGCTTGAGCCCAGGAGTTTGAGACCAGCCTGGATAATATAGAGAATATGTTAAATAACATAAAAATAACCACTGGGTGTTGGCTGATGCCTGTAATCCCAGCCCTTTGGGAGGCTGAGGCAGGCGGATCACTTGAAGTCAGGAGTTCGAGACCAGCCTGGCCACATGGGGAAACCCCATCTCTACTAAAAATACAAAAATCAGCCAGGTGTGGTGGCAGGCACCTGTAATCTAAGCTACTCGGGAGGTTGAGGCAAGAGAATCACTTGAACACAGGAGGCAGAGGTTGCAGTGACCCGAGATCCTGCCATTACACTCCTGCCTGGGCGAGACAGAACAAGACTCCACCTCAGAAAAAAAAAAAAAATGTAGCCAGGCATGGTGGCGCACTCCCATGGTCCCAGTTACTTGGGAGGCTGAGGCAGAAGGATCACCTAAGCCCAGGAGGTGGAGGCTGCAGTGAGCTGTGATTGTGCCACTGCACTCCAGCCTGGGTGACAGAGTGAGACCCTGTCTCAGAAAAAGAAGAAAAAGAAAAATTTCCTGGGAAGAATTCTACTTACTTGACACCTGCCACGAACTCTACACAGCCGTACATCCCTAAACGTGCTTAGAAGTGCGCTGTTAGACCATTTCGTCATTGTGTGAACATCCTAGATTGCACTTACACACACCTAGTTGGTAGAGTCTACTGCACACCCAGCCTCTATAGGACAGCCAGTTGCTCCCAGACCACACACCTGGATAGGATGCTATTGTTTTGAATACTGTAGACAACTGTCACCCAGTGGTATCTGTGGGTTTTGTTTTTTTGTTTTTGTTTTTTTTTGAGATGGAGTCTCGCTCTGTCACCAGGCTGGAGTGCAGTGGCACGATCTCGGCTCACCACAACCTCCGCCTCCTGGGTTCAAGCGGTTCTCCTGCCTCAGCCTCCCGGGTAGCTGGGATTACAGGCACCCGCCACCACGCCTGGCTAATTTTTGTATTTTTAGTAGAGACGGGGTTTCAAACACATTGGCCAGGCTGGTCTCGAACTCCTGACATTGTGATCCGCCCGCCTCAGCCTCCCAAAGTGCTGGGATTACAGGTGTGAGCCACTGTGCCTGGCCAGAGATAGGATCTTTAAAGAGGTAAATAAAATGTGGTCATTAGGGTGAGTCCTAATCCATATGCTGCTATCCTTTTAAGAAGAGGAGGCCAGGACACAGACACACACACAGAGGGACAACCCTGTAAGGACATGGGGGAAAGGCAGCCAGATATCAGCCAAAGAGAGGCCTCAGAAGGAGCCAACCCCAGCAACACCCGGACCTTATACTTTTTGCCTCCAGAACTGTCAGAAAATACATTTCTGTTGTTTAAGCTACTCGGTCTGTGGTACTTTGTCATGGCAGCCCAAGCTAACACAATTCAATATCTGAAATAAAAGAACAATCCTGAATTGATTTCTTACCATAATAAAGGAGAGAGAGCTCTGCTAACCAGACAGTCTCTCTGTGCAGAACGGTCTGGTTTTATGGAGGGTTTCGGGGCAATGTGGAGTTCAGAGGTTGTGGGGCTTTCATAGACATCAAGGGGCTGACATCATCTGCAGGACCGTGATTTCTCGAGTGGGACCCTTGTGGATTGGTTGGCACTCAGAGACGTGTGTATCAGAGTGAGTCCCTCCTAACCAAATGATTGTTTGGCGTGCAAAGGCGCGTTCACTGAGGCAGGCTGCCACGGGTCAGTTGTACGACTTTAAAACTGATTCTGATAGCTCCGTTTCCCTGGCTGCTGACTAATCCATCTTTTCCCAAGCTTGTGAGAACTTGCTTATTCTCAACTTTTTTGACAATTGGGGCCCCATGAGACTGTCAGCTCTGTGAAACGTGAAGGAGATATAAATTGTTCGTCTAAATGCATTCCTGGACAGGGCGCGTGACTGGCCTAATGTGGGCACTCGATGCATATTGGCAATTATTATTATTCCGCGCTCAGTGCACATTTGTGGAGTGGTCATCTGGGCTCCCTGAATAAGAATGGCGGGGTCAGAGGGTGTGCACGCTTTCAGCTTTAGTACCTACAAGCAGAAGAAGGAGAGCTGGAAGAAGGTGGGGCCAGGACAATCAGGATAGAGGGTCTATGAAGGCACAAGAAGAAAGCGTTTTTGAGAAGGAGGAAGAGGTCAACTCTCTTGATTGCCACAGTGAAGCCACATAACCTGAGGACAGAGGAGTGACTGTTGGATCTGACAACATAGTAGATTTTGAGCACAGCTGTGTCATGGGTGGGAGGGAGGAAGCCTGTTTAGAAGAAAGTGGTGAAAGAATGTGATCTTTTCATGCCCTAACCTCTTCTTCTAATAAGAATAGCAGTCCTATTGGATCAGCACCCACCATAATGACCTCATTTTAATGTTTTGTTTTTTTTTTTCTTTTGACATGGAGTCTTGCTCTGTCGCCCAGGCTGGAGTGCAGTGGAGCAATCATGGCTCACTGCAGCCTTAATCTCCTGGGCTCACACCATCCTCTCACCTCAGCCTCCCAAGTGGCTGGGACTACAGGCATGCTCCACCACACCCAGCTAATTTTTAAATATTTTTGTAGAGATGGGGTCTCCCTGTGTTGCCCAGGCTGGTCTCAAACCCCTGGGCTCAAGTGATCCTCCCACTTCAGCCTCCCAAAGTGCTGGGATGATAGATGTGAGCCACCACACCCAGCTTTTGGGGATTTAAGCATAATGATGCATCTGCCAATAGTTTACTCTTTATTGTTGAGGAATATTGATTGTAAAAATACAAAACAACTTCTTTAATCAACTGATGAACATTTGGGTTGTTGTCAGTTTGCGGTTATTATAAATAAAGCTTCTCATCACAAAAAAGAAAAACAGCCGGGGCGCAGTGGCTCATGCCTGTAATCTCAGCACTGTGGGATGCCGAGGCGGGCAGATCACAAAGTCAGGAGTTTGAGACCACCCTGGCCAACATAGTGAAACCCCATCTCTACTAAAAATACAAAAATTAGCTGGGCATGGTGGTGGGCGCCTGTAGTCCCAGCTACTCGGGAGGCTGAGGCCAGAGAATCATTTGAACCGGGGAGGCGGAGGTTGCAGTGAGCTGAGACTGGGCCATTGCACTCCAGCCTGGGTGACAGAGTGAGACTCCATCGCAAAAAACAATAATAATAATAAAATAAAGAAAAAAGAAAAATGAGGTAAAATTGGCAGCGATAGGAAGCTGACTGGCTGAACTTGGGGCAGACAGGAGCACTTAAGAACTATAGCTTTGTCTCTGCCTGGGGTGACTGACAGGGAACAGGTTTATGTGTTCAGTGACTAAGCAAAGAATTTCAGGCAAAGCCAAGGGCCTCCACCCTCTGAGAAGAAAAAAGGCAATTCCAGAGAGGGAAAAAAGGCTGACCCAGCAGGTCAGGGTCACGAGCATCTCAGGGGCCTTCTCCCCTTGCCGCACCTACTCCCTGAGAAGGGTGAGGTCTTTAGAGAGGCAGACAGAGGAGAGAGAGGGGGACAAGCAGATGCAGCCTCCCCTGGCAACACCCTGACTCACCTTCTGTGGCCTCCCTCCTTACTCCTACTCAGAGTGGGGACAGAGGAGGTCTGTGTCTTGCCTGCCTTGACAGTTTCTGCAGCTTCCTGCTGGGGTCTGGCTCTTCCCAGGCAGCCCAATGTACTCATGGCCAGTATGTTTTTTGGAAAGGTGACCTTGGCTGTATGTGATGAACGTATGGGAAAGGGGCAGTGAGGAAGCAGATACAACAAGGAAATGGTCATTCTTGAACAGGGAAGAGATAACAGAAGCTCGGCAGCTAAGGAGGGTGGCATGGGGATGGAGGCAGTGAGAGACAGGTGTGGACAAACCAAGGTTTCTGTTGGAGATGCAAGTGATGGATTTGAGGGGGGCAGAAGGACCCAAGACGTCCCAGACTTCTGACCTGGTGAGTGGGTGGGTGCTGGCATCCCGAGCACATCTGATTAACACTGAAAAAGAAACAATTCAGAATTTGGAGTCAAGGGACTGAGACCAACTGGAACCAGACCGAAGTGGAAACGTCCAGTGAAAGCAGGATTCATGCGTGACCAGAGACCTGGACTGGACGTACAGGACACATTGAGAAAAAGATGGTGGATCTGGCACAGGGTCCAATCCGAGGTGTTGGAATCACTAGGAGTGATGTGGCATGAGGATTTCTTCTGCTTTTGTTTTAAAATAGGGACTTGACCTTCTGCAACCGTGGAGGTGGCTCGACAGTCGAGCTTAGCCCTGGAACCTATGTTTGGTGCTGGTGCTGCCGTTGAGAAAGGAAAGTGAAGAAGAACAAGTGCAAATGGATCTGGGAGGTCTTGCCAGCACCCACGGAGATGAATTGGAACCTCCATCAGTCTCTCATGGCCTGTGGGGATGGGGCATTTTGCAGGAGACCCTGGAGCCCTTCAGTGTGAGCTAAAAACATGCAAACAGCCCAGGAGAAGCTAGTGGTGTAACCACCCAAAAGTTTCTTCCTGTCTGCTGCACAAATAAAGACCATGTTATGGCAGTAAAGAAACAATTTAATTGACGTGAGGCCAGCCACGCCATACAAAAGATGGAGTTATTACTCAAATCAATCTCATCAAAGGCTTGTAGGTTGGGGGTTTTTCAAAAGTAGTTTGGGATAAGGGGCGGGGGTGGTTATGCAATGGTTGCTGCTGATTGGTTAGGTCAGAGGTGAAATTATAGGGAGTTGAAACCATCCTCTTATGTTGAGTTGGTTCTGGGTAGGGCCACAGGAGCCATCGTGGATGGGTCCAGGTGGAGTCATGGGTGTCAGACATGCAAAAAACCTGAAAACATATCTCAAAAGGCCAGTCCACAATAGCAATGTTACCTGCAGGACCTCCAGAATAATGGCTGGCAATCTTTAAGTCTACACCTTAGCAGAATTCAGTCTTCCCCCCTCCCTTACTCTGGTGGTCTCTCATTGGCTTTCCAAAGGCGGTTGAGTTTTGGGGAAGGGATGTTATTACTTAAACTATAACCTAAATATCTCTCAAAGTTAGCTCAGCCTAAGCCCAGTGATAATTAAGGTAACTTGAAAGCTAAAGGCAAGAGGAAGATTGGCTAGATCAGCTCTCCTCCATGCCAACATTTTCTCACTGATATAATTTTTGCAAAGGTGGTTTCAGTGGGAGCTGGGAATGCCCCCATGAGCCACAAGGTGAGGCGGCAGCTGGCAGGGACGTGCATGAGCTGCATAGCACCTGGCCCAACTGTAACCTCTAAATACACACACATACACACACACACGGCACCTGGCCCAACTGTAACCTCTAAATACACACACACACACACACACACACACACACACACACACACAGCACCTGGTCCAACTGTAACCTCTAAACACACACACACACAGCACCTGGCCCAACTGTAACCTCTAAACACACACACACACACACACACACACACACAGCACCTGGTCCAACTGTAACCTCTAAACACACACATACACACACACATAGCACCTGGTCCAACTGTAACCTCTAAACACACACAGACACAGACACACACACATACACAAGGTGAGCCAGCAGCTGGCAGGGACGTGCATGAGCTGCATAGCACCTGGCCCAACTGTAACCTCTACACACACACACACACACACACACACGCACACACACAGGGCACACACAGCTGCCGCTCCACCCATGCGTTCTCCATCCCAGGCAAACACCTCTGGTGGCCAAGCCCAGCCGAGAACCATAACAGAAAGTGGACTCTGTGAAACATCACTCTGGTTCTGCCAAGTTGAGCACAGCACTGAGCCACCACAGGCAGCATTCCAAGCCACACCAGTGGGTAAAATCTCTACTGTGTCTTTGCCTAGAGATCATTAAATTGCCAAATGATGATATTCCCAGATGAGTGATGTGGATGTTCCTACAAGGGGGCCATTTAAAAGTGGAAGAGTTGGACTGGAATGGAATTAGCTTAGGTGAGGACTAGAATGTGTGTATCTCTGAAACTCTGGGGTAATATACTCTTTGGGAAGCCAAGCCAAGAGGCAAAAACGTGTTCCCAGCATGGAGGATGAGCTTACAAGGTAGGTGTCATTTATTTACGTGTTTTTTTTTCTGTTTTTTTGGTTTTTGTTTTGAGACAGGGTTTTGCTCTTGTTGCCCAAGCCTGAGTGCAATGGCGTGATCTCAGCTCACTGCAACCTCCGCCTCCCAGGTTCAAGCAATTTTCCTGTCTCAGCCTCCCAAGTAGCTGAGACTACAGGCACCCACCACCACACCTGTCTAATTTTTTGTGTTTTTAGTAGAGATGGGGTTTCACCATGTTGGACGGGCTGGTCTCGAACTCCTGACTTCAGGTGATCCACCTGCCTCGACCTCCCAAAGTGCTGGGATTACAGGCATGAGCCATGGTGCCCGGCCTATTTATGTGTTAATTTTTAAAAATTATTTTTAATTGTGGCAAAAGATATATAACACAGGCTGGGTACAGTGGCTCATGCCTATAATCCCAGCATTTTGGGAGGCTGAGGTGGGCAGATCACCTGAGCTCAGGAGTTCAAGACCAGCCTGGCCAACATGGTGAAACCCCATCTCTCCTAAAAATACAAAAATTAGCTGGGCATGGTGGCACGTGCCTGTAATTCCAGCTACTTGGGAGGCTGAGACAGGAGAATTGCTTGAACCCGGGAGGTGGAGGTTGCAGTGAGCTGAGATTGTGCCACTGCACTCCACCACACTCCAGCCTGGGTGACAGAGCAAGACTCTGTCTCAAAAAAAAAAAAAAAAAAAAAAAAAAAAAGATATATAACATAAAATTTACCATCTTAACCCTTGCTTTTAAAAAGTGTTGGAGACAGGATCTCGCTCGTTACTCAGGCTGGAGTTCAGTGGTGTGATCACAGCTCACTGTAGCCTCAAACTCCTGTGCTCAAGCAATCTTCTCGCTGCCTCTGAGTGTAGCTGGGACTAGAGAGGCACACACCATCATGCCTGTCTCAGGTTTCAATTTTCTGTAGAGATGGGGCCTCACTATGCTGCCCAGGCTGGTCTTGAACTCCTGGGCTCCAGTGATCCTATTGCTGCAGCCTCTCAAAGTGGTGGGATTCCAGGCATGAGCCACCACGCCTGGCCCTGTCTTAACCATTTTTAAGTGTACAGTTTGTCAACAAAAAGAGTCCAATGCTGTAAAATATTTGAAGAGATTTATTCTGAGCCAAATATGAGTGACTATGGCCCGTGACACAGCCCTCAGGAGATCCTGAGAACATGTGCCCCAGGCGGTCGGGGTACAGCTTGGTTTTATACATTTTAGGGAGGCATGAGATGGGGGCGGTGCTTCCAGGCTATAGGTAAATTTAAATATTTTCCGGTTGACAATTGGTTGAGTTTGTCTAAATAGTTGGAATCTACAGAAAGAAAATGTTCAGGTTAAGATAAAAGATTGTGGACAAGGTTTTTTTTGTTTGTTTGTTTGTTTTGAGATGGAGTTTGGCTCTTGTTGCCCAGGCTGGAATGCAATGGCATGATCTTGGCTCACTGCAACCTCTGCCTCCCGGATTCAAGCGATTCTCCTGCCTCAGCCCCTCAAGTAGCTGGGATTATAGGCACACGCCACCACGCTCAGCTAATTTTTGTATTTTTAGTAGAGATGGGGTTTTTCCATGTTGGTCAGGCTGGTCTCGAACTCCCGACCTCAGGTGATCTGCCTGCCTCAGCCTCCCAAAGTGTTGGGATTACAGGTGTGAGACACCGCGCCTGGCCCCAGGGTTCTTTTGAAGTCTTATAGTGGCTGCTCTTAGACACAATAGATGACAAATGTTTCATATTCAGACCTTTAAAAGGTGCTAGACTCTTAGTTAATCTCCTCAGGATTGGGAAGGCCTAGAAGAAAAAGATCTAGCTATGTTTATAGAGATTCTTTACAGATGCGAATTTTCCCCCACAAAGGACAGCTTTCAATGGCCATTTCAAAACATGGCAAAGAAACATGTTTGGGGTAAAATATTTTGACTTTCTTCTTCATCACGTAACGTTATGCCGGAGTCAGATGAGAAAGTAAGTTACAATATATAGGGTTAAACAAAACCTATCTGATGAGAATTTATGGTTTGTAGGGCATGACTTCCCAGACCCCTTACATAGGAATTTGGGCAAGATAAAAGAATCAGAGCTTAATCCTCAAGTTCAGTGACATTAAATACATTCACATCTTTGTGCAACCATCACCACCATCCAGCCCCAGAACTCTTTTCTACTTGAAAAACTGAAACTTTGTACCCATTAAACAACAGCTCCCCATTTCCTGTGGCTCAGCCCCTGGCACTTACCATTCTACTTTCTATCTCTATGAATTTGACTACTCTAAGTACCTCATGTGGAATCATACAGTATTTGTCCTTTTGTGACTGGCTTCTTCCATCTAACATAATGTCATAATGTTCATCGATGTTGTAAGAAGTGCCCGAGTTTCCTTCCTTTTTAAGGCTGAACAATATTCCATTGTATGGGTAGACCATATTGGGTTTCCATTCATGTTTTAATTTTAAGACATCATCTCCAGAGACAACTGCCTCACCTGATTTTTAACCAATACATTCCTAATCCTTAGAAAGTGTCTGATGTAGTTTTTGTTTGTTTTTTGTTTTCTTGTGTGTGTGTTTTTTCTTTTTTCTTTTTTTTTTTTTTTTGAGACGGAATCTCGCTGTGTTGTCCAGGTTGGAGTGCAGGGGCGCAATCTCGGCTCACTGCAACCTCTGCCTCCCAGGTTCAAGCGATTCTCCTGCCTCAGCCTCCCAAGTAGCTGGAATTACAGGCAAGAGCCACCAGGCCCAGCTAATTTTTTGTATTTAGTAGAGACGGGGTTTCACCATGTTGGTCAGGCAGAGGGTATTGTTGATCTTGAGAAGATTTTGTAGAGTGGCAGCAAATCCTGGTTGGAGTGAACTGAGGAGAAAATGGGAGGGGAGAAATGAGTCTATGGGGACAGTGAGTACAGCCAGCTCCTCAGAGGGCACGTGGCCTCCGCAGGGAACTGGAAGATTGTCATTACTGCCGCAGCATGGAGACCCAGGATGGGAGCAGAGAGAGGTGAAGCTGGGCCAGCTGGCAAGGTTGGGTTTGGAGGGCCCGAGGCATCATGTTGGCCACTTGGACTTTACCCTGATGGGCGGCAGCCCTGGGGTACCCGGAGCAGGGGCAGGAGATTACACAGTGAGGCTTTCTTTTTGGCCACTGTGTGTGTGTGGAACGGGTGGAAGGTGACTAGATAGAAAAGGAAGAACGTTTAGGAGGCCACAGCAGATGCCCAGGGAGAGATGGTGGCAACATGGATGGAGTCCTGGGGACAGACCCCAACTGACAGTGCTGATAGTGGGAGATGATCAAATTTCTTTGGAGAGTTACAGAAATGTTGAGACAAATGGGATGAATTTTCTGGCTGAAGCTTGTGCCCCCCGAGGAGAGGAAGCTTCAAAACATCCACATGGGCTGAACGTGCAGAGGGGACGCTGGCCCACGACACCTAGGAATCCTCCCTTGATTCCTGAGCTGAGACCTCGTCACTGCACTCCAGCCTGGGCAATAAGAGCGAAACTGTGTCTCAAAAACAAACAAACAAACAAAAATCCCAAAAAGCAAAAAACCAAAAAACAAGGCCTCAGTGAGCCCCATGACTCACAGCAGGCTCCTGGTCCTGTCTGCATTTTAGAAAGGTCACCCTTGCCTAGGCTGGGGAAATGAAAGGAAGTGGGAAAAAGTGGAAGCAGGGAGACCAGCAAAGAGGCTGGCACACTTGCTGCTGTGGGATCCCCAACCCCACCCCAGAAATTCATATGTTAAAGTCTGAGCCCCCAGACTACCTAAGGATGTGGCCTTATGTAGAAATAGGGTTGTTGCAGATGTAAGACATTAAGACGAGGTCACACTGGAGTATGACAGGCCCTAATCCAGTACGACTGGGGTCCTTATGAAAAGGAGGAATTTGGACACAGATGTGTACACAGGAGAAGACAATGTGAAGATGAGGACAGAGATCAGGGCAATGGCCAATGGAGGCCAATGATGGCCAATGACTGCCAGCAAACCCCCAGCAGCTAGGGGAGAGGCCTGGAACAGATCCTTCTTCCCTGTTGTCAGAAGGAACCAGCCCTGCTGGGTTTCTGGCCTTCAGAACTGTGAGACAACACATTTCTGCTGTTTAAGCCTTAATATTTATGTAGAGGTGAAGTTTTGATACATTGCACAAGCTGATCTTGAACTCCTGGGCTAAAGCGATCCTACCTCCTTGGCCTCCCAAAGTGCTAGGATTACAGACATGTGCCACCATGCCTAGCTAATTTTTCTATTTTTAGTAGAGATAGGGTCTCTCTATGTTGCCCAGGCTAGTCTGGAACTCCTGGGCTCAAGCGATCCTCCTGCTTTGGCCTCCTAAAGTGCTGGGATTATAGGCATGAGCAACTACAACTGGCCCCACTGCCTGTTTTTGTATGGCTCATGAGCTAAGAATGGTTTCAGTATTTTTAAATGGTTGAAAACAAATCCAAAGAAGAGTATTTTTGATGTGACAAAATCATCTGAAATTCAAATTTCAGTGTCCCAAAATAATGTGGAACATAGCCATGTTCATTCACGTACATATTGTCCATGGCAGATTTTACACAAAATGGTAGAGTTGCATAGTTACAACAGAGACTGTACAGCCCACAAGCCTAAAATAGTTATTGTCTGGTCTGTTCCTGAAGTTTTGCTAACCACTGCACTTGATTATAAGTTCCAATAAAAAAGGCATCAGTTTGGTTCAATACAATATCTCTTACACCTCGCACCATGGCTGGCATGTTAGATATGTTCCTGTGTATTTCTTATGTAAATGAATGTGGAGCTGAAGCTTGCCCCGTACTCCTCTGGCCTTACTGTTACTGGTTGTTCACCTCCCTGCTACTCCAGTTGAGTATAAGGTCCTCAATGGCTATGATCATGCCTTGTGCATCTTCTCTTTTACAGAATCTTACCCAGGGAAGGGGTCAGTGAATGTCTGAATGGGTTGGTCCAAGCATTTTGAATCCAGGCAAGTATATTCTTCAGTGAACCCTGGACAGCTCATAAAACCTCATCGTGGCTCAGAGGAAACATTGCTCTATACTGTGGACCTCCATGTTTTCATTCCATGCACTCCAAAAACCCTCCTGATTTACCTTCATTTTGAAGCACAATCTTTCAGTTCCTGCAAATAATTTCTTCTCACTCATTCCTTTGTAAATCACTAACAACACTGGCTAACATTTATTGAGAATTTACTCTGTGTTAAGCACATTACATGCATTATCTAGTAGAAGCTTAAAAACACACAGTGGGATGCTCTTTCTTGACTTATTCAGATAGGCAAAAAAGATGGCTATAGGCCAGGCACACTTCAGACCAGTTTAGCATCACAGCAAAGGGAACGATATTTCTCATAATTCCCAAGGAAAAGTCCCAGGTCAGTAAGTCTCTGACTGGCCCATTGGAGTCATGTGCCCATTCCTGAACCAATCACTGTGGGCATAGCAACAGCATGAAGTGACCAGGCCTAGGTCAGATGCTAACCAGTTCTCCATAGGAAAGAAGGCTTCTGTGGCAGGAAGCCTGGGGAAGGAGTGTTGGGCAGAAAAACTACAGAGATCTGCAACAACATAAATTATGTTCATGAATACTGATGAGATCAGTTCTATCTCTGGCATTTTCAGTTACTTAGGCCAATAAATTCTCCTTTTTATTTAAGTCAATTTGAGTTTAATATCCTTTTTCTTCTAACTAAAAGCAAATGAATTCATTTATATATTTTCCCTCTCCATCAGAATGTAAGTTCCATGAGAACAGACACCAAGTCTATTTTGTTCCCTGCTGTCCTCCCCTTGCCTAAAACAGTGCCTGGCACCACAGTAGCTGCTCAGTAAATATCTGCTGTTTTGTGATTATCTATTTAATGTCTGACCCCAATCCCACCAGGATCATTTCCATGCAGCTCAACGATTTGTTTTGAACTCATCTGTGTATCTCCCAGTCCCTAATACATGTCTCACACATAAGGGTCCTTAGAATACACTGAAGAATAAACAAATGTCTCTTCCACTGAACTCTAAGAAACAGGAAAATAGAGACTGTGTATGTTTTGATAGTAATTATATCCTTGGGATCTAGCACTGTTTGATATGTAGAAGTGCCCCCCATCATTATTGGTTGAATAATGACTAAATACATTTTAATATGGTAAGGATGCATAAAGTTTATGTCACCAGTGTTTGAAGCAATTCCTGAAGTGAAAACTTATGAATTCATGGGGTCTGCAGAGGTTTACATAGACAATTTTTGTTCTTTTGCAGAGACTCCATCCAAGGACAGATGTTGACACATACAAAATTCTTGCATAAACCATTGATGGAGGAATAGAAGGCTTTAGGGCTTCAAGCAGTCCTTCCCATCCCCCAGCCAGGGTATGCTGACGTCAGTTGTTCTGGCTTATTCCCTCTCAAAAACTCTTAGCTCTTGTTAGCTACAGAAGCAGGTTCAGTTTGTTACCATGGAAACTGCAGCTGGAGTGGGGAAGGGGAGGGAGGCTGAGGAATGGTCAGACACTGGAATTTTCCAGCTCTGGAGGCAGATTATGTGGAATAGAAATCCGAGACCAGCAGCACACAGTCAGCTCTCAATAAATAATAATTATTATTTTATTTATTTATTTATTTATTTTTGACATGGAGTCTCACTCTGTCTCCCAGGCTGGAGTGAAGTGGTGTGATCTCTGCTCCCTGTAACCACCCCCTCCCGGGTTCAAGCGATCCTCCTGCCTCAGCTTCCCAAGTAGCTGGGACTACAGGGTAGCGCCACCACACCTGGCTAATGTTTTGTACTTTTAGTAGTGGCAGGGTTTCACCATGTTGGCCAGGCTGGTCTCGAACTCCTGAGCTCAGGCAATCTGCCTGCCTCAGTCTCCCAAAGTGCTAGGATTACAGGCATGAGCCACCGAGAGGCCTCAATACATATTTTTTGGGGTGACAGTGAAAATATTAGAACTTGGACAAGTAACCTCCTATCTCTGAGCTTCTGTTTGCACTTATAAAATAAAAATAATCGTTCTACTGTGTAAGAGGTTTCAATTAAGATGATATAAATACAACACTTACCACGAACTTTATAAATCACAGTTTCTCAAGTGTAGTTTTCTGACCTGCTTTAGAATTGTTTGGAAGTACTTATTTACAAATTCCGGATACCGTTTTCTTTTCTCCTCCAGTTCTTTTTCTAAGAGGAACACAATCATTTTTCCCCCCCACCTTAACATGTCTTCTAAGTTGCTAGATAAAATATAGGACACCCAGCATATCCAAACGGGACATACTTATGCTAACAAATTATTTGCTTAGTTTATCTGAAAATCACATTTGACAGGGTTATCCTACATTTTTTATTTACTAAATCTGCAACCCTACTTTTCACACTAGGTCACTCTGAGACAAATCAAAAGTTGGTGTTATTAGCTAATCTATCCGATTAACAGTAGCTAATTATTAGCGAATCTGTCTGTTAACAGTAACTCAGGGTGCCTTTTTCAAAGACTCCAGTCAGTCATTTGAGAAATACTCAAGGAGCATCCATTCCATGCCAAGTACCATGCAAGGTGTAGAGGATACTGCACCTACACTCATCAGTGGCTGCCCTCTCAGAGCTTTCATTCTGATCATAGAATCATACATCTTTTCCCCACAACATAACGAAATCTTGGGAGGCCGAGGCAGGCGGATCTCTTGAGCCCAGAAGTTCGAGATCAGTCTGGGCAACGTGGTGAAACCCCATTTCTACAAAAATACCAAAAAAAAAAAAAAAATTAGCTGTGTGTAATGGTGCGTGCCTGTAGTCCCAGCTACTCAGGAGGCTGAGGAGGGAGGATCACTTGAGCCTGGGAAGTTGAGGTGAAGTGAGCTGTGATCACATCACTACACTCCAGCCTGGATGATAGAGCGAGACCCTGTCTCAAAAAAACCGGAAAAACAAAAAAACCGTATGAAATTTCAAAATATTTCAAAATATTCAAAATATGATTAAATATAATTCTAAAACTGAAATTTAATAGAATTCTAAAACTTATTTTTTAAAAGATTACCTCACTGTCTAGATCACAATGTAAAAATAATGTGTCCAAATGCACATTTCTCCAAGCTCTATCACAGACCTTTCGGTATAGCTGACGGACGTCCCACGTTTGACCCGTTCTCCTGTTTCCCAGTCGGCCGTGGGCTCCCTGAGGACAGGGCGTGTGTCACTTCTCGCAAGGTTTCCCAGGCGCCCTTGCGCAGGGCCCTGCACGAAGCGCATGCGCACTACCCGCGACCTCGTTGACCGGAAATACTTCTGCCTGGGTCTCACCACAACCGTCCTCTGTGACTGGAGCTCGACTGAAGAGAGCTGCGACTCTGAGGACGTAGTCAATGGAGGCCATGGTTCTACTGACCAACTCCTTCAGAGGAACCGGGAGGACAAACCACAACGGCGAACAGGCTAGATTCGAAGGCGGGCGGGGTGCATGCACAGAGGGCCTCGAACTCTGGCACCATCTTGGGCCCCCGCGGGCTGGACGCTCGGCCTTTCCCTGGGGTCGGCCAGGTTGGTGGGCTTGCGTCCCGCGCCTCTTCGACACACAGACTTCCCGTCTCTTGGGGAGATACCGCCGATGTCCTCCAGACGGCAGTGCTGGGGATTCCAGTCGGCGCCGGGCTGCAGGCCTCGCGCTGAGACCCAGCCCGTCGTGGTTGGGCGTTACCCAGGTGACCTGATAATCACAGGACTCATCCGCCAGACGTGGTCTCTTCTCTGCCTTGCCCCACCGACGGCTTCCAGTTTTGCAGCTAGAGTCTTCGAAAAAGGCGAGCAACTTCCCAGAACGGCTGCTGAAGTCTGGGGCCCATCCCCTTACCCCTAGTGCGCCCATTCTACGCTAGCGTTTCTCAGAACTTGCTATTTCCGATTATTAGCATTGATTTGACTGGGGGAAAAGCCTGTGAGACGCCTAGCGCGGAGGATAGGAAATGGCTTTCGACAAGAAGCAGTTGCTGGGGTACTCAGCCTCTTTTACACAGTTCTGTGGAGATGCAGATTACGTCAAAATGTACCCAGTGTACAACTGAATATTTTTTGGTAAATGTATGAGTTGTACAGCCATCACCGCAACCCACTTTTAGAATGTTTACGTCAACCAATCCCACCATCCCCAGTTCCCTCGAGCCCATTTGAGGATCAGCCCCAGGCAAGCACTAATCCACTTTATGGCTCTTGAGATTTCCCTTTTCTGGACGTTCCATGAAAACTGAATTGTACAGTTTATGATGTTTTCTTCTTACCTTTAGCAGAACACTTTTGAAGTTCATCCATATTGTAACGTTTATGTGGAGTTTGGTCTCTTTTAGAGGAAGCTAGTTTTGGTTCAGAACTGCTTTGCTGAGTGAATCGTAGAGACTGTTGACATTGCTTGAAAGCTGTAGGTGTACCACGCACCCCTTTATGCCCTTAAGTTTGGCTCAGTTTTGTCAATTTCTTTTTTCCCTGGATTGAGCATGTATAATTAGGATTCTCAGACTTATTAGCTGAAAGTCTGTTAAGGATGCCGGGTTTGTTCACTTGCTGGCTTGGATTTGGATCCAGGCCCTCTCGCTTGTGTGATTTTGGACAACCATTTAACCTCCTTATGTCTTAGTCTGCAGGGGATATTTATTCCTAGTTTAAATGAGTTATTGCATGAGGAGTGTTTAGTGTCTGGCACATAGTTCAGCTAAAAATGTTAGCTATCATTATCTTGCATGGTTTTTTTTTTAATTGTGCTTTTTTTTTTTTTTTTTTAGTGGTGATGAGTTAGAGATGAGTGCTATTGCAACCCAGTGAGCTAGGGTATTAAAACTTGTCTGTTTTCTTATGACCCAGATCAATTTGTGGCACATACTTATTTGCTTCCTGGGAGTTGGTAGGAAATTTATACAGCTCACCAAGATTATTTTGATAGTTACTTTTGGTACGTTATATTTTTTCAGGAAATTATGTATTTCCTTATGTTTGCAGATTTATTAATAAAAGTAAATGGTGGGGTGTTAAGACTAATCTCTGGAGGGCAGAAATGAGGGTTAGAGTGCTGAGCTCTATGTGGAACATACGGCAATTTGTTTAACATCCCGAGGACCCAGGTTCATCCGTGGAATTGGATAACAATGGCACCCTACCTTCCTGGTTGTCAGGAAGATTAAATGGAAATCTTCTATTTAACCACAGCACCTGGCAGCACAGGGAAAGTTCCATAACTGCCAGCTGTTGTTATTTCCATTCTGCAGCGTTCTTTCCAATTAAAACAGCTTAGGGATTGTAAACCTCTGTGAACCAGTTAATTAAAATGAACTGGGAAGCCCTCCACTGTTTTCTAGGCCTTGGAACACTTTATGGAACAGAGACATTATTTGTTCCTTGAAAGTTGGAGGTTAGTTTCCATTCCTACTCCAGTCACCTTTTGAGGCCATGCTTTTTCTTCCTTTTTTCGGGGGTTGGGGGGTACTTTTTGTGCACTACTCCTCCCTTTTAATAAGAGTTTTAAATATAATAACAAAGAGGGTCAGCAAATCTTTTCTGTAAATGGCCAAACAGAGAATATTTCAGGCTTTGTTCGATATACCGATGTCTTGTCAAAATTACTCAGTTCTGTCCTTGTAGTGTGAAAGCAGCTGTAAATAAATGGGTGTGTCTGGGTCCAGTAAAACACAGCCAATGTTATTTATGAACATTGAAATTTAGGTTTCATTTAATTTTCTCATGAAATATTTTGTTTTTTTCAACCATCAAGTTTTTTTTGTTTTTTTTTGAGACGGAGTCTTGCTCTGTCGCCCAGGCTGGAGTGCAGTGGTGCGATCTCGGCTCACTGCAACCTCCGCCTCCCAGGTTCATGCGATTCTCCTGCCTCACCCTCCTGAGTAGCTGGGACTACAGGTGTGTGCCACCACGCCTGGCTAATTTTTTGTATTTTTAGTGGAGACGGAGTTTCACCTTGTTAGTCAGGATGGTCTCGATCTCCTGACCTCGTGATCCACCCACCTCGGCCTCCCAACATGCTGGGATTACAGGCATGAGCCACTGTGCCTGGCCCATCTATTTTTGATTCAACCGAATTTTTGTATTTTGGCTGTGTGAACTGTATAAAAACACAGCAGACTGGACTTGGCCTGCTTGCTGTAATTTGCTGACCCCTACCATAGTATTTCATGACACAGTGACTAGTGGTGTGATGTAGAGTCAGAAAGACGTGGGTTTAATAAAATTTTGGTTCTGATATGTGTTAATTGGGTGTATTTGGGCAAATTAGCACATCACTCAGCCTCATGGTCTTCATCTTGCAATAGGCAGTAAACTTACCTACCTTCTTGGTTGTCAGTTGGGATAATACATGTGAAGGGAGTCAGTGTGATAATCCACAGTGCTAGGAGTCCAGTGAATCATATATTAGCTATAGCATATTCTTTTTTGAGAGTTGGTTGAGTAGACTAAGTGCTGGAGGGTAGAGCTAGATGACTTGGTTTTTAATCCTAGCCACTTTCTAGCCATGTGACTTTGTGCCAGTCATCTACCCTCTCTGTGCTTCCCCTTCCTCATCTGTAAAATAGGGATTATTAATAGTACCTACCTTAGATAGTTGTCATGAAGATTTGAGAAGCTAACAATTATAAAGTGCTCAGACACATTCCTGGTACATACACATTCTTATTATGTCAAAATAAGGTATATTTGGGGTTGAAAATCCATGTGCTTTCTTCAAATGAAACACTTTTGTCTCTTTTTGCTGAAATTTACACAATTTATAAAGCATAAGAATTATTTGTTCTTTGGAAATGTGAAGAAAGTTGCCTATAAATGGCAAAGGCTTGGAGAACTTTTTGAGGAAAGTACTCCCCTGACGTCTGCCAAGTGTTTATTATCTCCCTTCCTTTCAAGAACGTTCCATTTCATTATGGCTTTCAAATTTAATAGCCTAGAAATGTACTGAGTGGTGGTTGAGGGCTGAGGCTCAGGAATCTAACAGATTTGAGTTTGATTTCTAGCTCTGCCACCCTTTAGCTTGTAACCTGGGAAAAAATACCTCTTAAGGCTTGCCTCTCATCTGTAAAACCTGGGTAATAATGGCATCTACCTTATTAAGTTGTTATGATAATTAAACATAATCATTCACATAAGGTGCTTGGTGCCAGGCCTTACCCATTGTAAAAGTTTAATAAATTATAGCTATTATTTTTATTATTCTCCAGGGCACTCTTGAATTAAGATGCACTTGGAAGCCATCTGCTAGCTTCTTAAATGGACAGCTTCCCTCTTATTGTAGGTTTGAAATGCTTAATAGCATTGTAGGTTGAGTATTCCTTATCTGAAATGCTTGACACCAGAAGTGTTTTGGATTTCTGATTTTTTTGGATTTGGGATTTTCAACTGTATATGAATTATTTGTTCTTAGGAGGCTGCCTTCATGAACCTGTTAGTCATAAGTTTGTTTTCTTTTTTTTTTTTTTTTTTTTTTTTTTTAGACGGACTTTTGCTCTTGTTGCCCAGGCTGGAGTGCAATGGCGCAATCTCGGCTCACCGCAACCTCCACCTCCCAGGTTCAAGCAATTCTCTCGCCTCAGCCTCCCTAGTAGCTGGGATTACAGGCATGCACCATCACGCCTGGCTAATTTTTTTTTTTTTTGTATTTTTAGTAGAGATGGGGTTTCTCCATGTTGGTCAGGCTGGTCTCGAACTCCTGACCTCAGGTGATCCGCCCACCTCGGCCTGCCAAAGTGCTGGGATTACAAGCGTGAGCCACCACGCCCAACCCATAAGTTTGTTTTCTAAGAAAAAGGGGGGCCGTTTCTTGAAGATTTTCAGTGCATTTGCATAGGATTGTGTTGGGAGATAGTAAGCAGTATAGACAGAAAAACTCGTATTTGAATTCTGGCTTTCTCAACTATTTAGATTATGACCATGAGTAGATAGTGTCCCCTCTGAGCTGCAGATTTCTCGTCTACAAAATAAGTATATTAGTTTCAGTTTCATTAAGGTTGTTAGGAAAATACACCTAGATATGTATTTTTAATAACAGCCTTACCAAGATATAATTCGTCTGCCATACAATTCACCTATTTACAGTGTGTACAGTTCAGTGGTGTTTAGTAATATTCAGAGTTGTATGGCCATCACTGCCCTCAATCTGAGAACATTTTAATTACCCTAAAAAAAAACTCTTCACTCCTCATTCCCCTCTTCCTCCAACCGTAGGGAACCATTCACCTATTTTCTGTCTATAGATTTGCCTATTCTGGACATTTCATATAAATGGAATCATACAAGGTGTGAGCTTTTGTGACTGCCTTTTTTTACTTAGCCTACTGTTTTCAAAGTTCATCTATGCTGTAGCATGTATTAGAACGTTGTTCTTTTCTATTGCCAAATAATATTCTGTTGTTTGGCTATACATTATTTATCTGTTCATCAGCTAATGGCCATTTGGGTTTTTTCCCCTTTTTGGCTATGTTATGAATAATGCTGTTAAGAACATTGATGTGCAAGTTTTTGTGTGAACATGTGTTTTAATTTTACCTACCAGTAGAATTACTGGGTCATGTGGTAACTCTATGTTTAACGTTTTGAAGAACTGCCAGATTGTTTTCCAAGTGGCACCCAGATCTTTTATAAAGCACTTACTCCAGTGCCTGGCACAGGGTAAGTATCCCATACAAGATAGCTATTCTTGTAACACATTTTCATTGTAGGAAATATGTTCTTGAAAGCCACTCTTCTAATTTAGTTCAATGAATTGGCAAGCCCTCGTCTTTTTCTTCTTAATGTCCTGGGAACTATCTGTGCAGACTAAGAATAATTTGTTCCTTAGGCATTGGAAGAACACTTACAGTCAAACAGATTTCAAGTAATTTTGTTTCCCTAGAAAATTATGCATTTCTTTAAGGTTTTCCAGTTTATTAATACAGAATTAATGTAGGATAGTGGTTGCAGAGTCTGACCTCTGGAGTTACTTACTGGATATGCTTCAGTTTCCTTATATGTAAAATAGAGGTGATGAGAACACCTATCTCAGGAATTGTGAGGATGAGCTGCAAATACATGTAATGCTTGATGCAGTATATAGCACACGGGAAATATTCAATAAATATTAGTTTTATCTCATGGAGCCTGTGGGGGCTAGATTATTAAAATGTACCAGAAAGTTTTAACATACAGGATTCTTTGTAAGAAGGCTTTTCTTACCTTTTTTCCCCCCCATTTGGCAGTCAGTTTGCTAATTTTTATTTTCCTTGAAAATGTTCCTTTTCATTAAAATTTTCATATGTACTCATCTAAAATCATATTGAATATTAACTTTTTTAAACTTTTAATAGGTAATATATTTGTGTGGTTTGAAATTCAAAAAGGAGAAAATTCCTCCTCCCATCTTTCCCTCTCTATAGATAACCAGTGTCTCAGAAGATGTGTTTGAGTCAGAAAAAGAAAAAAAAAAAGATAACCAATGTCAATAGTTTTGTGAATATCCTTCCAGTGTTATTCCATGCATATAGAAGCAAATATGTATACAGTGTGTTTCTCTTTTTATTTAATAAATGAAGTATACTGTGTTTACTGTTCAACACCTTGGCTTTTCATTTAACAATGTATCTTGGCGATTGTTCCATAAGAGTTTTTGCATGCTTTTTTATCATTGTAGATTTTTCTATTAAATGTATGTGCCATAATTTATTCATCCAGTCTCCTCTTTGTGAACATTTTACTTATTGTTAGACTTTGTTAAATCTGTATCTCTTAGCTCCAGATGTTTTTCTGCTTTCTGATTCATGTTTTACTTTTATATCAATTATTGCCTTTTTCTCCATTCTTCTTAGGTTTATCTCATGATGGGCCTTTAAAATGAACCAGATAAAAATGATTTTCTCTACCTGCACGATGATCTGCATTGTGGAAGCCAGAGTAGCTCTCCTTATCATTCTGGTCATGTTCTTAGGCATTGACATGTGAGTATGTGTGGAAATCATGCTGTTTTTCAGGGGACCTGCTTGAGATGTGAGTGCCGATCTCACCTGGGAGAAATTCTTGTAGTGTGCTACAGTTGCGGGTTGTATGGGATCTCCAGTCGTTAAATGGCCTACAGGTCTTGCAGGGTCTGACTCTTCTGTGCTTCTGTAGCCTTTATCTTATGCCATTCTGTATTCTAGCTACACAGGTTTCTGTACTCCTCCAGCCTCATAAGCCTTGTGCACACCGTTAACTAGGCATGGAATGTCTTTCTTTATTACCTAGTCTGGGTCAGGCTCTCTGATATATGTGTTATAGCACAATATTTCTTTCATCACATTTATTGCTTGTTACTTATGTTATTTATATGCTTATTTGATTGTTTGGCTTCATCAGTGAGCTATAAGCCCCATGAAGGCAGAGACTGTGTCTCCATTGTTTATCACTGTGTCTCTAGTGTCTGAATGTAGTTGATACGCATTACCTGTTTATTAGATGGTTGGATAAATGAACATCTACCATTTTGCCAGTTCAGGGTTAGAGCTTTCTGGCTGGTAAGCCAACTTGAGCAAAAAGTGGATGAGTAACCCTGCATTTTCTACATGTACTACTTTGGTTACCATGTTATAGCTTGACTTCTGAATGTTTTAGCTTCTCATGAGAAATGGTGTCCAGTGCCCTTTTGGACAGGGACATATAAGCTGAACTTTAGTTCTGAACCTTAACACTGTCTGCCAGACTTGACATATTTTCCTTTTATAATATCTGATTCATGATGGAGGTGGTCTTTTGCCTGTCTTTAATCCTGTATGTAATTAATTGCTTTTGGGAACTGTTCTTTTAATATTTGGACTTAGTGGTACTTTTTGTGAAAGGGTTGGTTACTTTAATATGAATGTTTGGCTTTATACTGTCCTGAAACTCCTACTTGAGAAAGTTAAAAAATAAAAGTTTTCCTTAAGGAAAATTTGTTAGATTTGCACTACTGAGGAACGGTGTACAAATTTGTATCTGAAGATATTTATCCAGCAGCACCGAATATATACACATGAATTCGAAATACTTAAGAACTGGTTTATTTATTTATCTTGTAAAGTAGTGTTTATTTTAATCTGACCATGCAACAAATCAGCTATGTGTGGAGGACTTCAGAGCCCTGGCAGAGACCTCTCCAGAATCCCTGCTCAGTGTCTCCACTTGCTTTAGTGTAAGCATTTTAAATATTACATGTCCCACATAGCTTTTGATGTTATGCTCTTACCCTGAAACCTGTGTCTCAGTTACTCACCAAATAACACTCCTGTGCACCCAGTTGTCCAAACCAGAAATGTGGAACTCATTTCTGATTCTTTTTTCTTTGCCACACATACACAAATCATCAGCAAGATTTCTCTATATTGTTTCCAAAGTACATCTTGTATTTGTTCACTTCTGCGTATCTCTACTGCCACCATACTAGTTTGGAGCCCTGCCATCCTTTGCTGCCCCTTAACTGGTCTTCCTGCTTCCTCTGTTAAGTATCTCTAGTCCCCTAGTTCTCCACAGAGCAACATGAATCATCTTAAAATGCACTGTGTCAGGCCTTATTTAAAAATCTTTAATGGCCTCCATTACATTTAGGATTAAGTTCAAGATCTTCCTCTTAATCTACAGTTCCAAAAGAGCTGGCTTTTGAATACCTGTACAACCTCATTTTACACCCCTCATTATCCTCTAGCCACTCTGATGTCTTTTCTGTTTTTTTTCCTTTATTATCTTTGTATATTGCTGTTTTGTTCTTTTTATTTTTTTATGTTTTGAGATGGAGTCTCGCTCTGTTGCTCAGGCTGGAGTTAAGTGGTGCGATCTCGGCTCACTGCAACCTCTGCCTCCTGGGTTCAAGCGATTCCCCCACCTCAGCCTCCCGAGTAGTAGCTGGGATTACAGGTATGCACTACCATGCCTGGCTAATTTATGTATATTTAGTAGAGACGGGGTTTCACCATGTTGGCCAGGCTGGTCTCAAGCTCCTGACCTCGAGTGATCCTCCGCCTCAGCCTCCCAAAGTGCTGGGATTACAGGCGTGAGTCACCACGCCCTGCCTGTTTTGTCTTTTTGAAATGTTCTTCCCTTCTTCTTCCCCAGGCTGGCTTTTTCAAAATTTAGTCTTAGTTTCTCTTCCTCAGAGATCCCTGACTATTCTGTATCTACCATACAAACATAACCATCCTCATTTCGGCATCCTGGGTTTTTTGTTTGTTTGTTTGTTTAAAGCATTTACCATAATCTTTAAAGGTTTATTGAATGTCTCTTCCCAGCTGGACTGAAACTCTGAAGACATATTAAATAAATAAGTTATGGCAGGGGCCATTTCAATTTGATTTACAATGAACCATGAAGTTGACCTAGCATTGGGTCTTATATTAAAAGTAATTGCGAAAACCACTATTACTTTTGACCAACCTAATAAGATAGTAGGTACTCAAATATTTGCTGAAACAATAGCTGAATAATCATTTATCGAGAGACTTCTGTGTATTAAGCTTTGTGCTAGGCCTTGAGATCATAATAGTGAAAAAGACAGATTTCCATCCAATCTGCTCAAATAACCCAGACTGTTACAGATTTACTGTAGACCAGAGATTCTCAAGCTTTTTGGTCTCAAAACCCATTTACACTCATGAAAATGAGGACCCTAAAGAACTTTTGCTTATGTGGCTTATACCTATCAATATGTATAGTTTTAGGTATTTTAAAAACTAGAAATATGGCCGGGTGTGGTGGCTCATGCCGGTAATCCCAGCACTTTGGGAGGCTGAGGTGGGCGGATAACTAGGTCAGGAGTTCGAGACCAGCCTGGCCAACATGGTGGAACCCCATCAGGATGAAATTTGGATGGGGACACAGAGCCAAACCACATCATTCCTCCCCTGGCCCCTCCCAAATCTCATGTTTTCACATTTTAAAACCAATCATGCCATCCAAACAGTCCCCTAAAGTCTTCACTCATATCAGGATTAACTCAGAAGTCCACAGTCCAAAGTCTCATGGGGTTCCAACATGGTGGAACCCCACCATGCCATCTCCAGCACGCGCCTGTAATCCCAGCTACTCAGGAGGCTGAGGCAGGAGAATTGCTTAACCGGGATCCGGGAGGCAGAGGTTGCAGTGAGCCGAGATCATGCTACTACACTCCAGCCTGTGCTACAGAGTGAGACTCTGTCTCAAAAACAAACAAACAAACAAACACCTAGAAATAAAGTCAGAGGATTTCAGTACCTGTATTAGTCCAATTTCACACTGCTGATAAAGACATACCCAAGACTGGGAAGAAAAAGAGGTTTAACGGACTTACTGTTCCACATGGCTGGGGGGCCTCACAGTCATGGCAGAAGGCAAGGAGGAGCAAGTCAAGTCTTACATGGATGGCACCAAAGAAAGAGAGCTTGTGCAAGGAAACTACCATTTTCAAAACCATCAGATCTCATGAGACTTATACACCATCATGAGAACAGCACAGGAAAGACCCACCCCCATGATTCAGCTATCTCCCACTGAGTCCCTCCCACAGCACGTGGGAATTATGGGAGCCACAGGATGAAATTTGGATGGGGACACAGAGCCAAACCACATCATTCCTCCCCTGGCCCCTCCCAAATCTCATGTTTTCACATTTTAAAACCAATCATGCCATCCAAACAGTCCCCTAAAGTCTTCACTCATATCAGGATTAACTCAGAAGTCCACAGTCCAAAGTCTCATATGAGACAAGGCAAGTCCCTTCTGCCTATGAGCCTGTAAAATCAAAAGCAAGCTAGTTACTTCCTAGACACAATGGGGGTACAGGTATTGGGTAAATATAGCTGTTCCAAATGGGAGAAATGGCCAAAACAAAGGGGCTACAGGGCCCATGCAAGTCCAAAATCCAGCTGGGCAATCAAATCTTAAAGTTCCAAAATGATCTTCTTTGGCTCCATGTCTCACATCCAGGTCATGCTGATGTAAGAGGTGGGTTCCCATGGTCTTGGGCAGCTCTGCCCCTGTGGCTTTGCCAGGGTACATCCTCCCTCCAGGCTGCTTTCATGGGCTGGCATTGAGTGTCTGCAGCTTTGCCAGGTGCCCAGTGCAAGCTGTAGGTGGATCTACCATTCTAGGGTCTGGAGGATGGTGGCCCTCTTCTCACAGCTCCACTAGGCAGTGCCCCAGTAGGGACTCTGTTTGGGGGCTCTGACCCCACATTTCCCATCTGCACTGCCCTAGCAGAGGTTCTCCATGAGAGCCCTACCCCTGCAGCAGACTTCTGCCTGGACATTCAGGTGTTTCCGTACATCCTCTGAAATCTAGGTGGAGGTTCCCAAACCTCAATTCTTGACTTCTGTGCACCCGCAGGCTCAACACTACGTGGAAGCTGCCAAGGCTTGGGACTTGTACTCTCTGAAGCCATGGGCCAAGCTGTGTCTTGGCCCTTTTTAGTCATGGCTAGAGCAGCTGGGATGCAGGACACCAAGTGCCTAGGCTGCACACAGCACGGGGACCCTGGGCGCAGCCCCCAAAACCATTTTTTCTTCCTATGCCTCCAGGCCTGTGATGGGAGGGGCTGCTGTGAAGACCTCTGATATGCCCTGGAGACATTTTCCCCATTGTCTTGAGGATTAAAATTTGGCTCCTCCTTACTTATGCACATTTCTGCAGCAGGCTTGAATTTCTCCTCAGAAAATGGGATTTTCTTTTCTATCGCATTGTCAGGCTGCAAATTTTTCGAACTTTTATCCAGGAGCTGGTTTTTTGAAAAGATCAACAAAACTGATAGACCGCTAGCAAGACTAATAAAGAAGAAAAGAGAGAAGAATCAAATAGATGCAATAAAAAATGATAAAGGGGATATCACCACCGATCCCAAAGAAATACAAACTACCATCAGAGAATACTATAAACACCTCTACGTAAATAAACTAGAAAATCTAGAAGAAATGGATAAATTCCTCAACACATACACCCTCCCAAGATTAAACCAGGAAGAAGTTGAATCTCTGAATAGACCAATAACAGGCTCTGAAATTGAGGCAATAATTAATAGCTTACCAACCAAAAAAAGTCCAGGACCAGACAGATTCACAGCCGAATTCTACCAGAGGTACAAGGAGGAGCTGGTACCATTCCTTCTGAAACTATTCCAATCAATAGAAAAAGAGGGAATCCTCCCTAACTCATTTTATGAGGCCAGCATCATCCTGATACCAAAGCCTGGCAGAGACACAACAAAAAAAGAGAATTTTAGACCAATATCCCTGATGAACATTGATGCAAAAATCCTTAATAAAATACTAGCAAACCGAATCCAGCAGCACATCAAGAAGCTTATCCACCATGATCAAGTGTGCTTCATCCCTGGGATGCAAGGCTGGTTCAACATATGCAAATCAGTAAACATAATCCAGCATATAAACAGAACCAACAACAAAAACCATATGATTATCTCAATAGATGCAGAAAAGGCCTTTGATAAAATTCAACAACCTTCATGCTAAAAAGCTCTCAATAAATTAGGTATTGATGGGACGTATCTCAAAATAATAAGAGCTATCTATGACAAACCCACAGCCAATATCATACTGAATGGGCAAAAACTGGAAGCATTCCCTGTGCTCTGCTTCCCTTATAAAACTGAATGCCTTTAACAGCACCCAAGTCACCTCTTGAATGCTTTGCTGCTTAGAAAATTCTTCCGCCAGATGCCCTAAATCATCTCTTTCAAGTTCAAAGTTCTACAGGTCTCTGGGGCAGGGACAAAATTCTGCCAGTCTCTTTGCTAAAACATAAGAAGAGTCACTTTTGCTCCAGTTGCCAACATGTTCCTCATCTCCATCTGAGACCACCTCAGCCTGGACCTTATTGTTCATATCACTTACCAGCATTTTTTTCAAAGCCATTCAACAAGTCTCTAGGAAGTTCCAAACTTTCCCACATTTTCCTGTCTTCTTCTGATCCCTCCAAACTATTCCAACCTCTGCCTGTTAACCTAGTTCCAAAGTTGCTTTCACATCTTTGGGTATCTCTTCAGCGCCCCACTCTAGTGGTACAATTTATTGTATTAGTCTGTTTTCAAGCTGCTGATAAAGACATACCCAAGACTGGGAAGAAAAAGAGGTTTAATGGACTTACAGTTCCACATGGCTGGGGAGGCCTCACAATCATGTCAGAAGGCAAGGAGGAACAAGTCAAGTCTTATGTGGATGGTGGCAGGCAAAGAGAACTTGTGCAGAGAAACTACCATTTTCAAAACCATCAGATCTTGTGAGACTTATTTACCATCATGAGAACAGCATGGGAAAGACCTGCCCCCAAGATTCAGCTATCTCCCACTGGGTCCCTCCCACAGCACTTGGGAATTGTGGGAGCCACAAGATGTGATTTGGATAGGGACACAGAGCGAAACCACATCAGTACCTCACTTTTAGTAATGTATAGAGTAAGCAGAAAACAATAAGATTTGAACAATACTGTAGGCCAAATGGACCTCACACATATACAGAACATTCCATCTAACTGCAGAAGAATATACATTCTTTTCAAGCACACAAGGAACATTCTCCAGGACAAATCATATGTTAGGCCACAAAACAAGCCTTAACAAATTTAAGAAGATTGATGTCTATATGAAGTATCTTTTCTGACTATAATGGTATGAAACTAGAAATCAATAATGAGGAAAATTGGAAAACAACATGTGGAAATTAACACACTCACTCCTGAACAACCAGTAGGTCAAAGAAAAAATCATAAGGGAAATAAAAAATATCTTGAGACAAATGAAAATGGAAACACAACATGCCAGAACGTGGGATGCAGAGAAAGCAATTCTAAAAGGGAAGTTTATAGTGTTAAATTCTATATTAAGAAAAACAAAGATCTCAAAGAACCTAACTTTACACCTCAAGAAACTAGAAAAAGATGAACAAATTAAGCCCAAAATCTAGAGAAAGAGGGAAAGATAAAGATCAGAGCAAAAATAAATGAAATAGAGAATAGAAAAACAATAGAAAAAATCAACGAAACTATGATCATAATAGTGAAATCTGGTTTTTTGAAAAGATAAAATTGACAAACCTTTAGCTAGGCTAAGAAAAAACTCAAAATTATAAAATTATAAATTATAAATTATAAAATAAATTATAAATTATAAAATTATAAATGGAAGAGGAGACATAGCACAGAAATGCAAAGGATCATAAGATACTACTATGAACAAGTATGCACCAACAAATTGGATAACCTAGAAGTGAACAAATTATTAGAAACATACAAGCTACCAAAACTGAATCATGAAGAAATAGAAGTTCTGAGCAGATCAATAAAGAGTAAGGAGATTGAATCTATAATCAAAAACCTCCCAACAAAGAAAAGCCTGGTACCTGATTGCTTCACTGGTGAATTCTACCAAATATTTAAGGAAGAATTAACACCCAGCCATCTCAAACTCTTCCAAAAATTAAAGAGGAGGGAAAACTTTTAAACTCATTTTATGAGGTCAGCATTACCCTGATACCACAGCCAGGCAAAGACACTACAAAAATAGAAAATTACAGGCCAATATCTCTGATGAGCATACACGCAAAAATCCTTAACACAATAACTAGCAAACTAAATTCAACAGCTCATTGAAAGGATCATACGCTATGATTAAGTGAGATTAATCACTGGGATGTAAGGATGGTTCAACATACACAAATAAGTAAATGTGATACACCACATTAACAAAATTAAGCATAGAAAATGTGATAATTTCAATTGATGCAGAAAAAGCATCTGACAAAATTTAACTTCCTTTCATGATAAAAACTCAACAAATTATGTATAGAAGGCACATACCTCGAAATATTAAAGGTCATATATGACAGGCCCACAGCTAACATCACTATCAGTGGTAGAAGACAGAAAGGTTTTCCTTTAAGATCAGGAGCAAGATAAGGAAAAACGAAAGGCATACAAATTCGAACAGAAGAAGTGAAATTGTCTCTGCTGATGATGTGGTCTTATATATAGAAGACCCTAAAGATGCCACCAAAAACTTGTTAAACTAATAAACAAATTCAGTAAAGTTGCAGTAAAAACCAATATTGTTTCCAGGTACTACTACCATCTGAAAAAGAAATCAAGAAAACAATTCCATTTACAGTACCATCAAATTATTACAGTACCATCAAATTATTTAAGAATAAATTTAACCAGAATTTATAATATATATAATATAATAAAATAAAATTAACCTGTTCACTGAAAACTATAAGACTTTGATGAAAGAAGTTGAAGACACAAATAGAAAAATATCTGGTGTTCATGGATTAGAAACTATTGTTAAAATCTCCATACTACCCAAAGTGATGTGTAGATTCAGCGCAATTTCCATAAAAAAATTCCAGTGTCATTTTTCACAGAAATAGAAAAATACTCCTAAAACTCATAAGAAACCACAGAATACCCCAAATAACCAAACTTTCAGCAAAAAGAACAAAGCTGGAAAGGCATCACACTACCTGATTTCAAAATTGAGTATAAAGCTACAGTAATAAAAACAGCATGATACTGGCATAAAACCAGACATAGAGACCAATAGAACAAAATAGCCCAGAAATAGATCCCGTAATTTATAGTCAGTCAATCTTTGACAAAAGTGTCAAGAACACACAACAGGGAAAGGACTTTTTTTTAAATAAGTGGGTGGGGAAAACTAGATATCCATATATGAAGGAATGAAATTAGACACACCATATTACAAAATCAACTCAAAATGGATTAAAGACTTAAGAGCTGAAACTGTGAAACTAATGGGAGAAAACGTAACGGAAGAAACTTCTTGTCATTGGTCTGACCAATGATTTTTGGATAAGACTTTAAAAGCACAGGCAGAAAAAGCAAAAATAGACAAAAGGGATTGAATCAAACTAAAAAGCTTCAAGTGTTGGCAAAGATATGGAGAAAGGGAACCTGTGTACATTGTTGGTGGGAACGTAAATTAATATAGCCATTATGGAAAACAGTATGGAAATTCATTTAAAAAAAGTAAAACTACCGTATGACCCAGCAATCTCACTTCTGGCTACATATCTAAACAAAATCAGTATACACTTCTATGTTCATTGCAGCATTATTCACATTAGCCAAGATGTGGAATCAACCTAATTGTCCATGGATTGATGAATGGATAAATAAAATGAATATATGTACAATGGCATACTTTTCCAGCCTTTAAAAAGAAGGAAATGCTGTCACTTATGACAACATGGATAAACCTGGAGGACATTACGGTAAGACAAACACTGCATGATCTCATTTATATTTGGAATCTAAAAAAGTTGAACTCATACAAGTAGAGAGTAGAATGGTGGTTGTCAGGGGTCAGAGGAGATGAGCTGATGTTGGCCAAAGGGTGCAAAATTTCGGTTAGATGGGATTAAAAAGTCCTGGTGATCTGTTGCACAGTATGGTGACTATAGTTTATACTTGAAAATTGCTAACAGAGTAGATCTTAAGTGTTCTTCACACACAAAAATAGTGAGGTGATAGATATGTTAATTAGCTTGATATCCTTTTACAATGTATATGTATATTGAAACACCATGTTGTACACTATATATACAATTTTTACTTATCAATTATATCTTAAGAAAAAATTAAGCCATTTGAAATGTGTATTTTATTTAAAATAATGGTAGTAAACCTATTACAGGTTAATGGAAGCAACATTTTTTATGAAAAATAACAATTTTCAAAACCAAAGGTTATTGAGAAGAGGCGCATTATTTTACATCTTTGTAAATCTCCTTGGCATTTGACTTAATAGAAAACAGCTGGATTCGCATCTGCTTTGGCCTTCAATTTGTCATGATATCACAGGTCATACAGCCTCAGGCAAACGTCACTCCACACTTGCGAAAGAAGTGAAAACTGTTGTAGTTCACAGAAGATAATACTTTTGATTGAGATGGTGCTATGATGCTATGAGTTTGTGAGTTCACAATTTAACCTCCTTTTAATATAAACTTGCAATAATAGGAATATTTAAGATATCCATATGGGTCAAAACTTGAAAGAAAAATGCAAGGATATGTGGAATTGAAAACATAAACCTTCTGAACTAATGATCTTGAAAAAGGCAGAGGAAATTAAAAATCTGACTGCTCTTGGGTAATGAGGTCCGGAAGCACTCCATGCATGTTGAGGTCCCAGGCTCATTGTGGCAAACAGGTACTGGATTTGGACTCTCCTGACATAAAAGGAGCCTGGAAAAACAACAACAACAACAAACAGTGATGGATACCCAGGTTTTTTACTTACGAGTGGTGGCAGGGGGTGAAAAAACAAAGCCATGCAGAGAGGACCCAGCCTAAGCTTTAATCTTGCTCAGTGACTAATACACCCCTTTTGTCACATGGCACAAAATCCCCAGTTGACAATACAAGATTGTCTCTGGACTGTGCTTCTCATGGGTGAGGTAGAGACAGCCAAAAAGACATGGAGGGAAGAAAAGTTCAGAGAGGAGGGGAAAAGATAACCCATAGGAAAAACACTTAGAAACTAAACTTGCAAAGCACTGGGTTAAAGTTAGGAAATCTTAAAATGAACAAGACAGCAAAACTAGCAATCAAGACATGAATTCAGTCCTTTCAAAATGCAATTCAAATAGTGTTAGTGTGACTTTACGATTTTTGAAGAAATAAAGAATAGTGTCCATAAAATGTTCATCCATTTGAGAAAGGTAGATATAAAAAAAGTACCAATTGGAAATCATAGAACAGAAAACATAGTTACTGTATTTAAAACATCTAGGGAAATGCTATTACCAGATGCAGTTAAAAAGAGAAGTTACTCAGAAAGCACAGAAAACAGTATGAAAAACAGAAAGATTGAGACAAATGGAGGATGGATTAAGACGGGTCATTATACTTTATAGGTTGAAAAGAGTAGAAATGGAATGGCAGAAAAGTTCTATTTAAAGAAACACTGGCCCAAGAATTCTCCAGAATGGAAGAAAGACCTTCATTGGTCACATCAATCCTGAGCAGGATAAACAAAAATCTATACATAACATCTATTCTGAAAGCTACCGCGGGAAAAACTAGACGTTATTAGAAAGGAACATTACGCTGATGCAGACCTCCTCATCAGGTTTGTTAGAAGACAATGGAATAATATCTTCAAAATAAGGAGAGAAGATAAAGGTTACCTAAGAATTCCATACCTGGCTAAAATGTCATTCAAAAATGTCTCATAAAGACATTTTTAGAAATACAAATAGACTACCTTATACACTTATTTAAAGACACATTTAAGGATTTATTGCAATGAGAAAAAGTAAACCTCGAGGGACGAGGAGTGAGATTCAAGAAACAAGAATGAGTGAATAAATTCTTGAAATACCAGTAAATATAATTAATCATTGACTGTAAAAATGTTTTCATTTGTTTAAAACAGGTATAATTAAAATTCTAGACAATATTAATGAAGGTGGGAATGGGAAATCCAGTGAATTGCTAACGTGTGCCAACATGTTTGCTTTAGTACTTTATAGTCTGTTAAAAAAATATATGCTTATGTAGAAATTAGGAACTTAAAGATAGACAGTGAAGTAATAAATATAATTGAAACCTCCCAAATAAGCAGAAGGAAGAAAGGGGACTAAAGAAAACTTGATCAATTTAGTAGAATGCAGGAAAGGAGAAAATAAATGACCAAAAGCATATTAAACAAATACATCAATAATTAAAAATGTAAGCAGATTAACTTCCCTGTGTTTCTCAACAAAGAGTCATGGCCTTGTTTGCACCTAAAAACATAGCCTTGAAATATATATATATAAAGCAAAAACTATTAATTATAAGGAGTGGTGGATAAAACCATAGGAATATTGGGAGATTTTATTATATCTAGAACAGATAGATCAGGCAGACAAAAAATTACCAAGAATACTAAAAATCTGAACACAGTTAACAAGTTGATCCTATGAACATAAATAGAAATTGATACCTAACAATTAGACAATACTCATTCTTTTCTAATATATTGAACAATTAAAATTAACCATATCTTAAGATCACCAAGGATGCTTTGACAAATGTGAAATAGTAGCATATGGGCCATGCTATATGAGTATAATGCAATTAATTTGGAAATCTGTATTCAAAAGATAGTTTTTTTCCCCAAGATCTTTGACCCCTAAAGACGTTTCTTCATGTCGCAAAGAGGAAATCTAATGGAAACAATGAAATACAGAACTGAACAAGAAAGAACTACAAAAAGAACAGAAATTAATTACATGGAAAAGAAGGAAGAATATGGTCAACAAAATCAAGTCATTTTAAAAAGACAAAACTGTCAAATCTTTAGCAAAACTGATGGAGAAACATGGAGAGATTAATAATATTAGTAATAGAAAAAGGGACATAATTTCCAATGGAGAGGAGTTTATAAACTATGGTAGAGAATATAAGAAGTGAGATAACAATCCAAATCATTCTATAAGGCTGTTACAACCTTGGTAGCAAAACCAGACAAGGATAGTGTAATAAAAAAGTATAACTCAGTAGTACCCAGCTGCATGTGTATACGAATCAGATACACATAATCATGATCAAGCAGGGTTTAGGAATACAGTTTTCAACATAAAACCTGCTTTATTCACCAATCATCAGATGATGTTAAATAATACAATCTTCCCAATGAATGCAGAGAAGTCATTATATAAAATTAAACTTATGATAAATTTTTTTAAAAAACTAGAACTTAAGGCAATTTCCTTAACCCCCAATAAAGAGGCTGTACAAAACAAGCCTGCAGTGAATGTTTTTACTTCATAGTAAAGATAAGAGTATCCCCTTTCATAGTAAAGATAAGAGTATCCCCTTTCAAATATAGGACAAGACTTGTTCAATATCACCCCAGAAGTCCTAGCCAATGCATTATGTTAATGAAGTGAGGTATGATTGTCAATGAGAGTAAAAATGAAGTCATTAATTAGCATGTTAATATTTTAAAAATACAGGAACATTTTTTTCTGTAGAAAAAAAAGTCAACAAGTTCACTGGATCCAAAGTCAGCGTATAAAAAGCAATAGCAGGCCGGGTGCAGTGTAATCCCAGCACTTTGGGAGACCAGGGTATGCTGATCACAAGGTCAGGAGTTCGAGACCAGCCTGGCCAACATGGTGAAACTCCGAAAGTAAAAATGAAGTCATTAATTAGCATGTTAACATTTTAAAAATACAGGAACTTTTTTTTGTGTAGAAAAAAAAAGTCAACAAGTTCACTGGATCCAAAGTCAGCGTATAAAAAGCAATAGCAGGCCGGGTGCGGTGTAATCCCAGCACTTTGGGAGACCAGGGTATGCTGATCACAAGGTCAGGAGTTCGAGACCAGCCTGGCCAACATGGTGAAACTCCATCGCTACTAAAAATACAAAAATTAGCTGGGCATGATGGCAAATGATTGTAATCCCAGCTACCCAGGAGGCTGAGGGAGGAGAATTGCTTGAACCCGGGAGGTGGAGGTTGCAGTGAGCTGAGATTGAGCCATTGCATCGCCAGCCTGGGCGACACAGCCGGACTCTGTCTCAAAAAAAAAAAAAAAAAAAAAAAAAGGCAATAGCAGATACTCTTCTCAAAAATTCATAACCCAAATCAAGTTGTGAGAAAATATCAAACAAACTGAGTATTCTACAAAATACTGAGAAGCTGTCACAGCCTTGGGGAGCCTAAGGAGATGTAATCACTAAATGTAATGCTGTGTCTGGGATGAGATCCTGGAACAGAAGGAAGATAGTAATGGAAAAATGGGTGAAATCAAAACAAAGTCTGTAGTTTGTTTAGTGTTAATATTATCTCTTCTTTTTGACAAAGTAGCAAGGTTATGTAAGGTATTAACATCAGGGAAAACAGGGTGGGGAAGTTTTGTACTATCTTTGCAACTTTTTTGTAATTCTGAAACTATTAAATAACCAATTATACAATTAATGGGGGAAAAAAAGGACCTCCTAAAGTCAAATAAGGCCTTTATAGGGAAAAAAAATTACAGTGTATCATTGACAGCCGTAAGAGATATAGACAGTGGTCAAAGATGAGAGATCTTGATATAATGTTTTCAATTTCTCTAAATTGCTGTGTGGATTTAATAAAATGTCAGAATCTCAATAGGATAGTTCATCAAACTTTAAAAGCTGCTTCTAAAAATTATTTGAAAGATGGTGGGCTAAGAGTCAGATAATTTTGAAAGACAAGGTAGGGCCAGACACTTTTGAAAAACAAGGTAGGGCCGTCGCCCTTTCAAATACCAAGATACTGTAAAGCTGTAATAATATGGTGCGTTAATGCACAGAGATAGAGAAATGGATCAGGGGACCAACAAGAGAGTTCAAGCACAGACCTGCTCATATAGAGAAATATGATACAAAGTCAGGGGAAAATTAGATCCCTAACACAGAACATAGGCAAAAATAACCATAAAGAAAACTAAAATGCACAGCTATTTGAATATCTTTATGACATCAGTGTGGGGAAGAATTTCTTAAATTAGGCATTGAAGGAAGAGATTGTGAAATTTTACAACACCTATATTTAATTGTCCTCTAAGACAAAAGATAATGTTGGCTCTTCTAATTTTGGGCTTTTGGACTTTAAATGCAATTGGGATGGGGGCAGGAGGTCATTCAAGCTGGAACATTGACATCTTTTTTGCTTTGCAAGATCACCCTTAATACTGTGTGGAGAATACTGGAGGAAGGGTTTGGAATGGAAGAAGGGTTTTTGTAGGAAGATAATGTTTCTTAGGACTACCATGGAAAGGGAAATCATGGGACAAATTTGGGATTTGCCTTAGATAGGGTCAGCAAGACTTGCTGATAAATTGGATGTTGGTGGTAAGGAAAAAAGGAACGAGAACAATCGTGAGGGTTTTTTTTGTCGTTTTTTGTTTTTGTTTTTTGGCTTCAGCAACTGGTACTGTTTATAGAAATGGGGAAAGGGGAAATTAATATTTGTTTAAAATGCTTTGAGTTGCCTGATAGACATCCAAGGGGAGCAGTCAGTTTCTAAGCAAAAGACTGCGCTTTTGTGGACAGTCCTGTGGCAGAGGATTGGAATTTGGGAGCCATTGGCATGTAGGTGGCATTTAAATTATGTGACTAGGTGAGGAGGGAAGGGTTGTTACCTAGGGAGTGGACATTGATGGAGAAGACTAGTGACTAAGTTCTGAGGCAAGACCCTCCAGCGTGTAGATGGCAAGCAGAGCAGAAGCCATTTATGACTGAGAAGAGACCACTGATGGCAGGGGAGCGGAAACCAGGACCATGTAATTGTCACCAAAAATAAGATAGCATGCATGGGATTTTGTTTTTGTTTGCTTGTTTTAATGAGGATGTTGAATATTACTGAGAGATAAAGTGAGATTAAGAGCAAGTTTCTTGGCCACATAAGGAATTGCTGAAATTGTCAAGCAATTTCAGTGGGTTTGGAAGGGATGGAAGCCTGTGGGGCATATATGTTAGCAGGAGAGAATGTATGGTAAAACCATTGAGTTAGTGACAGTAGACTGCTCTATCAAGAGGCATTTTCAGGGCCAAGAGGTGCTGAGCAAGGGGGTGGTAACTGCAGGAGCTCTGAGAGCATGTGGTGTCTTGTGGAAATTAATGATTCAGGATCCGGAGAGAAACTGGTATTGCAGATAGAGGCCTTTGAGGAGACAGGGGGATGATGGAGTCTTTAAAATATATTAAAATCACCTACAAAACCTTAACTAGACATTAGGATCCCTTGGGAACCTGAAAAACAAAGATCTCTGTGGGACACTGGGAATCTGCATTGTTTAACAGCTCTCCAGGTGAGCCTAATGAGAGTAGCCAGATTTGAAAATCTGTAACCTAAGTCAGGGTACTACCACATTCACCTTCAATATTCCTGCTGGGGAATTTGTTTTGAACGTGTATTTTCATAAGAAGCACAGTGTTTTCATTCGTATATTATGTTTATGTGGCACTGCTGGGCAAAAAGAGACTGTTGATGGTCTAGGGAGTCTAAAACACATAAAGCAGCTTCTCAGTGTAGCAAGCAACCACTGATAACTCCTTGAGTATAATATAAAGTTTAATTTGGGGTATTAAAGTCTGTGTGCTCCTTAGGTAAACACCTTTTGGTAATTAACCACATCTTACAGATTTTTTCCTTTAAAGTTAAAATCATACAGCATTTTTATTAGTCAGTTAAAATCGCGCTGTGTAAATTTACCAGAATACAGTTTAATTCTTTTCTGTGGAGCACATTTTTGGTGATAAAAATGATGCTCCGTGAATATCCCTGTATAGAATCTTCTGTATATCCCTGTATTTCCTTTGCTTTTTTAGTTCCTTGAGAGTGGAATAGTTGGACCAAAGAGTACATTAGTGAACTTTTAGTAATTCATTGATTTTACTGCCAGAGAAGAAATACGTATTTCTGCCAAGGAAATTCACAGTATGGATGGCAGAAGGGAAAAATCCCTCTTCCACCCCACATTCCTTGTCCCTAGAAGTAACTCATCAACAATTTCTTGCCTACCTTTCCAACAGTTTTACCTATATTTGGGTTTATCCTTAAAAAACAAATAAATGAGAAAACACTTACCAGTTCGTTTCTACAAACTTCAGTAACTTGTATATTTCACTAAATCTACTGAGAATTCAATCCTTAATAATCCCATACAATTCTACCTCATTATTTTTCTCTCTCATTTTCTTGCTGTTTTATTAAATGGCAATGCAGTGGGCTTACGCAGTGGAAGGTCTGTATTGACGGCTGCTGGGAAACAACTCAGTAGTGTGTGAGACTGCCCGCTCCCCTAAACCGCACGTGCCCGGTGTTTCAGGTTTGCATTTCTTTATGCAAACAGGTCGTGATGTTTCCTTCGCAGGTCGGCCAGCCGTTTGGATTTTCTTGCGAATTGCCAGTTTTATCCCTTTTGCCCATTTTTCTGTCTTGGTTTGGTCTTTATCTCGTTGGTTTCCAAGAGCTCTTCATTTATTAAGGAAATTAGCTCGATGTCTTTCATGTGTCCCAGGCGGAAAAGTCTTGTCTTCCCTGCAGGTCTTTAGACGTTAATGTATGTGTTTTTGCGGCCAGGATTTTCATTTTTTTCATTTAGACAGATGTGTACATTTGTCCCTTTATTCTTCAGCGGTTTTACATTTGAGCATCTCAGTGGGGTTTCCTCCATTTCGACCCCCATTTCTTTGGGGGCTGCACCCCCACCACCCAACCCACCCCCCTTTTCCAGACCTGGCTTTGGGGTCCCTCACGGCCACTCCCTGACGTCAGCCCCCAGCCTTCGCGCCAAACTGTTGCTGTGGCAACCGCAGCCTGATTGGCACGTCACAGGGCTGTGGTGAGGGGGCCCGGAGAGGGCGGTGAGGCTGCTGATTGGCTAGCACAGAAGCCCCGCCTCTGCGGAGAAGCCCTGACAAGGAGGCGTCGAGCTGCACCTCGGTGCAGAAGTCTGGGCAGCTGCGGGAGGAGAGGTTTGGGAGGCGCGGGAGATGTCCACCCTGGGCTGGTGGCGCCGCCGGGCGCCGGGCGCCATGAGGGTGCGCTAGGCGGCTGTTCGTGCCCGAGGCTGCGCAGCACTGAGGTGAGGTGAGTGCGCCTTCGGCCGCCCCGCGCGCCTCCTGCCCGCGGGACCTTGGTGTCGCGACGGCTCTGGGCCAGAGTGGCCGTCTTGCCGCAAGCCCAAGACCCCGCGGCAAGCCAGCGACCCTTGTGGCAGGGCGGGCTGGCGGACATGGTACTTGGCCGCCCGCTGCCCAGTCCGAGAGTGGGCACAGTGGCGGCCAGGCTGTGGATGGTTGGTGCCTTTTTGGGGCAGGGGTGGGCGCAGCCCGGGCTGCTGCGTTGGTGCCGCCATCTTGCAGTCCGGGGTCTGAGGGGCTGCTGCAGGGTCTCCGCGCCTTTCTGACTGGCCGGGGGCCACCGCAGCAAACCGGGGGCATTAGGGCAGACAGCCGGGGGCTCTGCCACGGCAAGTCCAGCAAGGTCGACACCAATGCTATCCCTGTTGCCACGGCGGAATGCGGCTCTCGGGAGCCCTGGGCCTCCTGGGCTGGGTCTGGGGGCTGCGAAAATGCCCCTTCCTGCGGGGTGCCATCGGCCTCGCGGCGCCGGCGTGCCCGGCTACCCTCTGGGGGCGGGGCTTGTTTGCCGCAGTGGTGGTGGGAGGGGCGAAGGGCTGTCCTGCCTGTAGGGGTTTTCTTTCCCCGCCCTCTCGGGCGGTATCTTAAATAAGGGCGGCTGAGGCTTGCTGCGCAGGAGCTGCCTTGGTTGGTTGGCGGCAGATGGGGCGGGGCAAGGCTCAAGTGACTGGGTGGCATTGGACGTAATCGTCTGCTCAAGCCCCACCCACTGGGTGCCATCTTTTATGAGGGTGGCTGAGGTTTGCCGCGCAGGCGCTGTTCTGGTTGATTGGTGGCAGATGGGGCGAGGCAAAGCTGAATGACTGTGGGTTGCATTGGATGTAATGGTCTGTTCCAGCCCCACCCATTGGGTGCCATCTTTTATGAGGGTGGCTGAGGTTTGCCGAGTAGGCGCTGTTCTAGTTGATTGGCGGCAAGTGGGGCGGGGCAAGGCTGAAGTGATTGGGTAACTATCCACTCAGGCCCCGCCCGCTTTGACGCCATGTTTGATGGGGGCTGCTGAGGTTTGCTGCGCAGGTGCTCCCCTGGTTGGTTGGTGGCATATGGGGCGGGGCAAGGCTGAAGTGACTGGGTAGCATTAGATGTGACGATCTGTTCAGGCCCTGCCCGCTTGGACGCCATGTTTGATGGGGGCTGCTGAGGTTTGCTGTGCAGGTGCTGCCCTGGTTGGTTGGTAGCAGAGGGGGCGGGGCAAGGCTGAAGTGACTGTGTAGCATTGGATATGACGATCTGCTCAGGCCCCGCCCACCTAGATGCCATGTTTGATGGGGGCTGCTGGAGTTTGCTGCGCAGGTGCTGTCCTGGTTGGTTGGTGGCAGATGGGGCGGGGCAAGGCTGAAGTGACAGGGTGGCATTGGACCTAGTGGTTTGTTCAAGCCCCACCCACCTGGGCGCCATCTTTAATGAAAGTGCTTGAGATTTGCTGCGCAGGCGCTGTCCTAGTTGGTTGGGCGAGACAAGGCCCGCCCGCCTGGGCGCCATCTTTGATGGGGGCAGCTGAGGTTTGCCGCGCAGGCGTTGCCCGGATTGGTTGGCGGCAGATGCGGCGGGGCAAGGCTGAAGTGGCTGCAGGTGGCATGGGCGGGACGGTCTGTTCAAGCCCCGCCCACCTGGGTGCCATCTTTGATCGGGGCGGCTGCGGTTTGCCGCATAGGTGTGGGGTTGTCCACAGGGAGGGGCGGGGCCACGGTTGCTGTGCTTGCCTGCCTTGCGGTGATGGAAAGCTGTGGAGTGCCGCGCTCCTTGGGCTGTGTGTGCTGGTCGCCAGGCTGTTTTGCCAGTGGGACTGGCTCAGTCCCCGCATCTGGGGGAGCCGGGAGACGTGCCTAAAGAGTTTGCCTTAGCGGCCGCGGAGCCATTTATGCTTAAGGACAGGGTGACGGGTTATCACCGCGCTCGCTGTGTTTTTGGCTAACGGTGGCAGAGGCTCACCCCTTCCCCTGTTGTTGCCTGACCAAGACTTTGTTCACCACAGGATGCGTGTGGTTCCATCTTGTGTATGGGGGCGGCTTAGTGGGGGAGCTGCGAGGCGGGTTGTGCAGGCGCCCTGCTGGCGGGGCTAAGGGCTGGGGCCCGGGACCGTTCCTCGGGACTGATAGGGCTGAGAGCACCCTCACCTCCACTGCCCCTCACCGCCTCTACGGTACTGTCTGTGCTAGCCACAGGGTGGCGCCCGAGGTTGATTGCGCAGGCGCCATCTTGAGTGACACCTGGGTCGGCCCCAGGGGCGGGCATGAGGGAGGGCTTTCTCAGTGACTAGGGGCTGCCGAGCCTGGTCCACTGTGGTGCAATCTTTGGCTGTAATGGGGCACGTGAGGGCAGTTACACAGGCACTGGTTTGAATGACTGCTGGGTTGGCTGTAGGGCCGGGTGCAGAGGACTGAGTGACTGACGGGGTCTGCATGGCCCCGCCCACTCTGTGGCATCATCTTTGCTGGCCATTAGGTGGCAGCCACGGTGTACTGTGCAGGTGCCATCCTGAATGACAGCTGGGCTGGCTGCAGGTGCGGTTCTGAGGGAGGGTCTGCTTTGTCTTGAGTGACTGAGGGGGGCCATAGCATGTGTGTCTTGTCTGATAGAGCAGCCGGCATTCAATGTGGCGGGTGCAGTGCGGAGGCACCATTACTGAATGACAGCTGCGCTGTAGGAGTGAGCGTGAGCCCCGTCCATCCTAGTACCACGTGTGTTGGCCGGTGGCGGGGGCAGCAGAGGTGTACTGCGCAGGCGCCATCTTGAGTGACAGCAGGGCTGTTGGAGGGGGCTGAGGGGATTTCAAGGTAGGCAGGGCCGTAGAGCCGTGTTCATTCATTCTGTGCCATCTTTGCCGGTTCATGGGTGGGGCCTGCACTGGAGCCTTCCTGAGTGACCGCGGGCTGCACTGGCGTGCCAGCTGAGCCCTACCCCCGCTATCTTGGGCAGCGTGCCCTCATGGCTGGTGGCGCCTTACTTCCTCCAGGGGGCGCCAAAGCCAGGCCTCGGGAAGCGGGCGGGTTCAGCTGTGCAGCCTTGGGTCAGTGAGCAGAAAAGTGGAATCCAAGGCCAAACTCAGACGTTTTAAGAGATTTGGGGAAAGGTGGGATTTTAAGTGAGAAAATGGAGGAAGTGGGCTGTGGGTGTAAGATTTGGGGTCTAGGTGATTTGGAGACTCTGTTGGTGAAGGATTTTCACTCAAAATCGTACAGCTGGAGGTGGAAAAATTCAGGGCTGCGGGTGGTCCTGAGAGGGGCAGTGCATGGGAACTAGGAGGCTGCCCTGGGCAGGTGGGGGTGTGTTTAAAGGGGCTGCCCCATAGGTAGGGTGGGGCCTCTGGAGAAACTGTTCATGAGCAGAGCCGCTAGAGGGCTGCCCAGCTTCCAAAGCTTAGTTCGTTTGGGTGTGGCCCTCCCAGCCCTAGCTCTCCTACGGAGTCCTAGAGCTCACTTACCTAGCCCTGGCTCCACCCAAGGAGATCTTAAGTCAGCCCTTTTGTTTTGTTTGAGGTAGGGAAAGTGACACATATGACGCTTCCTTCCTAGCCTGTCATAATTTTTTTTTTTTTTTTTTTTTTTTTTTTTTTTTTGAGACAGAGTCTGGCCCTCTCACCCAGGCTGGAGTGTGGTGGCGTGATCTTGGCTCACTGCAGCCTCTGCCTCCCGGGTTCAAGTGATTCTCCCACCCCAGCCTCTTCAGAGTAGCTGGGAATACAGGCGCGCGCCACCATGCCCATCTAATTTTATATTTTTAGTAGACCAGGGGTTTCGCCATTTTGGCCAGGGTGGTCTCGAACTCCTGACCTCAGGTGATCTGCCCGCCTTGGCCTCCCAAAGTGCTGGGATTACAGGCGCGAGTCACTGCGCCCATCCTTTGAATAGTTTTTAATAAGCTCTTTAACCTCACCAAAATATGCCCACCTGACTCTTGGAATATAAACCAGTCTCATAATCATGAAGGTCCTTCCCCCAGGGACCTCTAATTGATTGAACACATACTCTGAGGTGCAGTGGGACTTGGACTATGTCCTATTAGTCCACTGAGAACATGTTGATAAACCCTAAAATATTTTACGTGATAAAGGGTACTATTACCTAATAATAACGATAGGATAGCGGTCCTAACATGGGGACGGCCAGCGCCAAAAATGGGGTTCTTGAATTGATTCCTTAATCTAGAGCCCCAGAGAAGGTTGTAAGACACCCCAGAAATTGACTTGAATGCCTTTGATGTAACCTTGTTGGAGAAAGTCTATGAGTACATCCCAGGGTGTGAGGTGGTCTAAGGGAGCTATACCCGTGGCCATTCATCCTGGATGGGATGCTTTTCATGGTCTCATTTGACCTGTGCCATCATAGAAGATAAATGTGGAACTGTTGTGGTATTGTTCCCCCCTGAGGAACCCAGTAACTGCAAAATAAACTTGGCGTCTCACATTTTCTTTTCCTCTACAGCTTTGCCTTCTTGATCTTCCGTCCTTCTTGGAGACGACTGGCGAGAGGAAGAGGGACTAGGTCCAAACGCTAGGTGGCTGGGTCCAGGTGAGTTGAATTTCCTCCTCACAGTGCCACATTCATCTTTGGAGTGACCACCGCACTTCCTTACTCTGACACTTTCCTACTGCATATGTGTTCCACATAGCCACCCCAGCACCATTTGTGCCCTCTGAGAACACCCAGACTCTTCTGGTGGATTGTGTATTCTCTAAAAATTCTCCTTGGCCTCACACCATCCATTTCAGTATCCTCCCTCTTTTTCTCATACTCAGCTACTCCTTCAGGGCTACTCTTTTTCTCTTGCCTGGTGATTAAAGAAGCATGAGAGATTCATCCACTCATTTGTGAATATTGATCAAGTGTGTACTTTGTGCCAGGTACTGGGACATAGCCCCAATGGGGGAAAGGAAGTGTTTTCAAAGAGTTTTTAGTCTATTTGGGAATTAAAGCTGTGGAAAACATAATTGTTTGATTTATACTTTTGCAAGAGAACATCTGCTAGCAACAGCTGACTTAATCTTAGAGAGGCCACATAGGGGCCTCCCTGAGATGGTAAAGAACATTAAAGCTGAGCCCTGAAGGAGTGTGAATGGTGTGTGTCATGGGGAGAGTAGTCTCAGCAGAGGGGATAGGGTTGTTGTTGAGAGATGCAGAGAGAGGAGCTGAAAATCCAGGATTCCTAGAGCAAGGGAATCGTTGAGTGGCATCTGATTGAGGTAGGAAGAAGGTAAGTTGTGGTTTCATTGTGAAAAGACTTGTAATCTGTGGTGAGTAACTGGGCTTGACCTTAAGTGCAGCGGGAAGTGCTTTTAACCATGGGAGTATCATGATAATCAGATTTGTGGTTTTAAAAAGATCATCTGGTTTCAGGGTGCAGAAGGGGAGGGTGGACGCAGTGGGTGTGGGGAGACCAACTTGGGCCTGGGTGAGAGATGGTGGCTTGGTTTGTGGTCATATCACAGGGAGGAGTGAAGTGGGTAGATTATTTGAGAGGTGTTGAGGAGGGAGACTCCTCACTTTCTCTGTTCATGGCCTGCTGACTGATTCAGAGGAGGCACAGTGAGTCACATGATGTGGGGAAGCAAGCACATAGCTAGAGGTTGTCTGTTTGTTCATTTGTTAGCAAGCATTGATACTGGGCCTGATCCAGGACAGGATCATGCCAGGCTTAGAGTCTCCAGAAGTGAATGACATAATCCCTGGCCTCAGTGTCTACTGAATGGAAACTCCCATCACAAGAAGAGTAAGAATGTGTTTACCAAGATAGGTGGCTATGGTGGTGGTGGAATACTGCTTAGGGAGAAGCTGACATGACCAGGTGAGCCCTTGGGATGGGTTGGTGTATTCCTGGCCTCAGTGCTCAAGATATGCATTATGGTGCTTAACCCTGTGGAGACTTGGAAACCTCCTTTGCCCGAGGGCTCATGTTGGTAGATCCACATTTAACTAAGCTCAGGAGACTTAAAACCGTACTGACATGTGACTTGAAATAGGATGTTCCTGTTCCCACAATTCTGGTTTATTAATTCATGGTAGGAGTACAATAGCAGGGACCCAAGTACTCAGCAGTGTGTATGATCAGCAAATTCTCTCCCTGTAGGCAGACCTACATGGGAAACACAACCATAATGAGAAGGTTGCTTGGTGAGTACGGAATCAGAACCAAGAGGATGTGGGTGAGCTTTAATAGCGCTGGTTTGTCACATAGCCTGGTACAGCCATGTTGTCACAGTGAAACCCTTGCTTAGGGTTACCAAGATATCGGAAGCCCCTTATCTAACACCCTTGTCCTCCCCAAACTCCATTCAAGTTAGGTCTGATGAGAGTTGTTCACTATCCTGTAGATGGTTGGATGGACCAAGCTTTGTGGCCTACTTTTTAGTACTCCCTCCCCTTAAAAAAATCAGATGAGCCAATTATTGTTATTAGAATATAGTCAAATAACTCATACTGTTCTGGAAGACATTTTGTCTCTTTAAAGTAGCTTTATTTGTCTTGAACCATTTTGTGCTGGTCATAAGACTGAACTCTTAGATATTATTTCCTCTCTTTCTAAACTTTTGGGGAAATCTCTCAAGGATGGACAACAACAAGGAGATTTTGCTGCAGTGTGGTAAGTGCTAAGCTTAATGTGGTAGAAATAAGCCCAGGATGTTGAGATTATCTGAGAGAAGCCAGCCAACAGACCAGAGGGTGGAGGTTGTGGCCTGTGAGATGGAGTTGGTGGTCATTTACTCCTTGCTCCTATATAAAATTTTCCCTCTAAAGTCCCTATGTCCCATATGTACCTTATTCATAGGTGATTGGACCAGACTGGATACCTTAGAGCAGTGGTTCTCAAAGAACAGCTCCTGGAGTGATTGTAGGAATGCTTCTTTCCTGGGGAACCACAGACCTCCTGAGTCATCCCACCTGGAAAGGTAGCTCCGTATTTCATAAGCACCCTAGGCAACTCTTCTGCACATCTGAGTTTGAGAACCACTGCCCTAGAAGGAATCAGGCTGTAGCATGCACTTTAATACTGAGAATTTGGATGAAGGGACACTGAGTGTCGGGCATTTAAACTGGGAGGTGACGTAGGCCTGGGCTGGGACAGCATCTTACTCCATGTGCGTGCTGAAGTAGAGAATGTCGGTCTGCAGAGAGAGGCAGGAGAATGGAGCAAACAAGAAGAGAGACGAGACCACACACCACGCTGTCCCTGGGAGACGAAGAGAGTAACCTCCTCGGTTCCTGACTTTAAAGTTCTCAATTCCAGCCCCCTTTTAATGAGGTAGGTAGAACGAGTTAGGGGGCTGAATCTAGGTGCACCATGGTGAGGGACCAAAGTAAGTAAATAGAAATGGGACTGAAGGAGACTCGGTGGATTTTCTCCTGCATCAGATGGGATGTGGGAGCCTGAGGCCAAACCGGAGTCACAGGATTTCTTCTCACACATGGTCCCAGACGCTTTCTAGTGCATGATGTGTTCTTTCATTAAGTTCTTCCCTGCTCAGTTGAACACTGACCCATCATTTCTCTGATTAAAGCCATGGATCTTCCCTGACTTCTGGCAAGGATGCCTGATGAGTTTCATCTTTATTATGTGTTATATTAATTGTAAGAGCCATGCTTTTATTTCCTACTCATTTTAATGGAATAGAAGTAAAGTGTCATAAAATATCCAAAGAATGGCATCAGTACCACCATCCAGACTTCAATGGCAATGCTGTCATGCAGCAGGCAGCGCCAGGCTTGTTCTGTATACAGAGAGGTTTCATGTTTAGACATCTAGTGTAAAGAAAACATCCTTTGGAGATCAAAGAACGCCAGACTCCCAGAAGCACCCTTCCTGCCTGGCTGTGTAGAGGGATCCTTTATTAGTGGCCCCATCACTTGGCGCCTCTCCTCCCTCCCCTTGAAGTTGGTGACCTTTCTTTGTCCCCTGGCCCAGAGTCAGCTAGCCCTTGTGTGCCCCTAACTGCTGTTGGCTACTACTTAACACTGAGTCCTGCTCTGAAGAGAGAGCAGAGGGAGATATGGAAGCTTTAGTAATGAGGGGTGTGTGGGAGCCCACCTTCAAGCCAGGAAGGATATGGGTTTGCCCTGTGGGCCAGAGTTCAGTCTTGAGCCATATGACGGCTAGACAGCTGTCAATGAAGTGAGGATTTGGGTGTGGAGCTTGATGCGTGTTAGCCCCCTCTGTGGTACAGTCACTGGAGAGGGGAGGTACAGATGGTGACCACAGGGTACTGTCGGTGGGAGTGCTTAAGGGTCAGAGGGAGATTGTATTATGGGGAACCCAGCAGAGAAAGGGCAGGGCCTGATGTGCTGTAACAAGCTGGGCAGGAAGGAAAACAAACACGCTAGGAAACAGTAATTGCATTTACTTACATTTTTATATTCAGTTTTTTTCCTGATTGCGAAGTTAAAATAACATTTTAAATAGAGATGGAAAAAGAAACAGAGACTTGTTATTATTAATCATTTATTCTGATAGATTTCCTCTATTTTATGAATAGTCTTAATACAAGTTTATGTGAGTTTTCTTCCAGTTTAGTTTGTATGTACTGCCATATGTTTGATTATTTTTTACATACATGAGATCATGCCATTTATTAAACAGTTCACACTCAAGGTCTCCATCTATAGCTTTGCTTTCTGAAAACTGCATTATATTCCATTGTGTGGACATTCTCATTCTCTGTGTACACGTAAATGGGAATATTTGCAGTAAGAACAACATAAGTATAGATTTTAAGATTTATTAATAGCAACAAAGTTAACCAGTGGGTGTGGCTTGCAGTTTCTATGGTGAATGTTTTGCAATACCTGCATGTAGTGCTGTGTTTTATTTTTATAATCAGAAAATAAAGCTGTAACATTCCTTGACAACACGACTTAATGGTTATGTAACATTTTGCTAAATACTTTGTTTTCATTCCTTGTTTAATGAAAACTCAGGAGAGATGCTGATTTTTGGATGCAGTAACTTACTTAGAACAAAGTATGTTTGTCACTGGCCCTAGTGGCCTTAGCCTTCCAGAGATGTGTAGCTGAAATACCTAATTTCTTAGGGGAGGCTCCATGCCAGCAGTGGTTATATTGGCCTTTCCTAACGTCAAAGGCCAACCCTAATTCTAGAAATGCATGCTTGAGTAACCAAACACTGAGGTATTAGCGGTCCTGTCATGGCCTTTTTGTTAAAGTTATCCTTTGCCATTTAGCTGTAAGAAAGTTCCTAGTTTATATTTAAATAAGGAATCCATTTCCAGTCCTTTATTATAAATTAAGTCCCCATGTGTCTATAGACTTTTACACAGTTGAATTCTGGACTCTGTTATGTCCCAGTGGTATATTTGTCCTAGTGCTTATATCCTTATATTGGAAAAAACACTTTATTTTTGTGTGTTGGAGTCATTTTACAGACAAACCACCTCCCACTCCAAATAGACCTTATGCAGGGTTGTCTTGATATTCTTGTACATTTATTCTTCCAGAAGAACTGGATTATCAGTTTGTCAAAACTCCCCACCTCAAAATAAAAAGGAGCTTTTTAAATGTGATACACGTGTCTTTATGTATTTATTTCAGACTTATTGCCCTTCTGTCATTTATTTTATTTTATTTTATTTTTTATTGTTTTTTATTTTTTTGGTGATTCAGTCTAGTTCTGTCACCCAGGCTGGAATGCAGGGGCATGATCTTAGCCCACTGCCCCCTCCACCTCCCAGGGCCCCCCTGCATCAGCCTCTTGAGTAGTTTGGATTACAGGCTCATGCCACCACACCCGGCTAATTTTTGTGTTCCTTCTGTAAATTTTTGAAATTTTGTTTGAAGTTGCAGGTAACTTTGTTAAATTTATTTATGGAGATTTATTTATTTGTTTTGCTATTAATGGGAATTATTTCTCTTGCTGTATTTACTCATAAGGTTTTGTAGTTCAAAATAATGCTTGCCCCATATTTATACTTTTCTTTTTCTTCAGTTGCACTAGCTAGGACTTCCAGGGTCATGTTAAATTGTAGTTGTGGTATAGCTGTCCCTTCCTTGTCCCCACTTCCAGAGGAACATCTTTAATGTTTAATAACATGCTTGTTTGCATGTATTTGAGATAAGTCTTTATAATGCTTAGATGGTCTCCTGCTTTTACTCTGCTAAGAATTTATGAGGAAAGGCTGTTGAAGTTTGCAAATGTTTTTTAACTTGAAATACTGCTTGTGGGCTCCCCTTCCCCTTTCATCCTTTATGTAACAGTTTACCCTGATGGGACATCCTCCTTGTATTCCTGGAATAGCCTTTCAAGATCATGGGCTATTATTTGGACTTTGTTAGTTTGGGTTTATTAAATGTTTTTGCATCTATATGCAAATAATGTTTATTGAACACCTATAAAAATATAGAGATGAAAAAGGTAACAGAGTCTTTGCCCATGGAGCCTTGCGGTAGGGTATAAATACAGGTGCTCTGTTGTTCTGTTGGATTCATACATCTTCAAGCACAGCTCTGATTAATAAGCTACGTTTTTATTGATGGCCCGTTTAGGCCATCCTCAGGCAGATTAACTCCTCAGCTTTAATATTTCATTTGATAGCATCAGGCAAGCCTTTAGACCTTTCTTCCTCTCAGCACCTGCAAACACGTATCTTCTGTTTTCTTCAGTGGTAGGCGTGGCTGTTGCCATGGAGAAGCTGGCCTGGGGAAGTGGGGGCCAAGTGGGCAGAGCAGTTATGCTTTTGATTGGCCAGACTCGCTGTCACAGAAGGTCACGTGGGATCTGGTCTTCCCCAGTCAGGGTGAGGTAAGTATGTGGCCCTGGCAGGTGCAAATTTCAGCATCTGGCCCCACTGCTAGTTGCCCTTTGGGCAGCAAGTAGAGGACGGGTTGAATCCAAGGCTAAGGGTTGGGCCACTCGGCCAGGAAGGCAGCTAACCTCATTGCATATGGCCCACCTTGTGTCAGGTAGCCCTGCAGGAGAAGGTTGACCAGCACTTCCTCTTCCTGCCTTTGGCTCTGGGTTGCTCTAATGTGACTTGTGTTAGGACTGTGGTTACATAGCAGTAACACAACAGAACACGTTTCCCTGTCAGTGGTGCTCGTCCCTTCCCACCATTCCATGTGTAAAATGTGTTACCTGCCATTATTTTGTGTTCAAGGTTTTACCTTTTACAAACCAGAAATTAGCTGTACATACAAAGGTTAAACCATAGTGTGCAGCTGACTTTTTTTTTTTTTTTTTTGAGATGGAGTCTCGCTCTGTTGCCCAGGCTGGAGCGCAGTGGTGCGATTTTGGCTCACTGCAACCTCTGCCTCCTGGGTCCAAGTGATTCTCCTGCCTCAGCCTCCTGAGTAGCTGGGATTACTGCCACCACGCCCAGCTAATTTTTGTATTTTTAGTAGAGATGGAGTTTCACCACGTTGGCCAGGCTGGTCTCGAACTCCTGACCTCAGGTAATCTACCCGCCTCGGCCTCCCAAAGTGCTGGGATTACAGGCGTGAGCCACTGCGCCCAGCTGCAGCTGACTTTTTAGCTTTTTTTTCTTATTATCATTTTATCTACTTGGCTATATTTGTTCTTAAATGGAGAATTGCTGGTTCAAAAGAAGTAGGTGTTTTTTTTAGTATCTTTAAACAGTGGCCAAAATGGGATCCAGAAATGTGGTTCATGCCTGCACCAGCTAGCTTCTCTACACCCTCACTAGCATCAATTTTCATCTTTTAAACATTTGCCCATTCGACAGGTCAAAAAAGGTTTATTGTAATATTTTACATTTCTTTGATTTTTGATGTTAAGTAACCGGCCTTTATTATCACTAATTTTAGGAACTCTGTGTATTAGTGTTGTTTATTTTCATATTGGGCTATTTTTCCTAATGCCAAAAGCCTTTTACATTTCAAACATTAACTGTCATCTGTGTTATAAAATACTTTTCCCCCTCCCTTTTTGCTTGGTTTTTATTTTGGTTGGTTTTTATAGTGCAGAAAAGTTGGACCCATCTTTATTTTCCTGTCTCCCACGTGGTGGCCTTTCAGTGGTCTCTGCCATTGGAATTACGCTTGAGCATTTGTTTGACTGTCCCTGTTCTCTGCTGTTGTAAACAGTGCTTCTGTGAACACACTTTTGAACTGTATATCTTTGTGCACATGGGCAGATGGGTCTGTGAGTTAGATTTCAGAAGTGGAATTGCCAAGATAGGGGATGGCATTGTATTTATGTACTGACAGTTGTTGGGTGTAATTGAGGGGTATATTCAGATTGCAACTGCAATATCATAAGTATTTATTGGGTCTAACAGGTTTCAAAGTTGATTCTTTAGGGTTTTCTAAATTGACTTTCATGTACCTGCTAATGGCCAGGTTAGGGTATGACTATGGATTCAAGCTGTGGATGGTGATAGGGAGGCGATGCGGGGAGAGCCTGGGCTCAGCATCAGTGTAAAGATGTTACGGCTGCCTGCACCTGCTCTGTGAGTAGCACAACCTCTAAAGGCCTCTACTGGTAGTTTTGTTTATTGTTTTGTTTTAACTTTGAATTTATTTTTTTGACTAGGTAATACATGCTCATGGTAAAATAAAAATAAAAACAAAAAACAAAAGGAGAATATACAATGAAAAAGTAAGTTGCCCTCCCTTTCCTGACCCCTAGTTCCCTTCCCCAGAGGCAATTGCGATTAGTCATCATTAATAGTCTCTTATATATCCTTCTAGAAATCATCTGTCTAAGCACATCTTTTTTTAGTTTCTGAGAATGCTGTATACAGTGCTGTGTCCGGTTTTGCACTTAACTATCTTGGAGATCATTTCATACTCATTTATTTAGAGTTGCCTTATTTTAAAGGGTTTCATAGTAATTCATTATACAAACATAACATATCTTGTCTATTAACAACACTTCAATGAATATATTCTTGCACATAGGTCATTACATATCTCTGAGGTAAATTCATAGAAGTAGAATTTGTAGGAGAGGAGGATATGTGCACTTTTAATTTTGATAAAATTTGCATTGCCACAGGCAGTATATGAGTGTACTTGTTTCTTCCCGTGCATACAAACATATGTTGCCCGGCTTTATGATTGATTGTTTTGTTTCCAAAGCCTTTCTTTACTCCCAAATGAGTTTCCTCTGCCATGGTGGGAAGTAGCTCAGATCTGATTTTTTTTTTTAAGGTTTTTCTGTTAAAAAAATAACTTCCATTTTTCAATGGCTTCTATTGACCAAGGGCCAAGTTCTATTGGCCTGGTCAGAAAATCTTGAGCATGTTAAGGGAAGATTGTGTATGTTTAATCCTGAATTTCTTGAGGAAAAGCAATGTGTTTTATTTTTTTTGGCACAGAAGTTGGCATCCACCTTGTGACAAGATACATATGGGCATTCAAGTGGTCACAAAATTAATTGTAGGAAGTCCTCCATCTCTTTTCTGTGCTCTGGAATGGTTTTTATAACACGGTAAATATTTTATTCACAGAAAGTTTACTTGGGAAGTTGCTCTTTACATTATTTCAGCTTTTTAGATTTCTTCCCTAGTGGTCATATTTTTCTCTGCTTCTTGAGTCAGGTTGGGCTATTTGTATTTTCTTTAAAAAAATTATTGGTTTCCTATTGAACTCTATAAGCCTGCCATTCTGATATATAGCTTTCACCTAGGGTACTTTATGCTTCAATTCATGTCTGTTAGGGAGAGAAATTCACAGAATAGAAGCATATATATGTGTATAGATCTTACATAAGGGAATGTTAGTTTTATCTCTCTGTGCCTCAGATGTGTTTTTCTTGTCTTATTGTAATTGAGTAGAACTGCATAGAATAATGTTCAATAATAGCAGCATTAAGACTTTTATTTCTGCTTTCATGAGTTTTGGTTCGTGGTTTCTTAGTGATATCTTTGTCTTGCGTTTTTGACTTGTTCTGGTTTCATAAAGACAGTTTGAAAGCTTTTTATTTCTCCTGTCTGGCATGGTTTATATAGCATGGGAATGGCCTTTCCCCGAAGGTATAGAAGGCATCACCCCAGTGCTATTTGAGTCCCCAGTTGTTTGGGGAGTTAATTCTCTGACACTCCTTCTACATGTCTTTCATATTCTTAGTCTGTGTATTTCTTCCTTTAAAACTTCTGCAGATACCTGTGTTTTGACTCTGTTCCTGTGGATAGCTGCTTGGTCTGAAGTTCCAGAAAGGATCCTGTTCCCAGACAGGTGATTACATATCTGAGGGTATCTTGTTGCCTGAGGATGAGGGCTAGTATCATTTCAGGTACCAGAGTGTTCTCCTGAGTCTGTCTGCCACATAACAGAGTTGGGCCGTCTGCCCTTGCCTGTCTCCCTCACAGGCACAGACCTCTGCTCTTGCCCTGTCCTGGGTTAGAGTGACCATGTCTGAAATGTCACACCAATCATCTGGAGCCTGGACTCTCTGGTCTGTTGCCTTCCCTTGCTTTGGGATTCTTCTGCCCAGCAGAGCATTATCTATGTTGTGCTCTCCGTGGTTTCTCAGTCCTATGAAGGAAGGCAGCAAGGAAATAGTCCAGTCGCTAAGGTCTTCAGGATCGAGGCATTTGCATTGGATGGTGCCCAAGCTCCATGGGATGATAATATGCAGGAGAGAGCGTGGGAGGGCAGTTTGCATAGGGAGGGAAGTGGGAGCCCATCACTGAGACGAGTAAACATGAGTTTACCGTGATTACCACATTGATTTGCAAGTGATAATGTCTAATGAGAGACTCTGAATAATGGAAACACCTTCAGTTTTCCTTTAGACTTTTTCCAAATTAAAAAATTTAAACTTGCTTTCCTTTTAAAACAAAGGGAGAAAATTTCTGTTGCATATGGTTTTTTTTCTTCTCTGGAAGTAAAGCCAGTAGGTAGTTTATGCTCCCAGACCTAGATTTCTTTCCCATATTGCCTTACTTAGTTGCACCAGATGTGCTGACCAGTCATTAAAATACGCAATAAAATGCAAATAATAGCAAAAATGCTTTAAGGAAATGTATAGCTTTACTTGGTTACATAAAAAAAAGGAGAGATTGAAAATCTTTACATTTATGTCCAATCTCAAAAGTTTAAAAAATGGAAGGGGGCAGATAATAAAATAAAGAGAAGGAAATAAATGAACTAAGTAAAGAAACAGTAAGAAAGGAATGTCAAAACAGAAAGCCGGTTCTTTTAGACAGATTAGACCTTTGTCAAGATTGATGAAGGCAAAAGAACGTGCAGTAGCATCAAGAGGCTCAATGGTCACTTCTCACTGTGTGAGGGAATAATGTCATATTACCTAGAGTTGAGTACTTTTAATATTTTTGAATGGTCTTCCATTTTTTACATGTTGTATACTGTGTTTTAATAATTGTGTTAAGGGAAGAAATGTTAGGGGAGGATTTGCCCCAACTCCTACTTCCCCTTTTCATTTTTGCTAATAAACGTGCTGACGTCTGATTTTAGTACTGGCTAGGGCCTTGAACATTTCTCTTGTGCCTTGCATTGGGCAGTTAAGTCTTTTTAGGTATCTTAGTTTATTTAAGCTTCACAATTCTGAAAGGGATGGAGGTGCTGTTATTCTTATTTCTCAGATTACAGAGAGACTTCTAGGGCATTAGACAAGTTGCCCACAGTCCCAAGTTAGTAGCCCAAGTTAGTAGCCGAGCTAACTCCTCGAGTAGGTCTCTGTGAAGCCCAGAGGTCATGCTTGTAACTGCTGTGCTGAGGCCAACTTTGTGCGGTTGTTTGCCTATTTACTGGGGACTCCCATATCCCAAAAGCATTGTCGATGCCTCTGGTAAGGTGGCCTCCACTGCTGCCTGGTCTTCAACTTCTGGGACATGTGTATATCTCCTTACGATCCACAGGTCCCTGAGTACTGACGGTCACAGGCTGCCGCGTCTTTCCTGTTGACTCATGTTTGGTTCCTCCAGTGAAAATTTTACTTAGAGAAATGCTGCCTCCAAAGCACTTGTCTGCCACCAAACCTAAGAAGTCCTGGGCCCCAAATCTGTATGAGCTAGACAGTGACTTGACTAAGGAGCCGGATGTCATCATAGGAGAAGGTCCAACTGACTCTGAGTTTTTTCATCAGAGGTTTCGGAACCTAATCTATGTGGAATTTGTTGGGCCTCGGAAGACCCTGATCAAACTCCGAAACCTCTGCCTCGATTGGTTGCAGCCGGAGACCCGCACCAAGGAGGAGATCATCGAGCTCTTGGTCCTTGAGCAGTACCTGACCATCATCCCTGAAAAGCTCAAGCCTTGGGTGCGAGCAAAAAAGCCGGAGAACTGTGAGAAGCTCGTCACTCTGCTGGAGAATTACAAGGAGATGTACCAACCAGAAGGTGAGAGTCTCCACGGGGTGTTGGTGGTCAGTGCAGGCCTCAGGTGTCCCCTGGGGCTCTCAGCCTCCACACTTCTGACATGGTCTGGACTGGATAACTCTCTGTCCTGGGCAGCGGTGGGGATGTCCTGTGTACTGTGGGATATTGAGCTGCATCATGATTTTCTGGGTGTGGCCACCAAAAGTGTCTCCACACATGCCCAGGTATCCCCTGGTCGCCAAAACCTCCCTAGTGCAGAACCACCATCCTGAGTCAGGAGAGGGAAAGGAGACACTTCTGTAGAAGGGAGAAAACCTCCTATGGCTCCTGCCTTTTTGGTGTGGTGTGCTAGGAGGTTGCCTTCTGGCTGTTTGTGTCTGGGGGTGAGGTCGGGGTGGTCACAGCCACCATGCTCCCCCCACCCAGTTTTTAGTATGCCAGGAGTGGTTGGAAGCCGCTGAAGGGTTTTGAACTCAGAAATGTCAGGATCAGGTCATTCCAACCATGTGTGTCTGTGACAGGGAGATGCGGCTCAGGGATTGGGGGGAACTATTGTGAGAATGTGGGCCAGAGATAGTAACTTGGCGACCGGTGTCCTCTTAGACGACAACAACAGTGACGTGACCAGCGACGACGACATGACCCGGAACAGAAGAGAGTCCTCACCACCTCACTCAGTCCATTCTTTCAGTGGTGAGTACCCATCCCCACTGGTCACCCATGGGCAGGCGCTGCCAGATGCTTCCAGATGGAGACACAGTGGGTTGGGGCCTCCATGAAGATGACCCGCCATCCCCGAGTGGTCAGCTTCACTCAGAGATCTGAGGAGAGGGTAAATTAATTGATGTCATAATGAGACATTTTTATATCTAAACAGACACCTTAAATACTTAATACCGTTTTATTCAACGATAAAGTATATAAAGCTATTTGGAATTTGCAACAGGCTGCTTCCAGCTGTACCCCCAGCCTCCTCAGGAAGGTTCATTAAAGATGCTTCAGTGAGCTTTTATAGGGAGCACTGCTTTCAGGGAGGGTGTGTGTGTTGTTTTCTTGGGTTTTGTTTTTTTTGTAGTAGAATAACGTGTACTTTAAGATCGGCTGCCAGACAGTAGGGGGTCTGCAGTCCATTCTCCTGAATGTGGACTCAGCCCCTTAGGAACTGGGAAGCCAGCAAAGAGTCTGAAGTGGGGGTTAGCTACTGGACTGAGCTTTGGAACTTGCTTGGAAGCAAGCCCCACTTGGGCAAAGCCTGCAGAAACCATGTTGCGGGTATATGATAAAGAAGGGGCCAGATGAGCCTGGGAACCTGGAGCTCTCTGTTTTGGATCCATCTCCTTGTGGGAAGAGGGTAGCATCTCTTTCCAGAGGGGTGTTTGTGCACATGCAGGGAAAACAGGTGTGTCAAAGAGCTTTGTTAACCACTGGAATGTCTCACCTGCTTAGGTGACCGGGACTGGGACCGGAGGGGCAGAAGCAGAGACATGGAGCCACGAGACCGCTGGTCCCACACCAGGAACCCAAGAAGCAGTGAGTCTTAACCACTTTCTTTCCCAGTAGGAGATATAGAGCATGTGCTGTGCACAGGTTCAAGGGGAAAGTGCCAGGGCCTCGAAGTTTCTGCTGCTCCATTTGGAGTATATTCCGCTTCCCCAAAAGTTTAGTCCAAGGCTCGTATTTTTGAAGTTCCACTCGGTACCACCAGCACAGGTTTCACCACATAGACCTGTTGCCACCTAAACTATTTGCTCAGTATTCTTAAGCTGGTGCATTAAAAAAAAAAAAACTGGAAGTTTCTGTATGAAAGACTATGCCACTGCAAAAATTGAAAACTAGTATGAAGTGCCATAGGCAGAAGGCGAGAATGAAAAACACATTGTAACAATATTGTTAACTAGGAATGTCTGCCATGACTTCCTGCAGTGTTAGGGAAGTGCCACATCTGAGCACCAGGCCTGAGATTTGGAAGGGAATCAATCATCACACCAGTGTATTGTTGGTGTCCATACTGCTGGAAATCATTTCCTCTTCTTCCTGGACTTGGAGAACACTGCTGTGGGCAGCAGGGCACCCTAAAATTGATCAGGAGAAGGATATCAGGAGTGAGTGACATTTAGTGACGGTTCACAACACAATAGGCATTGTTCAGAGCCATGACCCTGTGGGACGGTCTCTGATGCCATCTCCCTGTCACACATTGCAGCTGGGGAGACCCAGAGGTTGTGCCCGAAGGATGAGGCTAGTGGACACTGTACCTGGACCCACACAGCTTGGGCACAATCTGAACCACCTCCGAGACTGGGAGCAGAAGGATGAGGCAGGGCCCCTGGCCCTGCCCTGGGTCTGGGTTGTTGTAGGGCCACTGGTTTTATGGGACTCCTCAGAGGCTGCCACAGAATGCAGAGAAGAGAAAGGCACTTGCTCTCATACACTCACACCCCAGCTGGCTTCATAGTTGAGTGGGACAAACCTGGGACCTGCAGGATGGACTGGGCCCTGCTTCTTGTTGATGCCTTTTTTCTTCCCAGGGATGCCTCCGCGGGATCTTTCCCTTCCTGTGGTGGCGAAAACAAGCTTTGAAATGGACAGAGAGGACGACAGGGACTCCAGGGCTTATGAGTCCCGATCTCAGGTATGCTCAGGTTTCCTCTCTTTCTAGAAAGGCCATCTTCATTTCATGGCAGAGACGCCTTTCTTTCCCCAGATGGTGTGTTTATCTGCCCCCTAGAGTCCAGCTGGGGTGAGAGTCCCAGCGCTCCAGGAGGAGCCCGGGCCCATCCCTTAGGTGACAAGTAGCCCAGGTTGCTGCTGGCTGTTTCTTTGTCGTTCATGTGGTCAGAGGAGCTCCTGCCCCCTCAGCATGTGTGTCACTTGGTAGGTTGGTCACATTGGCCGTTCCCTACAGGGCCAGGGAAGCAGAGTGACTCTGGAGATGTTTCTGGTCCTCAGGAGGGAGCCAGGAAAGCTGTGGGTCTGCAGAGTAGACTGGCCAGGGAGCACAAAGGCTCTGGAGCTGACAGGAGCTGGGTTTAAAGCCTGGCTCTGCCACTTGCTAGCTGTGTGGCCTTGGGCCATTTACTCATAAGCTGAATTTAAGTTTCCTCATCTGTAAAATGAATATGGTGATTGCTCCCAGGGCTGCTGTGAAAAGTCACTCACACACATACATAAAGTACCTGGCACATGGTAGGCACACCGTTAAATGTTAACAATTATGGCAGTTGTGGTTTAAGAGGCAGCATGTGCCGGGGAGATTCATGAAGGGAAAAAAAATGTGGAACTTGAGCTTGTTTTTTAGGAAGGAGGAGAGGGGTCACTTATACATGGTGGAGTGTGGAGGAGGACCCCAGCACTGACTGGACTCAAAGAAGGGAGAAGCCATTGGGCTGAGCCTTCCTTTCCTTCACATATCAGTACCCATCCCATGTCAGAAAGCAGGCCTAGGCCCTGGGGGGCACAGCAGTGAGCAACACAGAGAGGGGCCCTGCCCTGAGAAGCTTTTGACAGTTGCACAAATAAGTATTGACACAAATGTTGTATATAACTGCTCATCATTCTCAGTGTCCTCAAGGAAAAATAGAGAGTTAACAAGAAATTGTAACAAGGGCCTTGATTTGGATTGAAGGGAAATGTCTTGGAGGCATTAACAGTTGCCATTTAGAGCCAGGAGCACGCCGGGTCAGGTGTTGGGGGAGGGGACCCCAGGCATTAGGGAGAGCTCAGCTAAAGTTGTGGGATGGGAACCAAACCAAGGGCCAGGTGGCTGGGATATAGGAAGAAGGCTGGAGGCATGTGTGGGCCTGGCCACTGGTGTCTTGGTAGTTGGGCTTTGTCTTGTTTTGCTTTTTAAATGCCCTTCCTTGACAATGTGTGAAGAATTGGCATCCGAGCCCCATGTCTGCATAATTAAAAGTCTGGAAGCTACTGATTCCTACTGACTCAGTATGGTGGTAACACCAGCAGCAAATGACACAAATTACATTTTGAAGGTGTACACAACAGAAAATTCTCTCATCTTTTAGCTTCATGTGTAAATTTCTTAATTGTTCACATGTATAGATCATGTTGTGAAAACTACATTGAGCCATACTAGCATTGTTTTCAGAACAGCATCTCTTCCATTGAACTTGATTGCAGTTTGTATGCATTAAGATGTCATTGTTGATTACAAACACAAAGCGAACAACCAATTTAGGGCTGCCCACTGGCCTAGATTTTAATTTTCAATCAAAGCGTGCTTTTTCTTTCATGTGAAAAAAGAATTTTATCTGTGAAGCTCTGCTGTGTTTCCTTGCCCTACTTAGTTTTTGTTGTTGTTTCTGCTTTTTTGTGGCAGGACACAGGCAGTTCATGGATAAGGCTTCCCTCTTAAACCCAGATACCCGTACCTCTTTGTCTTTGCTTACTCAGCAAGTCCTCTTTTTTTTGCTACATTTTTCATGTTGCTCCATGCCTCTTCCCAGCAATAGAACTATGGTAGATTTAATATCAAGACATTTGTATTTCCTTTACATAATTTTCTTAATATTTAAGCAAGACATCACACTGCAGAAAATCCTCACCCACAGTATTGCAAAGCAGATAGATACTCTTCTCCCCATTTTACAGGTGAAGAACCTGAAAGAAAGGTTCAAAAAGATTTCCGTTCCCAAGGCTGCATAGCTCATAATTGGTGCAATCCTTCTTTGACCCAGATCTCTGTCCAGCTCCAAAGCCTGTGGGCTTCCCACAGCACCATCTCCCTCCTCAAGTCTCTCTCCAGCCTCAGTGCCATTCTTCCTGGGACCATGACTCCCTGAAACCAGTTCTAGTCAGCCCTCTGGCAATAAGCAAAGGTCCTTTAGAATCCTGGTAGAAGGTTCTCCTCAGTAATGTGAGGAATTTTAAAATTCCTTTTTAGGTAAATATCCATTAAGACAGAAAAGGCAATTATAAAAATGCCCTCAGGGCTTACAGTTATTCCTGGGTGATTTGGAAATTGTGCAAACTGGAGACTCCCTCAATGTAGCCATGCTATGCCATGGAGAAACCGGGAGGGAGGTTTAAGTCACATCCTGACCAGATGTCTTCCTGAATGTGTGTGTCTTCTTTCTGTTCCCTGAGTACTCCGTGCCTGTTTGATATTTAGTCTAAGTTTTCCCACCAATCCCTTTCTATATGTGTCATAATCTCACTTACCACTTAAGGCCCCACCTGCCCTCCACAAACCTTTGCACACTGTTCAGGCCCACCCTGAACTGTCCCTCTACAAAACCCGTTTAGCACTTACTATCTGTACCCCGATTTATTGTTTATTGTTCTCTAATTGTTTCATGAGTCTTTTCTCTCCAACCAAATTATAAGCTGCATGAGGGCAAGGAATATGTGTCATGCGTCTTTGGGATCTGCCTCAGAGTGTAGCACCAAGGTAGGTACGACGTAGGTCCCTAGTAACACTTGACTTGGATCACTCAGAACCCCAATACCGTGAGCACTTCCTATATAACTTCATATATGTAACTCCCATGTTGCCAACATTATTCTGTCTTTGAACATCGGTGGGGACAGACTCCATTGAGAGGTCTGTGTTTGCTGTTTTAGGATGCTGAATCATACCAAAATGTGGTGGACCTCGCTGAGGACAGGAAACCTCACAACACAATCCAGGACAACATGGAAAACTACAGGAAGCTGCTCTCCCTCGGTAAGCAGCTGCTTCTCTCAGTCACTCCCAGTCCAGTCATTGGAGCATTTTGTCATCTTGCTCCTTTTTAAGCTGGATGTTAGAGTCCACATTAATATATTTGGACTTCAAGGGTAATAAGAAATCTTTGAAAGATTTCAAATGAGGGAGTAAATGATAAAATTTGTGTTTTTAAGAAATGCCTCTGGCTTTGGGTAAAGATACATTGTACAGGGTGGGGACAAGCAGGGAGATGCTTCTTGCCACAAGAGTTGATACTTTTTTCCAGAGTGGTAGCACTGGAGGTTTTTAAGTAGACATTCAGGATGGGATCCTGAGTTCCCATGTGGACTTTCCTGGAAGACATCTAGCCCAAGTTGGTAGTGGGCAGTTGGCTGTGCTGCAGGTCTGTAAGGCCATGGGGCCTCAAGGGAGTGGGTGGAGGAAGAGCAGTCGCGAGGTAAGAGGAAGAAGGCCAGTGGAAAAGAGGACTTAAAAAGTGGTTACAAGAAGGTGAAGACTAAAAGACAATGCACTGATTTCAGGGACATGTGGGGTCTTTGTACACATTTCTGAGTGGAGTCAGAAGAATTACATGTAGATTAGAATGGATTAGGGAATAGATAGTAGGGAAATGAGACAGCAAATGTCTTCTGACATCCAAGGAATCAGATGTGGGCCACCTCATATTTAGTGGCTCAGTGAAAGATGAAGATCAATTTATGGTGATGAGTCTTGGTCCTCAACTTGAATTTGAGGCATCATATTGTCCTTGTGACCAGGAGTGCAGCTTGCTGAAGACGATGGCCACTCCCACATGACGCAGGGCCACTCATCAAGATCCAAGAGAAGTGCCTACCCAAGCACCAGTCGAGGTAAGCAGGAGGCACATCCCACAGAGGAGCCACACAACCAGTGAGATGCTATCAAGGAACTTCTACACTTTGCATTCCTAAACATCACAGAAGGGTGCACCCCTCCAAGTCCCACTGTCCTTCTTATGGGGACTAGGGAGTATTTACATTTGGGGTTTCTTTCCAGGTCTAAAAACTATGCCTGAAGCCAAAAAATCAACCCACCGGCGGGGGATTTGTGAAGATGAATCTTCCCACGGAGTGATAATGGAAAAATTCATCAAGGATGTGTCACGCAGTTCCAAATCGGGAAGAGCAAGGGAGTCAAGCGACCGGTCACAGAGATTCCCCAGAATGTCAGATGATAACTGGAAGGACATTTCATTGAACAAGAGGGAGTCAGTGATCCAGCAGCGGGTTTATGAAGGGAATGCATTTAGGGGAGGCTTTAGGTTTAATTCAACCCTTGTTTCCAGAAAGAGAGTTCTTGAAAGAAAGAGGCGCTATCATTTTGACACAGATGGGAAGGGCTCGATTCACGATCAAAAAGGCTGTCCCAGGAAGAAGCCCTTTGAATGTGGTAGTGAGATGAGAAAAGCCATGAGCGTGAGCAGCCTGAGCAGCCTCAGCTCCCCCTCCTTTACCGAGTCACAGCCAATTGATTTTGGGGCAATGCCATATGTATGTGATGAGTGTGGGAGGTCGTTCAGTGTCATCTCAGAATTTGTTGAGCACCAGATCATGCATACTAGAGAGAACCTCTATGAGTATGGTGAGTCCTTTATCCACAGTGTGGCTGTCAGTGAAGTTCAGAAAAGTCAGGTTGGAGGGAAACGTTTTGAATGTAAGGACTGTGGAGAGACCTTCAATAAGAGTGCCGCCTTGGCTGAACATCGGAAGATTCATGCTAGAGGTTATCTTGTGGAATGTAAGAATCAGGAATGTGAGGAAGCCTTCATGCCTAGCCCCACCTTTAGTGAGCTTCAGAAAATATATGGCAAAGACAAATTCTACGAGTGCAGGGTGTGTAAGGAAACCTTCCTTCATAGTTCTGCCCTGATTGAGCACCAGAAAATCCACTTTGGGGATGACAAAGATAATGAGCGTGAACATGAACGTGAACGTGAACGTGAGCGCGGGGAAACCTTTAGGCCCAGCCCAGCCCTTAATGAGTTTCAGAAAATGTATGGTAAAGAGAAAATGTACGAATGTAAGGTGTGTGGGGAGACTTTCCTTCATAGCTCATCCCTGAAAGAACATCAGAAAATCCATACTAGAGGGAACCCATTTGAAAACAAGGGTAAAGTGTGTGAGGAAACCTTTATTCCTGGTCAGTCCCTTAAAAGGCGTCAGAAAACTTACAATAAGGAGAAGCTCTGTGACTTTACAGATGGCCGGGATGCCTTCATGCAAAGCTCAGAGCTCAGTGAGCATCAGAAAATTCATTCTCGAAAGAACCTCTTTGAAGGCAGAGGGTATGAGAAATCTGTCATTCATAGTGGGCCATTCACTGAATCTCAGAAGAGTCATACTATAACAAGACCTCTTGAAAGTGATGAGGACGAAAAGGCGTTCACCATTAGCTCTAACCCCTATGAAAACCAGAAGATTCCCACTAAGGAAAATGTCTATGAGGCAAAATCATATGAGAGGTCTGTTATTCATAGCTTAGCCTCTGTGGAAGCTCAGAAAAGTCACAGTGTAGCAGGGCCCAGTAAACCAAAAGTAATGGCAGAGTCTACCATTCAGAGCTTCGATGCTATCAACCATCAGAGAGTTCGTGCTGGAGGGAACACCTCTGAAGGAAGGGAATACAGTAGGTCTGTTATCCATAGCTTAGTGGCTTCCAAACCTCCAAGAAGTCACAATGGAAATGAATTGGTGGAATCTAATGAGAAGGGAGAATCCTCCATTTATATCTCAGACCTTAATGATAAGCGACAGAAGATTCCTGCCAGAGAGAACCCTTGTGAAGGGGGCAGTAAGAATCGCAACTATGAAGACTCTGTCATACAGAGTGTATTCCGTGCCAAACCTCAGAAAAGTGTTCCTGGAGAGGGATCTGGTGAGTTTAAGAAGGATGGCGAATTCTCTGTTCCCAGCTCAAATGTCCGTGAATACCAGAAGGCTCGTGCTAAAAAGAAATACATTGAGCATAGGAGCAATGAGACCTCTGTAATTCACTCTCTGCCTTTTGGTGAACAAACATTTCGCCCTCGAGGGATGCTCTATGAATGTCAGGAGTGTGGGGAGTGCTTTGCTCATAGCTCTGACCTCACTGAGCACCAGAAGATTCATGATAGGGAGAAGCCCTCTGGAAGCAGAAACTATGAATGGTCTGTCATTCGCAGCTTGGCCCCTACTGACCCTCAAACAAGTTACGCCCAAGAGCAGTATGCTAAAGAGCAAGCGCGGAACAAATGTAAGGACTTCAGACAATTTTTTGCTACCAGCGAAGACCTCAACACAAACCAGAAAATCTATGACCAAGAGAAGTCTCATGGCGAGGAGTCTCAAGGCGAGAATACTGATGGGGAGGAGACCCACAGCGAGGAGACCCATGGTCAGGAGACAATTGAAGACCCTGTCATTCAAGGCTCAGACATGGAAGACCCTCAGAAGGATGACCCTGATGACAAAATCTATGAATGTGAGGACTGTGGCCTGGGCTTTGTGGATCTCACAGACCTCACAGACCATCAGAAAGTCCACAGCAGGAAGTGCCTGGTTGACAGTCGGGAGTACACACATTCTGTAATTCACACCCATTCCATCAGCGAGTATCAGAGAGATTACACTGGAGAGCAGCTGTATGAATGTCCAAAGTGTGGGGAATCTTTTATTCATAGCTCATTCCTTTTCGAGCATCAGAGAATCCATGAACAAGACCAGTTGTATTCCATGAAGGGGTGTGATGATGGTTTTATTGCCCTCTTGCCCATGAAGCCACGGAGGAATCGTGCTGCAGAGAGGAATCCTGCTCTTGCTGGGTCGGCCATTCGATGCCTTTTGTGTGGACAAGGCTTCATTCATAGCTCTGCCCTTAATGAGCATATGAGACTTCATAGGGAAGATGATTTACTGGAGCAGAGCCAGATGGCTGAGGAAGCTATCATTCCAGGCTTAGCCCTCACTGAGTTTCAGAGAAGTCAGACCGAAGAGAGACTCTTTGAATGTGCAGTCTGTGGAGAATCTTTCGTCAACCCAGCAGAACTTGCAGATCACGTAACTGTTCATAAGAATGAGCCCTATGAGTACGGGTCCTCCTATACTCACACCTCATTTCTTACTGAGCCCCTCAAAGGAGCTATACCATTCTATGAATGCAAGGATTGTGGTAAGTCCTTTATTCATAGCACAGTCCTCACTAAACATAAGGAGCTTCATCTGGAAGAAGAAGAAGAAGATGAAGCAGCAGCAGCTGCAGCAGCAGCAGCCCAGGAAGTTGAAGCCAATGTCCATGTTCCACAAGTAGTTCTGAGGATTCAGGGCTTAAACGTAGAGGCTGCTGAGCCAGAAGTGGAGGCTGCCGAGCCAGAAGTGGAGGCTGCTGAGCCAGAAGTGGAGGCTGCTGAGCCAAACGGAGAGGCTGAAGGGCCAGATGGAGAGGCTGCAGAGCCCATTGGAGAGGCTGGACAGCCAAATGGAGAGGCCGAGCAGCCAAATGGGGATGCTGATGAGCCAGATGGTGCAGGTATTGAAGACCCAGAAGAAAGAGCTGAAGAGCCAGAGGGAAAAGCTGAAGAGCCAGAGGGAGATGCCGACGAGCCTGACGGTGTGGGAATTGAAGACCCAGAAGAAGGTGAAGATCAAGAGATTCAGGTAGAAGAACCATACTATGACTGCCATGAATGCACAGAAACCTTCACTTCCAGCACAGCATTCAGTGAACACCTGAAAACTCATGCCAGCATGATCATATTTGAGCCTGCAAATGCCTTTGGGGAGTGCTCAGGCTACATCGAACGTGCCAGCACCAGCACAGGTGGTGCCAATCAAGCTGATGAGAAGTACTTCAAATGTGACGTCTGTGGGCAGCTCTTCAATGACCGCCTGTCCCTCGCCAGACACCAGAATACCCACACTGGCTGAGGGCATGGGGTAAAGGTTAGAAAACCTTCACCTAGGACTTGACCCTTACCAAACCACAGAGAATCCAAACCAATCCATGATAATGTCAGTAGGAGACTTAACCTTAGTGTGTTACACACCTGACTTAACATCTCTAAACTCAGATTGAAAAGAGACCGAATGTGCAGATTCCACAGTCTTAAGCTTTCCCCTTCAGATGTCAGTGTCTGCATGTGGGAAAGCCATAGCACACATCTTACCTTTCCAAGTAATCAGATTGAGAAAACCCTATGAGTATTCCAGACTACAGAGTTTGCCCAAATCAACTGTAAATGACACTTGTGTAACGTATATATAGTGTTTCATGAGGTGTATATAAAATAGCAAATTATGACAGAACAGTGATCACATATATTTGGATTTATATGATATACAGTTACAGTTTACTCTGCAGAGGTACCTTACCTGGTATTCTTTGAATTTTTTTTTTTTTTGGAGGAGGAAGAGAGCAACAAATTTGATTATATTTTTAAGTGTCTTAGATCCTGAGAAAGATTTATTGTGCATTATTTGAACCCTGTCAATATCTTTTTGAGTAATTGTTTTGTTTCTTACCCTTAAATAGTCTTGTGAAGCTGTAGGCATGATAGATAACATGGCTTTTACTCCTTACTGTTTGAAAAGATAAGTACTTTAGCTTCTTTCTGCAGCCATTTCATCTGCGCCAACACTTTGGAACCTAATACTGTGTAAGGCTTTACAATATACGGATTGGCTTTTTGTGACCCAGATTGATTGGTTGCCACATGTTATGTTTGTTGAAGTGGTTCTCATGCAAAAATATTACACATTTGTGTTCTGGGTTTTTTTTTTTTTTAACCAACTCAATATGTGTTTGATGATAGTGAATTGATAAAACCCGAAGCTTTTCCCTGTAAATCTTACATCTTTGCCTTTAAAGAATGGGTTACAACCATCACTAGATCACAGTAGTGCCTAATGAAGGTTGAGAACCGTAGGAGAGGCTCTCATGCTGTAAATAATGTTGCAGGCTAATAACCTTTCATCACTTCCTTTGTGCGCTTCCTGCCTTAAGTGACAAGTAGCAACATGGCTTGGGTCCCCTGTGCAGCATCAGCTTATGCTGCCACAAGTCAGTTTGCACCCTAGGTGCCCAGGAGCTAGTATCCTTAGATCTTTCTATCGCTAACTTAATTCTCTTCGTTATTTATCTGACCCTCTAACTCCATGTCTAACTTGCATTAAAAAAAAAAAAATTCTTTACAGTCAACCCAAGCTTAACATGGACTCAGGTTCCCCAGCAGCCTTAATTTGTTTTGTTAACATCTGTTCCTTCTTTTTCAGCTCTCCTAGAGTATTTCTGAGTGTTGTGTTCATCTAATCTTAGTATTCTTTTAATTACAAATTGACCTCACAGCTTGAGGTTTCTTGTGTCCTATTCTGTGGACTACCTGTGCTCCTTTGCTTCCCCTCCCCTCGCATAATAACTATATTAAGAAATTTTTTTTGGCCTTGAGTTGGCTGGAAAAAAAATATAAAATTTAAAAAATTTAAAAAAAAAGATTTGCAAAATGTAAGTGTAGATCATTTGAACAAGCAAAATTAAAGTACCCACTGGGGGAAATGTGTCTGAATCTTACTCTTCTGGATCTGCAGGATTAGGGCTTGGAAGTATGTCAAAGATGCAGGGAGTGTCAAAGTTTAGGAAGATTGTAGAGCTGAGAGCAAGAAGCAGAAATGAGTGAGTCAAAGAAGGGAGTCCTAATATATCACCAGATCTAGGAGGGGAGAGGAGACAGACAGAAGAAAACACCAGAGGCAAGAACTGTAGAAGGCCAGGTTTCTGAGAATGAATTGAGCGGGGTGTCCTGAGCAGTTTGGAAAAGGAGTTTTTGATGGTATGGTGTAGGTGAGGGCTGGCTGCATAGGAAGGACTGAGGTTGGAACGGACATCGGGAAAGCTGAGGGGCAGTGAGGTTTACTACATGGGAAAAGGACTCTTGAAACGAGAATCAGTGTTGATGTCGGGGTGAACTTTGTGGGTACATTACTTGGTGTTAACATTGTTGGCAGTGGTAGCCCCTTTTCAGAAAGCAACTTGCTGTAAGTCAGGGTGTCCGTTCCAACCTTCAGCTAGTGAAAAGGTAGTAACAAATGGTAAACAAGAGAATGATTGTTTAAACCTATCTGTGGACACTTAATGCAACTGTTTAAAAATGATAATCACGAGTTATGTAGCAACGTGGAAATATATTTACAGAACATTAAGTGGAGAAAGCAGGACACGAAAGTATATTTATACTACAGTTATAACTCAACAGTTCATTTATATGCTGTTCATTTAACAGTTCATTTAAACAGTTCATTATAACTGTTTAAAAATATATATGCTTATAGTCAAAAGCTGTTGTGGTGTTGTTGTTGTAGGCTTATAGTTGAGCATTATTTTCTTAAATTTCTTGAATGTTCTTTATGGTAGTGTTACTAAAAAGTTTATGATCACATTTTCATTGTGAACATAATTTGAACTCATTATCACACACTTGGAAAATACAGAAAAGTGGAGGAAAAAAAATCATATCCCCACCATCCAAAGACATATACTCTCCTCTTATCTTGTTCATTCTTGTTTCTGTGCACAGGTTTATGATTATAACTGTGTCAAAATGTATATTCAAAATAGCTGTTACATTACCTTTGTGGAATTATGGTTAAATACTTTCACTTTAATTTTTTCAAATGTTCCCTATAATAATGTCCTGATAACAGTGTATTATGTGTGTCTCCATTGGTGTGCATAATACATACCCAGAGGAAAAATTAGAAAATAAAGTAAATTATTTTAAAAAATTACCTATATTCCCAACACCTAACAACTACTGCTAACATCTTGATCTGTTTCCTCTATCTTGTTTCAGTGCACACGCTTGTGATAACAGTGTTAAATATGTGTGCATAAAGTCTTAAATGAAAAGATGTGGAAAATAACTAAAATAGTGTTGTCATTGTGGGAATTTGGTTAAATATTTTGTCTCAAATTCCTTAAATAATCTTTGGTGTTTTGGTAATAAATTTTATGTATGTATTTTCCATTACAAATATAATACATACTCATACAAAACTTTGGAAATTCAGTAAAGAAAATTCACACATATTCCCAACACCCAACAACAATTAACTGTTAACATCTTGATCTGTGCACTAGTCTGTGATTATTAGGGTGTTAGTGATAAGTATGCATAAATGTCAAAGATGGGAAGAAAGATGAAAAACAAGAAATAGTTGTGTGGTTGTTGTGGGATTATGGTTATTTTGTTTCGGTTTCCTTGAAAGGTCATCATTCTAGTGTTTTGGTAGTCCACCTTTACTACATATATTTCCATTATATATGAAATGTGTTCATTATAGAAACTTTGAAGTTACAGAAATGTAGAAGAGAAACTCACCCATGTTTTCACCATCCAAAGAGTGTGGTTAACATCTTGATATATTTTCTTCATCTTGTTTCTGTGCACAGGTTTTTGGTTTGTTAATATGGTTGTGGTCATTCTATCTGTAATAGTGTCAACAATAAAAATAAAGTTAAAAATAAATATTTCTCAGTCTCTTTTGTCTGTTTTGTTTTTGGGGCTTTAAATATGTTATTTTGTTAGAGTTATAAATCCAAAAGCTTAGTTCCTCCTTTAGCCTAAAAAGTTTGGTTTGCAAATCTTACTCTATTTTTAAGTATTATCTATTTCAACAATTACTTCTAAGGGATTTTTAAATACTGTTTGATTTCACATTTGTAACTGCCCTTATGAAACTAAAACATATGTTCCAACAATTTTTTTAAAGTTGATAATGACCGCAAGTACATCTTAGTTACTTGAGTGGGCATTTTTAATTGGAAATGTGAGATTGTCTCAAACATAAAAAATCACAGACAATAATAAACCCTTAACATAAAAGTGTTGATACTATGTTATAGAATCTCAAGTGTTTATTCCTGACTCTTGCCTGAGGTTAAAAGGTAATTATCCTGAGTGGGTCATCTCTGTACTGTTTTTCCCCCAAGTTCATTAACCATACTTTAACCTGACTTCCCCACGAGAAACATCCCATGCAATTCAGTAGATTGTCATCCCTGAGAGTAATTTTTAAACATGCCTGTGATTCCATAATGATCAGAGCTTTTCAACCAGCTTGCTAACTGGAACCCTGTTGGCGACCACAGTGGATAGCACCATACCCAATTTGCGGCTGCTGTGTCCCTGATTCCATAAGTCGGAGGAGGAGATGATTGTGTACTTCATGCCCGTCTAATATCCTTCATGTCACATGATTGGATTTTGTTCTTAAGATATAAAAGTGTACTTGCCACTAATTCTAACTAGGATTTGACAGAGTCCTGCATTCTTTCATGTTCTTAGAACTTTATATCTTGTGGCATCTGACTATTTGGTCACAGCTTCCATGGTCATTCTGTGACGAGCATCAGCATAGGTCAGGGTGGGAGGATTGGGACTTTTTAAGGATGGATTTCCTAAATAATGTGTTACAAGAGGCTGTAAAGGAAGGGAATGAAGTAGGTGTCATTAGGGGTTGTTTGACCAATCCTTATACTCTTGGGCAATTCCTTCCTCCACCCCACAACCCAGTTGAAGGGGTAACTAACTTCCCTACTGCTATGCTTATTCTGTTAGACTTGACCTCTCCCTGGTGTCAGTTGATTGATGCCCATAGGTTCCCCGTGTCCAGTCAGACTCAGAGTGAGGGCTACCTAGGTGGTCATATGGGTTGGGGCTGGGTATACTTGTGAATAAACAGGCCTAGAAGGAAATAGACCATAAAGCCAGAGGGAATCCTGGTTCCTGGTGCCTCATCCACCCCAGTGCCTTGTGGAGTCTGGCTGAACTGCCTGCCCTTGGTTTCTTTTACATGGTTAATCCATTTTTTGACAAACCTCTCAAGGATTAGTGGATGTTGAATCTAAACACTAATTGTTGGGGATCAGAACATTGCAGGGTGAAGAGCAATGAACATACACTGTCTGCAGGCTAGCCAGCTCTCGAGTTTAAGTCACTCCTCCCCTAGAAAGGCAGGAGTGATGAAGAAGCCAGGACTGGTACCATATCTCCCCACCAGCCAGACAGCAGATTGATTGATCATACCAAGCCCTTTTAACCACAGAAAGGGCAGTTTTGTAGCCTCATGGAATAGAGATTCATTCTGGACTTAGACTTGACTTTTCCTGCCCACCAGCCTCTCAGGAATGTCTGCTGACTTACTGCATGCCTCGTACCACTTATATACCATATGAAGCAGCAAGGAGTACAGAAAAAATCTGGGGAGACTACTCTCAAACCAAAGTAGTTCAAGAAGGTTCCCCGTGATAATTGCATGGTTTCTTCCACAAAGCCAAAGGGTGAATTGTCCAGGATAGCTCTTCTGTATGCCCAGCATCCGTTAAATAACAGCACACTGCATGGTTTTGGTGGACTATCCTGACCCCATTCCTTCTGATCACCATCCCTGCCCCTCCCTCATGCCAGCAAAGGACTAATTACATGGTTTGGGGTAGACCAGTCAGACTTCCTCACCCAAGAATTTGAATTTTCAGTAGAGCAATACATGGATTGAAGGTGTTCAAAGCCCAGTCATTCTTATGGCCACACTGAGAAAAGGCAGTCTATTATTTCCCCCTAGTGAGATTAACAAGTCTTCTTTGATTGCTGTCCTACTAGAAGGACTGATAACTCTTTACTCACTATTTTAAGCTACACAATATTATTCCAGTAAGATCCAGTTTCCCCCTTAAATTAACCTGAATGAATTTAAGTTACTTGCAAGCAGAGAATTCTAGCACAAATGTGTTTTCTTTTTAATTTTCTTTTTTTTTTTTGAGACAAGGTCTCACTCTGTTGCCCAGCCTGAAGTGCAGTGGCACAAACACAGCTCACTGCAGCCTCAACCTCCTGGGCTCGAGTGATCCTCTGGCCTCACCTTCTTGTGTAGCTGGGATCACAGGCAGGTGCCACCACACCCAGCCAATTTTTTAATTTTTTGTAGAGACAGGATCTCAATATGGTGCCCAGGGCTCAAGTGACCCTCTTGCCTTGGCCTCCCAAAATCCTGGGATTACAGGCGTGAGCCACTGTGCCTGGCCTAGACATGTTTTTTTGTTGTTGTTGCCCTGTCAGAGATATTGATGACCATTCCAAACTCAAGAAGACTTATTTTCAAGGGAATCTATCCTATCACAGCTGAACATATGGAAAGTTTCTGTCTGTATAATCATAACATGATACAAATGGGAACTCACTTTCTCAAAAAATTCTGATTTAAGTTCTTTATTCTATTTTTTCCCTCATCCCATCATGAGGAAGCGCATAAAGGGATACGTTGGTCATTTGCCTGTCATCTTGAATTAGTCTTCAGGGATCACTGGGAAAGAAGTCAATTTTCATTTTGGTTTATAACCACGTTTTGCCTTTTATTCAAGAACCATGAGGTCTCTTCTCCATGCAAGGTCTTCTTAAAATTTCTCTGACTCTGAACTCCCAAGCCACCTTAATTCATTCAATAATTGATGGGCCATTTGTAAGTGTCAGGTACTGTTTGGGGCATTTGGCATTCTGTGGGGGACAAATCAGACATGGTCCCTGCCCTCATGGAACCAAGAGTATGTGTATATTTGGGCTGCCATAACAAAATATCTTAGACTGGGGAATTTATAAACAACAGAAATTTACTGCTCACAGTTCTGGAGGCTGGGAAGTCCAAGATCAAGGTGCCAGCAAATATGGAGTCTGATGAGGGCTTGCTTTCTGCTTCAAAGATGATGACTTCTTGCTGCATCCTCACATGGCAAAAGAGGCTAGGTAGCTCCCTTGCACATCTTTTATAAGGGCACTAATCCCATTCATGAGGGCTTAGCCCTCATGACCTAATCACCTCCTAAAGGCCCCACCTCTTAGTACTGTTGGATTGGGGTTTGAACATCAACATATGAGTTTTGTGGGGACACAAACATTCAGACCACAGCAGTATGTACGGGGAGGAAGGCAGTAACAATATATCTCCCAATATACATTCTCCTGTTCTTGCTAAATGTTGACTGGTTATGTGGCTATTTAGAAGAAGTAAATATTTTCTCAGCTTCCCTTGCAGCTAGAAGTAGGCATGTGACTAATGTCTGGTCCATGGGATGAGCACAGTAAAGGTATGTGTGATTTCCAGGTCACAACCAGCCTTCTACTCTCTCCTCCCCCTTCCCCACAGGCTGGAATGTAGAAATAATGGTAGGAACTGGAGCAACCATCTTGGATCAAAAAAGGGAAGCCATGTATTGAAGATGTCAGAGTAATGAGATAAGAGCTTATGTCTGATGATTCTTGACTACCTATCCAGGCTTTTACATGAGAAATAAACATCTGTCATATTTAAGCATCTATTAATTGGGGGCTCTTCATTACAGGAATGAAACAAACAAATATTGGGAAATAATTTAAAGCTCATGGGAAAGTTGCAAGAATAGTACAAAGATCACCCATCTTCACTGATTGGTAACATTTCTCCTATTTGTTTTGTCATTTGCACACTCTATTATATATATACCTAATACATTATTTTTATAACCACTGGGCATAGATTTCACACATCACAAAGCTCACCTCTGAATACTTCAGTCTGTGTCACCTAAGAATAAGAATTTTCTCTTACATAACTGAGGTACTATTATAACCTTTGCACATTTAATATTGACACAGTGCTTTTATCAAATCTGTCAATATTCCAATTTTATCAACTTGCTAAATACCCTCCATTTAAATATTCTTTTTTTCTCCAGTACAGTATCCTTTCTAGGGCTAGGACCAGGCCTGTGTTTAGCAGTTGTAAAGTAGCCTCCTTTAATCTGGAAAACCTCCTCAGCCTTTCTTTGGTTTCTAAGTCACACTCTGACACACTTTGGGGTTTGGGGGGCCATTTTCCTATGAATTAGATTCAGGTTATGCAGTCGTTCCTGGAATACCACATAAGTGATTCTGTGTCCTTTCAGGACCTCACGTTTTAACCCACAAGAGATCCATATGCCATCACTGGTGATGCTAGTTTTGATCCACCCAGTCAAGGTGGTTGCCTGATTTACCCACTGAATACTTTCTGGTTTCCCTCCTTGCAACTAATAAACAATCAGTGGGAGACACTTAGATAAAGCAAGTAAGGAAGGATTGGGGAATATTTTGATTGGTCCATGATGGGTCACATGTCTACTGCAGAACCAATCCACAACTGGGGGATGTAGGACTCTTATTGGCCCAGCCTGAGTTGCGTGCCTGGCCCTTCCCAGTGGAAGGTCCCAGACTCTCCCTAAAGTTAAACAATGAAATTGTGGAGTAAGTCTGTGGTTCTCAAATGGGATTGAACGATTTGCCCTCCAGGGGACATGTGGCAATGTCTGGAAACATTTCTGGTTGTCACAACTGAAGGGGTGATGCTACCAGCATCTCATAGGTGGAAGCTGCTCAATACCCTATAATGCACACGACAGTGTCCCCACCCCCAGGACACAGAATGAACCGACCCAAAATGTCAGTAGAGCCAAGGCTGAAAAACCCTGGAGCAGAGGAAGGATGGTTCTGCAAAGGAAGGGGGACAGAGCAGAGACCCAACCCTCCAGTCTACTCTGATGCCTCGCAGCTGAAAATGCCAGCCTGGTGAAGCTGAAAGCCCAGACTCTGGGGTCTAACTGCCTGGTCACAAATATTGCCTCTGCCACTAACAGCTGTCAATCTTGGGTTATTTCCTTAACTATTCTGTGCCTCAGTTTCCTCATCTGTAAAATGGGGCTGGTGTTAGTACCCCCGTTACGGGGTTACTATAAGGTTTAAGTGAGTGCATTACTTGTACCATTCTTGGAACATGCCTATTTTACAAATGTTTGTAACATAACTGATTGGAAATTTCCACCCTTGAAGAAGGTTAGATGCACACTTCTAATCCTAACCCTCTGCCTGTCCCATTCTAATCATACTGAGTGGGACAAGTTAGTGAAGCTTTCTTGTCTCAGTTTCCTCTTCTGTAAAATGGAGAAATAACAACAGAGGCTACCTTGTGAGGGTTACATGAGATCATAGTACGTCAAGCATGTAGAAGAGGAAATAACCATTAGGTAGGAATAATAGTCTTGACAGAAATCGCTACACCTACTCATTGCTTACCTGAAGACTGCGGTCTCCAGGTAGCATGTGGGTGCTATCTTGTTTCTAGGCTTTGAGAAGTAGCTTCAGTAATGGAAGATATGAATGCTGGTCCCTCAGTTGGATTGACTGAGGCAGCCCAATTCTTGGGACAACTTTCTTTAATAGCACCTTTGCCACCTGATGTGCAGTGTCAGTGCAGGTGGCAAAGGCTTCTATCCACCCTGAAAAGGTGTCAGTGAAGATCAGGAGGTATTTAAAGTTTCCCAGGCCTCTGGGCATAACTATGAAAACTTTCTCATCTTCCCCTGGACATCTACCTTGGAACTGGACCAGCTGAGGAGCCCTCTCTGAGTTCCTCTCACCCCTGCTATCCCCACGTGGGGTGGGTATCAGGGGTTATTAACATAGTAGGTGGGATGAGTCCCAGCCACCTTTTTGATTGACTCCCTGAAGTTTGGGACAGTCATGCTTTCACAAAATCAGTTATAAAGGATTTCTTCACCAAAGTGGGTGTTAGAGTGAGCCTTTTTAATGGCCTGCAGTGCAACTGTTTTTAGGAAAAGAAATTGTCCACGAGGGTTTATTAGCCATCCTGGATGGTCAGGATTTTTGGTATAACCCCATTTGGTCGCCTTTTTCCATTCCTTTTGAGAGAAAACTGGGGTTAAAAGAGCAGGACCCAGGAGGAAAGGCAAAAGTGGCATTTGGAATGTGACCTTCCCTAAAGCTGCCTGTTTTGACCCTAGGTTGGCTTTATTATTTTCTTTAATTACCTCAATGTCCCACTTCTGGTGGCTTCAGCAACGGACTATTGCCATGTGGGCTGGTTTTCTTCCAGCTTCCAATAATCTTAAAATGATGGCACTAACGTTTAAGAGTTTAACCTGCCCCTTTCCTTCCAAATAGCCCCATGTGGGTGTAAGATGGAATACACGTGCCTGGAATCAGTGTATACGGTGAGGACTTTCCCTTCCCCAAACTCTAACGCCTGGGTTAGAGCAACAAGCTCTGCTTTCTGTGAAGAGCATCCTGGCAAGAGAGCGCTGGCTTGTATAACTTCAGTGGGAGAGAACATAGCACATCTGCCCTCCTCTGTTCCTCTTGCAGATAGCTGCTCCTACCAGTGAACCATTGGACTTCCACATTTTCAGTAGGTTCACTTTTAAGGTCTGGGCTACTGGAGTACACTTCACCATCACCTCTAAGCAGTTGTGAGATAGGTAACCATCTTCAGATGGAAAGAGGGTGGCAGGGTTCAAGCTGTTACACACCTTCAAAGTTATGTGGGGGTCATCAATAAGCATTACCTGTAACTGGAGAGCCTTGCCTGGGGACAGCCCTTCTGCCCCCTTTCTTTTATGAGGGTCTGGGTATGGTGGGGAGTCCAGACAGTTAACTTTTTTGTCTCTTTTGAAAGGGTGGCCATGGCCATCCCCAACCAAAGGCAAGGTGGCCATCCTTTAGCAACTGAGTCCAGCTGCTTGGAAAAGTAGATCATTACCCAGGTCAGTGGGTCCAACCTTTGAATATGTATTCCTAGGGCAATTCTTCCCCTCTCATGAACATAAACATGGAAAGGTTTGCTTAAATCAGGTAGGGCTAATTCTGGGTCTCTCGTGAGCTGGGTTTTTAGCTTTTGGAATGCTTGGTCACATTCTCCCATCCATTCGAAATGGTCAGATCCTCCAGCTTCATGGCTAGGGCCTCTCCAGATATTTTGGGGAAGTTTTTTGAACACCTGGGTCAACACAGTAAATGTCAGTTGCTGTTTCCTGCCTGTCTGAGGATCCTGCCATTTGAAAGTGAAGAGAGGCTGAGAGTCTGTGGCCAGTGGAATGCAGAAAAAGTCATCTTTTAGATCCAGGACTGAGTACCATGTACAACTTGGAGGCAGAGTGGACCATAGAGTATAAGGATTAGGTACCCTGGGTTTCTGTTTTCTGTGACCTCATTAATTGTCCTTAAATCTTACACTAATTGGTATTTTCCATTTGATTTCTTAACACGGAGGATAGGAGTACTGCAAGGGGATTGACAGGCCCTCAGAAGTCCCTGTTTTCTAAGCTTTTTAATCATTGGGGCCATCCCTTTTAGTGCATCTCGTTTGATCTAGTTTATATTTTAGGAGCTCAATAAAGGGGCTATCTTTTGCCTTCCCTCACGTTTCCATAGTCAATTTTGGTGGGTAATTTTATCCTTGAGGGTATTCAAAACCAAGTAGGTGGCCCCCTGTGTTGACCAAGAAGTCAACAGGCTTGTTCCTCATGCCCAGTGTCAGCCTGGGCTCCTGGGGGATGGACACCTGGAGGGCCAATTGAGGAGTCCCCAGGACCTGTCATTTTTACTACTTGGACCATCTGCCTCTGTGAGGCACCTGGTGGAACCTGCCCTCTTCCCCCTCCCTTCAGACATGAAGGAGACAGTCCCTTTTCCAGTGATCCTCCCCCTTATAGAGGGCATGTTGGTTTGGTCCTAGTCCCTTAGGTCTTTAGGATCCTTTCTGTTAGTTAGGGGACCTGGGATCACTCTCTTCAGCTGTGGTACTTTATGGATAGGTATCCTGTGAGTTATCCAGCTGGCACTTGAGGGCAACAGCCAGTAGGTGGGCTTGCCATTTGTCCTCTCTGTCTTCTTTATGTTCTTCATCCCTATCCCGGTTGTTGGACACCTTATTGGCCAGGTCTACTAGTCTTGAGATGAGAGCATCGAGCTCTAATTTTACTTTTTGGAGTTTATGTCTAATGTCTGCTGTGCTCTGAGAGCTACAATAGGATTGTTTGTCTCTTCTCTATGGGATTGGTCCACTTCCTCCCTTGCCCTTTTGAGAGCAGAGGTATTTTTCTGTTTCACTGAGGAGAATATTAAAAGGGACTGGACGTCTGCCCAGTTGAGGTCATGGGTCTGAAACTATTCTGAATGAGGTTTTGAAACCCCTCAGGATCTTCCCTTAGTCCTTTAGAATGAGACTTTCCGTTATAAAGCTCTGAAGTTGTGAAGGGAAAATGTACAGCAAACATCTCTATTTCCGCACTGGGGATCTGCTGGAAGGGGCATCATAGAGTAAGGCTGGTAAATGTCCTGCTCCAGGTAGTGGCTGGGCTGAGTCCCTCAGCAGAGTCTGAAGGGGATTGGTAAGGAGGGAGTGTGTTGCCTGCAGAGGCCACTGAGGATAAGGGAGCTATAGGTCAAAGATTATAGAATTAAAAATCAAAACCTCTTACAATCTCATTAATAGTAAATTAATACCATAAAGAGACCGGGAGAGGTGGCTCACACCTGTAATCCCAGCACTTTGGGAGGGCGAGGCAGGTGGATCACGAGGTCAGGAGTTCAAGACCAGCCTGGCCAACATGATGAATGCCCTGTCTCTACTAAAAACACAAAAAAATTAGCCGGGCATGGTGGTGGGCACCTGTAATCCCAGCTACTCGGGAGGCTGAGGCAGAGAATTGCTTGAACCTGGGAGGCGGAGGTTGCAGTGAGCCGAGATCGTGCCACTGCACTCCAGCCTGGGTGACTGAGCAAGACTCTGTCTCAAAAAAAAAAAAAAAAAAAGTAATACCATCAAGAAACCTTGTTTTAACATAGGGGACCAATCTCAGAAAGACTATTATGAATAATTTCTTATTAATTATAGCCAACTTAATCATATACAAAATTCCTTTTATAAATTTTCTTCCACAGACTTGATCATGAACTTACACAGACCATCTATGACATGCTTGGACCTTTTGATTTGTTCTATCATACCTCTTTTAAAATAATCGGTCATTTTATTTTAGGACAAAACTTTACCACATGAAATCCTTTTCTTATATAAAATTATTTCTTTTCTTACCAAAAATACATCTTTATGTCTAAAAATCTTTTCTCTCTTTCTCTCTCTTACTTACTGGTTCCTTTCTACCTTTTTAAATAAATAACTTTTAAATAACCTCTAAACTACATAAAATTATTGTTTTCTCAATAAGAATACAACTTACAGAGTTATATATTATTGCAATTCTTACTTTTAGTAACCTTAAATTTTAGTGAAAACTCAGGAAGCAATAAATCTTGAACTGTTTATCAGATGTTAGCATTTTATAGCTGAAACCATTCTGTAATTTTTAGAAACATGTTTTTTTCATATTATAACCCATTTTTAATTGGAAAACACCCAACATCTAATGAGTATTTATTATTCAAGATAATTATAAGATTTTAAATTACATGAAAAGTCTGTCTACAAGCATTTTTCCCATTTATATGTACTTAGTTCTTTCATTTTTTTAAGGATTCTTTTTTTTCTATTGTGAGGTCAAATTTACATACATCAAAACATACAGATCTTAAGGATATTATTCAATGAGTTTTGGAAAATATGTACACCTGTGTAACTCAAATCTCTATTAATATACAAAACAATATTGTCAATCCCAAAATTCCCTCTTGCTCCTCATCAATCAGTCTCCAACTCTGTCTCCTTAGGGGCAACCACCAATTTATTTTCACCACACATTAGTTTTGCTTGTTGTAGAATTAGCATGAATGGAATGACACAGCATGCATTCGTTGTGTAACTCTTCTTTCACTCAGCATGTTTTTCTATATTCATCCATTTTATCGCATGTATAGGCAGTTTGTTCCTTTTTTGCTGAGTGTAGTATTCCATCGCATGAACCTAGCATACTTTGGTTATTTATTCTACTATTGATTGACACCTGGGCTGTTTCCAGATTTTTGGCTATTATGAATATAGCTGCTAAGAACATTCATGTACAAGTATTTCTTTTGCATGTGTGGCCATATGTTTTTATTTCTCTTGGGTAAATACTTAAAAATGAAATCACTGGATCAGGTAGTAGGTATATGTTTAGGGTTTTTTTTATTTCCAACTTTTATTTTAAGGTCAGGGGTACATGTGCAGGATGTGTAGGTTTGTTACATAGGTAAATGTGTGCCATAGTGGTTTGCAGCACAGATCATTCCATCCCCTAGGTATTAAGCCCAGCATGCATTAGCTATTCTTCCCGATGCTCTCCCTCCCACTCCGCACCCTGCAACAGGCCCCAGTGTGTATTGTTCCCCACCATGTGTCCATGTGTTCTCATCATTCAGCTACCACTTACAAGTGAGAACATGTGGTATTTGCTTTTCTGTTCCTGCATTAATTTGCTGAGGATAATGGCTTCTGGTTCCATCCAGGTCCCTGCAAAAGACATTATCTTGTTCCTTTTTATGGCTGCATGGTATTCCTTGGTGTATACGTACCATATTTCCTTTATCAAGTCTGTCATTGATGAGCATTTAGGTTGATTCCATGTTTTTGCTATTTTGCAATGAACATGCACATGTATCTTTATAATAGAATGATTTATATTCCTCTGGGTATATACCCAGTAATGAGATTGCTGGGTCAAATGATATTTCTTCCCCTAGGTCTTTGAGGAATCACCACACTGTCTTCGACAAGGGTAGAACTAATTTATACTCCAACCAACGTATAAAAGTGTTCATTTTTCTTCACAACCTTGCTATCATCTGTTGTTTTTTGACCTTTAAGTAATAGCCATTCTGACTGGTGTGAGATGGTATCTCATTGTGGTTTTCATGTGCATTTCTCTAATGATCAGTGGTGTTGAGCTTTTTTAAAAAAAATGTTCATTGCCCACATAAATTTCTTCTTTTGAGAAGTGTCTGTCCACGTCCTTTGCCCATTTTTTAATGGCGTTGTTTTTTTTTCTTGTAAATTTGTTTAAGTTCCTTGTAGATGCTGAATATTAGACCTTTGTCAGATGGATATACTGCAAAAATTTTCTCCCATGCTGTAAGCTGTCTGTTCACTCTGATGATAATTTCTTTGCTGTACAGAAGCTCTTTAGTTTAATTAGATTCCATTTGTCAATTTTTGCTTTTGTTGCTACTGCTTTTGGCATCTTTGTCATGAAATATTTGCCTGTGCCCATGTCCTGAATGGTATTGCCTAGATTTTCTTCTAGGGTTTTTATAGTTTGGGTTTTTACATTTAAGTCTTTAATTCATCTTGAGTTGATTTTTGTATATGGTATAAGGAGGGGCTCCAGTTTCAACTTTCTGCATATGGCTAGCCAGTTCTCCCAACACCATTTATTAAATAGGGACTCCTTTCCCCATTGCTTGTTTTTGTCACATGCACACACACACACACAAAGATCCAAAAGCCTTTACCTCAGTATTTTAGCCATGAGATGCAATACGAACTCACCATTGTATAAAGATAGCTGGATCCAAATTATTTCCAACAAAATTGGAACGTGTTCACATGGCTAAACTTTGTTTGCCCTGATAAGTAATTCAATGAAAGCTGTGGACCAAAATTTTGGGTAAAGCAGTCTTCATGGCAGTTTTGATTGTAAAAACTTCTTTTTCATTTTTTTCTTCAGTTTCAAAGAAGTTTCCAGTGTTCCCATTTCAGTTAGATCATAAATAATAAGTGTTATTTCAGCACCAGCAACTTAATAACAGCAGATTCAAAGCTGGCAGAGAAGAAAAGAAAGGAAGATATGGAGCTTTAGAGGATTCTACTTAACTCTGTAGCAGCAGATTAACCATTTAAGCTCTAAATTTTCCTTACTGTGCACAAAACCGATATTGGCCATTGCACTCAGGCATCCCTGGTGTCTTATTGAGGCTAGTGGGCATCACTGGCACCCTGTCTCAGGTAGTCTCCCATAGGTACCTTAACCTCATAATGGAGATTTCTTCCAATCCCCCAAAAGTGGTCCCTTAAACTCACAGCCTCTGAATCATCCTCCTTTTGGTAGAGCAGCCAAGGCCACCTTGTTTTTAGGGCCTCAGGGAGGAGGAAGAGGAGGAGGAGGAGGGGAAGAAGGAGGAGAAGAAGAAAGAGGTACTTTTAAGACGGGGAGAAATCCAAGTTCCTCCAGTGCATGGAAATTGACATGTAGGAGGTTTTCACAGGCATAAGAGAACAAACACTAACAGGAATAAACAGAAAGAAATAGAAAAGAACACACACACATAAAAGACTTGCTGGTAGGTCATTTCCTGGTTCTGTAGTCTACACTGTCAACCCTTCAATTCCTCTCTCACCTTTCTAAGGATGGTTTTCTTTAAATCAATATAATAATAAATTTTGTCATGCTTTCAGCTCACCCTCACATAGTCACAGCTTATTTATTTATTTATTTGTTTATTTATTTATTTGAGACATAGTCTCACTCTGTTGCCCAGGCTGGAGTGCAGTGGGCAGCTCACTGCACTTCACGAGTTCAAGCCATTCTCATGCCTCAGCCTCCTGAGTAGCTAGGACTACAAGTGTGCACCACCACACCCAGCTATTTTTTAAAAATATTTTTAGTAGAGAGGGGGTCTCACCATGTTGATTAGGCTGGTCTCAAACTCTTGACCTCAGGTCATCTGCCTGCCTCAGCCTCCCAAAGTGCTGGGATTACAGGTGTGAACCACCAAGCCTGGCTGAGCCACCGTGCCTGGCCTCTTTAAATCAATAGAATAATAAATTTTGTCATGCTTTCAGCTCACCCTCACGTAGTCACAGCTTAGTTTAGTCTTTACGTAGACAAGACCCCTAAAAACTTAAAACAAAGATGGTGTGTTTGTCTGCTTGCTTTCTGACGACACCCTACTCTGTAATGGAATAGCTTCTAATAAACTTGCCTTTTTCACCATGCTCTGTGACTTGCCTTGAATTCCTTCCTGTGTGAGATCCAAGAACCCTCTTTTGGGGTTTGGATCAAGACCCTTTTCTGGCAACGCTTTCATTTGCCTGCTCTTTGTCCCACTCATTCTGGGCATATGGTCAGCCTCCCCACCCCCCACTGCCTGGGGGACCTTTAGTGGACTCACTGAGCAAGCTCACCCCAGTTGTCCATGGGTGAGCAGCCAGAGGGTAAGCTTTGCTTGGTCATTTCTGGGCCTAGAGGACTGACCCGCTCTCCAGCGGGGATCAGCCTCCAGCTTAGAGGTTCGGGCATGAGTGGAGCCAACCTGCAGCAGTGGCATCCAGCTTCGGGGATGCCACTGTTCTGTCACTCTAGCCTGGGTGACAGAGTGAGACATCATCTCTAACAAAGTTAAAAAAAAAGAAAAAGAAAAATTTGGAAGAAAATTCCACCAAGTTCCAAAAACCACAACTTAAATTTGCCATGTGTGCTGCGTACTGTCAAATCCGCAAGAATGATGTGTAGGTACTGTACTAGGTAATGTAAGTAATCTAGAGATGATTTAAAGTATGCCTAAGCATGTGCATAGATTATATGCAAATACTATGCCATTTTACATGAGGCTTCAGCGTCCACAAAATTTGATACCCTGGGGGGTCCTAAAACAAATCCCCCAGGAATACTGAGGGAAGCCTTACACACATATACATATACATTTCTTCTACAAGTATAAAGAAACATTGGTGGGGCACTTCAGATCAGTTACAGTGGTTACGTATGTTTTGGGGGTAAAATTTTGGTGAATGGTGCACACGTGGTGTGAGGAAGGGTTTTCACTGACTACCGCTTATTTTCAAATTTTTGAAATTAGTTTGTTATTTTTTATTTTTACCACTTATCCTCAAGTTCTAAGTAACATATTAACTCTCCAAAACTTACATAAGGCATTAGTTTTTTTGTTGTTTTGTTTTGTTTTTGTTTTTTTGAGGTGGAGTCTCGCTCTGTCGCCCAGGCTGGAGTGCAGTGGCGCGATCTCGGCTCACTGTAACCTCTGCCTCCCAGGTTCAAGCAATTCTCCTGCCTCAGCCTCTCGAGTAGCTGGGGTTACAGGCGCCCACCACCAACAGAAGGCGTTAGTTTTAAGAAGGAAGGTCACAGGAGCGCCCTCCTACGTCGCCGCCCTTCTCCTCGCCGTACCAACCCTATCCTCGTGTCTCACAGGGCACTTGGCCAGGAGCGGCTGTGGTTCCTCAGCCCGTCCACCGCAGAGCGCACGCGCAAGCCAGCCACGGCGCATGCGCTGCTGGTTTTGGTCAGGGCGTGGAGACGTTCAGCCAGGCCAGGGCGTGAGGCGTGCGAGGTAAGTTCGCTGGGCCCGGGGTAGGATAGCGGCCGGCGAGCGGGTAGCCCAGCCAGGGGCCTGGGCGGGGCTGGGGCCCCAGTGGACTTGAGGGCGCAAGAGGCATCCAGCGCGGGGCAGCGCGCGGCTTCGTGAGGAAGACTCCGCGGCGGGCCCTACTGGGGCCTTGTGGTGGAAAAGCCACCCCAGAGGCGAGGGCTGCGTCTGACTGCCCTAAAATCGGTGCCCCTGCAGGGAGGGACCCAGGACGGCTCTGCGCTGGTGGGCCTGGAGCCCACCCCAAGGCCGGAGGCTGAGGCTTGAGAATCACTTGAGCCCAGGAGGCAGGGGTTGCAGTGAGCCAAGATTGCGCCACTGCACTCCAGCCTGGGCGACTGAGCGAGACTCTGCCTCAAAAAAAGAAAAAAAAGAAAAGAAAAAAAAGAAACACCCCAATGTAAAGAAGCACAAAGGGCGTGAACAATTTATAATTGGCTTGTAAATCTGAAACAAAGAGAAAGCCGTATTATTAATCAAAAGAAATGTAAAATTAAAGAATAAAATGATATATTTTTCAATCTGTCTAATTGACAACAGATTTTGAGGGATGATAATGCTCTTGATTGGCAGAACCAGTTACATAATTTGCAGGGCCTAGGGCAAAATGAAAATGTGGGGCTCCTTGTCCAAAAAATTGTGAAAAATTTCAAGAGAGTGACAGTAAAGCATTAAACTAGGCCTGTGGGCTTTATGAGAATGGGGCTCTTGTGACTGCCCTGATTACAAGCCCATGAAGATGGCACTATTGGCTTGTAAGGTGGACTGAGTGAGACATGTAATCTTATACATTGAGTTTGGAAGAAGAAGTTGGTAGCCGTTGAAAGGAAAATTTGGCAGATTGTGTCAAGAACTTTTAAAAACAGTTTATCCCTTTTGTCTATGTAATTTGGGAGCAAATACTTAGTTTCAGTGATGTTCATTACGTTATGATTTCTAATGGAAAACAAAAATAAATGCTTTCAAATGGAAAAACTGTTAAATTATAGAAATAAAAGGCGTAAGTTTTAGTGGGGATAAGAAAAGAAAAAAATGTTTTCCCCAAGTGGCATCTTTGTTCATGGTTTCTTAGAGTGAGTGTAGCCTTTATGGAAGGTATGTTTTATTTCTGTGATTACAGAAGAAATGAAGGTTTGTTGTAGAACATCTTGAAGCTAGAAAATAGTTTTGAGAGAAAGTACAAAATCACCTATAAAAATCACTTATAATATTACCGTTCGTACTTAACCCACTGGCACAGTATTTTGGTTTACCACCTTTTCTCTGCTTTATATGGGTAAGCATATATTGTTATGTACAGGTTTCCTTTTTCCGCTTGATATTATGACTAGATGTTTTCCTACAACTATAATACAGCTAATAAATGTTTAGCAAAATATACATATGGAAAAGGGCACAAACCACAAATGTGTAGCTCAGTTTTCAGAAAGTGAATACACTGTGTCCACATCATTCCTAGCTTTCCAGAAGCCCTAATGCCTGGTTCCAGTCATTACCACCCTTCCCCCCAACAGCAGCCACTATTCTGACTTCAAACACTTTAGGTTTATTTTGCCTGTTTTTGACCTTTATATAAATGGAATCATATAATACAGACCTTTTTTTTTTGAGCCTGGTTTCTTTCATTCAACAGCAACTTAACATTCATATTTTCTGTTTAGCATTCCAATATACAAATATATCATCCTACTGTGGCTCTATTATCCTTGTCAACACTTGGTATTGTCTGACTTTTTCATTTTGGACATTTTGGAGGGTGCATAGTGTTATCCTATTGGGGTTTTAATTCCTATATCTCTGATAACTAATGAAGTTTAGCCTTGTTTTATGTTGATTGGCTATTTATAGCTGTCATCTTTTGTGTAATACTTGTTCAGATCACCTTCACTCCACTGTCCAATCATAACTATGCAGGCTAGTTGTAAGTCTGTATGTAATTTCTGCAGGTCCTGAGGTTTCTGTATCCTTTCAGCTGATACAGCCCTGCCTACCGTCTTCCACAACATTGTGTACTGGAGCAGCCTGCCTTTAAGAGTAGCTCTGTCCTGTAAAGGGCCAAGGTGTAGAGATGCTGGATGTGACAGGGGTTTCAGATATCTTGAGGAATCCCTACATCTTTTGTGTGTGTGGTCAAGAGAAGAAACTAGAAACAGAGACACTGAAAGTTTCTCATCAAAAGTTTGGGGATTTTCAGTACCTGTCAGTGAATGGGCCTCATCAAGCTGTGAGCCAAATCCAGGAGCTCTGTTTGCAATGGCTGCAGCCAGAGATCCTCACCAAGGAGCAGATGATAGAGCAACTAGTGCTGACACAGTTTCTGAGCACCCTGCCAGAGGAGATTCAGACATGGGTGAGGTCAAAACAGCCCAAGAACAGCAAAGAGGCAGGAACCATGGTGGCAAACTTTATTCAGGCATGTGAGAAGGAAGGTGAGAAGGAGGAAGCAACTGGCTGCTTCTGTTTATTGAATATCTGCTGTATGCCTGGCACGTAATAGGAGCTAAATAGAAATTTTGTTGAGTGAATGAATGAAAGAATGCATTTTATACATTCAGTCTGATCTGCCTAATCTCATGTGAGATGAAAGAAATTTGGTGTTTGGGTTATTTTAAAATTTTTATTTTAAGTTCAGGGGTGCATTTGCAAGTTTATTACATGGGTATATTGGATGCTGCTGAAGTTTGGGCTTCTAATGATTCTGTCACCCAAGTAGTGAACATAGTACTGGATAGGCAGTTTTTCAACCTTTGCCCTCCTTCCTCATTACCCCCTTTTGGAATTTTCCGTGTTTATTGTTCCCGTCTTAGAGTCCATGTATACCCAGTGTTTAGCTCCCACTTAAAGGCGGAAACATGTAGTATTTGGTTTTCTCTTTTTTTTTTTTTTTTTTTTTTTTTTTGAGACAGAGTCTTGCTCTGTCGCCCAGGGTAGAGTGCAGTGGCATGATCTCAGCTCACTGCAACCTCCACCTCCCGGGTTCAAGCAATTCTCCTGCCTCAGCCTCCCGAGTAGCTAGAATTCCAGGGGCCCACCACCACGCCTGGCTAATTTTTGTATTTTTAGTAAAGACGGGGTTTCACCATGTTGGTAGGGCTGGTCTCGAACTCCTGACCTTGTGATCCGGGTGGATCACCTCAGCCTCCCAAAATGCTGGAATTATAGACAAGAGCCACCGCAGATTCTGTGTTAATTTGCTTAGGTTAATGGCTTCAGCTGCACCCATGTTGCTGCAGAGGACATGATTTCATTCCTTTTTATGCCTATGTGGGTTTGGCTTTTGCTTTTAACATATACTATTTCTCTGAGTGTATCAGCTTTGTTCACCTTGCCTCACATTTCTTATCCAGTGTAAACCTTAGTTGCAACATAAAACAAGACAGACACACTACAAAAAAAAAAAAAAAACTCCTGGGATTGCTTGTGGCATTAATATATTAAGTGTAAATTTGGGAAAATTGGTCTTTACATTATTTAGTCTTTCTATTCAAGAACAAGAATGATTAGCTAAATTTTAGATGCAAGGGGGCATAAAATGTGGGAGATACAAAGACTGGAAGTTCAACTTCTGCCAAAATTTGACTGGTATCTTAGAAACTCAAGTTATTAGATTAGAGCTAAGGAGGCATTTCAAGAATGAGAGAAGAAAGCCACTGGGTCCTTATAGTGCTTTGAAACAAATAATACTAACTAAAAGCAAAGTATTGTTTGGGGCATATATATAGCAAGGGAACAATGAATACTAACACCAGACCTCAGGGCATACTTATCTCTAGAGGGAAGGCTCGAGTATGGACATGAAAGAAGCACACAGGCAGATGTAAGTTATTGGGAATGTTATACTTTTGGGTTGGATAGTACATTCACAGGCCTTAATTATACTTAAAAATATAAACAAATGAATTTAAAATAACCATGAGAGCCATGCATGGCTCAATAAAGATAGCATATCATGAACTAAGGATTATGATTAATCCCATTCTGTGCTCCCACATTACTTAAAAGAATTTTTAAAATGCTAATAGTGAACACTTGAGCACTTAGAATGTTTTAATGTATTATCATAGGTGTTCTTTCATGTTAATTCATTTTCTTCTATTAATAGCTCTGTGAAATAGGTATTACCTTCATTTCGTAGACCAGGAGACAGAGGCATAAAGAGGTTGAGTAACTTGACCATGGTTCCACAACTTATATTAATAATTGGCAGTCAGGATTCAGACTTAGGCTGCTGGCTTCAGCATCTGTACTCTTAATCACCGTGTTACATGAGTGCCTCATATGGATATAGTGGATGTTGTCCCAGAGGCTAAAAACTTGGCCAGAGGCACTGAGTTATTGATGAAGCTAGAGTTCAGTGAGAAGGAAAGAGAGTTCCCTAGGGTACCAGAAAGAAAAAACAGATTAATGAAGGGTTTACCGAGAAAAGAGAATATATAGGCAAGGAAGGCCATCAAGGTTAAGGCTCCTGGAGGGAAAGGGGTGGTTGTCTTTTAGATCAACGAGTGAAAAATATGTAGGAAAGGCTTAATCATAAGAGCTGCCATTTACCAAAAAAATACCTACTGTGTGCCTTACATATGTAATGTTTAATTCTCACAAGAGCCCTTAGAGGTATAGTATACTCCCCTTATCTGAGGGGCATACATTCTAACACACTTGAAAGTGTGGATATTATCAAACCCTATATATACTATGTCTTTTCCTCTACATACATATCTGTGACGAAGTTTATTAATTAGGCACAGTACGATATTAACAACTAGTTATAAAATGGAACAATTATAACAGTAGGTTAGCATCACTACTCATGTGCTTTGGGGGCATTATTAAGTAAAATAAGGTCTACATGAACACAAGCACTGTGATACCGTGATAGTTGATCTGATGACCAAGACAGCTAATAAGTGACTAAGGGGTAGTGTATACAGAGTGGATACACTGGACAAAGGGATGATTCATGTCCCAGGTGGGACAGAGCAGGAAAGTGTGAGATTTCATCACCAGAATGGCACACAATTTATAACATATGAATTATTTATTTCTGGAATTTTCCATTAAATATTTTTGACCCCCAATTGACCATGGGTAACTGAAACTGCAGAAAACAAAACCTCAGATAAGTGGGGACTACTGTATAGGTATTGTCATTATTTCTGCTTTACAGTTGAGAAACAGAGGTTCTGTGGTGATCTTGACTGGACAGTGAGGCCCGAAATGACTGATATGGAGGGAACTTTCACTTTATTTGGAAGGCAGTGGGAGCCATTGAAGCATTTAGAGCTGGGAAATAACCAGAGCTCTCTTTTGGAACTTGTTATTTTGAGTTGAGAAATGATATCTGACTTTCTCACCATAGGAACTCTAGAGCTGCTGTTCCTTCCCATGGCAGGACAGGGTGGCATGAGGGTGGCTGGCCACTGTGTCTGTCAGTGCTACCAGACAGGACTCAATTCCATGGTATTCCTCTCTCCCTTCTAGGTTTCCTTGCTCAGGACTCTGTCCCTGCAGAAAAGAGGAACACAGAGATGTTAGACAATCTGCCATCTGCTGGGTCCCAGGTGAGTCAGGCTTTCCTCTGACATGGTTATCAAATATGGGGATCTTATCTTCCTAATTTGTGGACTTCCTTATTTAATTAAACCACATACTCATTTCCATTAAGTTTTTATATAAATATCACTTTACTGAGCCTTTTTTCTGACTAATCTGACATTTGCTTATGATTCTTTTTTTTCTTATTTCTCCAAGAAAAATCCTTCTGACTCTTTTATCCTCCTTCCGTGCTTTACTTTTCTCTGTTGTACTTATCACCATCCCACATACTATATATTTAATATTTTTCCTTTTTTTCTGTCTTTTGAATTAATTGTTTACTTATTTTTTTAGTATTCTATTTTATTCAGAAAAACCCTTGTGTGGTTTGCATTATTATTGTTCCCCTTTTTATATATGAGGGAGTGGAGGCAGAAAGACTAAATAATATGCTGAAGGGTAACACAGCTGTTAAATAATACGATTGAGATATGAACCCAGGCAGTCTGGCTTTAGAGTCCACATTCATAACCACTTAGTTATTGCTGCCTAAGGTAGTGCAGTTACTGCAACTTCGGCTGGCCGGATTTAGCAAGTAAATATACACAACATCCAAATTAAATTTGAATTTTAGATGAACTACAAATAAATTTTTAGCATAAGTATAAATAAATTTTTAGCATAACTATGAAGTTTGAATTTCAGATAGACAATTTTTTGCATAAGGATGCAATGTTTCATATTTAAGACATACTTATGTAAAAAACTGTTGTTTATCCAAACTCCTCCAAGCTAAAGGAGCATGTTTTAACCCAATGCAAGGAAGCTAAGAACCTTGAAAAAAGGTTAGAGGAATTGCTAACTAGAATAACCAGTTTAGAGACGAACATAAATGACCTGATGGAGCTGAAAAACACAGCATGAGAACTTCATGAAGCATACATAAGTATCAATAGCGAATCGATCAAGCAGAAGAAAGGATATCAGAGACTGGAGATCAATTTAATGAAATAAAGCATGAAAACAAGATTAGAGAGAAAAGAATGAAAAGAAATGAACAAAGCCTCCAAGAAATATGGGACTATGTGAAAAGACCAAAACCTACGTTTGATTGGTGTACCTGAAAGTGACGGGGAGAATAAAACAAGTTGGAAAACACTCTTCAGGATATTATCCAGGAGAACTTCCCCAACCTAGCAAGACAGGCCAACATGCAAATTCAGGAAATACAGAGACCACCACAAAAATACTCCTTGAGAAGAGCAACTCCAAGACACATATAATCATCAGATTCACCAAGGTTAAAATGAAGGAAAAAATGTTAAGTGCAGTCAGAGAGAAAGGTCGGGTTACCCACAAAGGGAAGCCCATCAGACTAACAGCAGATCTCTCTGCAGAAACCCTACAAGCCAGAAGAGAGTGGAGGTCAATATCAACATTCTTAAGGAAAAGAATTTAGAACTCAGGATTAAGAAACTCACTCAAAACCGCACGATTATATGGAAACTGAACAACCTGCTCCCGAATGACTCAGTAAATAACGAAATTAAGGCAGAAATAAATAAATTCTTTGAAACCAATGAGAACAAAGACACAACGTACCAGAATCTCTGGGACACAGCTAAAGCAGTGTTTACAGGGAAATTTATAGCACTAAATGCCCACAGGAGAAAGCAGGAAAGATCTAAAATTGACACCCTAACATCACAATTAAAATAACTAGAGAAGCAAGAGCAAACAAATTCAAAAGTTAACAGAAGACAAGAAATAACTAAGATCAGAGCAGAACTGAAGGAGATACAGACAAAAAAAAAAACCCTTCAAAAAAAATCAATGACTCCAGGAGCTGGTTTTTTGAAAAGATCAGCAAAACAGATAGACTGCTTACCAGACTAATAAAGGAGAAAAGAGAGAAGAATCAAATAGACACAATAAAAAATCAAAAAGACACAATAAAAAATGATATCATCACTGATCCCACAGAAATACAAACTACCATGAGAGAATACTATAAACACCTCTACACAAATAAACTAGAAAATCTAGAAGAAATGGATAAATTCCTGGACACATACACCCTCCCAAGACTAAACCAGGAAGAAGTCGAATCCCTGAATAGACCAATAACAAGTTCTGAAATTGAGGCAGTAATTAATAGCCTACCAACCAAAAAAAAAAAAAAAAAAACCCAGGACCAGACAGATTGACAGCCGAATTCTACCAGAGGTACAAAGAGGAGCTTGTACCATTCCTTCTGAAACTATTCCAAACAATAGAAAAAGAGGCTCATTTTATGAGGCCAGCATCATCCTGATAGCAAAACCTGGCAGAGACAACAAAAAAAGAAAATTTCAGGCCAATATCCCTCCCAAGGTGGGAGGATCACCTGAGGTCAGGAGTTCGAGACCAGCCTGACCAACATGGTGAAACCCCGTCTCTACTAAAAATACAAAAATTAGCTGGGCGTGGTGGCACATGCCTGTAATCCCAGCTACTTGGGAGGCTGAGGTGGGAGACTCACTTGAACCTGGGAGGCAGAGGTTGCAGTGAGCCAAGATCATGTCGCTGCACTCCAGCCTGAGTGAGAGTGAGACTCCATCTCAAAAAACAAAAACAAAACCAAAAAAGATTTTTAATAGACACATAACAAAATTTGTTCTTCACAAAACCCTATGATACAAAAAGTACAATGACCATTTATAGATCAAGGTCCAGATCAGAGATGTTACCTGTCTTGTCCAATGAAATTAAATAACAGTACAGACCGGGTGCAGTGGCTCATACCTGTAACCCCAGCACTTTGGGAGGCCAAGGCAGGCGGATCACCTTAGGTCAGGAGTTGAAGACGAGCCTGGCCAACATGCGAAACCGCATCTCTACTAAAAATACAAAAATTAGCTGGGCGTGGTGACACACACCTGTAATCCCAGCTACTTGGGAGGCTGAGGCACGAGAATTGCTTGAACCCAGGAGGTGGAGGTTGCAGGGAGCTGAGATTGCACCACTGCACTCCAGCCTGGGCAACAGAGTGAGACTCTATCTCAAAAAACAAACAAGAAAAACAAAACAAAACAAAAAACAATAAAACAGTACAGTACTTGAACCCAGGTCTCTGAACTGCCAGCCCAGTGCTCTTCCCACCCAACACACTATCCATGAATGAAATTGTCAAAGATTTAAAAAAACTCAGCCCCTTAAAACTTAGTGAAATTCAAATTTAACTGGGCATGCTGAATTTTATCTGGCCGTCCTATTTCAACTAAATTTTTGGATTTGGGGATTTGAGACAATGGGGTCCACTGGGAAGCATGGATAGGCTAGAATAGTCCAGAATTTTAAAAAAAGGAAAGGTAGTTATGTCCTACCATGTATTTCCTCCAAAATAATGAATAATAGTTTAATGAAATCATCAAACATAAAACTTTTTTCAGGTTGTACAAGATTATACAAATGATTCTGGTAGTGTCATCATCTGTTTGTTTATTCACCAACGTCTACCGGTGTCAGGCTCTGTTTGAGGGAAAAAAGTGTTCTTAGAACCATATGGGGGTGCCAAAAAGTCACAGAGCAATTGAAAAGGGCCTTTTCCTTGAAAGTCATGTCCTGGAACACGCATTCTTAAGGAGGATATTGCCTTCAAGGGGAAGAAAATTGGTTCTTGAGGGTGAACACATACTATTCTTCTTATGTGTACAGCACAGACATACATACAGTACATACACAGTATATTTGCGATATTAAAATGTATGGGGTACCGTGCGATTCCATTTTTATGAAATATCCAGAATCAGCAAATCCATGGAGACATAAAGTATGTTAGTGGTTGCCTAGGGCTTGGGGTAGGGCGTGGGAAGATGTTGGAGGGAAATGGAGAGTGACTGCTAGAAGGTGCAGGGTTTCTTTTGGGGCGATGAAATGTTCTGAAATTTATTGGGGTGATGGTTGCACAACTCTGTGAATATGCTTAAAAACTCATTAAATTGTATACTTTAGGTGACTTTTATAATACGTAAATTAAATCTCAATAAAGCTGTTATTTAAAAAAATAGACATACAGCATCTGTGGCCCCACTTCCACCAACTGAATTAGAATCTGTGTTTAACAAGATCCCCAGGTGATTTGTGTGCACATTAAAATTGGAACCATCCAATACCTGTGTATGTGAATCAATGCTAATTTATAATTGTTTGAAAAAGTATATCCATGTCAAGGGCTGGAATGTACTTTGCAACAATGAAAATAGTGTAAATGAAGACAACCCCTTCTACCCACACAAAGGGTGTGGCTTATTGTAGGCCTTTAACAAATGGCAGCTCTTATAGGGACATGATACTGTTATGAGGTTTTCTGATTTTTTGTTTCAAAAATGTTCTCCAGTGTTCTTGTTAAGTCATGTTTTAGAAACCTAAAAGACAATAATGAAATTAATATACTCTGCTTTCTTTAGAACCAGAAAAAAATTCATGGGGGTTGTGATTAGAAAAAATGACGTATAAAGATTACTGGGGTGGGGGGAGCGAGGTAAGGAAAAAAGGTTGAGAAACACTGTTCTAGAATATCTGCTCCTGAGAGTAGCCCTCTGTCCCTACCTTGTCTGTGCCAGGGATTCCAAGCAAAGATGCCCTGGAGGGACTACCAAGGGAATATAAATAAGGAATTGGTCTGGGTGGATTATGAGAAACAGGGGGAGTGCCTGTCCCATATATAGGGGCAGCTGTGACTCAGCTTTTGCTGATGGTGCCATGTGAGAATGTGGACCCAGTCCCCAGATTTTCTAATGCTTTTAATCAGAAGCCACAAAACCAGTTAAGAATGACATTTCCTAATTTTTTTTTTTGGTATTGGCAGCTAATACAAATTTTTAAAAAACAATAGGACCACGTGAGCCAAATAAACCCATCTGAAGGAGCTGGGCAGCCAGTATATGATCCCTAATTTAATCCAGTGTTTGTTGATTTGCATAAAAAGTTTTAGAAAGTTTCACTTAAAACACAAAAGATGTATATTAATAAAATGGATATCAGAGTCTTATGTAATGTTCTGGTATCTGCCTTTTTATTTTTATAGTATCAAGGGATCTTATGTGTTTTATTATAAAATTTTAGAGTGTAAATGACTTTAGAGATAATGTAATGGATCTCTTTATTTTAAAGATGAGACAATGAGAATCAAAGAGATTAATTAACCCATGCCTTACAACTAGCTAATAGCAGAACTCAAAACTCCTTATTCCAGTGTAGGTTTGTTCCCATGATTTTCTCTAATAGTTACAGAGTATGAGATGGAAAAAAGAAAGGAGGGTCAATGGACAGTTAACAGTAGGAAAACATTTGGGAACAGTAAGATAGCAGTCTTAAAAATGCTCTGACTACCACATGACCACCATCGTTTAAATATGACACTGTGACTGAGAAATCATGACCTACCATACAGTGATTCTTACTTGAAATAGATACCTTTTCTACAACTAAATTCAATTTTCTTATACTGAATCAGGTAACATTTCTCTTTTAACAATCTTTTTTTAATATAATAATATTGATTATCCATTATATTCAAGGTATTGTAGCATATTAACTGTATTAAGTAAAATAAAGCACAAGAAAAAAGGTTATGAAAAACTGAGATTGCTCTCTATGCTAAATATTTTGAGTCACAGACTCCTTTGAGAAACGGAATTTTTATCTTCCAGAAAGGTGCACATGCACTACAAAGCTCAGCCTTAAGAATCTGTGATTGCCAGGTTAAGACCTCAGCCTAACAACAATGTACCTTTGGTTTTGAATCATTTTTTTTATTGCCAAAGTATGACTGGAAACAGACAGAAAAATCATTAACTGCTACAACATTTTGAGCAAAATGGCTAGTAAGTTTTAATTTTCAATTTTTGTCATTAACTGTTTATAAAGACTTATTGGATTAGCATATTTGAGTGGGGAGATCCTATGCATTTTCTTACACGTGTTACAATTTTCTATATTCAGATTTGCTAAGGAAGGTAAGTATCCTATTGCCTCAGGATAATGTTAGATTTGAAGAGGTCAGTCTATCTTTTTTTTTCACTTTTATTTTAGAATCAGGGCACACATGTGCAGGTTTGTTACAAAGGTGTATTGCACAATGCTAAGATTTGGAGCATGAATGAGTATGTCACCTCAGATAGTAAGCATAGTACCCAATAAATGGCCTTTTCCAATCCTTATTCTCCTCCCTCCCTGCCTCCTCTTGTATTCCCTAGTGTCTGTTGTCCCATTTTAATGACCATGTATACCCAGTGTTTAGCTCCCACTAATAAGTGAGAACACGTGGTATTTGGTTTTCTGTTTCTGCGTTAGTTCGCTTAGGATAATGGTTTCCCGTTGCATCTGAGGTTTCCGGTTGCATTCCGGTTGCTGCAGAGGACACGATTTTGTTCTTTTTTTGGCTGCATAGTATTCAATGGTGTATACACACCTCATTTTCTTTATCCAGTTCACTGTAGATGGGCACTTGGGTTGATTCCATGTCTTTGCTTCTGTGAACAGTGCTGTGATGAACATATGAGTGCATGTGTCTTTTTGGTAGGACAGCTTATTTTCCTTTGGGTATATGGTATCTGCCTTTTAAATTCAACCTTAGGCTACTAAGATTGTTGTATATAACTGTAGTTAATTGATTTCTATTGCTAGAATACTATTTCATTGTATGGCTATACTATATTTATCTCTTCTACTGTTAATGAATGTTTGGGTTATTTCCAGATTTTGGATGTTCCAAACATGCTATAATAAACATGCCCATCCATGTCTTTAAGTACACATGAGTAAATATACCTAGGAATAGAATTTTGGGGTCAAATAGAGATTAGAAGGGTGGTTCTCAGAGGCTGGGAAGGGTAGTTGGGGGGCTGGAGGGAGGTGGAGATGGTTAGCAAGTACAAAAAAAAAGTAGAAAGAATGAATAAGACCTACTATTGATAGCACAATAGGGAGTCTATAGTCAATAATAACTTAATTGTACATTTTAAAATAAAGAGTGTAACTCTTTATTATCCTTTGTAACTCAAAGGATAAATGCCTAAGGGGATGGATACCCCATTCCCCACGATGTGCTTATTCCACATTGCCTGCCTGTATCAAAGCATCTCATGTACCCCGTAAGTATATACAAGTACTATGTACCCACAAAAATTTTTAAAAATTAAAAAAAGAATTTCTGGATCAAAAGTGATTTTCTAATTTACATTTCCCTTAGCATCGCCAGTGGATCCATGTTTTATATAATAGTTGGTATTGTCCCACTTCTTAATTTTCACTCAATTACTTAATTTTTACCCAATACTTAATTGAATGGGTATAAAATGGTATTTTGTCATTTTGATTTTCATCTCCTTGTTTATTAACAAGATTGAATATTTCTTCATGTTATGAGCACTTTGTTTTACAGGTGGGACCCTGAGGCTTAACCTACCCAAACTCACAAAGAACCAGAGCCAGGACTCTGATTCCTGAGGCTGAGGTATACTGCTGAGCTTTTAAGTATTTGCATGCTTGCATTCTGTCTTTATAAAGTGGCTTAAAAGGATATTTCCCCCTCAACCCAAATCTGTAGTAATTAGCAATAGGAACTGTTTCAGTAATGTTCCCACTTCTCTCAGACTCGATAAGACAAAGAAAGATGCAATGCCAGGTGCCTGTGGCTCTGGATTAGAGCACGTGGAAGCTCTCTGCTGGTCTGAATGCCTGCATCATGTTCAGTCCTCTCTAATCACGTCCCTTCTCCTCTCTCTGGGATAGTTCCCGGACTTCAAACACTTAGGAACATTTCTGGTGTTTGAGGAGTTGGTGACCTTCGAGGATGTGCTTGTGGACTTCAGCCCAGAGGAACTTAGTTCCCTTAGTGCTGCTCAGAGAAACCTCTACAGGGAGGTGATGCTGGAGAATTACCGGAACCTGGTCTCCCTGGGTAAGTATGCCTTCTCCACAGGACTTGGTTTCTTCCCACTAGGGCAGTAGCTCTCAACTCCTTCGTGTCCTCTCATCAGTAATGGTGGTTCACCATGTCAGTGAGTCTCAACCCAGGTCAGAGGCAATATTTTAATATTTGAATATCAAATTCACTGTTAATTATAACATAGCTAACATTTCTTGAGCACGACATATGTGTCAGGCACTTGTGTAAGTGTTTAGCATATTTCAACTCCTTTAATCCTCACACTAGGCCTGTGAGGGGGAGGTATACTTATTGTTGTTGTTATTATTGACATTTTTAACTTTGAGGAACCTGAGTCATTGAAAGGCTAAAGTACTTGTCGAAAGCTGGGATTTAACCCCAAGCAGACTCCAGAATCTGCTCTTTTAAACTCTGATGTGCTACCAGACAGGGGTTTGCTCCACCAGTTCTCAGCACAATGGAAGGCTCAAAATGATGTTTACTGAATGAGCGAAGGAATTGCTAAAAATTCCAGGAGCTCCAAAGACTTCTACTGGCTTGAGTTTGAAGAAACAGAGATTGCCAATCTCTCTTTACGTGCGGAGGCAAAATTGTTTTACCTGTTCTCACAGGTAAAGTTGAAAGTGAAAAGTGAAAAGTTTACGTTGCCAGTGCCAAGCTCCTTTTTCAGTGGCTTTTTTGGGGGCTTGAGGTCTCCTGAAAAACAGAATCCAAAACAAACACTGTTCCACTGGCAAGTCAGGGACCTAGTGGGAAAACACACATCCTACCCCAAACCTAGCACAGGGATGCATATGTTTAACTCTGGTTCTTATCGGTTACAAGGAAGTACATTTTCCAGCATATTTTACACTCTTCTCTAGCTTACCACATTTTATGACTTAAAATAGAGGGAATAGTATCAAAATAGAGGAAATAAATTAATTGTATCATTCCAGCTCTCATGCAGTGACCTGGAGCATTTCTATCTTGTGAGCCCTTGGCTTCTTTAACACTGAAGGTTTTGTGTTAATAGAGATCTTATATATCACCTGGGACATTGTCTTCCTAAGTGTGGAATGAGTACAGTGGGCTAAATAGAAGATTATTTTAGGCAGTACATGGACAGCATGACATAATCCTTCAATCTGTTGGTGAAAAAGAAGTTCTTCAATTTTCCTTTAAGCCTTCTGATGGTATCACGTAGAGAATATCAGTTTGGTGTTAGCATGTCTATCTTGTTATTCTTCCATTTTAGTAAAGTGAGAGCAGACATCAAACCCTGAATGTTAGATAGGCAACAGAAGCTAGCTAGCACTCAATAACCTTAGTTTCTGTTATATTTATCATGATGTTACCTTCCATTTTTGTGTGTGTGTGTGAGTGACATTGGTTTCCATTTATAGGGTTGATATAAAGCTTCCATTGAAAATAAGCGTATTGGCCAGGCGCAGTGGCTCACGCCTGTAATCCCAACACTTTGGGAGGCTGAGGCAGGTGGTTCATTTGAGGTCAGGAGTTTGAGACCAGCCTGGCCAACATGGTGAAACCCCGTCTCTACTAAAACTACGAAAAATTAGCTGGGTATGGTGGCGGGCGCCTGTATTCCCAGCTACTCAGGAGGCTGAGGCAGAAGAATCACTTGCATCTGGGAGGCAGAGGCTGCAGTAAGCCAAGATCGTGCCACTGCACTCTAGCCTGGGAGACAGAGTGAGACTCTGTCTCAAAAAAAAAAAAAAAGAAAAAAGAAAATAAGCATATCTAAGTTAAAAAGAAAGGTGATCTAAAGAAAAACATTAAATAAATACTGAATATGACTATAAATGGCACGTAGAAATGCCAAAATGCAAGGGTCATTCATTAACTCGTCAGTGAATTCAGACATACAAGGCCTGGTATAGGCATTTTGGTTACAAAATAGATGACATTTCCCCTTCTCATGGATGTTACATTTCAGTGGAGTCAGACAGTAAACAAATAGATAATAATTTGGTATGCAAATGATAAAAGTTTGGGAAACAAGGAACTAAGGGAGGGGGAGGAGCAGCACTTCAAGACAAAGGGGCAGTGGACGTTATCCCAGGAGGGAAAAGAACCATAATGTTGACTTTTTGAGCAGCTATGTCAGATTCTTGGTGCTGAAGTGTAGAGCTCAGCACACTGCCCTCATGCCCCCTTTTTAGTCTTCATAGCAGGGTTGTTCAACCTTGGCACTCTTGACATGGAACCAGATCGTCCCGGGTTGTGGGGCTGTCTTGCAGAATGTTGAGCAGTGTCCCTGCCTCCAGCCATACTAGACACTAGGAACCCCTCCCTCTGCTCCCACAGTTATGACAACCAAAGATATCTCCATACATTTTAGATGTCCCTTAGGGGGTAAAATCTCTGTAGGCTGGAAACAGGCTTCATTTTACTCCTGCGAGAGTTTGTTCCTTCCTTATTATTCCAGAGTCTTTGGGACCTAAGGTTGGGAGTTACTGAAACCCTGAGTTCTCAGTCTTCCTCTCCAACAGGGCACCAGTTCTCTAAACCTGACATTATCTCACGCCTGGAAGAGGAGGAATCATATGCAATGGAGACAGACAGCAGACATACAGTGATTTGTCAAGGTGAGTAGTGAGGGGGAAGCCCGGGGTGTAGGAGGGGGAACCAGTAAATGCTAGTCAGAGAGCTTTCCTCAAAGTCCCCTGGGCCAGGAGAAGTCTGGTAGGTGCCCTTTCTCCTCAGTACTCCCCTTGGTCTCCTTTCTGAAGCCCATCTCTTCATGCAGCATGAGCTCCTCTCCTGCTTAGCTCCAGGGAGGCCAGTGTCCTTTCACCCTCGTGTTCCAGCCCTTCCGTCCACTCATGCCTTTCTCCTTGCAGCTAAACATCATACATCTCTCCTCTTTAACTGAGACAAACAAAAAATCCTGGCCTGATACCACTTGTCTTTCTCACTGCCCTCCCACTTTCCCTCACATCAGCTCCTCAGACTTGTTGACACCTAGACGCTCCCTTCCCTTTTCTTCTTAATCCCCACCCTCTGGTTTCCATCCCCCTACTTATGCCAACTCAGACACACATATACGCTCTTTTCTGAAACTTCCACAAAAGGTTCCCACTAGCGTCCTTATAGTTCTGGAACCATAGACTTCACCTCCTCCAAACTCTATGGCTACAGTCTAATAACGCTTACCATCTTCATGAAATGGGTCACCATGTGCAGCGGCTGGATCACTGTTGTCCTTCAGTTGTAGTTAACAGAAAACCCACACCCAAACTGGCTAAAGTCATAGAGGGATTATTAGCCTATAATACTGATCAGCTGGGCTGTATTCAGGGACCCAGTGAAGTCATCGAAGACCTAGTTTCATTTTCTCCTTCTACTCTGCCTTCGACTCTGACAATAAATCCTAGATGCATTTTTTTGTTCCTGTACAAAAAAGGAGCAAGAAAGAGCTGGTGTGTCCAAGAAGCATTCTCAAGAGAGAGGAAGCATCTTTTCCAGCTCTCCTGATTTTTCATTGTTCCATATCGGGTTATATCCCTTTCCTGAACTAGCAGCTGTGTCCAGTACAGTGCTGATTGACACAGCCCTCCTCCACGTTTGTCTGTGTGAGTGGAAAAGTGGATGTCCAAACAAAATTCAAGAAGTTACCAGGAAGACTCCTCTCTGTTTCTTTCATTGTCTTCTTTTCTTTCCCTACTCTGGTTTCTTCATTATTCAGTCATCTCATAGATATTTATCAGGCTTCTGTGGTGGGCCAGATACTGTCCTAGTATCTGTGGATACAATAATGAATAAGACAGACAAATCTCTTCCTTCATAGAGCTTGCATTCTAATGGGGGCAGTAGTTTTAAAAAATAGACAAATAATAACGGAGCGTAAAGTGGATAGAGAATGAGATATGGGAGGTTGCTTGAGATGGAATAGTCAGAGAAGGCCTCACTGTGGAAGACTTGAATGAGATGGGGGGCTGACCAATGTAGAAATCTTGAGGAAGAGTGTTACAGGCAGAGCGAACAGCAAGTGCCAGGGCCCTGAGATTGGAATGAGCTTGGGTGTTCCAAAAACAGTAGGAAGGGCAATATGGTCTGAGTTAAGTGGAAGATAGAAGATGAGATCACAGAGATAGTCAAGGGCCAGCCCGCTTAGGAATATGTTAAAGAATTTTATTATAAGTGAGATGCAAAGATGGGGGGAGGTTTTGAGCAGGGGCATGAAGTAGTGTTATTGATATTTTAGAACTTTGCTGTCCAATATGCTAGACAGTAGGCACATGTGGCTACTTACATTTACACTAGTAAGAATTACATAAAATTTAAAATTTAGTTCCTCAGTCACACAAGCCACATTGCAAGTATTTGATAGCAACATGTGGCTAATGGCTACTGTGCTGGACAGCAAAAATGTAGACCATTTCCATCATCACTGGGAGTTCTACTGGGCAGTGCTATTCTAGAAAGATCCATCTGGCTGTCCTATGGAGAACGGGCTTTAAGAGGAAAAGCCAGAGAAACCAGTTCAAGAGGCCATTGAAGTCCACCAGGCTAAAGATGATGGAGGCTGAGGCCGTGGTTGTAGAGGGGTCAGGTTGGAGGTATTCCCTGAAAGAAGAACTGACAGAACATGCTGAAATATTGGATATACAGCAGGGTAAGGAAAACAGAAGAGCCAGTGAGGACTAGGTGTTCTCTTACTCTTCCGTTCTTGAGTGTTCTCTTCAAAGACCACTTCCTAAAAGAGTCAATCCATTGTGATGGGCCCAGCTATCCCTCTTTTCCTGATGACTTCCTAAGCCATGTTCTGGCTCTGCTGTTTTACCTGTACTCTGTTCACATACTTCAAGTGTCTGCCAGGATGCAACCACTGTGTTCATCACCTCTCTTCCAAACCACAGTCTTATACTTGACTTCCTTGGCTTCAGTATTTTTCCAACCAGAGAGTTGCCTTTATAAAGCACAGACTTTTTATCAGCTTCTTACCTCCGTCAAGATAAAATTCAAACTTTTAGCAAAACACTGAAGTTCCTCCCATTCTGGCCTGAAATTTGCATCCCAGCCTCATCTACAGATCTTGCAACTAAGATCCTGTGTTTCTAGCTCCCCAGGACTGTATATTTTCACAGTTCTATAGCTTAACTCAGGCTGTTTTATATAAACTCGCCCCCCTTCCCCGTTTACTGACGCCAAATGCTGTCCCCTCCACTAATCATTTTCTGTTCCTAAGTGGAGTCAGTTCCCCCATCTCTGCTCCTGTCGTCACTTACAGTCTGATTAGAGTCCCTTTTACAGACCTCTGACCCATCTGGTTAGATAATGCCTTGCACAAAACAGGCATTTAATAAATATTGAATTAAAGAGGATTGGTTGACAGTGTAGATTGGGGTAAAACAAGAGATTCAGAGCTAAGAAAGGAGAATCTTTGTTTAATTCTGAACAAGAGGTTGTTGACCTGTTTGCTCCAGTGTTTCCTCAGTAGTCCTGAAGAACCATAGTAATAGATGTTCTAAAAAAAATGTTTCATAGCAAGATCACTTTAAGAAATGCCACATTCTGTACCTTCCCTCTTTAGGGTTCAAGGTGCATATTAAAAGTTCTGAATCCTACAGGAATGAAACCTGCTTGATTTGTGTCATACAACATTTCCCAAATTAACTTGACAGTGGAGCCCCCTTCATGGTAACAGCTATTTGTTTTTCAGAATATTAGCGATCTGCCAAACATGGTTTGGAAAATGCTGACAAACCCCAACCCCAGCTCTTTCTCTGATTTCTGCTCATTCTACTCTGTACAATTGTGGCATCTTTTTGACACGCCATCCTCCTAGATGATATTTTTTCTGTTTCTTCCTCACTCTTCCTTGCTTACTGTCTTTTCCTTTTTTTTTTTTTTTTTTTTTTGAGACAGAGTCTCACTCTGTCATCCAGGCTGCAGTGCAGTGGTGCGATCTCTGCTCACTGCAACCTCCACCTCCCGGGTTCAAGCGATTCTCCTGCCTCATCCTCCTGAGTAGTTGGGACTACAGGCACGCGCCACCATGCCCAGTTAATTTTTTGTATTTTTAGTAGAGACAGGGTTTCACCATGTTGGCCAGAATGATCTCAATCTCTTGACCTTGTGATCCGCCCATCTCGGCCTCCCAAGGTGCTGGGATTACAGGTATGAGCCACTGTGCCCGGCCACTTACTGTCCTTTCTATCCTTTTTCCATTTTCTCTTTAGGTTTTCAGAAAACTCTCTCAACCTCCATAAGATCTGTTTGTTATCCTTGGTCTCTTTATTTCTATTATATTGGTATGTCTCTCTGAGTAAAAAGAATAGAGGAATTTTTACTTTTTTTTTTTCAGATTAGGAAAAGAGACCTGAAACCAAAGCACTAACTCCAGGGCAAAGCCTGCCTATAGAAATATCATTATTGGGGGGCAGGATTGGATAATTGGGCGGTAGGTAACTTCTGGCATTGTCTCTGCAGGAGAGTCTCATGATGATCCATTGGAACCACACCAGGGCAACCAAGAGAAACTTTTGACTCCTATAACAATGAATGACCCCAAGACCCTCACTCCGGAAAGAAGCTATGGCAGTGATGAATTTGAGAGAAGCTCTAATCTTAGTAAACAATCAAAGGATCCTCTAGGAAAGGATCCCCAGGAAGGCACTGCTCCTGGAATATGTACGAGTCCCCAGTCAGCATCCCAAGAGAACAAACACAACAGATGTGAATTTTGCAAACGAACCTTTAGTACGCAAGTAGCCCTTAGGAGACACGAACGGATCCATACTGGGAAGAAACCCTATGAATGTAAACAGTGTGCTGAAGCCTTCTATCTCATGCCACACCTCAACAGACATCAGAAGACCCATTCTGGTAGGAAGACTTCTGGCTGCAATGAAGGTAGAAAGCCTTCCGTCCAGTGTGCGAATCTCTGTGAACGTGTAAGAATTCACAGTCAGGAGGACTACTTTGAATGTTTTCAGTGCGGCAAAGCTTTTCTCCAGAATGTGCATCTTCTTCAACATCTCAAAGCCCATGAGGCAGCAAGAGTCCTTCCTCCTGGGTTGTCCCACAGCAAGACATACTTAATTCGTTATCAGCGGAAACATGACTACGTTGGAGAGAGAGCCTGCCAGTGTTGTGACTGTGGCAGAGTCTTCAGTCGGAATTCATATCTCATTCAGCATTATAGAACTCACACTCAAGAGAGGCCTTACCAGTGTCAGCTATGTGGGAAATGTTTCGGCCGACCCTCATACCTCACTCAACATTATCAACTCCATTCTCAAGAGAAAACTGTTGAGTGCGATCACTGTTGAGAAACCTTTAGTCACAGCACACACTTTTCTCAACATTATTGGCTTCCTCCTAGAGTGTTGTGAGTGTGAGAAGGCCTTTCACTAGCCCCACCTTGTTAACAACTTGAACATTCATCAAAGTGTGGTAAAAAAAAAAAAAAAGTTGCAATTTTTCGAAGAGGGGATTCCTCACGTCACACAGGTGAAAAGCTTACAAAGAATATTTTTGTTGCATAGGAAAGTAGCTAATAGATTTTGCCTTTTTCAGTGATACTCATCGTGAGGGAGGATTGCCCTCCTTTATATCAGATTGGATTCGTGGATATGTATTCTACAGGCTGTAATTCAGTACTGTCATTTATTTTGTTGTTCAAATGGCTACAGCTTTGGCCATTGGGAGCTCTTTCAGTCGGCTCCTGTGCCTTTTCAATAAGCTCCCATCCTTTTCAGGAACCACTTCCTTTCTATATCTTCCATAATTTTTCTCCCTTCACCTCCAGGAAAACCCTATCATGTCTTTAAGGTAGTTTCTACCTCATTCACTCTCATGAAATCTGCTTCTTTCCTCATGGTCAGAAGGCTCATAGCCTGATCAGTCTTTTATTTCACTTCTCCCGTTGCAGTTTTTGCTAAATCTGTATTCTGCTTGAACTGTTATTTACTTGACATATTTTTAATGGACTCATTTATGTTTTTTAAACTTCAGTACCTCTACTTAAAAAGGAAATTTTTAAATCACCTCAGACAAAGGGTTTTACTCACACGATAACCAGACTTCCCTGATTATCTCCAAGATGTCCTTTGACAGTTGGCTTGTTTCAATCTGGATCTAAATGTGGTCCACAGATTGCATTTGGTTGTTTAATCTCTTAAGTCTCTTAATCTAAAGCAATCCCCTCTCACGTTTTTAAGGCCTGTGCAACCCTGAGGTTAATATAGAACTTCCCTCCTGTTCCTACCCAGTTCGTGATATGTCTAACAGTTTAGAGACTCCTCTTCATGTTTACATTTTTAAATTTAGAAGAACTCATTTAAAAATTCTTATATTTCATTGTGGTAAAAACCACATAAAGCTTAGTGTCTTAACCGTTTTTAAGCATACAGTTCAGTAATGTTAAGTATATTCACATTGTAGGCCGGGCACGGTGGCTCGCGCCTATAAATTTAGAAACACTCATGTTTTAAGTTTTTTAGTGGTGATGCAAGTAATATACATTCCCTGAAGAAAACTAGAAAAAGTTTGTTTTTTCTTTGAATATTTGTATTTCCCCCTCCCAAATATACTTGCTGCTAAAAGTTTATGCCCATTTTTTCTTATGCATAAACCTGTATAGCTTTTAAAAATTATATTTTTAGGCTGGGTATGGTGGCTCATGCCTGTAATCCTGGCACTTTGGGAGTCCGAGGCAGGCAGATCACCTGAGGTCAGGAGTTTGAGACCAGCCTGGCCAAAATGATGAAATCCTGTCTCTACTAAAAATATGAAAAAATAGCCGGGCATGGTGGCGCTCGCCTATAGTCCCAGCTACCTGGGAGGCTGAAGCACAAGAATCGCTTGAACCTGGGAGGCAGAGGTTACACTGAGCTGAGATTGCACCATTGCACTCCAGCCTGGACAACAGAATGAGACTCCATCTCAGAAAAAAAAAGTTATATTTTTATGAATTGAAATATACTACCATAAACACTGTTTTGAGGGCTGTCATTTTCATTCTCATATATTATGAACATCTTTCCATATACAGAAATACATTCCTAAATTTCCTTTTAGTACTTGGTTGCATGGATGTGTCCTAATTTATTTCATCTGGCCTTTCATGGTTGGAAACTGGGGTTGCTTATAATTTCTCTTTTTTTTTTTTTTTTTTTTTTTTTTTTTTCAGATGGAGTGTCACTCTGTCACCCAGGCTGGAGTGCAGTGGCGCGATCTCAGCTCACTGCAAGCTCCGCCTTCCGGGTTCATGCCATTCTCCTGCCTCAGCCTCCCAAGTAGCTGGGACTACAGGCACCCGTCACCATGCCTGGCAAATTTTTTTTTTTTTTTTTTTTTTTTTTTTTTTTTTTTTTTTTTTTTTTTAGTAGAGACGGAGTTTCACTGTGTTAGCCAGGATGGTCTTGATCTCCTGACCTTGTGACCCGCCCCACCTTGGCCTCCCAAAGTGCTGGGATTGCAGGTGTGGAGCCACCGTGCCTGGCCTGAACTATGATTTTTAACATAGTTTTATTAGGTATTGTTTCCTCACTATACAAATAATATTGAGCATATTAAAGAAAATTTTGCAAAACAGAGAAGGCTAATAAACTTCCTAATAGTTCTAGGTATGCAACTAGTACAAGTCCAGGGAGGTAGTTATATTCACAAGTAGAAGAGACCCTTGGCAGAGAAGAGAGAGGGTGGGCTTTGGAGCCAGGGAGAGCTGAGGTCAAATTTCAAGGTCCTCCTTAGAGGCTGATTATACCTCGTTTTCTTAGGAAATGGGGATCCTCCCCTGGGAGAACCATTAAAAGGTCTAGAGTTCATCTATAGAAAAGAGCCTAATAGTGCCTGGTATTTAGAAGGCACTCAGTAACAAGTAGTTGCAATTAGGGAGTATTTTAAATTTTATTTTATTATTATTTTTTTTTTTTGAGATGGAGTCTCGCTCTGTCACCCAGGCTGGAGTGCAGTGGTATGATCTCGGCTCACTGCAACCTCTGCCTCCCGGGTTCAAGCGATTCTCCTGCCTCAGCCTCCTGAGTAGCTGGGATTATAGGTGCGTGCCATCACACTCAGCTAATTTTTGTATTTTTAGTAGAGACAGGGTTTCCTCATGTTGGTCAGGCTGGTCTCAAACTCCTGACCTCGTGATGTGCCCACCTCAGCCTCCCAAAGTGCTGGGATTACAGGCGTGAGCCACTGCACCCGGCCTAAAATTTATTTTTTAAAATGTTTTATTAGCAGCAATAAACTAGAGTTGTAAACCATAGTTAACACATCAAAACGCAACCACATTTTATCATATTTTAGTATTTTTTCTACAAATATTTTTTTCTATGTGTAGGTTTTTAAAAATAATATTACAAGTTTAAAGTTCTTTTCTGATTTTGTGACAATTTTTAATTTATATAAAAGTCTGATTAACAAAGCATAAATTACTGTATTTACAGTTTAGAATCGATTTCCAAAAAGTGGTTTCACTAGATGACATGTGATGAACATTTCTAAGGCTCTCGAAAGATCCTGCTGGATTTGTTTGTGGAGGGGCTCTGCCATTTGTAGCCCTCAGCATAGGGAGGGCCAGAGGTATGAAATAGGTGGTAAACTTACAATCCTCCCTCTCGAGTCCCTGGCAGGCGTTGTTAACCAGTTATGCACTCTCTGGTTCCAGTGAACCTGAGGACAGGGTTGGATCTTTCTCAGCACAGCACCCAAGGCAAACAAGACACACTAAGCAGTTTTTGTATGTGCAAAGAACTGCCTTTGTCACCCTGGTACCAAATAAATACTCCCTTTAAATAACTTTGCCTGCACTGGGTATTTATTCACTTAACAACCAAAAAATCTTCACCTATTTGGTAATAAAAAGATAAATCTTTTTGGTAATAAAAAGATAAATAAAAATCTTCACCTATTTGGTAATAAAAAGATAAATCTTTTTGGTAATAAAAAGATAAAAATCTTCACCTATTTGGTAATAAAAAGATTATTATTAACAATAATTAATCCATTTTTGCATTATTATTATGCATTTTTTCCAAATAAGTTTTAAAAACTTCTTTATGTATAACCTAGGCCCTTTACCTCTTTAGCTTTTTTGTCTTTATGCTTTTTCTTACTAATTTGTGTGAACTCAGTTTCCTTTTAAGTACACATTTCTGATGGATTAATGTTTATTTTTCTTTTTAAAGCAATATTTGACTCATTAAAGGCAACTACTTTACAGAAATGTAGATCTCTCTCCCTCCCTCTGCCCCGAAACAGAAAAATACACTATGAACACCACTAACATTTTTAGTCTGTTTTCTTGTAACTTAAAATTAATGACTAGATTTATGAAGGTAGTCGCCTCTGGGGAGTGGCTGAAGTAAAGATCTCATTTTCATGGTCTATACCTGTCCACTTTGTTACCCTCATGACTGTATTACGCTCTGTTGCCCAGGCTGCAGTGCAGGGGCGCGATCGTGGCTCACTGCAGCCTCTGCCTTCCAGGTTCAAGCAGTTCTCCTGCCTCAGCCTCCCAAGTAGCTGGGACTACAGGCATGCACCACCCTGCCCGGCTTTTTTTTTTTTCTATTTTTAGTAGAGATGGGGTTTTGCCATGTTGGCCAGGCTGGTCTGGAACTCCTAACCTCAGGTGATCTGCCTGCCTTGGCCTCCCAAAGTGCTAGGATTACAGGTGTGAGCCACCGCACCCAACCCTGTATTACCTATTTTTAAGGTATTTATAGATAGTTGTCATATAGCTGTGACTATTCCATGTGTGCGATAGTATACCTTGTTTTTCTACCCAATCTTATACCTTACAAAACTGCTGTCATCACTCACTCGTCTGTGGTTATCACCGCCTTACCAGTGGCACAGCAAACCCAGTGCTTTCTGTGGATGGCTCCTCCTCTGTTGTTAGGAGGTAAAATTCAGTTTCAATTTTTCATAGTTATGAACATACTATAATCAACATTTCGGTGCTTAAACCTTTTTCCAAATGTAAAATTTCTTTACGATACATATTTGCCAAAGAGGAATTGCTGCATCAGAAGGTGTATAATTGCTTTTAAGATTTTTGATATATCCAAGTTCCTTTTGGAAACATTACATCAGTTTGCACTGCTGCTACTGCTAGTAATGCTTGGGGATACGTGTTCCTCACACACACCCACTACCCCCCACACCTCCCGCCCAGCTGGCATTATGTAATAACAGCACTTTTCATTGTAGGGTGTTTAGTAGCAACTTTGCTAATAGGGGAAAGGGCATCTCATTTTAATTGTCTTTGATTTTTAAGGATGTTGAACTTTCTCCTGTAAGCTTCTTAAGCCATTGTTTCCTCTCTTCACATTGTCTGTCTTTTAATCATTTGTCTATGTGACTTTAATAGCTTCCTATCAGTTTGAACCATCTCTTTGCATAATAAAGATATTAATTCTTTGTTGTCATCTTGGCTGCAAATGATTTTCCCTCTTTGGTATTTTCTTTATTTTTTGAAAATGTTTCAATTTTTATATATTTCAATCCTTCTATTTTCTTCCAACCCTACAAAATCTAACCCTCTGTAAACATTAGTGTTTTATTCTGGAGTTTTAAAAATATGCTTTAGTGATTATTGAATTTACTTGGGCATATTGTATGAAAAGAGAATTAAATTTATTCTTCCTCATTGTTAATTGCCCCAACATTATTAGTAAATTATAAATTGTTATATTTTATAATGTAGGTTCTATATTTGGACCATCTACTTGCTTTTATTGGCTTGTTGCCCTGTTTTATCCTAGATCTATATTCTTCTTAATTTTTATGGCTATATTTAATGTTTTCCATCATTGTGCCTTTAAAAAGTATATGTACATGTATGCATAAATTTATGTGAAGTTATATATAAGTTTCCGTTATTCCAGATTAAAATTTATCTTTAGTAATCAAAAACCAACCTTCTGATTATTATTGCAATGAACTTATAAGTTAGGAAGGATTAACATTGTTACATTTAATCTTAACATCCAGGAATATGATACTGTGTTTTCATTCATTCAAGCTTTTGTATCAATCAGTAAAGCTTTATAGTTTTCTTATCAAAATGTCACAAGTTTTCCTTAGTTATTTCTGCATGTTTTTGCAGTTGTGAGTTTTCTTCTATAGAGTTTTTCTTATATTTCTTCTAAAAAGCCAGCATCTCAAGAATAGGGTCACTTCGGCATTGCCAAGGAATTCTGAAATTTTAGAACCAGACTAACTACATTTGGCTGCTTTATTAAAGTCACCCAGGCCGGGCGCGGTGGCTCACGCCTGTAATCCCAGCACTTTGGGAGGCCGAGGCGGGTGGATCATGAGGTCAGCAGATCGAGACCATCCTGGCTAACAAGGTGAAACCCCGTCTCTACTAAAAATACAAAAAAAATTAGCCGGGCGCGGTGGCGGGCGCCTGTAGTCCCAGCTACTCGGGAGGCTGAGGCAGGAGAATGGCGTGAACCCGGGAAGCGGAGCTTGCAGTGAGCCGAGATTGCGCCACTGCAGTCCGCAGTCCCGCCTGGGCGACAGAGCGAGACTCCGTCTCAAAAAAAAATAAATAAATAAAATTAAAAAAAATAAAAAATAAAATAAAATAAAATAAAAAAATAAAGTCACCCAAGATCATCTCTGCTGGCCCCTGTAGGATCCTCAGTTTTCAATCCTTTCTTGAAACCAGTATTTCTCAAACTTTAATGTGCAATATGGGGGAGACAGGCAATAAGCAAAATAAGGTGGTAAATGCTATGAAGAAAAATAAAACCAGGAAAGAGGGTAGAGAGTTACCATGGAAGTGGGAGGGCTAATTTAAGACAGGTTGGTCCAAAAAAGGCTCTCTGAAGAGATGGCCTTTAAGCAAAGACCATCAGATGAGAAGTCAGCCTGGGACCCTGGAGAAGAGAGTGTCCGGGCAGAGGAAACAGCATGAGCGAAGCTCTTTGGTCAGAAAATAGCTTTGTATGTTGGTGGAGGAGACAGTAGAAGGGTTGCGAGTGAGAGGGAGAGTGATAGGATCAGATGTGGGAGCAGCACCAGGACTGATTTCTCCACTGGTGCAGTTGACATTTGGTGTTGGGCAACTCCTGTGGACCATCCAGTGCATTGTAGGGTGTTTAGTAGTATCCCTGGCCTCTGTTCAGTGGATGCCAGGAGCACCCGCTTCTCCAATTGTGACAAGCAAAAATGTCATTCGACATTTTATCTGGGAGGTAAAATCATCCCGACTTGAGAAGTCTGATCTGGGGCCCTTTGTTCAGGGTTCCCTGGCAGGGAGATGAGCCCTACCTCCTGTATAGATTCATCTGACCCTCGCCCGGTGCTGCTACGTGGGAAAAAGAACAGAGAAGCTGGCACTTTTTTCTTTTTGGCCTCTGTTTATGCTATTGAAGTCAGTGAATAGAGGCTTGATAATTGCTATTTTCAGTTTGGTTTGTCCTAACTGGCTACTGTTGATAGTCTCAGGGCCCCTCCTAGACTGGAGGGCCTTTCTGGATGCTGGGAGATTCACATCGGTCACTCACACCATTACTGTGAGATGGGTAACAACACCCCATCTTACATACAGAGACACTAAGGCACAGGGAGGTGATGTGACTTGTTTAAGGCCACACAACTAGTAATGACAAAGCTGGGATTCAAAACTCCAGGTTTAGGTATCTCAATCACCCAAGTTCTGCAATTCTGCAAAGCTGTGTCCATCTACTGCTGCAAACCATGAAAGATGGCTGGATCTTTCTAACTTATACGCCACAGCTCGTGTATTTTGCAGATCATACATAGATATATTTAAATTCCTTGTCTTTTCCTCACTCCTGTTTACTGGAAAGAAGTCCCTCCTGTATGTTTGGACCAAAGAGTCAAGAAAATTACAATGCTTTTCACTGCTCCACCACAGCCTTCACAGATCTTTTCTCACTTTTGGGACTCATTCTTACATTGAGAAAAGAGATCCTTGAAAATCAGCTTTAATATTATGTGGGGGCATCCGGCTCTTAAGTTTGAAATAACTGTTGAAGAAGCCTAATTTTCCAGTTAATAAATTTTTGTTTTAAGAGCCAGGTTCTTGCTCGGTTGCCCAGGCTGGAGTGCAGTGATGTGATCACATCTCACTGCACCCTCCAGCTCCTGGGCCCAAGCAATCCTCACACTTCATCTTCTCAAGCAGCTAGGACTACAGGCAAGTGCCACCATGCCCAGCTAATTTTTTATTTATTTTTTATTTTTGTAGAGATAGGGTCTTGATATGTTGCCCAATCTGGTCTTGAACTCCAGGGTCAAGCGATCCTCCTGCTTTAGCCTCCCAAAGTGTTGGTATTACAGGGGTGAGCCACTGCATCCAACCCAGTTAATACATCTTTTGAAAAAATCATCTCTGGCGCAAACCAAGTCAGATATCAGTACATTTATCTTCCTTAACTTGCAAATGACCTCAGACTTGCCAGTCACGGAAAGAACTGCTGACCTGCACATTAGGAGCCAGGTCTAGAATTAGTCTAGGGATGGTCCTTCCATATAATCCTTATAGTTAACTCAGCAACACCCAGGAAAGCTGACTTGATCAGGCCGAGTGCCACAGAACTTTTCCTGTCTACAAAACTTTCATGTGACTCAATGCATTGAGTTGTAGATGGGTGGATATTATCTTCCTAATTTTGTGCATGCAGAAACTGAGGCTTAGCTTGGAGATAAGGAAAACCAAGAACCGGTCATGGCCTTTAGCGACATACAACACTTGAGATGCATTTAAGGGTGCTGCTTGTTCTTAATGGAAGTCACGTAGACGGCGTAACAGTTGGACCAGAGAATTCAAGTGTTGGCAGAAAGAGAACACATAGGTGTGTTTCCTTTCTTCCAAACCAGCAAGTGGCTTGTTTACTGATCATTTTAGTTACAATTAGGAAGTTTCTCATTTTTTCAGAAAGTGGGATTTTTGTGTCTAGTTTTCCTAATGCTAATTCAGGAAACTTTCTTTCTTAGAATTGTCTAATTCTTCCACAACTGTTATAGTCAGAGGGACAGAGAGAAAAAAAAACTTTCTGATTTCTCAATGCCCAAGGCCAGAGTTTTTAGGCTGTTTGAAAAGCTGACGCTGAACTTGGGTCAAATCCTATTCAGAAACAGCTAACCCAGCAAGCTTGAGACTGCAGAGCAACACACACGTAATCTCATGAACTAAATCCCTCACATTCCCACATAAACAACACCAACACGAGTCAAGCTAACACAATCATGCATGGACAGCAAAAAGCCATACACACCCAATACCATCACAGAAAGCCACCAAGTCACGCTCATGATCTACAAGCACGCGAGAGCCATTCCAGCTTGCTGGCTCGCGCACACACCACACACTCAGGCTTCCTCACTCACACACATGCACCCTCGTTGACCCCAACACACACCCTCTCGAACAAACACACCTTCAAACACATCACGCGCCCACACTTGTAGGGACATTCGCACTCGCTCACACTCTTGCTAGCTCCCTCACCTACACGGACGGACTCTCACCCTCTCACAGGTTTGCTCACGCAACACTCGCCCCCACACTTGATCACACGCACACACTTAATCACGCGTACGGACAAACTCACCTGTACACACTCGCACACAACTGCAAAGCTCCTCGCCCCTTCCACCAGCCGAGACGCTCGGATCTCCCGCTAAAACGCCACCGGAAGCGGAAATACGCTCGGGGCGCCGCGCATTCTGGGAGTTGTAGTCTGGAGACGGCGTGCAGGCGCACTACATCCCGGCACCCGGCCTGCCTTTTCCCAGGCATAAACCACCCTTCCCAAGTCCTTGTCTCAGGCTCTGCAAAGTTATGCAACACGGTGATTTCCAACAGTGATAAGGGCTCAGAAAGCAATAAAACGGGGGGATGTGCGAGAGGGGGAGGGGATGATGCCACTTAAAGAAGTGGTTAGGAGAGGTCTTTCCAAAGAGACGACGTCTAGAATGAAGCTCAGATATGCAGAGGCGGTGATGCTCAGATTTGGGGAAGGGTATTTCAGCTGACGGAAGAGCAAGTGCAGAGCCCCGAGGTAGGGAGAAGAATGGTTTGCTTGAAGAACTGAGCTAAGGCCAGCATAGCTGGGAATAAAAGCTGCAGGAGAGAGCGTGATAGAGGAGGCTGCAGAGCTGGGTGGGGTCCGATCGTGGAGGACCTGGAGGGCCGCAGCGGGAGGATGATGGGACCTGACTTATCTTTTCAGCAACACCCTGTGGCTTTCGCATAGGCAGGGTGTGGGGAGTTAAGGTGGAGGGAGGATGAGCTTTGAAAGGTAAGACTGAAGGGAGGGAATCCAGGCAGGAGGCTGTTGTGGCCAGGCCATGATGTGCTGGGTTAGCATGGTGGCCATGGGGATGGTGTGAGGGATGGGTTTGGAATAGAATAGAATACACATTGAGGATAGAATTGACAGGACTCATGGATATAATGAGAAGAGTGCTGGGAAGAGGTGAGGGAGAGAGAGAAATCAATATGCCTAGAGATTTTTGCCCTGAGTGACCAGCAGATGTCAGTGCTGCTAACTGAGGTGAAAACGGAAAAACCACAGGTATGAAGGAGACATAAAGGGCTGTATTTTGAACTGTTAACTTTGAAATACCTGCTACATATTCATTCAGTGTGACTCACAACCATTTATTCATTCACTAACCAATCATTTATTAAGCCATTATTATGTACAGATACAGTGTTTGGTCCTGGGTGAACTGTGCTGGAGCAAGCTGATGTCAGCTCACAAGAGCCAATTATAAATATTCAGGAATGTTGGAAATAAGTTGTTGAACTATTGATAGCTTGACATCAGCTGTGGTGAGAATATTTACACCATAGAAACTGTCAAATGCTATTTATAATTTTTTTTGAGAGAGCAAGTTTATCAACATACCACTGGATAATAGTATGCAAGCAGACATAATTCTAACCTTCATTCTGTTTTCATTTTTGCTTCAGAAGACATTTTAAACAAATAATTACATAATTAATTAAAATTGCAGTGTGTGTTCGCTGAGAGTATAGAAGGAGAAATGACACAGGTTGGCCAGCAGGGGTGATCAGGAAGTGACATTTCAGCTGTGATCTGAAGGCTGAGGAGCACATTTTAGCATGGAAAATCAAGATGTTTTATTGATGGAGTGTCACAATTTGATTGGCAGTGTCTTTTTCTTTCTTAATGGAATGCAAGATAGTGGAGTATCTTACAATCAATGGTGGTTTCTATTCAATAGCATGTATTAATCTGATTAGAGAAGAGGTGTCTCAACCAGGTTTGTGGAGCTCAAAGATCCCATGTAGGTGTTGCAGAAATGACTGTGCTGAGGGGTTGGGAAAACACCAAATAGACAAGGATCCCAGCCCTCTCACCCTCGTTTACACAAGAACAGCTCTGGTTTTTGTTTTTTGTTGTTCTGCTTCACATTTATTTCTTCATAAAAATACATATTTAACACCTAATATGTGTCAGGTACTACGCTATGCACAGGGGATACGGCATTGAAGAAAACAAGACCGTGCCTTCATGGATATTATATTCAGAGGAATGGGGTGGTTGGGGTAGAACAAACACACTCAATAATTTATATAATTTCATAAGGGTGGTAAATGTAATGGAGATAGTAAAACAGAATGAGGTGTTTTTCACCTCAGAGAGGAGCTCTCAGATAACTGTGGAAGTGACCAACCCTTACCTTTGCCATATTCTATTGGCTGAAGGCAAATCCCAGGTTCCTACCACACTCAAGGGGAAGGGTTTATACAAGAAAGTGACTAATTGGTGGTCACCTTTGTGTGCATCTGCCATGCCCCAGTAGTCACCAGAGACTTGATCAAGCTGGCTGGTCACCTACCCATTTTCTCTCTCTTTGGCCAATTTATGTCTCCCCTAAGGGTTATGTCTTTGATCAAAGGGTGGTCCCAGGTAGAGCAGAATTGTTCAATCCTCAGGGATATGTTGGTAGGACTGCAACGGACTCCTAAAACTTCTGAGAAATGCCTCTGTAAGGTAAGATTTTTTAAAGCCCTAGACACATATAATTCAATCTCTATCATTAAAAGAAGTAGAGGCTGGGCATGGTAGCTCATGCCTGTAATCCCAGCGCTTTGGAAGGCCTAGGTGGGAGGATCGCTTGAGCCCAGGAGTTCAAGACCAGCCTAGGCAACATAATGAGACTCCCATCTCTACAAAAAAAAAAAAAAAAAAAAAAAATTAAATGTTAGCAGGGTGTGGTGGTGCATGCCTGTAGTCCCAGCTATTTGGGAGGCTGAGGTTGGAGGATCACTTGAGCCCAGGAGGTTGAGGCTACAGTGAGCTATGATCATGCCACTGTACTCATGTCTGGGCAATAGAGCAAGACCCTATCTCAAAAAAAAAAAAAAAGAATCCTGAGTGATTCTGAAATATCAAACCTAAAAATATCAATCTAAAAATATCAAGCCTTTCTCAACCTTCTTAACTCCGGGTAAACTGCCTAACTTATCAGAATTTTATTTTGCTTATCTAAAAAATGAGGAAAATTACAACTACCTCACAGAGGTGTTTTGAATATTAGAGATAATGTACATAAAAGTGACAATGTATGTAAAGTTTTAGTGCCACTAAACATTAGTACAGGTGGCCATTGGAAGCATAATGGTAGGATTGAGTAAGAAGATAAATGGTGGCTCATCAAGAGATCAGATGTGAGGGACTGATTACAAATTAGTAAATAACATTCTCTCCTTTCATGAGTTTTATCTGGGCTCTCAGCTGGAGACAACATTTCCCAGCCTCCTTTGCGGTCAGTGTGACCATGTGGCTAAACACCAGCCAATAAGATGTTAGCAGAAGTGAAGCGTATAACTTCTGGGTCACATCTTAAAACCATGTAGCTTGCCCTCCATTTCCTCTGTCCCTCTTCCAGCAGCTGGATTGTGAATGAGGTGCTAGTGATCCAACTCCCACCATAGGAATAAGGAAACCTTCAGGGATGGTAGAGCAACGAGATAGAAGGAACCTGGCCTCAGGATGACTGTGGCATAGAGACACCCAGGGTCACCTCCAAGCACAAATGATTACACAAAAGAGAAACAAGCCTTCTGTATGACTTAGGTTGCTGTTATTTTGTTTCTGTTAAAGCAGCTGAACCAGAAATACAACAAATACAGGGTTTGCTATCAGAGAAACATTGCAGAAAGATAAAGGTACCCTTGACTTTCCCTTAGGAAGCAGCCGCGTGAAGACTACCAACCATTTCTCTGCACGTCCAATATGGCCTATTTTTCTTCTGGAATAGATGCTGCTGCTTGTGATGAAGGCTTTGGCTTGCATTTAGGACAAACACTAGATGAAAAAATGTGTACCACTAAACATTAGAACCACATTGAGCAGGATAAAACATGTCCACATGGGGAAGTGCATGGAAACCGAGGCAGGCTGAGAGGACAGTCTCCTATTGGATTCGTAGTCCAGGTCATAAATTTATTGAGTGAGCTCTTGGGTGGAATCACCCACCCTATTTAAATTATTTGCTCCTCCTCTTTCTCTCCTCCCCTGTGTACATTTAATACTATTTGCCTAAATTAAATGCACATTGGATTTGTCTCCATTTTATCCAGACATCCATCAGGGTTCTCCTGCATGATTCATTGCAATTCAACTTTGTTGACAACTTTGGCGAATAGGTGTGTTCCTGGGGGTCTCTGGAGGCACTAACACTTCCACCACGACCACAAGGAAAATCTTGGGAAGGTGGATTTTTGGGTCCCTCCCGCATCCAGATGGCAGACCCTAGTATGGCACCTGGAGATAGAGCTTCCACAGGGCTCTCTTCATGTCCTGGTTCCTCAGGCTGTAGATGAGCGGATTCAGGGTGGGTATGAGGATGGAGTAGAAGACAGCAGCCAAGCGCCCTTCCAGCGGGGAGTAGCGGGTGGTGGGTCGCATGTAGGTGGAGCTGCCGGTGCCATAGAACAGGAGCACCATGCCCAGGTGGGAAGAACAGGTGGAGAAGGCCTTCCGGCGGCTGGCTGCTGAACGGATCTGAACCACTGTGGCCAAGATGCGGATGTAAGAGAGGACAGTGAGGGCAAAGCAGATCATGATGACACAGCCACTGGCTGTCCTGGGGCCTGCTGTCAGTTGAGTGGGGGAGCCAGACATGAATCAAATTAGCCTGGCTAATTTTTTTCTATTTTCAGTAGAGATGAAGTTTCACCATGTTGGCCAGGCTGCTCTTGAACTCCTGACTTCAGGTGATCCTCCCACTTCGGCCTCGCAAAGTGCTGGGATTACAGGCATGAGCCACCGTGTGTGGCTGCAAATTTTGTATTATGTGTATCTTGCTACAACTAAATATTAAGAAAGAATACCTATTTACTTTTCCATTCTTCAAGAGTTCCGTCTAATGACAGCAAAGATACTTGACAATAGGCATTGCCTCAAATTAGAAAAAAAAATGAGATACTTAAAAAACTGGTGTGTTTACATATATTTGGTTTTTGTTTAATAAGGTTTTTTTTGAAGTGAAAATAACTGCACACATGGCTGTACCAGGCTGTCTGCCTTTGGACAGAGCAATGCTAGGCTGAGGTGTGGGATCTTGAGCCCTGGCATGGACACAGCTGTGGAGAGAGTGCAGGCTGCATTTCACATCCTCTCATCTCCTCAGACAGGAGCCTAAGTGCGGGGTAGAATACGCACGGCCATCCCCAGCGGCCCTGGCTGTGCGTGAGGTCTTAGGAGTGTCTGCATTTTACAGAGCAGGGCACTGGGCGCAGGGAGGGGAGGTCTCCAGGCTGCCTGGCCCTGAACCCACGCCTCCGTCACCTGCTCCCATCCTGTCTCTGAGCATCCAAGGAGGGGAGTCCTGGCACCTCCCAGAGGGGGGATTTGAGGGCTGCTGTCTTGCTCTGCATTCTGGCTTGGCATTTGGGGCTTGGGTAGGGTCCTACCAAGGTGGCTGTAAAGGAGGAAATGTGGCTTGGGGCTCAAATTTGTTCATTAATGAATTCATCTCTCAGGCTCTGTTTCAACTTGCCCTCCCCCAACACATACCTGTGTGGGCAGAATGACCGCCCTGCACCTGCTGCACCTGGGCTCTGGAATGACCGCCCTGCACCTGGGCTCTGGTCTGTTCACGTAAAGCCTTGTTCTCATTGCATGAATCACAAAGTTTCACACACAGGAGTTAAACAGATCAGGAGATACCTGCCATTAAAAGGAAAGTTTGTTGCTCATAATCACAAGTCGAGGGCACAGCACAGCCAGGGGAGCTACACGGGGAATCACCTGGTCAGCAAAAACCCAGAGAGATGCAGGAGGAAATGTGGACAAAGCCACTGAAGTTCCCTTTGGAAGAAACAGGTCATGCAGGATAAGCAGGCTGACGACAGGCTCATTTAGGTCATTTTAGTAGCTGTGGGTTATGGGACGTCCTTCGTTGTTTCTGATACCTGACCTTGGGTGACTGTGCACGTGGATTGTGGCTCAGAGCTCCATAAGGTGTGGCTGGGGGTGTAAGCTAGGACTGGTTGGTTTACCCATGAAAGGCACACTTGCAGGAAAGTTGTGACTATCTCCAGCGGTTGAAGACAGCTGAGAGGGGAAATGTCTCCAGGGTCAGCCAGTCCCAGATGTCAAAGCATCAGAATACAGGAAGTTAAAGATGGTTTGGTGCCCGCATCCTCAGGGAACTCCCCACTTCCTGTTGTTCTGAGTTCTCTGTGGATGTGGAGTGACGACCCCAAAATACTTCGATCCACACTGTGGTTGACTATTATAACCCACTTAGATCAGTAGTTCCAAGCCAGGGTGATTTTGCCCACTGGGGACACTTGTCAATATCTAGAGACATTTTTAATTTTCACCTCTGAAAGGGTCCTGTGAAGCCAGGAATACAGTTCAACATCCTCCAATGCACAGGAAGTCCCTGTCCCCACACGACACGTTATCCAATCCAAATATTCCACACCACCAAGGTGGAAAACCCATTATAATGATCCTCCAAACCCTCTCGACGATCCATATATTGACCTCTTCTCCAATCCTCCCTCAGCCTTCCACTCCCATTGAACTTCTCATTACCAATAACCAAAATCACTTTATCCCATCAGATCAGCATCCCATCTCCTACATCAGCTCCCTGACTTCCAGGCGACCCCTTCCCCACCTGACACCAATGTCCCCCCGTTCCTTGGTGACCAGCGCTCCAGGAATTCTACCATTTTACACTGAGATTCACCTTTACACCCGGCCACCTTCCATGGCTAATCCTCAGAATCAATTCCTTCTGCACACATGCAAATCTCTTTTTTATATTCTTCATGCAATTCTTGTGGAATATCCCATCGCTGCTGGACTCTGACCCTTTTCTGCTCTGCCCCTCACTCCTGTGGCTGCACGTGGCTGGGGAGAAAAAGCTCCTCTCCCACTGCCTGTTTTCACTCTTATCTCATGGCAACTCATCTCCAAGGATGCTGACAGCTGCCTGGAAACAGGACCCGCTCCTTCATTCTCTCCGACTGCAGTGAAAACCTACTGCATTCCTGCTTTTCTGTCCTCACAGCTGCAACTGTCTGCTGGGGTATCCCCATGCTTTAAACTTAAGGGAAGAACAGCAATGTTCCACATCTGACACACCATGAACTACCAGCTCCAGCAATTCACAGACTCAACATTAGCTCTCTCTACATTACTTTTGCTAACATCCTACCTTTGTGATACTGGATTGGCAGTGGTTGCTGTGAAGAGAAAAGATCACCACCTGAAATCAGCGTGGATGAGGAGTGTGAGTGTGAGTTGGCCCCTCATCAGATATATATAGTTTGCAAATATTTTCTCTCATTGTGCAGTGTCTCTTCACTCTGTTGATTGTTTTCGTTGCTGTGCAGTATCATTTTAGTTTGATGCAATCCCATTTGGCTATTTTTGCTTTTCTTGCCAGTACTTTTGAGGTTATATCCAAAAAGTCATTGCCCAGGTGAATGACTTTTCCTTTATATTTCATGGGGATATTCCCTTATGTATTCGTCTATTAGTTTTATAGTTTTGAGGCTTCCCTCTATGTCTTTAATTCATTTTGAGTTGATGTTTGTATGTAAGGTGAGATAAGGGTCTAACTTCATTCCTTTGCATATAGATATCCAGTTTTCCCAACACAATATGTTGAAGAGATTGTCCTTTCCTTATTATGTGTTCTTGGTATCTTTGTCAAAAGTAAAAAACAGTTGGCTGTGAATGTGTGGATTTATTTCTGGGATTTTTATTCTGTTACAGTGGTCTATGTGTGTGTTTTTATGACAGAATCACCCTGTTTTAGTTCCTATAGCTTTGTGGTATATTTTGAAGTCAGGTAGTGTAAGACCTCCAGCTTTATTCTTTTTGCTTAAGATTGCTTTGGCTACTCTGGGTCTTTTATGGTTTCATATGAATTTCAGGATTGTTTTCTATTTCTATGAAGAATGCCATTTGTGATTTTAGAGAGGTTGCATTGAACCACTTTGCGTAGTATGGACATTTTAACACTATATTCATTATTCTGATCTATAAACACAAGATATTTTTCCATTTACTTGTATCTTCTTCAATTTCTTTCCTCAGGGTTGTATAGTTTTCAGTGTAGTGATCTTTCACCATCTAGGTTTAATTCATTCCTAAGAATTTTATTTTATTGAAGCTTATTGTAAATGAAACTGCTTTCTTAATTTCCTTTTCAGATATTTTGCCATTAGTGTATCGAGATGCTACTACTTTTTACATGTTGATTTTGTATCTTACAACTTTACTGAATTTGTTTATTAGTTATAACACTTTTTAATGGAACCTTTAAGATTTTCTATATGTAAGGTCAAGTCACTCTAAACAGGTACAATTTAACTTCTTTCTTTCCAACTTGGATGCCTTCATTTCTTTCTCTTGCCTAATTACTCTGGATAGAATGTGCAGTACTATACTCAATAGAAGTGGTGGGAATAGGCATACTTGTTCTTGTCCCAGATCTTAGAGAAAAGGCTTTCAACATTTTCTCATTAAGCATGACATTAGCTGTGGGTTTGCCATATATGGTCTTTATTATATTGAGTACATTCTGTCCACACCTAGTTTGCTGAGAATTTTTACTCTGAAAGGATATTAAATTTTGTGAAATGCTTTTTTTGTGTCTGCTGAAATTATTATATGATTTTTGTCCTTCATTCTATTGATATGATGTATCACATTTATTGACTTACATATGATGAAACATCCTTGCATCCCTGGAATAACCCAATTGATTATGACGAGTGAGCTTTTTGGTGGATAGTAGTCAGGGATGCTGTTCCTCATTCTATAATGTCAGAACAGAACCCCCCTGACATAAAGAATTATCCAGCTCAAATTTTCTACGTTGCTAAGGTAGATAATACCTAATATGGATGGTTCTCCCAACCTCTTGACTATCAATATATTGACTTCCTCTTCTTCAGTGCTTCTGTCCAATGCCTCTTAGCAATCCATTCCCATTAGCCTTCTCATTACCAATAACCCAAACCCCTCCATCCATTTACCTAAAGCACCCCATCTCCAACATTACTTCCTACATTTCAGGTAACTTGTCACAAGATGCCAACATCACTTCATTCATTAGGGACCAATGCTCCATTGACTTGCCCATTTTTCATTGATCTTAACTTTCACCTCAAGGTCACCTTCTATGATCTCTGTTTAAAACAAAATTTTTATGCACACATATGAAGCAATTTTTCATATTCTACTTTTTGTTAGTCTCTTAGAAAAATAAATGCTTGCTGGACTATGAATCTGCCTGCTCTGTCCTTCACTCATGCAGCTGGACATAGCTGAGGAGCAACAGACCCTCGGCCACCGCCTGTTCTCACTCTGCTTTCATGGAGACTCGCTGTCAAGAAGGCCGAGGGCGTCCTGAACACAAGACCACTTTCTCCATTCAATCCCCCTCCGATGAATGCTTGCTGCATGCCAGCTTTTCTATCCTTAAACTTCCAAGCCTGTCATCCCCATTTTCACTTGATTTATATTTCCCAAATACAAGTAGCATCACAGAGTGAATATTTTCATGATGTCTCAAAAGAAAATGAGATATAGTTACTATTGTTGCTCATTGGACTTATTCTATTCCCAGTAACAAACCTGAAACTAGCAGAAACTCACAACGCTAGGTTCATTTTCAAACATTATCCATGGAGTTTACATTCCAGTGGATCGAAAGCAGTGAAAAGCAAGCAAATAAAAGAAGCATCTGCAGCCGGGCGCGGTGGCTCACGTCTGTAATCCCAGCACTTTGGGAGGCTGAGGCGGGTGGATCACAAGGTCAGGAGTTCGAGACCAGCCTGGCCAACATGGTGAAACCCTGTCTCTACTAAAATACAAAAAAAAGTTAGCCGGGCGTGGTGGTGCGCGCCTGTAATCCCAGCTACTCAGGAGGCTGAGGCAGGAGAATCACTTGAACCCAGGAGGTGGAGGTTGCAGTGAGCTGAGATTGCACCACTGCACTCCAGCCTGGTGACAGAGCAAGACTCCGAAAAAAAAAAGAGAAAGAAAGAAAGAGAGAGAGAGAAAGAAAGAAAGAAAGGAAGGAAGGAAGGAATGAAGAAAGGAAGGAAAGAAAGAAAGAAGGAAATAGATGTAATATTGTATGTTTGAATTAATTAGCTGAAATGAGAATTCGGCTGCTTTCTATTAAGGAAATAGAAATATAGGGGGGGCTTTCTTGGGTGGTTAACTTTTATCAGAACCTTAACTGGAGTCAGAGAAAGGCAACATTAAGACCTAGGGTGATGGAAAGAGCTGCACATGAAAAGGTCCTGAGGCTGATTAATTCCAGGGTATAAGATATAACCATGTGGCTGGAGCTAAACATTTTGCCTCTATTTCTCCCTTAGAATCTCCTTTGGTCTGAATGCTCTCTCTTCCCTCTCTGCTTTCTCTTCATCCTTCCATATCGCAAACTACCTATTTTCTCTCTTTCTCTTTCATTTTCCCCCTTTCTCCTTCATTTTCCCCTTTCCTCTTTCTTCTTACTCATCCTTCAATACAGTTTGATTTTTTTTTTTTAAGATGGAGTCTCACCCTATCACCCAGGCTGGAGTGCAGTCGTGTCATCTTGGCTTACCGTGACCTCCGCCCCCTGGATTCAAGAGATCCTCCTGCCTCAGCCTCCTGAGTAGCTTGGACTACAAGCCTGTGCCACTATGCCTGGTGTATTTTATTTTATTTTTGTATTTTTAGTAGAGATGGGGTTTCACTGTGTTGGCCAGGTTGGTCTTGAACTCCTGACCTCTCAAAGTGCTGGGATTACAGGCATGAGCCACCACGCCGGACTATAGTTTGATTTTTTTTTTCAGGTTCTCCAGAAAGCCTACTTATTAACCAGTCAACATATTTCATGTACGGGTATTGCTCTAGATTATTAGAGAAACAAGAATACAAACATTGGAATGGTTACGTAGGACCTTCAGTGAACCCACAGACTGTGAAGAATTTGAATGCTGGTATCATATATGCACTACTCTTCCCTCTGTCCCTAGCACTGTGCCTAACACATGGCATGTGCTGGTGACTGTTGAATAATGAAATAAACACATAACCAGTCTTTATGTGGAGCTGTAGGCAGAAGACCCAATTGGGGCCCTGTCTTCTTATTTGTAAAATAATAAATTTTCAATTTATCCCACAAATATACTTTGAGGTCACCTTTGAATAAGTTGGTTAGCATCAACTACTTCCCTTATCAATGAGTCCATAGTCTCATTGTCCTTCAGCCCCAAGGATAGCTTTTAGTCATTGATGGTACTGTTCTGATTCTTTCTTTTCTTTTTTCTTTTTCTTTTTTTTTTTTTTTTTTTTTTTGAGATGGAGTCTCACTCTGTCATCAAGGCTGGAGTGCAGTGGCACGATCTTGGCTCACTGCAACCTCCGCCTCCCGGGTTCAAGTGATTCTCCTGCCTCAGCCTCCCGAGTAGCTGGGATTGCAGGTGTGTGCCACCATGCCCGGTATTTGTTATTTTTAGTAGAGACGGGGTTTCACCATGTTGGCCAGGCTAGTCTCCATCTCTTGACCTCGTGATCCGCTTGCCTCGGCCTCTCAAAGTGCCGATATTATAGCCGTGAGCCACCGCGCCTGGCCTCTGTCCTGATTCTTAAATCAAGGGCTAAGCCAGGAAACTATTTACCTGCTTTTTAAGTTCAAAGTGCTATTGATACAGGTTTTAGAGACACGACCCGAACACTAAGAGTTCATGGCCCAGTGAAGGAAATGGGTAAACAGTTATATCACCAAGAGAGACAAGGAACAGGAGAAGTGGCACACCTATCATACCAGAATTGGGGAGAGAAGAGCTTTAACCATTGTGGATACAGTCGTTGGAGAAACTTTCACAAAGAAAATGCCTCTCTATTCTTTCTAACTATCATTTGCTCACATCATTAAATTACTACTGTATTTCTTATTTATGGTAGAAATGCAAAATGTACAACTATTATTTATTGAATTTGTACAATGTATTGGGCATTGTGCCAAATCCTTATACACCCCCAATCCTCATTTACAGGCAAAGGCAGCGAGGCTCAAAAGAGGCAGGTGTCTGGCCCATGATCACCCAGTAATGAATGTTAGCCTGGGATTTATAAACTTGAGAATATACATTCTACCTTCTCTTCTGGGAATTCTAAACTTATATGAGAGATCTCTGAAAGCCTGGGTAATAGGAGTCAGAGCATACTTCCTGGAGAAATCTCCCCACTGGGTTTATAATGGTAGGCGGCTTGGCAAATCAATAAGCCTGACACATATAAATCACACTCCCATGAGAATTTAGAGCCAGAAAACAGCTCTATACTTTCAGAGCCAGAAAACAGCTCTATACTTTCTTTCACTTACTCTGAAAGTATAGGGCATCGTGGATCAGACACATTAAGCATGTGTCTTCTTCAACCCCACAAAATTATACCTAGAAATTTAGCCTAAAATAGTATTTCTCAAACTTTTAAAAGTCAGAAGGCCCGTATACTTGTCAAGATAATTGAGAATCTCTAAAGAATTTTTCTTTGCATGGTTTATATCTAGGAGTATTTACCATATTATAAATTGAAGCTGAGAAATTTTTAAATTTAAAACATAAAAAAGTAACAACCCTATCACATATTAACAGAACCCACATTTTATCAACAATAATTACTTTTTCCAAACAAAAAATTAGTTATAAAGGGAGCACTGTTTCACTTTTTTATAAATCCCTTTAATACTCTTCTTTTTTTTTTTTTTTTTTTTTTTTTGAGACAGAGTCTCACTCTGTTACCCAGGCTGGAGGGCAGTGGCGTGATCTTGGCTCACTGCAACCTCCGCCTCCCAGGTTCAAGCAATTTTCCTGCCTCAGCCTCCCAAGTAGCTGGGATTACAGGTGTGCGTGACCACATCCAGCTAATTTTTGTAATTTTAGTAGAGACGGAGTTTCACCATGTTGGCCAGGATGGTCTTGATCTCTTGACCTTGTGATCCACCCGCCTTGGCCTTCCAAAGTGCTGGGATTACAGGCATGAGCCACTCCTCCCAGCCAATACTCTTCTTAATAACCAGGTGCTATGGTTCATGCCTGTCATCAAAGCATGCTGGGAGGCCAAGGCAGAAGGACTGCTTGAGGCCAGGAGTTCAAGACCAGCGTGGTCATCATAGTGAGACTCCCCCTCTACAAAAAAAAAAAATTTTTTTTTAATTAGTCCAGTTGAATGGCATGTGCCTGTAGTCCTAGCTACTCTGGAAGCTATGGTGGGAGAATTCCTTGAGCCAAGGAGTTTGAAGTTTCAGTGAGCTATGATTGCACCACTGTACTCTAGCCTGGGCGACAAAGGCAAGACTTTGTCTCTACAAAAAGAAATCTTTTCTTAATACAAAGCAGCCGAATTCTCATTTCAGCTAATTAATTCAAACATACAATATTACATCGTGAAGAGAAAATGGGAAGGAAAAAGGCAAATAAAACAGTGTTCTTAAGAACATATAGAACTTGTGAACTCTTTCAAATGGTCTTGATTTTCACAAGGTCCTTGAACTACCTTTTGGGACAACATTGATGTAAGATATATTCAAATAGTGGATATGAAATTATAAGATCATCTGAACATACAAATGAGAGGTTATCCATGAAAGAAACTACAGGACATTCACATCACTTTCCTTTTTTTCTTTCTTTCTCTTTTTTTTTTTTTTTTTTGAGATGGAGTTTCACTTTGAATTACCCAGGCTGGAGTGCAATGGCACTATCTTGGCTCACTGCAACCTCCACCTCTCGGGTTCAAGTGATTCTCCTGCCTCAGCCTCCAAGTAGCTGGGATTACAGGTGTGCATCACCATGCCCAGCTAATTTTTGTATTTTTTGTATTTTTGTATTTTGTATAATTTTGTACTTTTAGTAGAGACGGGGTTTCACCATGTTGGCCAGGCTGGTCTCGAACTCTTGACTTCAAGTGATCCACCTGCCTCAGCCTCCCAAAGTGCTGGGATTACAGGCCTGAGCCACTGCACCGGCCCCACATCACTTTCCTTCTTCTCTGCAGCTGCATTTGGCTGGGGAGGAACAGCCCCTCCCCCACTGCCTGTTTCCACTCTGTTTCCATGGTGACTCTCTCCAACAAGGACACTGAGCATTGCCTGCCAATCAGGCCAGCTCCTCCACTCTCTCCCCTGCAGTGAACACCGACTGCATTCCTGCTGTTCTATCCTCACCGCTGTGACGATCTCTGCAGAGAGATCCTAGGTACCTTAACATTGAAGGCATCGGATACAGCTGTATTCGAAATCTGACACCACAGAACCTGCCAGCTCCAGGGGTTCACAGTTTCAACATTTCCTTTGCTGACATCACATCTCTGTGATGCGGGGGTGTCAGTGGCTGCTGTGAAGAGAAGCAATCACCACCCAAAAATTAACATAGATAAGGAAATGAGAGTGGTGCAGTCCAGGCTGATGCCAAGGGATAAGAGGTTTGCAGTCCCCAACAGGCACGTGCGTCCCATGATGAAGGACTTGCCATGATTGAAGAATAAAGAATGATTTTTACCATGCATTCTCCATTATAAGTGGGAGTTAAACATTGGGTACACAGGCACACGGATATGAGAACAGTAGACACTGTCAACACCGGAAGGGAAGGTACCGCCTGTCATTGGGTACACAGGCACAAGGATATGAGAACAGTAGACACTGTCAACAGCAGAAGGGAAGGTACCGCCTGTCTCACGCCACGTTCACTACGCGGGCCACGGGGCCATTAGAAGCCAAACTCCACATCAGGCAAGATGTCCTTGTAACAAGCCTGTATCTACATTTTAAAAAAGTTTTAATAAAAATTAATTAATTTTAATAAATAAATAACTTTCCAAGCTGGGCCATGATTCAACATGGCTTTTCTAAATAAAATAGTTTTTGTTTGAAAAGAAAAATTATTTTTAAGAGAAAGAAGAAACCACCACACATTTATTAACATTGCTATGATCCATAAAACAGAAAATAACAAGTGGTTTTTTGTTTGTTTGTTTGGAGACGGAGTCTCACTCTGTTGCCCAGGCTGGAGTGCAGTGGCATGATCTCGGCTCACTGCAACCTCCACCTCCAGGGTTCAAGAGATTTCTGGCTAATTTTTGTATTTTTAGTAGAGACATGTTTTCACCATGTTGGCCAGGCTGCTCTCGAACTCCTGACCTCAGGTTATCTGCCCACCTCAGCCTCCCAAAGTTCTGGGATTACAGGCATGAGCCACCACGCCCAGCCTGAAAATAACAAGTGCTGGCAGGCTTTGGAAAAGTAGGAAACTTCTGCCTTGTTGATGGAAATGTGACACGATGCATTATTCATAATAGTCAAAGGTGGAAAACCGCAAGTGTCCATCAAAGGATGAGTGGATATTGGTAAACAAGCTGTAGTGTTCACATACAATGGAATATTACTGAGTCTTACAAAGAAAGGAAACCCAGACAGATGCTACAACACGGAGGAACCCTGAGGACATGATGCCGAGTGGAATAAGTCAGCCCCAGAGGGACACTGTTGCATGATTCCACTTAGGTCAGGCCCCAGACTAGCCTAATTCATAGACCCAGAAAGTAGAATGGTGGCTCATGGGGGCTTAGAGAGGAGAAATGCAGAGCTCATGTACAATCAGCTCAGAATTCCAGTTTTGCAAGATGAAGACTGTTCTGGGCGTGGAAGGTAGTGATGTTTGCAAATAACCCGAATGTAATGGAAGCCAACAAACTGCACACTTAAAAGATGATGAAAATATCAACGTTAAACTATGTAATAATTTACACCATTTTTAAAGAAAAGATCTTGCTCTGTCACCCAGGTTGGAGTGCAGCAGCACGATCACAGCTCACAGCAGACCTCAGGCCATCCTCCCACCTCAGCCTCCTGAGTAGCTGGGATTACAGGCCTGCACCACCATGCCCAGCTAATTTATTTTTATTTTTTGTAGCGACAGGGTTTTGCCTTGTTGCCCAGGTTGGTCTCGAATTCCTGGGCTCACACGATGCTCCTACCTCAGCCTCCCAAAGTGCTGGGATTACAAGCGTGAGCCACTGTGCCTGGCCTACATCATTTTTTACAATTAAAAAAATTTTTAGGTCGGGCGTGGTGGCTCAGGCCTGTAATCCCAGCACTTTGGGAGGCGGAGGCGGGCAGATCACGAGGTCAGGAGATCGAGACCATCCTGACTAACACGGTGAAACCCCGTCTCTACTAAAAACACAAAAAATTAGCCGGGCATGATGGTGGGCGCCTGTAGTCCCAGCTACTGTGGTACTGTGGAGGCTGAGGCAGGAGAATGGGGTGAACTCGGGAGGCGGAGCTTGTAGTGAGCCGAGATCCTGCCACTGCACTCCAGCCTGAGCGACAGAGCGAGACTCCGTCTCAAAAAAAAAAAAAAAAAAAAAAAATTAGAGGATGGGCGCGGTGGATCACGTCTGTAATTTCAGCACCTCGGGAGGCTGAGGCAGGTGATCACCTGAGGTCAACAGTTTGAGACCAGCCTGGTCAACATGGTAAAACCCCGTCTCTACTAAAAATACAAAAATTAGCCGGGTGTGATAGTGCAGGCCTGTAATCTCAGCTACTCAGGAGGCTGAGGCAGGAGAATCACTTGAACCCGGGAGGTGGAGCTTGCAGTGAGCCGAGATCACGCCACTGCACTCCAGCCTGGGCAACAAAGCGAGACTTGGTCTCAAAAAAAAAAATTAAACTTGCCAGCCTTTGTTTTTCAATTAATATTAGTAAAAAATGGATTATACGGTAAAGTTTATGTTCTGTGTATTTTGCCACAATTAAAAATGAAAAGATAAAAAGTGTTAAACGTCTGTATACTTTCTATTGCTTCAAGAGTGCCACCTAGTGATGGCAAAGGCACTTTACAGTAGCATTACCATTGCCTCATGTGAGAAGAAACAGGAAAAAAATGAGATCCTGAAAATGGCTGTGTCACTATTTATTTGCTCTCTTGTTCCTTGAACTAATTTGTTTCTCAAATTTCATGAGTGAACCCAAGGCCACGGTGGTGGGCTAAGGGGCTTTGCAGAGATCAATGAGGGAGTGGCGCTGGTGGGATTATTTATCCTCGAACTAAGCACAACTTGGAAAGAGTGCAGGCTAGATTTCACCTCCCCTCAGCTTCTTGGACAGAAGCCTCAATGCTGAGGAACATACGCATGGCCATCCCCACAGCCCTGGTTGTGAGTGAGACCTACAAGTGCCTGCATTTTATGGCGGAAAATACTGGGCTCAGAGAGGGAAGTCTCCAAGCTCTCTGGCCCTGAGCCCACGCCTCCATCACCTGCTCCCATCCCACGTCTGAGCATCCAAAGAAAAGTGCCCTGGCCCCTCCCAGAAGAGGGAGTCCAGGGCCCCTGTCTTGCTCCATCTTTGGGACTGGACATTTAGGGTTGGGCAAGATTCTAATAATATAGATAAGAGGCAGGGAAAGTGGTCTGCATCTCCAATTTGCTTGAGAATGCCGTGTCTCCCAAACTCCCCTTCAACTACACACACGTGCGTGCTCGCACACACACACACACGATGGGGAAATGCATCAGGGTACTCGAGGGACTCCCACAAAATGAGGCTCATAATTGCATGAATCAAGACCAGAAATTACCAAGTTTCACACACAACGGTAAAACAGACTGAGGGACAAGTTGTTACTGCAAATATAGCTGTTTGCTCACATTCCCAAGAGGAGGGGCACACCACACCAGGTAGTCACACAGGAAGGACAAGTATCTGGCAAGAGGAAGGGGATGGAAGGACTTGTGAGTGAAGAGCCTTAATTATGGTTTCCAAGGGAAAGAACAAGTGGGGGTAAATGAGCAGGTAAACAAGATTGGCTTCTCTGAAGAATTTCAGTGGCTCTGGGCATAGGGGTTGTCCCCGAGCTGTCTGATGCCTGGTCCTGGGGTGATTAGGAGAGCTGAGTGATTCGTGGCTGTCAGTGTGAATGCTCCATAGAGGAGATGATTGGGGAGTGGGATCTGGATTGGTTTCCACATGAAAGGCTGCCTTTCAAGGGAGCTGTTTACTATCTTCAGGAATTGACAAGACCCAGCAGGATCATCCCTCCAGGGTCAGCAAGATCCAAGATGTGGCCCATCAGAATTACAGAAAATAACATGCAAGGTTGGGACACATAGCCTCATGAAAAGCCCCGATTTCTGTGTGATCTCAATTCTCTGTGGATGTGGACTGTTGTCCTCACCAACATCACTTTCCTCTATAATCCTGGGGAATATCCTACACGTTAATATCTGTGGTTCTCCACCAGGGAAGATTTTGCCATGAGGAGACATCTGCCAATTTTTGGAAACATGTTTGGCTGTCACAACTGGAGGAGGGCTGTAGGCATCAGCTGTGTAGCAGACAGCATCCTATTGATCAATATCTTACAAAAACAGGACAGGCTTCCCCACCCTGCAAAAAAAGAACTTTCAAGCCCAAATTTTCAATAGTGCTGATGTGGAGGAACACTAACATAGCTGACCCTCCCAACACTTCACTATCTGAAAATTGATCTCCTCTCTCCCAAATTTCCTATCTAAACTCCTTTAGCCATCGATTGCCATCAGCCTTGTTGTTACCAATAGAGGCTGTCAGCCCATCTCCTCAGCTCAAGCCTCCCATCTGCAACATCACTGCCTATCTTCCAGGTGACTTCTGCTCACCTGATGCCAATTTTCCTTTTCTTTAGGAAAAACATAGTATTGATTCACCCATTTCCCGCTAATCTTCATCCCACCTTCAGATCACTGTCTATGGTCAATTGTTAGAACCAGTTTCTTCTGCACAAACTCAAATCTCCTTTTCATACTCTGCTTCATGTGATTCTCTTGGAAACCCTCAACCCTGATGAGCCATGACTCCCTCCATGTCATTCCTCATCCTCACTCCTGCAGGTACACGTGGCTGGGGAGGAACAGCCCCTGCCCCACTGCCTATTCTCACTCTAACCTCGTGGTGACTCATCCCTAAGGACACTGAGCACTGCCTGGAAATAGGACCAGCTTCTCCATTCACTTTGTGTCCAGTACTACTGCATGACTGCTTTTCTATACTCAAACCTCCAACTCTTTTGTGTGCATTGTTACTTTATTCCTATTTCCTTGGTATAAGCAGCATTGAGAAATGAATATTTTTCATGATAATGAGCAGGAAATCAGGTATGGATCTATTTTTGTCCTTCGGAGCTTTTCATTCACAGTAGCAATCTTCTGGCACAATCAGTAATGCAAACCAGGGGTTCATTATTTCTACCATCCTCAAAGGAGCTTATATTCCACTAGAGGGAGAATATAAGGCATCAGCTGGGTAGCAGACAGCATCCTATTGATCAATATCTTACAAAACAGGAAGTAAACCAAAAAAGTCAGCCTCTCTGACTGGCGTGAGATGGTATCTCATTGTGGTTTTGATTTGCATTTCTCTGATGATCAGTGATATTGAGCTTTTTTTCATATGTTTGTTGGCCGCGTACATGTCTTCTTTTGAGAAGTGTCTGTTCATATCCTTTGCCCAATTTTTGATGGGGTTGTTTGTTTTTTTTCTTGTAAATTTGCTTAAGTTCCTTGTAAATTCTAGATATCAGACCTTTGTCAGATGGGTAGATTGCAAAAAATTTCCTCCCATTCTGTGGGTCGCCTGTTCACTCTGATGATAGTTTCTTTGGCTTGCAAAAATTTCCTCCCATTCTGTGGGTCGCCTGTTCACTCTGACGATGGTTTCTTTGGCTTGCAAAAATTTCCTCCCATTCTGTGGGTCGCCTGTTCACTCTGACGATGGTTTCTTTGGCTTGCAAAAATTTCCTCCCATTCTGTGGGTCGCCTGTTCACTCTGACGATGGTTTCTTTTGCTTGCAAAAATTTCCTCCCATTCTGTGGGTCGCCTGTTCACTCTGACGATAGTTTCTTTGGCTTGCAAAAATTTCCTCCCATTCTGTGGGTCGCCTGTTCACTCTGACGATAGTTTCTTTGGCTTGCAAAAATTTCCTCCCATTCTGTGGGTCGCCTGTTCACTCTGATGATAGTTTCTTTGGCTTGCAAAAATTTCCTCCCATTCTGTGGGTCGCCTGTTCACTCTGACGATAGTTTCTTTTGCTTGCAAAAATTTTCTCCCATTCTGTGGGTCGCCTGTTCACTCTGACGATAGTTTCTTTTGCTTGCAAAAATTTCCTCCCATTCTGTGGGTCGCCTGTTCACTCTGACGATAGTTTCTTTTGCTTGCAAAAATTTCCTCCCATTCTGTGGGTCGCCTGTTCACTCTGACGGTAGTTTCTTTTGCTTGCAAAAATTTTCTCCCATTCTGTGGGTCGCCTGTTCACTCTGACGATGGTTTCTTTTGCTTGCAAAAATTTCCTCCCATTCTGTGGGTCGCCTGTTCACTCTGACGATGGTTTCTTTTGCTTGCAAAAATTTCCTCCCATTCTGTGGGTCGCCTGTTCACTCTGACGATGGTTTCTTTTGCTTGCAAAAATTTCCTCCCATTCTGTGGGTCGCCTGTTCACTCTGACGATGGTTTCTTTTGCTTGCAAAAATTTCCTCCCATTCTGTGGGTCGCCTGTTCACTCTGATGATAGTTTCTTTGGCTTGCAAAAATTTCCTCCCATTCTGTGGGTCGCCTGTTCACTCTGACGATAGTTTCTTTTGCTGTGCAGAAGCTCTTTAGTTTAATTAGATCCCATTTGTCAATTTTGGCCTTTGTTGCCATTGCTTTTGGCATTTTTGTCATGAAGTCTTTGTCCATGCCTATGTCCTGAATGGTATTGCCTAGGTTTTCTTCTACGGTTTTTATGGTTTTCAGTTTCACAATTAAGTCTTTAATCCACCTTGAATTAATTTTTGTACAAAGTGTAAGGAAGGGATCCAGTTTCAGTTTTCTGCATATGGCTAGCCAGTTTTCCAAGTACCATTTACTGAATAGGAGGTCCTTTCCCCATTGCTTGTTTTTGGTAGGTTTGTCGAAGATCAGATGGTTGTAGATGTGTAGTGTTATTTGTGAGGTCTCTGTTCTGCTCCATTGGTCTATATATCTGTCTTGGTACCAGTACCATGCTGCTTTGGTTACTGTAGCCTTGTAGTATAGTTTGAAGTCGGGTGGCGTGATGCCTCCAGCTTTATTCTTTTTGCTTAGGATTGTCTTGGCTATACGAAGTCTTCTTTGATTCTGTATGAATGGCAATTATTAAAAAGTCAGGAAACAATAGATGCTGGTGAGGCTGTGGAGAAATGGGAATGCTTTTACACTGTTGGTGGGAATGTAAATTAGTTCAACCATTGTGGAAGATGGTATGGTGATTCGGTATGGTGATTCCTCAAGGATCTAGAACCAGAAATACCATTTGACCCAGCAATCCCATTACTGGGTATGTACCCAAAGGAATATAAATCATTCTGCTATAAAGACACATGCACACGTATGTTTATCACAGCACTATTTACAATAGCAAAGGCATGGAACCAACCCAAATGCCCATCAATGATAGACTAGATAAAGAAAATGTGGTACATATACATCATGGACTACTGTGCAGCCAAAAAAAGGAATGAAATCATGTCCTTTGCAGGGACATGGATGAAGCTGGAAGCCATCATCCTCAGCAAACTAACACAGGAACAGAAAACCAAACACCACATATTCTCACTCATAAGTGGGAGTTCAGCAATGAGCACACATGGACACAGAGAGGGGAACAACACACACCAGAGCCTGTTGGTGGGTAGGCGGTGAGGGGAGGGAGTTTAGAGGACAGGTCAATAGGTGCAGCAAACCACCATGGCACATGGATACCTATGTAACAAACTGGCACATTCTGCACATGTATCCTGTTTTTTTATACATATGGAAGAAATAAAAAAAATCAACCCCATGGTGGTTGGAAGGTAGAGGTGCATGACAAGCTTCTGGGGACAGGAATCAAAGAAGGCATCCCTGAGAGGTGACCTCTGGTCAGAGTCCTGAATGGAGACAGGAAGGCACCACATGAAGACCCAGTGATGGCAGGAGCAACACGTGCAAAGGGCCTGGGGCGGCTCATTTAAGGGAAACACAGAGGCCTCATGCCAAATAATTTGCCTCTCTCTGTCTCCTAGAATCACATTCTTCTGCCTGAGTTTGACTTTATTATGCTTATTATCCCAAATTATGAGTTTCCCTATGTTCTTTTCCTTCTATATTTTTTCTTTTTTCCTTTTCTTCTATATCCATTCCTTTTTTTTTTTTCTTTCTTTGAGACGGAATCTCTCTCTGTTACCCAGGCTGGAGTGCAGTGGCATGACCTCGGCTCACTGCAGCCTCCTTCTCTCGAGTTCCAGTGATTCTCCTGCCTCAGCCTCCCAAGTCGCTGGGATTACAGGTGTGAGCCACCGCACCTGGCCTATTGAGAGAAATTTTACAGACACCGACTCTGTGTTTGTTCTCATCCTCTTTTGCTCATAATTATTAAAACTCTTATTCCTATTTAGTGTAAAAATTCAGAAAAACCTAGTTATAACGTATTAAATGCCTATAATGTGTTGGCCATTTTGTTGAGTTTTTACCCAGCCCATCCTCCACTTACAGGTAAAGGAAATGAGGTTCAGAAGGGGCACATGTCTGGCCCACGATCACCCACGACACCCCATGTCGGGACTGGGGTTTATAAACTGAAGACTATACCTTGAACATTATCTTCTGAGATATCTAATCATACCCCACATGAGGGGAGATCTCTGAACATCCATGTAACTGGAGGCCACGTGCGCTTCCCATAGAAATTCCTTCACTGGGCCAGGCACGAGGCTCATGCCTGTAATCCCAGCACCTTGGGAAGCTGAGGCGCGCAGATCACGAAGTCAGGAGGTTGAGACCACCCTGGCTAACACGGTGAAACCCCGTCTCTACTAAAAATACAAAAATTAGCCAGACGTGGTGGTAGGCGCCTGTAGTCCCAGCTACTCGGGAGGCTGAGGCAGGAGAATGGCATGAACCCGGGAGGCGGAGCTTGCAGTGAGCCGAGATCATGCCACTGCACTCCAGCCTGGGCGACAGAGCGAGATTCTGAAAAAGACGAAAAAAAAAAAGAAAAAGAAACAAAGAAGGAAAGAAAGAAGGAAGGAAGGAAGGAAGGAAAAAGAGAAAGAAAGAAAAAAGAAAGAAAAAGAAAGAAAGGCAGAAAGGCAGAAAGAAAGAAGGAAAGAAAGAAAGAAAGAAAGAAAGAAAGAAAGAAAGAAAGAAAGAAGGAAAGAAAGAAGGAAAGAAAGAAAGAAAGAAAGAAAGAAAGAAAGAAAGAAAGAAAGAAAGAGAAAGAGAAAGAAATTCCTTCACTGAATTTATGAGAGGAGGCAGACTGGAAAATTGGTAAGAGTCCGACAGACCTGGGTTACATTTCCCGTGAGAAAATAGAGCCAGAGAAACAGCTGTGGAACATCATAGCAATGTGGCATCATGTCTCAGAAACATTAAGTGTGTGTGTCTTTCAATCCAGCAAAACGGAACCAAGGAATTTAACCCAGGACAGTAATTCTCAAAGTTTGTCATCTCAAACTATTTTACCCTCTTAAAATTATTGGGAAACTCCCAAAGGATGTTTCTTGGTATAAGATATAAATAAAACATAACATGATCTCATATAGATCATGTTATAAATAGTCAAACGTTACTTTTTAAGCTTAACGACAACAACAAATCTATTGTATATTAACATAGCTCACATTTTGTGAACAATAATTATATTTTCCAAACAAAAACTTAGTAATAAAGGTGATATTGTTAGAAGTTTTTGCAAACTCCTTTAATTTCCTCCTTAATGGAAGAGAAATGGATTCTCCAATCTGCTTCTTACTTCAAATATTATAATATCACATCATGCAGAGAAAAAGAGAAGAAAATAAGCAAATAAAATATTAATGTTCTTTAAAAAAATAGTCTAGAAATTGTGGACCCCCTGGAAATGTCTTGATTTTTCCCACAGATCCTGAACTGCATTAGGGGATTGCTGGCCAAATATACATACAGGCAATGGACATACAATTACAAATGAAGACCATCAGAATAAACAAATGAGAACTTATTAAGAAACTTGGGGCTGGATGCGGTGGCTCATGCCTGTTATCCCAGCACTTTGGGAGGCCAAGGCAGGCGGATCATTTGAGGTCAGGAGTTTGAGACCAGCCTGGCCAATATGGCAAAACCCCGTCTCTACTAAAAATACAAAAATTAGCCGGGCATGGTGGCGGGTGCCTGTAGTCCCAGCTACTCAGGAGACTGAGGCAGAAGAATCACTTGAGCCTGGAGGCGGAGGTCGCAGTGAGCTAAGATTGTGCCACTGCACTGGTCAACAGAGCAAGACTCTGTCTCAAAAAAAAAATAGAAAGAAAGAAAATAAAAGAAAAGGGAAAGGAAGAAGGAAGGGAAGGGAAGGGGAGGGGAGGGGAGGGGAGGGAAGGGAAGGGAAGGGAAGGCAGGGGAGGAGAGGGGAGGAGAGGGGAGAGGAAGGGAAGGGAAGGGAAGGCAGGGGAGGAGAGGGGAGGAGAGGGGAGAGGAGGGGAAGGGAAGGGAAGGCAGGGGAGGAGAGGGGAGGAGAGGGGAGAGGAAAGAAAAGGGGAGACTGTGGAACATCCACATCACTTTTCTTATTCTCTGCAGCTGCATTTGGCTGGAGCAGAGTAGCCCCTTCTGCACTGTCTGCTCTTACTCTAATTCCATTATGATTCATCTCCAGAGATTCTGAGCTGCTTAGCAACCAGATCAGCTCTTCCATTACCTGCCCCCTCCAACTAATTCCTACGGCATTCCTGCTGTTCTATCCTCACAGCTTCAGCTGTCCACAGAGGGACCCTGGATATGTTAAAATTAGGGGAAGCACAGCAGCATTCCACCTCTGACACCATGTGAAACACCAGCTCCAGTGGCTCACAGATTTCACATTCGGTCTCTCTACATTTCCTTTGCTGACATCATGTCTTTGTGATGCTGGGGCATCCGTGGTTGCTGTGAAGAAGGGCAATTACCACATGAAAATCAGCAAGGTTTCGAAAGTCAGGTGGCATGGTCCCGTCTGATCCCAAGGTTTGAGAAATTGTGCAGTGCCCAACAGACACGCACATACCACTAATAAATAATTACTATTGAAAAATGAAATAAATATGATTTTTTCCACTGAAAAGAAAAAAAAGAACCAGCACACATTATTAACATGGCTACTCTCCATAAAATGGAAAATAAAGGATGGTGGTAGGCTTTGGGGAAACTGGAACCCTTCTGCACTTAGTGGTTAAATGAAGTTGATAGGAGACTGTTGTTGTGGACGGAGCTCCTTCTCTAGCCCTTCACAAACCAAATAAAAATGGAGTCTTTCAGGTTAAGTGCATGTCGTCAAACTGAAACTTGGAAAAACAGGAAAATCCCTAAACAGGCCGGTTTTTTCAAAACACAAGAGATCCACAGCATCTGATCTCAAAGGACCCAAGTAACGTGAGCTGCCAAGAGAAGGAAGTCCCTCTGCTTTAACCCTTAAAAGGAAAGTAACCTAAAATAACCAGACGTTAAAAGAGCCGCCTTTTTGTATGGTGCTGTTTCTTTGTTCCTGCTCAAGAAGCCCTACAAAAGCCAACTGTTGGCCGGGTGCGGTGGCTCACGCCTGTAATCCCAGCACTTTGGGAGGCCGAGGCAGGTGGATTGCCTGAGCTCAGGAGTTTGAGACAAGCCTGGGCAACATGGTGAAACCCCGTCTCAACTAAAATACAAAAAATTAGGTGGGCGTGGTGGTGGGCGCCTGTAATCCCAGCTACTCAGGAGGCTGAGGCAGGAGAATTGCTAGAACCCGGGAGGCAGAGGTTGCAGTGAGCTGAGATCACAGCACTGCGCTCCATCTTGGGTGACCGAGTGAGAATCCGTTTCAAAAGAAAAACAAAAGACAAAAAAGTGCGCCAACTGTTCTGCCATAAGGGCAAAAATGCCTTTGTATTTCTAGATGGGATGCAGCCCGATCCATAAATCGCTAACAAATGCCAATTCAATCATTGTGAGGCCAGGGACCTCCGTTTTTAAAATATATTTTAATCACCCACTTCCTTTCCCTCCCATCTGACCCCTTTATCTCTTCCTCTGAAGTCAGGATAATGCCAGCCAGGTCTCAGGGTGGGTGATACCCATGATAGCCACCAGAACAAAGGCACAGACCTGCACCCTGCACACTCCGCATGTCTCCCACAGCAAATTTCCTTTTGAAACCCCCATGGTGAATTCTAAAATTGAAGATGGTGCTTTAGAACGCTAGTTCACCACCTTCTCGGTTTTCTGGCTCTCTGATTGAACCTGTCTTTCCTTCTGCCAACCCTTGTCTCCCGTGCCTGGCTTTCGAGCATCGAGCAGCTGATCCTGAATCTGATCACAGTGGAAATAAACTGGTGGAAATTTTGGTTTTCGACAGTGGGATGGACACATGGTGCAGCTGCCTTGTAAAACAGTGCAATAGTTTCTGGACAAATAAAAGTAGAGTTACCATATTGTTGCCAGAAAACAGTTATCAATTCAGACCCGAAGAGAGGGTCCTTGGATCTCTTGCAGGAGGGGCTCCCAGGTGAGCTGCAGAGTGCAGTAAGAAGAGATCATTTACTGAAAGTGACTCAGATACAGAGTAGGGTGTCCTCAGAAAGCCAAGAGAGGAATGCCTCATCTTTGTTTTAAGTTTTACTTATGTGGGGGTCTTATCTATGTAATAGCTAAGCAAAGTTATGTGTATGTGCAGGTGGGCTGGCAGCATGACAAAATTTATTATTTTGTTGATTTAAAGAAAGCTATCCTTGGCATTTTGGTGCATAAATGCATCAAAGCATAACTGTAATCATCTTAAAAGCATATAATGCCATATTGGGGTATCTAGACATTTTGCTCTCATAGGAGTTTGTCCTTGCAGGCTTGATTAAGCTGTTTCCTCAGCTATACACATCTTAATGGCCATGGTGGAGGGCTGGCAAGGAATGTGCCTTGCTAGTTTTTTTGGACAGATTTTAAAACGGTGTCACCCTGGTTCTCCTATGCTCCTGTTTCCCTAACAATATGATGCATCAATACCACTTCGAGATATAGACCCAGAATAATCGAAAGCAGGAACTCGAGCAGATATGTGTCCACCCGTGTTCGTAGCAGCATTCACGACAGCAAGAAGTAGAAGCAACCCAAAGGTCCATCAAAGTATGAATGAATAAACACAATATCCTCTATCAATACCATGGGATATTATTCATCCTTACGAAGGAAGGAAATCCTGCCACATGCTACAGTCTGTATGAACCCTGAGACATTATGCTCAGTGAAACAAGCCAGGCACAAAAGAAGACGTACCCTATGACTCCAATAATTTAGTGTCTCTAATGCTGTCCAACTAATAGAGCAGAAAGTAGAAAGTGGGCTGGGCGCAGTGGCTCATGCCTGTAATCCCAGCACTTTGGGAGGCCGAAGCGGGTGGATCTCCTGAGGTCAGGAGTTTGAGACCAGCCTGGTCAACATGGTGAAATCCTGTCTCTACTAAAAAAAATACAAAAATTAGTTGAGCATGGTGGTGGGAGCCTTAATCCCAGCTACGCGGGAGGTTGAGGCAGAGAATCACTTGAACCCAGGAGGCGGAGGTTGCAGTGAGCAGAGATCGTGTCACTGCACTCCAGCCTAGGCGACAGAGCCAGACTCCATCTCAGAAAAAAAAGAAAGAAGGAAAGAAAGGAAGGAAGGAAGGAAGGAAGGAAGGAAGGAAAGAAGGAAGAAAGGGAGAGAGAGAGAAAGAAAGAAGAAAGAAAGTGGATGTTAGGGACAGGTGTGAGGGAGAAGTAGGGAGTTGTTTGTGGGTACAGAGTTTCAGTTTTTCAAGATGAAAAGAATATTGGAGATGAACAACGGAGATCATAGTAAAACAATGTGAATGCACCTAATATGGGAACTGTACAATTAAATATGGTTAAAATGTTAAATATTAAGTTATATATACGTTGCAATGTCATAGACATTGCTTCAAATGAAAAGAAAAACACAATAATGTACTTTTTAAAGGGGTATGTTGTATTGGCTGGGACATTTTTTTGTTTGTTTAAAATGAGTTTTTCCCAAATTACACTGGCTGTGCCTATGTACAGGGTGGGCTGTGGGAAGTGGGATAGATCAGTGGGATGCCTGAAAATAATCCCTCAGCTCTGCATGGACACAGCTGCGGAGAGCAGGCTGGGTTTCACATTTTTCCCCTTGCCTTGGACAGGACCCTAGTGCAGGGTACAACATAAACAGCCATCCCCAGCAGCCCTGGCTGTGAGCGAGGTCCTAGGAGTGTCTGCATTTTACAAAGGAGGATGGTGGGCTCACAGAGGGGAGGTCTCCAGGCTGTCTGGTCCCAAGCCCACACCCCCGTCACCTGCTCCCATCCTGCCTCTGAGCATCCAAGCAGCCGGGTGCTGGTACCTCCCAGAGGAGAGATTTCAGGGCTGCTGCCTTGCTGTAGCCTTGAGATTAGGTGTTTGGGTTTAGGGAGGGTCCCAATAAGGTAAATATGGGGCAAGTAAATGACCTGAGACTCAAGAGTCATCTCCCAATTCCCCTTCAATCACACACACACACACACATACACACACACGTAGTATGAGAAAATGCCTCTGGGTTTTGAAGGACTCTCACAAAATGGAATTTAGGAATTCTTGCGGGAAGCAATTCCCTGCATCACAAAGTTTCACACAAAACAATTAAAGAGAACAGGAGGGCCAGGTGCAGTGACTCACGCCTGTAATCCAAGCACTTTGGGAGGCTGAGGCGGGCACATCGCTTGAGGTCAGGAATTCAAGACTAGCCTGGCCAACATGATGAAACCCTATCTCTACTAAAAATACAAAAAAATTAGCTAGTGTGGTGGCTGGCGCCTGTAATATCAGCTCCTTGGGAGGCTGAGGAAGGAGAATTGTTCGAACTCAGGAGGCGGAGGTTGCGAGCCGAGATCGCGCCATTGCACTCCAGCCTGGGCGACAGAGCGAGACTCCCTCCATCTCAAAACAAAATAAAAAAAGAGTAGGAAATGACTGTCACTAAAACAAAAATAGCTTGTGACATTCACAAGAGGAGGGGGCACACCAGGCCAAGAGGGGCCGCAGGGGAAGCCCCAGTGTCTGTCAAGAGGCAGAAGCTCATGGGGGAGCATGTGGGCAAAGAGCCTTCCTTATGGTTTCTGAAGGAAAAAACAAGGGAGACAAAACGAGCAGGCTCAGGATTGACTACCTGGAATAATTTCAGTGGCTCTGGGCAGAGCCCATGGCTGTCCATGGTTATGGCCCTGGGTGACAGGGCAGGTCACAGTGGCCCTGAGTGTGACAGCTCCATAGAAGCTGGTTGGGGTGTGGGCTCTGGATTCATTTCCACGTGAAAGGCTCCCTCTCAAGGAAACTGACTGCTGTCTTTCGGAATAGGCAAGACCTGGCAAGATCATCCCTGTGGAGTCAGCAAGGTCCCAGATGTCATGGATCAGAATTACAGAAAATGACAGACAGGGTTGGTGCATAGATCCTCACGAAACCCTTACTCTTTGTGATCTTAGTCCTCTGTGGGTGTGAACTGTCATCCTCACCAATATTACTTCCCGCTAATTTACAGGTGAATGTTATGTGTATTGTAATCTGTGGTTCCCAACCAGGGGTATTTTGCCCATAGGAGACATTTGGCAAGTTTGGATAAACATTTGGGGTCACAACTGAAGAGAACTATTGACATCCCCTGGGTAGCAGGCAGGGATGCTGACAAACACCCTAGAAAATCAGGACGGCCTCCTCCATCCTGCATAAAAGAACATTCCAGCCCAAATTTTCTATGATGCTGAGGTGGAAGAACACTAACACAGGTGATCCTCCCACCACTTTTCACTATCTCCACATTGATTTCCTCTCTCCCAAATTTCCTGTCCAAACTTCCTTAACCTTCCACTTCCCATCAACCTTGTCATTACCAATAAACAATGATAGACTGATTAAGAAAATGTGGCACATTTATACCATGGAATACTATGCAGCCATAAAAAATGATGAGTTCATGTCCTTTGTAGGGACATGGATGAAGCTGGAAACCATCATTCTCAGCAAACTATCGCATGGACAAAAAACCAAACACCACATGTTCTCACTCATAGGTGGGAATTGAACAATGAGAACACATGGACACAGGAAGGGGAACATCACACACTAGGGACTGTTGTGGGGTGGGGGGAGGGGGGAGGGATAGCATTAGGAGATATACTTAATGCTAAATGACGAGTTAATGGGTGCAGCACACCAACATGGCACATGTATACATATGTAACAAACCTGCATGTTGTGCATATGTATCCTAAAACTTAAAGTATAATAATAATAAAAAAGAATCAAGTTGACCCATAATAAACTTAGACTTTCAAAACAAAACAAACAAACAAACAAACAAAAAGAGTATCACACCATCCCCTCCGTTCAAGCATCCCATCTGGAGCATCACGTCCTGCCTTCCGGGGGACCCCCCCTTCCCATCTGATGCCAACATCCATTCATCTCTTGGGGACCAACACGCCATTCATACAACCATCTTCCACTGATCTTGACCTTACCTCTAGGTCACCTTTCATGGTCAATCAGTAGAATCAGTACTTTATGCACACAATTGAATCTCTTTTTATATTCTGCTTCATGTGGTTCCCTTGGAAAGCTCCATCCCCGCGGAGCTCTGACACTACCTTCTCCATCCCTCAGTCCTCCAGCTGCAGGTGGCTGGGGAGGAACAGCCTTGCCCTCATCCTGCCTGCTCTCACCCTAACTTCACGGTGGCCCCTCTCCAAGGACGCTGAGCACTGCCTGGAAACAAGACCAGCCCCTCTGTTCACTCTCCCTGCCAGGAATACCCACTGATCTCCTGCTTTTCTATGCTCAGACCTCCAACTCTCCTTTGCCCGTTGGCATTTTATTCCTCGTTCCTTCACATACGCCACACCAGGAAGTGAACATTTTGAATGATGATTAACAGGAAATCAGGTATAGTTTTATTTTTGTCCTTCGGGCCTTTTCCATCTCCAGTAACAATCTCCTGGCACCAGAAGAATCTCAAAACAGGAGTTTCTTATTTCTACCATTGTTCATTGAGTTTATATTCCACTGTAAGTACAGGCAGAAACAGGGAGAAATAAAAGTCAGCCTCATGATGAGTGGAATGCAGGAGGTGCTTGAAGGGCTTTTGGGGACAGCAGTCAGGGACCGCTTCCATGAGAGGTGACCTCTGATCAGAGCCCTGTGTGAAGACAGGAGGAATCTTGTGAAGACCCGGGTGGCAGTGGGAACAGCACGTGCAAAGGTCCTGGGGGTGGCTCATTCAAGGCCCACACAGAGGCTCATGTCACCTCTATTTCTCTCCTAGAGAGAAATAATTCACCTCTATTTCTCTCCTAGAATTTCCTTCTATCTGAATATGCTCTTCTTCCTCTCTTTCACTTTCTCATCCTTTCTCTCATATTACAACCTCCCTATATTTTCTCTTTCTCTTATATTTTTCTATTTCTTCTTATCTATTCTTCAATATAGTCTTATTTCTTCAGGGTCTCCTGATAGCACAATTACTTAGCAGTCAACACATTTTACGTACAGGCATTGCTACAGACAATTGGAGAAACAAGAATATGAACAAGGCCGGGCGCGGTGGCTCACGCCTGTAATCCCAGCACTTTGGGAGGCTGAGGCAGGTGGATCACTAGAGGTCAGGTGTTCAAGACCAGCCTGGCTAACATGGTGAAACCCCGTCTCTACTAAAAATACAAAGATTAGCTGGGCATGGTGGTGCGTGCCTGTAATCTCAGCTACTCAGGAGGCTGAGGCAGGAGAATCACTTGAACCTGGGAGGTGGAGGTTGCAGTTAACCGAAATTGTGCCACTGCACTCCAGCTTGGGTGACAGAGTGAGACTCTGTCTCAAAAAACAAAAAGAATATGAACATGTAATAGTCAGGTTAGTACTTTCAGAATACCAACAGACTGTGAGAAATTTTGAATGCAGGAATCACATATGCATTATTTCTGTTTTTTTTCCTCTGCCTCCACCCCGCCCCCACACTTTCCCTAACACAGCATTTGCTAAGTGACTGTTGAGTGATGGAATAAACATAAAACCAGACTTTATGTGGGATTGTGGACATGCCATGAACTCATTTGTGGCCTTCCCTTTTCACTAAACAATAAAGCTTGTCCTCACTTTATTCCACGAATGTATGTGGAGATCACCTTTGCACAAGTCAGCTAGAATCAGCTGCCTCCCTTTCCTGTGAATGAGTTAATAGTCTCAAGTGTGACCTTCAGGACCACGGACAGATCTCAGCCAATGGTGGGGCTGTACTGATTAATCAAGGGCTTCACCAGAAAAATATTCACCTGCTTCTTGGATGCAAAGCACTAGTGAAACAGGTTGTCAAGACACAGTACAAACTCTCAAGAAGTTTATGGCCTGATAGGGAAAACAGCAAACAGCCAGTTACAGCACCAGAAGTTATGGAAATCAAGAGATGTGACACCTACTCCAACAGTTGTAAGGAGGGAATTATTTAAACACTTGATGATAGACTGGCTGGGGAAAATTTTACAAAGAAACTGACTATTGGTTTTCATCCTTTTTTGTTCATAATCATTAAATTAAAACTGTTTTCATATTTATTGTGAAAATACAAAAAAACAAATCCCAGCAATGATTTTTTAAGCACCTAGAATGTATTTTGTCAAGTTCTTACCAACCTCATCCTGTATTTCCAGGTGCAAGAAGCAAGGCTCAGAAAGGGCACGTGTCTGGCTCATAATCATCCATGTAATGAATGTTGGGGCCGTGGTTGGTAAACCCAGGTATATGCAATCTACCATCTCTTTTGACAACTCTAAAAGTTTTTATATTAGAAGATATCTTTTGAAGTCCAGGTAACAGGAGCCCAAGCATGCTTCTCATAGACATTCCATCACTGGGTCTATTATGGGAGGCAGGCTGGCAAATTGGGAAAAGTCATACAGGCTGGATTACATTCCCCATGAGAATTCGGGGCCCAGGAACACTACTGAAAAGCATTGTCACAATTTGACATCATGTATCAGAAACCACAAATGGTGTATTTCCTTCTATTCAGTGAAACTGTATCTAGAAATTTATTCTAGGAGAGTAATCCTCAAACCTTTTATTTTAGAACACTCATGCTCTTTTTGGAAATAGAAATAAATGAATTCATATTCTTAGTAGGAGAGTTTAACGTAATTCCCTCAGTAACTGAAAAACGAAATAAACAAGAAACAAGAATTTTTAAACATTGTGAATTTTTAAACAAGAATATTTAAACATCGTGATTACAAACCTGGCCCAACTGGTGTACATAAAACACTGCACCCAATAACTAGAAGAGACAATCATATAAAGTACCCATGAATTAACCAAATACAGAACACAAAGCAATTCTCAACAAATTTCAAAGAACTGAATCGGAGTATGGTTTCTGATCATGGTATAAATTAACTACAAACAAAAACAAAAAGAAAACTCAAAAACATCCATATATTAGAAAATTAAGCAATATATTTCTAAATAATGCATCAGTCAAAAAATAAAAATTTTAAAAATCTGGACTGCAAAATAATGAAAACATTATTTATCAAAACTTATGATACTTATATAAAGCTGTGCTTAGATAGAAATGTACAGCCTTAAATACCTATAATAGAAAACAAGAAAAGCTGAAAATTGATTATTTAATCATCCATTTCAAAAAGGTGAAAAATAAACAAAATTGAGTCTAAAGAAACAAGAAGGAAGGAAGGCCAGGCGCAATAGCTCACACCCGTAATCCCAGCTCTTTGGGAGGCTGAGGTGGGTGGTTCAGTTGAGCTCAGAAGTCCGAGACCAGCGTGGGCAACATAGTGAGACCCCATCTCTACAAAAAGTAGCCAGGCATGGTGGCATGCACCTGTAGTCCCAGCTACTCAGGAGACTGAGGTGGGAGGATCGCTTGAGCCCAGGAGGCAGAGGCTGCAGTGAGCCGAGATTGCACCACTGCATTCTAGCCTGAGTAACAGAGCGAGACCCTGTCTCAAAAAAAGGAAAGAAAGGGGAAGAATGGAAGGAAATAATAAAGTTAAAAGTAGAAATCAGTGAAACAGAAAGTAAGCATGAGATACAACTTATCAACAACCAAAAGTTGATTTTTCATATTTAATTACAAGGCTGACTTGTTGCTCTAGCAGTCTTTTATGTTTTGTAAGTATTTAGAATGCCAAATATGCTGCTTTCTTGGTTCAGAACATGAGTAATATGGGTTTAATTACCTTTATAATTTCTATAGTTAATGATAAATTGTCCTAAATTTAAAACATGCATACTGGCTAAGAAAACAATTATACACCTCAAATAATTTCGACTTTCTTTTCTTTTCTTTTTTTTTTTTTTTTTGACAGAATCTCACTCTGTCACCCAGGCTGGAGTGCAGTGGTGCAATCTCGGCTCACTGCAACCTCTGCCTTCTGGGTTCAAGCGATTATTCTGCCTCAGCCTCCCAAGTAGCTGGAGCTACAGGTGTGCACCACCACGCCCGGCTAATTTTTGTATTTTTAGTAGAGATGGGGTTTCACCATGTTGGCCAGGCTGGTCACGATCTCCTGACCTTGTTGTCCGCCCACCTCGAAAGTGCTGGGATTACAGGCGTGAGCCACCGCGCCTGGCCGACTGTTTTCTTCTATGAAAATATTTTTACCATGCTGTTTTGGCTTTTGTTTGTTTGTTTTTGAGACAGGATCTCACTCTGTCATTAAGGCTGGAATGCAGTGGTGTGATCATGACTCCCTGCAGTCTTGACCTCCTGGGCTAATGGGATCCTCCCATCTCAGCTTCCTGAGTGGGAGCTGGAATCACAGATCCTTGCCACCACGCACAGTGAACTTTTAAAACTTTTGTAGGGATCTAGTCTCGCTATATTGCTCAGGCTGGTCTCAAACTCCTGAGCTCAAGTGATCCTCCCACCTCAGCCTCCCAAAGTGCTGGGATTACAGGCATACACCACCACGCCTAGTCTTTGCTTTTTAAGTGCCAGCAGTATCAGTTAGGTTGCCACTAGATCTTGCTTAAGACTGATGGGAAATAGGGAACCCTTTTATTGTTGCCATAGCAATGACCCCAAACATAACGGAAAAGTTGGTTACATTATCTATTTCAAATTTTAGTCATTGTATTCTCAATTTCCTTTTTCTTTTTGAGACAGAGTTTCATTCTTCTTGCCCAGTCTGGAGTGCAGTGGCGCAATCTCCACTGCAACCTCTGCCTCCTGGGTTCAAGTGATTCTCCAGCCTCAGCCTCCCGAGTAGCTGGGATTACAGGCACCCGCCGCCACACCTGGATAATTTTTGTATTTTTAGTAGAGGCGGTGTTTCACCATGTTGGCCAGGCTGGTCTTGAGCTCCTGACTTCAGGTGATCCACTAGCCTTAGCCTTCCACAGTGCTGGGATTATAGGTGTGAGCCACCATGCCCGGGTATATACTCAGTAATGGGATTGCTGGGTCAAATGGTAGTTCTGTTCGAAGTTCTTTGAGAAATCTCTAAACTGCTCTCCACAGTGACTGAACTAATTGACATTCCTGCCAACAGTGTGTAAGTGTTTCCATTTCTCCACAGCATCACCAGCGATTACTGTTTTTTGACTTTTTATTAATAGCCATTCTTATTCGTGTGAGATGATGTCTCATTGTGGTTTTGACTTGCATTACTCTGATGATTAGCGATTATAAACATTTTTTCATATATTTGTTGGCTGCTTATATATCATCTTTTCAGAAGCGTCTGTTCATATCTTTTGCCAATTTTTAATGGGGTTATTTGGTTTTTCCTTGTTTAGTTGTTTAAGTTCCTTACAGATTTTTTGACATTAGACCTTTTTCAGATGCAGTTTGTGAATATTTTCTCCCATTCTGTAGGTTGCCTGTTTACTCTGTTGAAAGTTTTTTTCTTGCGCAGAAGCTCTTTAGTTTAATTAGGTCCCACTTGTCAATTTTTGTTTTTGTTGCAATAGCTTTTGAGAATTTAGTCATAAATTATTTCCCAAGGCCCAAGTTCAGAATGGTGTTTTCTAGATTTTCTTCTAGGATTTGTATAGCTTGAGGTGTTACGTTTAAATCTTTATTCCACCTTGAGTTAATTTTTGTATATGGTGAAATGTAGGGGTCCAGTTTTATTCTTCTGCATATGGCTAGCCAGTGATCCCAGCACAATTTATTGAATAGAGAGTCCTTTTGGATTGCTTTTTTTTTTTTGTCAACTTTGTCAAAGATTAGACGGCTGTAGGTGAGTAGCTTTATTTCTGGGTTCTCTGCTCTGTTTCATTGGTCTACGTGTGTTTTTGTACCAGTACCCTGCTGTTTTGGCGACTGTAGTCTTACAGTTTGAAGTTGGGTAATGTGATACCTCCAACTTTGTTCTTGCTGCTTCAGATTGTTTTTTCCAATTATGTGAAGAATTACATTGGTCATTTGATAGGAATAACGTTGAATCTGTAGTTTACTTTGTGTTGTATAGCCATTTTAATGATATTGATTCTTCCAATCCTTGAGCATGGAATGATTTTCCCTCCATTTGTGTCATCGACAGAATCCCAATACTCTTAAATATTATTGAGAAATCCCCGAAGAATGTTTCTTTCTACAGTTTATATATCCTATATTAGTCATGTTATAAATAAAAGAAGAGAAATTGTTCAATTTTAAACTTAAAAACAGCAACAAATCTATTATATGTTAAAAGAACCCACATTTTATGAACAACATTAATATTTTTCAAATAAAATCTTAGTAAAGGTAAAGGTGGTATTGTTTTACATTTTTGCAAATCCCTTTAATTTCCTCCTAAATAGAAGAGAGATAGATTTCCTCAATCTACTCATAAATTATATCATGCAGAGAAAATGAGAAGGAAAAAAGCCAAATAAAATATTAATGTTCTGGTTGGGCATAGTGGCTCACACCTGTAATCCCAGCACTTTGGGAGGCCAAGGAGGGCAGATCGCTTGAGCTCAGGAGTTCGAGACCAGCCTGGGCAATGTAGCAAGACCTCTACTAAAAATAAAAAATACTAAAAATTAAAAAATTAAAAACCAGGTGGGCATGGAGGTGTGTGCCTATAGTCCCAGCTACTCAGGAAGCTGAAGTGGGAGGATCACTTGAGCCTAGGAGATCGCGGTTGCAGTAAGCTGTGATGGCACCACTGCATTCCTGCCTGGGCAACAGAGTAAGACCTTGTCTCAAAAAAATCAATAAAATAAAATAAAATTAATGTTTTTAGAAAAATAGTTTGAAGTTGTGGAACCCTTACAAAGATCTTGATTTACTACATTTGGAAATTACTGGCCTAAGAGATACACCAATAATGAACAAGAAATTACAAATGGAGACCATCAGAGTGTACAAATGAGACGTTATTGATTCAAGAAACTGTGAAATATCCACATCACTTTTTAAATTCTGTGCAGCTGCATTTGGCTGGGGCAGAACAGCCCCTCCCCCACTGCCAGTTGTCACTCAGTTTCCATGGTGACTCATGTCCAAAGACACTGAGCATTGCTTGGCAACCAGACCAGCTCCTCCATTCTCTCCCCCTGCAATGAAGACCTACTGCCTTCCTGCTCTTCTATCTTCATACCTGCAATTGTCTGCAGAGGATCCCTGGATACATTAAAATTGAGGGGAGAACAGCAACATTCCGCATCCGAGGCCACGGAAACTACCAGCTCCAATGGTTCACAGATTCTGCATTTGGTCTCTCTACATTTCCTGGGCTGACACAATGTCTCTGTGAAGCTGAGGTGTCAGTGCTTGCTGTGAAGAAAAGCAATCCCCCAGTGAAAATCAGTGAGAATGAGGAGTGAGGGTGGCATGGCCCCATCTGATTCGAAAGTTCGAGAAATTGCACGGTGCCCAGCAGACACACATATCCCATTATTCAATAATTGTCATTGTTGAAAAATCGAAAAAATAGATTTTAAGAGAAAGAAGGAACCACCACACATTATTAACATGGCTATTATCCATAAAACAGAATATAACAAGTGTTGGCAGGCTATGGAAAAATAAGAAGCCTTCCGCCCTGTTGTTGGGAATGTGATGTGGTACAGGGGCTTTGGAAGTGAGATGGTTTCCGTTAAATTCTTAATAAAGTTACCAGATGATCCACCTGTGTCCTCATCTGGGTATATACCCCCAAAAATTGAAAACAGTGTTTTAAAGAGATATTTGTACTCTCGTGTTTATAGCAGCTTTATTCATAATAGTCAAAAGTAGAGAAACTGAAGTGTCCATCAAGGGAGGAGTGGATAATGGGTAAACAAACTGTGGTTTTTCACTTCGGGAGGCTGATGGGGGTGGATCACCTGAGGTCAGGAGTTCGAGACCAGCCTGGCCAACACGGTGAAACCCCGTCTCTACTAAAAATACAAAAATTAGCCGGGCATGATGGCGGGCGCCTGTAATCCCAGCTACTCGGGAGGATGAGGCAGGAGAATCGTTTGAACCCGGGAGGCGGAGGCTGCAGTGAGCCGAGTTCGTGCCACTGAGCGATCTCGAGGTTGCAGTGAGCTGAGAATGTGCCACTGAATGATCATGCCACACTGAGGTCGTGCCTGGGCGACAAGAGCAGGACTCTGTCAAAAAAAAAAACTGTGGTTTTTGCATGCGATGGAATATTACTGAGCCTTACAAAGAAATAAAACCCTGGCACATGCTACGACACGGAAGAACTTTAGAGCACGATGCCAAGGGGAATAAGCCAGTCCCAAAGCGACAACTCTCTATGATTCCACTTCCATAAGGTACCCAAGCTAGTCTAATTTATAAAAACAGAAAGTACAATGGCGGTTCCCAGGGGCGAAGAGAGAAGGAACGGAGAGTTAGTGTTTCGTGAGTACAGAATTCCGGTTTTGCAATATGAAAACTACTCTGGGTATGGAAGGTGGTGATGTTTGTGAATAATGTGAATGCAATTAATGACACTGAATTACACACTTAAAAATGATTAAAATATAAATATTGAATTATGTAATAATTTAACCCATTTTTATTCAAAAATTTAAAACAAACTTGAAAGTCTTTGCTTATGAATTAATATTAGCAAAATATGGAGTATATGGTAAATTTTATATCCTGTGTAGTTTGCCAGATTTTTAACTAGGAATGCCTATTTACTTTCGAATGCTTCCACAGTGCCATCTAGCTGTGGCAAATGGGCTTGATAGCATTTGATAAAATCATACGCATTGCATCAAATGAGAAGAAAGATAAAAAAATGAGACCCTAAAAATTGCTGTGTCACTTTCTTGTTTGTTCTTTGAAAAGAATTTGTGCCCCAAATTTTATTAATGAGCACGTGGCCGCGGAAGGCTGTAGGACTTTGGATTGATCTGCAATGGTGTAACCTCCTGATGGGCTGGTTCTTCCTGCTGACTGCACAGAAAAAAGCAATTCACCGAGACACCAGCCACGGTGGCTCATGCCTGTAATCCCAGCGCTTTGGGAGGCTGAGGCAGGCGGATCACCTGAGGTCAGGAGTTTGAGAGCAGGTGACCAATGTGGTGAAACCCCATCTCTACTAAAAATACAAACTTAGCCAGGCATGGTGGTGGGTGCCTCTAATCCCATCTACTCAAGAGGCTGAGGCAGGAGAATCGCTTGAACCCAGGAGGCGGAGGTTGCAGTGAGCCGCAATCGCACCATTGCACTTCAGCCTCGGCGACAAAGCAAGACTCCATCTCAAAAACAAAAATGAAAACGAAAAAACAAAACAAACAAGCAAAAAACAATTCACTGAGGCCATGACACTACAACAAAGAGTTTATTGATATGAGGCTGGCCACGCAGCGTGGGAGACAGTTATTACTCAAATCAATCTTCTTGAAAATTCAAAGGTTAGGGTTTTTCAAGGCTAGTTTGGTGGGCCAGGGACTCCACTTCTGGGTGGGGCTAAAGGACCAGTTGGTGGGTTGACAGATTCGAATGGAGCCACTGGCCATCGGAAATGCAAAAACCTGAAAAGACATTTCAAAAGGCCAATCTTAGGTTCTACAAGAGCGATGTTATCTGCAGAGGTAATTGTGGAAGTGGCAAATCTTATGACCTCCAGACTCCTGGTTACCATTTAAGTCTACACCTGAGCAGAATTCAGGCTCATCCTCCTAACCTGGTGGCCTTTCTTTAGCTTTACAAAGGCAGTTTTGGTTTTTGGGGGGAAGGGCTACTATCACTTAAATTATGAATTAAAACCTCTCCCCAGATTAACTTGGCCTAAACTCAGCACTGATCTAGGCACTTTGGAGGTTAAAGGCAAGATGGGGATCGGTTAGATCAGATCTCTTTCACTGTCATAATTTTTGCTGTTGTAATTTTTGCAAAGACAGTTTCAGTGGTATGGCTCTGGTGAGATTCTTCAGCTAGGGTGTGGGCATAACTGTAGAGAGAGTGCAGGCTGGATTTCAAATTCTGGTCAGCTCTATGGACAGGAATCTAACTGCAGGGGAAAATACACACAACCATCCCCAGCAGCCTTGGCTGTGAGCAAGTTCCTAGGAGTGTCCATGTTTTACAGAAAGCACTGGGCTCAGAGATGGGAGGTCTCCAGGCTGCCTGTTCCTGAGCCCACACCCCCATCACCTGCTCCTCCAGCCTGTCTCGGGACATCCAAGGAGAGGGGTCTGGCACCTCCTAGAGCAGGGTTTCCAGGGCTTCTGTGTTGTTCCACCCTCAGGCTTGGGCTAGCCCTCGTGCCCCTAGGAGATAGTTGGCAGTGTCTGAAGGAGTTTTTAGTCATCACAGGAGTGGAGAGCTGCTGAGAATCCAGGAATGCCCCTGAGCAACCCACACTGCCTAGCACAACCCTCCCTGCCACAACAAAGAATATCCTACCAAATTTTCAGTGTTACCCTGGAAGAGAATACATGATACAGATGATCCTCCCAACATGTTTGACCATCACCATATTGACCTCCTCTCCTCCAAGGCTTTTGTTCAATCTCCCTAAGCCACCCGCTCCTACCTGCCTTGTCATTATCAATAACCAAGATCGCTCAATCCCCTCATTTCCAGCATCCCATTCCCATCTCTAACATCACATCCTACCTAACAGATGATTTATCAATAACCAAGATCACTCAATCCCCTCATTTCCAGTATCTCATTCCCATCTCCAACATCACATCCTGCCTAACAGATGACTTATCAATAACCAAGATCACTCAATCCCCTCATTTCCAGCATCCCATTCCCATCTCCAACATCACATCCTACCTAACAGATGACTTATCAATAACCAAGATCATTCATTCCCCTCATTTCCAGCATCCCATTCCCATCTCCAACATCACATCCTACCTAACAGATGACTTATCCTCCTCTCCTGATACCAACATTCTTTTATCCTTTAAGGACCAATGCTCCATTGATTCCACCATTTTTATCAAAACTTCACTCCCACATCCAAGTCACCTTCTAGGGTCAATCTGTGAAATGGATTCTTTCTGCACACACTCCACTTTCATAGTCTGTTTCATGTGATTCTCTTGGAAAACCCCATCCCTGTTGGGCTCTGACTACCCTTGCCCTCCCCCTTACTCCTCACTCCTGGTGGCTAGAAAGGAACAGCTGCTACCCCGTTGCTGTTCTCACCCTCACTTCATGGTGACTCACCTCCAAGGATTCTGAGCACAGCCTGGAAGCAGGACCAGCTCCTCTATGCACACCACTACTTCAATGCATGACCACTGCATAATGGCTTTTTTTTTTTACAGAGTTTTTCACTCTTGTCACACAGGCTGGAGTACAATGGCACCATCTCAGCTCACTGCAGCCTCCACCTTCCAGGTTCAAGGGATTCTCCTGCCTCAGCCTCCAGAGTAGCTGGGATTACAGGTGCGCGCCACCACACCTGGCTAATTTTTTTGTATTTTTAGTGGAGGCAGGGTTTCACCGTGTTGGCCAGGCTGGTCTCGAACTTCTGACTTCAAGTGATCTGCCTGCCTCAGCCTCCCAAAGTGCTGAGATTACAGGCGTGAGCCACTGCCCCCGGCAGACTTTTCTGATCTTAAGACTTCAACTCTTTCATTCCCATTGCCACCTTATTCCTATTTCCCAAACAAAAGTAACAAGATTAAGATAATATTTTTAATGATGTCCAAAAGGAAATGAGATACAATTCTTACTTTTGCCCTTTGAACCTCTTCTATCTCCAGTAACAAACCTAAAACCTGAGATACTTGCAACTTTAGGTATATTTTTCTACCACACTCTGAGCTTACATTCCAGGCAAGGAAGAGCACAAACAGTAAGCAAGGAAAAGAAGCATCAGTTTAGGTGCAGTGGCTTATGCCTGTAATCCCCATGCTTTGGGAGGCTGAGACAGGAGGATTGCTTGAGGTCGGGAGTTTGAGACCAGCCTGGGCAACATAGCAAAACCCCATCTCTAAAAATAGAAAAAATCAGCTGGGGCTTAGTGCAATGGCTCATGCCTGTAATTCCCAGCACTTTGGGAGGCCGAGGAAGGCAGATCATTTGGGGCCAGGAGTTCGAGAGCAGTTTGATCAATATATCAAAACCCCATCTCTACTAAGAATACAAAAATTAGCCAAGCCTCATGGCACATGCCTCTAATCCCAGCTACTTGGGAGGCTGAAGCAAGAGAATCACTTGAACCCAGGAGGCAGAGGTTGCAGTGAGCTGAGATTGTGGCATTGCACTCCAGCCTGGGCATCAGAGTGAGTAGACTCTGTCTTAAAGAAAAAATCAGCTGGGTGTGGTGGTGTGCACCTGTGGTCTCAGTTACTTAGGAGGATTGCTTGAGCCCAGGAATTCGAGGCTGCAGTGAGCTATGATCGTGCCACTGCACTCCAGCCTGGGTGACAGAGTGAGACTGTATTTTTTTTAAAAAGGAAGTGTCAGCCTCATAATGGAACCAAAGCAAGTACTTCGGGGTGGCAATCAGTGAGGACTCCCCTGGGTGGTGAACTCTGCTCAGAATCCTGAATGGAGACAGGAAGGAGCCACATGAAGACCCAGAGCCATGGAAGGAACTGCATGTGCAAAGGTCCTGAGGATGATTCATTCCAAGAAAAGAGAGTGGCCCACGTGGCTGGAGCCAAACTGTTTACCTCTCCCTATTTCTCTCCTAGAAAACCTTCTGTCTGCATGGACTCTGCTCTGTCTCTTTGATGTTATCTTCATCCTTCTTCCATTTTACTCCCTCCCTATTTTCCCCTCTCTTTCTTATTTTTGTTTTATCCTTCCTTCAACATAGTCTAATATTGTTGGGGTCTCCAGAATCCTATTTAATTAGCAATCAGCACGTTATGTACAGGTAATTCTCTAGACCATTGGAAAAATAAGAATATGAACCTTGTAACAGCCAGCTTAGTACCTTCAGAATACTCATGTATTGTAAAAAAGTTTAAATGCATGGATCATACAGGCATTCATTCCTCTGTATCCAGTATGGTTCCAAACACTTGGCATATGCCATCAGTTCAAGACTCAAGGTGCCTTTTAGCACCATGGACAGGTCTTATCGGTGATGGGACTGCACTGATTTTTTAAATTGACACATAATAGTTGTACATATTGATAGGGTACATGTGATACTTTGATACATTCATACAATGTGTAACGATCAAATCAGGGTGAGTAGGCTATCCATCACCCAAACATTTCTCATTTATTTTTCTTGGGAACATTCCACATCTTCTCTTCTAGGTATTTTGAAATATACTATAAATACTTCGGAACTATAGCCACCCTACTGTGCTATGAAACACTAGACATTATTCCTTCTGTTTAACCATTTTTACCCATTGCCCAATCTTCCCTGCTTCTCAGTCTCTGGAAACCATCACTCTACTTTCTACCTCCATTAGATCTACTTTTTCAGCGCCCATGTATGAGTGAGAAGATGCGATATTTGCCTTCCTGTGCCTGGCTCATTTCACTTAACATAATGTCCTCCAGTTCCATCCACACTGCTGCAAATGACAAGATTTCACTCTTTTCATGGCTGAATAATAAACCATTGTATGTATATATATATATATATATATATATATATATATATATACACACATATATATATACCACGTTTTTCATCTGTTGATGGTCACTTAGGTTGATTTTATAACTTGACAAATTAATTAAAGTCAGACAGACCTAGATTACATTTCCCGTGAGAATTTGGAGCTAGAGGAACAGCTGTCTATCACTTCAGCAACGAGAATTCACGTGTCAAAAACATTAAAGGTGTGCTTTACTCCACCCAATCAGATGATACCTAGGTACTTAACCTAAGAGAGCAATTATGAAACTTTTAAATCTCAGTCCACTTTTATATTTTTCAAAGTAACTGGGGATCCTCAGATAATTTTTATTTGCATAATTTGTATTTTTTACCCAGTTACCATATTATAAATTGGAGCTCAGAAAATTCTAAACTTAAAACTCTAAAATGTAACAAACCTATTATTTGTTAACAAACATGTTTTTTATGAACAACGATTATATTTTCCAAACAAAACACAGTAATATAGGTAGCATTGCTTCATATTTTTGCAATAAAACCCTTTAATACAAGACAGATTCTCAAATTCAGTAAGTCAAATACTCACAATACTACATCATGAAGAAAATGAGATGGAAATAGGAAAATAAAATCTTAACGTTCTTAGCACAATAGTTTGGAATTCTGGACCCTTTAAAAGGAAGTTGATTCCCGCCCCCGCCCCACCAGAAGTTTTTAAACTACATTTTTGGAACTAGTGGGCTAAGATATATAAAAGTAATGGACATAAAGTTATAAATGGAGATCATCTGAATGTACAACAAACAGGCTATTTTTTTAGAGAAACTGCAGGACATTCACATGACTTTTCTTTGTCCTGAAGCTGCTCTTGATGGGGCACAACAGCCTCTCCCTCACTGCCTGCGCTCACTCTAATTTCCTGGTGAGTCATCTCCAATCTCAGGGGCACCGAGCGTTGCTTGGCAACCAGGCCAGCTCCTCCATTCTCTTCTCCAATGAATACATAGTCCACTGCAGGCTTTCTATCCTGAAGCCTCCAACACTCTCTCCCCATTGTCATCAGATTTCTATTTCCCATACAAAAGTAGAAATGTTAAAAGAATATTTTTAAATGTTCAACAGGAAAGAAGATATAGTTGTTTTGGTGGGTTTTTTGGACCTATTCAATCCCCATTAACAACCTGGAACCTCAGAAGCCCATTATTTTGGGTTATTTTCTTTCCTTTCCTTTTCTTTCCTTCCTTTTCTTTCCTTTTCTTTTCTTTCCTTTCTTTTTCTTTCCTTTCCTTTTCTTTCCTTTCTTTTCTTTTGTTTTCTTCCTCTTCTTTTCCTTTTCTCTTCTTTTCTTTCTTTTGAGACAGAGTCTTGCTCTGTCACCCAGGCTGGATTGCAGTGGCGCCATCTCGGTTCACTGCAACCTGCACCTCTCGGATTCAAGCGATTCTCCTGCCTCAGCCTCCTGAATAGCTGGGACTACAGGCACCCACCACCAAGCCCGGCTAATTTTTGTATTTTTAGTAGAGACGGGGTTTCACCATGTTGGCCAGGTTGGTCTCGAACTCCTGACCTCAAGTGATCCCCCACCTCAGCCTCCCAAAGTGCTGGGATTACAGGCATGAGCTACAGCGCCCTGCCATTCATTCTTTCTATCACACAGACTGTGAGGAGTTTTGAATGCAGGATTATATATGCACTATTTCTGCCATCTTTCCTCCATCCCAGCAGTATCCATAACACATGGCACATGCTAAGGGGCTGTTGATGTGAGAAACACACACCTAACTCATCTTTATGTGGGGCTGTGGGCAGGACATGACCAAATTGGGGCTTTCTCTTCTTGGTTACAACACAACAAAATTTGGCTTTTATTTATTCCTGAAATACGTGGGTGGCAAGCCACCCAGGTGCCGAGGCAAGAGACCAAGGACACCAGCCGTTCCAGTATAATAAAATATAAAACAAGAATAGTTATACCAGATATAGATCTTAGATATGATTATATATGAATGTCATTAATCATCAGTTTGTAGCAATTACTCTTTATTCCAATATTATAATAATCCTCGCTCTATTATCATAACCTAGGAAAAACCAGGCCATACAGAGATAGGAGCTGAGGGGACATAGTGGGAAGTGACCAGAAGACAAGAGTGCGAGCCTTCTGTTATGCCCAGACAGGGCCACCAGAGGGCTCCTTGGTCTAGTGGTAATGCCAGTGTCTGGGAAGACGCCCGCCCGTTGCCAGGCGGACCGTGGTCTAGCGGTAGCGTAAGTGTCAAAGGAAAACACCCGCTACTTAGCAGACCGGGAAAGGGAGTCTCCCTTTCCCCGGGGGAGTTTAGAGAAGACTCTGCTCCTCCACCTCTTGTGGAGGGCCTGACATCAGTCAGGCTCGCCCACAGTTATCCGGAGGCCTGACCGTCTCCCTGTGATGCTGTGCTTCAGTGGTCACGCTCCTAGTCCGCCTTCATGTTCCATCCTGTACACCTGGCTGTGCCTTCTAGATAGCAGTAGTAAATTAGTGAAAGTACTAAAAGTCTCTGATATGCAGAAATAATGGCGCAAGCTGTCTTTCTCTTTGTCTCCTCTCTTTCTCTGCCTTGGCTGCCAGGCAGGGAAGGGCCCCCTGTCCAGTGGACACGTGACCCACGTGGCCTTACCTATCATTGGAGATGGCTCACTCTCCTTATCCTGCCCCTTTGTCTTGTATCCAATAACTATCAGTGCAGCCTGGCATTCAGGGCCTCTACCAGTCTCCACGACTTGGTGGTAGTGGTCCCCCTGGCCCAGCTGCCTTTTCTTTTATCTCTTTGTCTTGTGTCTTTATTTCTACACTCTCTCGTCTCCACACATGGGGAGAGACCCACCGACCCTGTGGGGCTGGACCCTACAGAAATATACTTTGAGGTCACCTTTGCACAAGTTAGCATCAACAATCTCCGTTGCCAGTTGGTGAGTCCATAGACTCGACGTGCCTTTCAGAACCATGGACAGGTCGTGGTCAATGGCTGGGCTGTGCTGATTTTTAAATCAGGTGCTTAACCAGGGAACTATTTACCTGGTTTACAAGTGCAAAATGCTGGTAATACAGGTTTTAGGGACACAGCCCAAATTCTGATGGAGTGGTGTGGGAAACAGGCAGTCAGTTACATCACCATGAGAGATGTGGACAAGAGTACTAGCACTATTATTATTATTATTATTATTATTATGAGACAGAGTCTCGTTCTGTTACCCAGGCTGGAGTGCGGTGGCACAATCTCGGCTCACTGCAACCTCCACCTCCCGGGTTCAAGCGATTCTCCTGCCTCAGCCTCCTTAGTAGCTGGGACTACAGACGCCTGCCACCACGCCCGGCTAATTTCTATATTTTTTTAGAACAGACGGGGTTTCACCATATTGGCCAGGCTGGTCTCGAACTCCTGACCTTGTGATCCACCCGCCTTGGCCTCCCAAAGTGCTGGGATTACAGGCGTGACCAACCACACCCGGCCTACTAGCACTATTATTATGACAGTGTTGAGGTGGAGCTTGTAACAATTGTGAAAGCAGCGGATGGAGAAAACATCACAAAGAAGGTAATTACCATTTCTAACACTCATTGGCTCATATTACTAAATTAAAATTGTATTTTATATTATGTTAGAAATACAAAAACACCCAACTAATATTTATTAATTGCTTACAATGTATTGGGCATTGTGTCAAAATTTTACCCATGTCTATCACTCATTGACAGGTAAAAACAAATGAGGCTCAGAGGGTCTGGGCGCATTGGCTCACACTTGTAATCCCAGCCCTTTGCAAGGCTGAGGTGGGTAGATCACTTGGGCCCAGGAGTTCAAGACCAGCCTGAGCAACATAGCAAAACCCCCTATCTACAAGAAAATACAAAAATTAGCTCGGCATGGTGGCACTCACCTGTAGTCCCAGCTACTCAGGAGGCTGAGGTGGGAGGACCACCTGAGCCCAGGAGGTCAAGACTGCAGTGAGCCATGATCACACCACTACAGTCTAGCCTGGGTGACAGAGTGAAACCCTGCCTCAAAACAACATCAACAACAAACAAAGAAAAAAGAAAAAAAAGAAAATGAGGCTCAGAAAAGGGAGGTGTCTAGCCCATGATCACCCACATAATGAAAGTTAGGATTTGTAATCTTGGGAATCTACATGTTACCTTCTCTTCTGAGAATTCTAAACTGATCCTATGCTAGAGGCGATCTCGACAAGCCCGGGTCACTGGAGTCCAAGCACACTTGCCATTGAAATTCCTTCGCTGGGTTAATCAGGGTAGGCAGCCTGGCAAATCAAGGAATCAGACAGGCCTGGATTACATTTCCCATGAGAATTCAAAGCCATAGGAACAATGGGATGGTGTAGGGGCCAAGGCCCTTGGCCTCCTGATGGTTCACTGAAAATCAGTGACATAAAGCAGATTGGTTAATAGGAGAAAAGGTATAACAAGCTTACTTAACACGTACATATGGAGGCCGGGCGCAGTGGCTCAACCTTGTAATCCCAGCACTTTGGGAGGCCAAGGTGGGCAGATCACCTGAGGTCAGGAGTTTGAGACCAGCCTGGCCAACATGCTAAAACCCCATCTCTACTAAAAATACAAAACTTAGATGGGTGTGGTGGTGTGCACCTGTAATCCCAGCTACTTGGGAGGCTGAGGCAGGAGAATCTCTTGAACCCGGGAAGTGGAGTTTGCAGTGAGCTGAGATCACACCACTGCACTCCAGCCTGGGCAACAGAGCGAGACCCTGCCTCAAAAAAAAAAAAAAAAAAACAAATGTACGCATGGGAACTTTAAGAATGAACACCCAAAGATACGGGAGAAATTGCCCATTTTTATGCTTAGGTTCTACAAAGTGTGGAGAGCCACGTAGAAATACTGGATGCTAAGGGTCTGGTTTAATGCTAGTGGACTGAGTGGGGAAACCCATGAGGTTTGTCTGCTTAGATTCTCCTTGGCCTCTTTGTGCAGGGACACTCTCTGGAATGAGGGTCTTGTAACCTACAGTCGGACAAGGTAGATCAGACATTTTTTTTATTTTTATTTTTTTATTTTTATTTTTTTTGAGACTGAGTCTTGCTCTGTCTCCTGGGCTGGAGTACAGTGGCGCAATCTCAGCATTTGCTGTAACCTCTGTCTCCCAGGCTCAAGGGATTCTCGTGTGTCAGCCTCCTGAGTAGTTGGGGTTACAGGCATGAGCCACCACACCTGGCTAATTTTTGTATTTTTAGTAGAGACGGGGTTTCACCATGTTGACCAGGTTGGTCTCAAACTGCTGGCCTCAAGTGATCTGCCTGCCTCGGCCTCCCAAAATCCTGAGATTACAGGCATGAGCCACCGGCGCCCAGCCAGGTTTCTTTATGGCCAGTTTTTCAACAGAAGGATGGATGGAAAATTAAAGTAATATTTTTGGATTTTATAACTGGCTTTGGGGAAAAGGCATTCTGGTTTCTATCGCCCACCTTAAAGGAGGGATTCTAGTTTCTATGGCTAGCCCAAGGGAAGAATGGGGCTGAATGACAGGAGGATAGGAGATGGTCAAGGAAAAACGTTTGTGTCTGAGGTTGCTTCTGGAGTATTGTTTTCTCAGCCAGAACAATAGCATTGTAGTAATGTGGCAGTGTGTATCCTGGCCAGGCTGGCCTTGAACTCCTGACCTCAGGTGATCCACCCGCCTCGGCCTCCCAAAGTGCTGGGATTACAGGCGTGAGCCACCAGGCCCGGCCAATAAACTTCTCAAGTGATTGAGACCAGACTCACATAGTTTTTGGTTTCCATTGAGGAAGAGCTGAGGGCCTTGAGGAGCTGACGGGGACATGAATCAGTGCTGGTTTCACCTGAAGCAATGAGCACATTGACAGAGAAGTCCACTGGCCGACAGAGGTGGGGGCCTGGGGTGTAGAGGTGATCAGCTGGGGGCTGCTCTCCTGCCCTGATGTCTGCAGAGTAAACGGTAGTTTTCAGCCTGCAAGTCCTGATTTGGAGTTTGGAGAATAAGGCTCCTACCTACGAAATAGACCCAGTCCCCCGCATTGTGCCACTATCCCCTCGAGATGTAATTCCCTTCCGTAAGAAACTCAGATGTACGCTTAAATGGAGTTGTGAGCATTTTTTGGCGGGGGGGGGGGGGGGTGGTGTTAGCATATCTTCATTTTTTTTTTTAATTTTTTTTTTAGGTTTCAAGCTTTTTTTAAAAGTTTTATTTATTTATTTATTTATTTTGAGACAGAGTCTCGCTCGGCCGCCCAGGCTGGAATGCAGTGGCGCGATCTCGGCTCACTGCAAGCCCCACCTCCCAGCTTCACGCCATTCTCCTGCCTCAGCCTCCCAAGTAGCTGGGACTACAGGCGCCCACCACTGTGCCCACCTAATTTTTTTTTTTTTTTGTATTTTTAGTAGAGACGGGGTTTCACCGTGTTAGCCAGGATGGTCTCGATCTCCTGACCTCGTGATCCGCCCGCCTCGGCCTCCCAAAGTGCTGGGATTACAGGAGTGAGCCACTGCGCCCGGCCCTTATTTTTATTTTTATTTTATATATGTATTTTTTTATTATACTTTAAGTTCTAGGGTACATGTGCACACCGTGCAGGTTTGTTACCTATGTATACATGTGTATGTCCTTTGTAGGGACACGGATGAAGCTGGAAACCATCATTCTCAGTTGTGAGCATTTTCATGTCGGCTCGGGTTGGGATTTGCAGCCTGAGGAAGTTGCCTTGTGGTCTTAACTCAGTTGTGGATCCCAGCGTCTGCTGCCTCTGCCTCAGGTTGCCCCACTAGGTGCCCGTGATTTCAACTTGAACAAAGTTAAATATTTTTGCATTGATGTAATTTACTTGCATTGCTTAAAATTTTAGAAAAGGTTATAAAGTTCCCCAGAAATGTAGGACTAGATATTAAATGATAAATAAGGAATTATGATTAATTTTGTTGGTTACAATTTGTATCTATGTATATTTGCCATATTATACATTGACATTTGAAAATATTAAGTTTAAAATTATAAAAATTGTGGCACGGTGGCTCACGCCTGTAATCCCAGCACTTTGGGAGGCTGAAGCGGGCAGATCACTTGAGGTCAGGAGTTCGAGACCAGCCTGACCAACATAGTGAAACCCCATCTTTACTAAAAATACAAAAATTAGCTGGGCATGGTGGCGGGTGCCTGTAATCCCAGCTACTCAGGAGGCTGAGGCAGGAGAATCGTTTGAACCTGGGAGGTGGAGGTTGCAGTGAGGTAAGATCACGCCAATGCACTCCAGCCTGGGTGACAGAGCAAGCCTCCATCTCAAAATAGATGAATAAAATAAAATAATAAATTTTGCAATAAATCTATTGTGTATTATCATAACACACTTTTTTGAACAATAATTACACTGCATATTCCAAACAAAAAAAATAGTAATACAGGTGGCATTATTTTACATTTTTGCAAATTCCTTTAATATATTATGTTAAATTATGATCTGATAGACATATGTACTGAGGTATTTGTAGGTAAAATTATATTATTTCTGGGATTTACTTTACTTAAACTAGAAGGAAAAAAAGGAGAAGATAGCTGAATGCTTTCACAGTGGGTATACATTATTCTGTCTACTTTTGTGCATTTTTGAGAATTTCCATAATAAAAAGCAGGGAGGAAAAGATCCCCTTGGTTATGGGCCCTGAGCTATCAACTACTGCAGCTGCAGCATCACCCCTGAGTCCGTGTCTGTGAAAATTGGAAGCTTGGCTCACACCAGCACCACTGAAACTTTGGTCACTGCAAGGCCGGGCGTGGTGGCTCACGCCTGTAATCCCAGCACTTTGGGAGGCCAAGGCAGATAGATCGCCTAAGATCAGGAGTTTGAGACCAGCCTGACTAACATGGAGAAACCCCGTCTCTACTAAAAATACAAAATTAGCCAGGCATAGTGGCTGGGATGCCTGTAATCCCAGCTACTCGGGAGACTGAGGCAGGAGATTTGCTTGAACCCGGGAGGCAGAGGTTGTGGTGAGCCAAGATCACGCCATTGCTCTCCAGCCTGGGCAACAAGAGCAAAACTCTGTCTCAAAAAAAAAAAAAAAAATTGGTCACTGCAGGCCCCAGGAACCCACACCTTCTCCATGTTGATCCAGTGCACATGCAAGTGTGTGTGTCTGTGAGTAAATGTCTGTGTAACTGAAGTGAAAGTTTAAAGGAATGGCACTTACTCTAAGCCACATGCTCTGATTTTTTAATTCTGTTCTGGTTTTTTTTCCCCATGAAAAAACTGCTGGCCGGATAGACTACTTAATTCAAACACCTGCAATATTACATCATGCAGAGGAAATGGGAAGGAAAAAAGCAAATACAATTTCCCTGATCTTAGAAACATAGTTTGGAACACTGAAAGGGTCTTGATTCCCCTAGCAGGCCTTGAACTGCTTTTTGGAAACCACAGGCAGAACAGATATACATGAAATTATAAATGGAGGCCATCTGAATGTGTCAATGGGAGAGGATTTTTAAGACATTGTGGGACGTCCGCCTCACTTTCCTTCGTCTCTGCAGCTCACTTGGCTAGAAAGGAACGGCCCCTCCTCTCTGCCCCTCACTGTTTCCATGGCAACTCATCTCCAAGGACACTGAGCAATGCCTGGCAACCAGATGAGCTCCTCCACTCGACCCCTCCAATGAACACCTACTGCATTCCTGCCGTTCTGTTCTCACAGCTGCAAATGTCGGCAGAGGAATAGCTATATTTTCGATGGAAAGGAACCACAGCAATATTCTATATCATCATGCATCACACAAACTACCAGCTCCAGAGGCTCACAGTCTCCACATTAGATCCCTCTACATTTCCTTTTGCTCACATCACATATTTGTGATGCTGGGTTGTCAGTGGTCGCTGTGAAGAACAGCAAGTACCACCTAAAAGTCAGCAAAGACAAGGAACTGAGGATGACATTTTCCAGGCTGATTCCAAAGTGTGAGAAGTCGTGCAGTGCCCAACAGGCACATAGCTCCTATTATTAAGCTATATTGAAAAGTGAAATAAATAGTATGTTTTTTCCAAAGAGAAAAGAAATCACGTTACTCTCAATAATATGGCTACTATCCACAAGACAGAGCATAAGAAGTATTGGCAGGTTTTGGAGAAATTGGAAAACTTTTGTGCTGTTGTTAGGGTGTGATATAAGGCAGCCACTACGGAAAACTACATAAAAGTTTCTGAAAAAAGTAAAAATAAAATTCCCATATGATCTAGCAACTCTGTTTCTGGGTATATGAGCCCAAAGCATTAAAAGCAGGGTCTTCAGCCGGGCGCGGTGGCTCATGCCTGTAATCCCAGCACGTTGGGAGGCCGAGGTGGGCGGACTGCCTGAGCTCAGGAGTTGGTGACCAGCCTGGGCAACATAGTGAAACCCTGTCTCTACTGAAATACAAAAAATTAGCCAGACGTGGTGGCATGTGCCTATAGTCCCAGCTACTGGGGAGGGTGAGGCAGGAGAATTGCTTGAACCCGGGAGGCGGAGGTTGCAGTGAGCCGAGATTATGCCACTGCACTCCAGCCTGTGTGACAGAGCAAGACTCCGTCTTAAAAAAAAAAAAAAAAAAAAAAAAAAAAAAAAAAAAGCAGGGTCTTGAAGAGATATTTGCATGCCCAAGTTCATAGCAACATGACTCATAATAGTCAAGGTGGCAGCAAAGCCTGGTATCTATCAAAGAATAAAGAGGGACATTAAGTGTGGTCTGTCCATACAACGAACTATTAGCCTTAAAAAGAAAGGAAATTCTGACACATGCTACAACATGAGCTAACCTTGAGACATTACACTAAGTGAAACAAGCCAGTCACAAAAGGACAGAAACTGTATGATTTCACTTGTATATTAGAAGTATAATAGATTCGACGTAGAATAGTCAAATTCACAGGAACAGAAAGTGGAATGGAGGTTGCCAGGGGATAGGGGAGGGGAAATGGGGAGTTATGGTTTAATGGACACAGAGTTTCAGTATTGCAAGATTAACAAAATATGGGACATAGTTTGTGGAGACTGTGGCAGAACAATGTGAATGCCCTTCACACCAGTGGACTATACAAGTAAAAATAATTATAGTGATCAGTTACCTTATATGCCTGTTAGCATATTTCGAAAAGGCAAATCAACCTAAATGCCCATAAAAGATAGACTGGATAAAGAAAATGTGGTACATGTACACCACGGAATACTATGCAGCCATAAAAAAAGAAGGAGATCATGTCCTTTGCAGGGACATGGATGAAGCTGGAGGCCATTATCCTTGGCAAACTAACACAGGAACAGAAACCAAACACAACCTGTTGTTTCCCACAAGTGGGAGCTAAATGATGAGAACACATGAAAACACAGAGGGGAACAACACACACTGGGGCCCATTGGAGGGTGAAGGGTGGGAGGAGGGAGAGGATTGTGAAAACCAACGAACGTGTACTAGACTTAATACCTGGGTAATGAAATCATCTGTACAACAAACCCCCATGACACCAGTTTACCTATATACCAAACCTGCACTTGTACCCTTGGACTTAAAATGCAAGTTAAAAAATAAAAAGTTGAAAAATAACTGAAAACATAAATAATTTTTAAAATTATAAACCTATGGTCATGGTCAATATTCGTTTTAAAATTGTACTTTGTACAATTTTAACATGGTAAATTTTATGTGATGTGTATTTTGCCACAGTTCAAAATTGATTTTTAAAGGAGCTCCTGTGTAGTTTTCCATGATGCAAGAATGCCATCTAGTGATGGCAAAGGCCCCTTATAAGACAATGAGCATCACCTCAAATTAAAAGATAAAAAATAAGATTGTTTCAAAATGGGTATCTTCACCTATGCTTGTTTTCTGTTTAATAAGAATTTTTCCCAAGTAGCAATAACTGCATACATGGCCATGATAGGCTTTGGGGCTTTTGGACAGGTCAATGCTATGCTGTGGTTGAAATCCTGCAGCCCAGGCATGGATACAGCTTGTGAAGATGGTACAGGCTGGATTTCACATCCTTTCATCTCCTCAGACAGGAGCCTAACTGCAGAGTACAATAAGCCCAGCAGCCCTGGCTGTGAGTGACATCCCAGGAGTGTCTGCATTTTACAGAGGAGGACACAGGACTCAGGAAGGGGAGGTTACCAGGCTTTCTGGCCCTGAGCCCACGCCTCCCTTACCTGCTCTTCATCCCATCTCTGAGCATCCAAGGAGAAGGGTCCTGGAACCGTCCAAAGGAGGGATTCCAGGGCTGCTGTCTTGCCTTACCCTTGGGATTGGGCATTTGTGGTAGGCAGGGTTCTAATAAGATAGCCATGTGGCAGGGAAAGTGGCCCTAGACTCCACCTTGTTTGACCATGGGGTGTCTTCCAAACTTCCTCAACCACGGACACACACACACACACTCGCACACAAGAACAGATGGTGTCTGGGTTTTCCAGAACTCACAAAAATGTAATTCAAGCTGATTTGAATCACACAGCTTCACACACAACAGGTAGACAGGTCAGCAGGAGACTGCCATTGAAAAGATGGTTTGTTACTCACATTCACAACAGGAGGGGCACCACTGCACTCCAGCCTGGGCGACATTGCAAGACACTATCTGAAAAGAAAGAAAATAAATATTAACTACTTGAAACAAAAAGGAAATGTGACAAGTGGGCCCTACTAGACTAAAGAGCTTCTGTGCAGCCAGGGAAACTGAATAGAGCAAACAACCTACAGAATGGGAGAAAATATTTGCAAACTATGCATCTGACAAAGGTCTAATATCCAGAATCTATAAGAAACTTAAATTAACAAGCAAAAACCAAATAACCCAATGAAAAAATGGACAAAGGACACGAACAGACACTCCTTAAAAGAAGACACACAAGCGTTCAACAAACATGAGAAAACACTCTTTATCATTAATCATCAGAGAAATTCAAATCAAAACCACAATGAGATACCATCTCACACCAGTCAGAATGTCTACTATTAAAAGTCAAAAAACAATAGATGCTGGTGAGGCTGCGGAGAAAAGGGAACACTTACTTATACACTGTTGAGAGGAATACAAATTAGTTCAGTGACTGTAGAAAGCAGTATTGAGATTTCTAAAAGAACTTAAAATGGAGCTACCATTCAACCCAGCAATCCTATTATTGGGTACATACCCAAAAGAAAATGGGTTACTATACCAAAAAGACACATGAACTCATATGTTCATTGTCATGTTATTCACAATAGCAAAGACATAGAATCAGCTTAGGTGCCCATCAATGGTGGATTCAATAAAGAAAATGTGAGCCAGGTGTGGTGGCTCATGCCTGTAATCCCAGCACTTTGGGAGGCCAAGGCGGGTGGATCACCTGAGGTCGGGAGTTCAAGACCAGCCTGACCAACAAGGAGAAACCCCATCTCTACTAAAAATACAAAAATTAGCCAGGTGTGGTGGCGTGTGCCTGTAATCCCAGCTACTCAGGAGGCTGAGGCAAAATTGCTTGAACCTGGGAGGCAGAGGTTGCAGTGAGCCGAGATTGCGCCATTGCACTCCAGCCTGGGCAACAAGAGCAAAACTCCATCGAAAGAGAGAAAGAGAGAGAGAGAGAAAGAGAGAAAGAAAGAAAGAAAGAAAGAGAGAGAGATAAAGAAAGAAAGAAAGAGAAAGAAAGAAAAGAAAGAAAGAAAAGAAAGAAAGAAAGGAAAGAAAGAAAGAAAGAAAGAAAGAAAGAAAGAAAGAAAGAAAGAAAGAAAGAAAGAAAGAAAGAAAAGAAAGAAGGAAAGAAAGAAAGAAAATGTGGTACATAGACATCATAGAATATTATGCAGCCATAAAAAAGAATAAAATCATGTCCTTTGCAGCAACATGGGTGGAGCCAGAAGCCATAATCCTAAGCAAACTAATGCCGGAATAGAAAATCAAATACCGCATGTTCTCACTTATAAGCAAGAGTTAAACACTGAGCACACATGAACATAAACTTGGGAATAATAGACACTGGGGACTCGTAGACAGGGGATGGTGGTGTGGGGTGAAAAACTACCTATTGGGTACTATGCCCAATATCTGGGTGCAGTATTCTCCTGTCACAAACCTGCACTTGCACCCTCTGTATCTGAAACAAAGGTTGACATTTTTAAAAGATTATAACAGCTGAAAATGTTAAATACTAATATATAATATTAGTATTTTTATTCTAGGAGTGACTTTGCCCCCAAGAGACAGTTGGCGAGGTCTGGACACAAGTAGAGGAGAATTACTGACATCCTCTGGGTAGAAGCGAGAGTGCTGCTCCACACACAACAATGTACAATGCACAAAGCAGCCCTCCCCCCAAAACACAAATAACTATCTAGACCATATTTCACACACAACAATGCACAATGCACAAAGCAGCCCTCCCCGCAACACAAATAACTATCTAGACCATATTTCACACACAACAGTGCACAATGCACAAAGCAGCCCTCCCTGCAACACCAATAACTATCTAGACCATATTTCACACACAACAATGTACAATGCACAAAGCAGCCCTCCCTGCAACACAAATAACTATCTAGACCATATTCCACACACAACAATGTACAATGCAGAATGCAGCCTTCCCTGCAACACAAATAACTATCTAAATCATATTTTCAATAATGTCAGGGTAGATAATCCCTAATGGAGATGATTCTCCTGACACTCCTGACTAGCTATATAGGGACCCTCTCTCCTCCATGGCTATTGTCCAAATGCCCATAGCCATCCACTCCCATTAGCCTAAAATCACTCCAAGCCTTCAGTTCTAGCATCCCATCTCCAACATCACGTCCTACTTTCCAAGTGACTCCTCTTTCTCACCTAAGGACTACATCCCGTTATTCTTTGGAGACCAACACTGTCTTTATTTAACCATTTTTCACTGACCTTCACACCCATCTGGTCACCTTCCATGGTCAATTGTTAGGATAAATTCCTCTGGACACACTCGAATCTCTTGCATATTCTGCTGCATGTACCTCCTTGGAAAACCTCAACTCTGCTGTTCTCTGGCTCTGCCTGTTCCACTCCTCACTCTTGCAGATGCATGTGGTTGGGGAGAAACAGCTCCTTCTCCACTGCCTGTTCTCTCTGTAATTTCATGATGATGCCTCTCCAAGGATGCTGAGCAGTGCCTGGAAAATTACCTCCTTCATTCTCTCCCTTCAAATGAATTCCTACTGCATAACTGCATTTCTATCCTGTATCCTCCAACTCTCTTACCCCATTATCATTTTATTCTTATTTCCCAAGTAAGAGTAGAAGCAGGAAGATAATACTTTTAATAATGATACACAGGAAAGTGAGAAGTGGTTGTTATTGTTGTCCTTTGGACTTATCTAACCTCCAGTAAGAAACCTAGGACCAATAAAAACTCACAACTTTAGGTCCATCTTTTTTATCATACTCTAAGGAATTTATATTCCAATGGAGAGAAAGCAGTAAACAGAAAGTGAATAAAGAAAGCACCAACCTCAAGAAGGGAACAAAGCAGGTGCTCGGGGGACAGCAGTCAGAGAGGGCTCCCTTGGGTGGTGAACTCTGTTCAGAGCACTGGTTGGAGACAAGATGGAGCCACATGAAGACTCAGGGTGTGGAGGGAGCTGCACCTGCAAAGGTCCTGAACTTTATTCAATACAGGGAAGGTGAAACGCCAAGGTGGCTGGAGCCAGACTGTCTGCCTTTCTCTGTTTCTCTCCTAGAATCTCCTTCTGTGTGAATGGACTCTGCCTCTCTTTGATGTTCTCCCCCTCCTTCTTCCAATCTTTTCTGCCTTTCTCCCATATTTTCCCCTTACTTCTTTTTTTTTCTGATTCATCCTTCAATATGCTCTGATTTTGCCAGGATCTCCAGAAATCCCATTTATTTAGCAATCAATACATTTTATGTTCAGGCACTGCTCTAAACCATTGGGGAAACAAAATATAAACAGCAATTGTCAGCTTTGCACCTTCAGAAAACCCACAGACTGTGAGGAATGTGGAACGCTATGACCACATATGCACTAGTTCTGTTTTCTCTGTTACCAGCATTGTCCCTAACATGTGTCATATGCTAAGAGATGATTGAGTGATAAAATAAATATATAACCAGTCCTTATGTGGGGCAGTGGGCAGGGCATGACCCAGTTGGGGTCTCCTTTTTCACTTATAATACACAAAGCTTGGCTGCCATTTATTCTATTAATATACTTTGAGGTCAGCCTTGCCTACATTAGGTAGCATCAGGTCTCTTCACAGACCTGACATGCACTTCAGCACCATGGACAGGCCTTAGTCCACGGTGGTGATTTTTTAATTGATACATAATTTTTGCAATATTTATGGGATACATGTGATAAATTAATACATGCACACAATGAATAATGAGCAAGTCAGGGTAACTAGGATGTTCATCACCTCAAACATTTTTCATTTATTTGTGTGGGAATATTCCAAACCTTCTCTTCTAGCTGTTTGAAATACCCTATATAATCTTGATAACTTTTGTTACCCTACTGTGTTATTGAACACTAGATCTTATTCATTTTATCTCATTGTATTTTTGAGCCCATTATCCGAACTCTCTTCATCCCTCCCTCCCCCTATCCTTCCCAGCCTCTGGTAACCAGCATTCTATTCACTACCTCCATGAGATCAATTTTATTTCCCCCACATATGAGTCAGAATATGTCATATTTGTCTTTCTGTGCCTGGTTTATTTCACTTAACATAACGTCCTCCAGTTCTATTTATTTTGCCACATAGAACAGGATTTCATTCTTTTTTATGGCTGAGTAATATTCCATTATATATATATATGTATACATACATATACATATATATATATTTACCACATTTCCTTTCACACTCATTCATTGGTGGACACATAGGTTGATTCCATAACTTGGCTTTTTCTCAATTGTGCTGCAATACACATGACAGTGCAGGTATCTCTTTTGTAGATTTCTCTTAATTTTGCTATTTTTTCCTCTACTGTGTATAAGCTTTTTAGCTTGATGTAGTCCCATTTTTGCTTTAGTTGCCTGTCCTTTGGAGGTCAACTCAAAATGTATTTGCCCAGACCAATGTCCTGAAGCACTTCCCAAATGCTTTCTTCTAGCAGTTGCATAGTTTCACATCTATCTCTTTAATCTATTTTGATCAATTTTTTATGTGGTCAGAGATAGGGGTCTAGTTTCTTTCTGCATAAGAATATCCAGTTTTCCCAGCATTATTTATGTAACAGACCACCTTTTTCTGGTGTATGTTCTTGGTGCCTTTATTGAAAATGGGTTGGTTGAAAATGCATGGATTTATTTCTTTATTCTCTGTTTAATTGATATATTTACATGTTTTTTGTTTTATTTTGTTTTTTCTGATTTTTTTTTTTTTTTTTTTGAGATGGAGTTTCACTCTTGTCACCCAGACTGGAGTGCAACGGTGTGATCTCAGCTCACTGCAACCTCCGCCTCCAGGGTTCAAGTGATTCTCCTCCCTCAGCCTCCTGAGTAGCTGGGATTACAGACATCTGCCACCACACCCAGCTAAGTTTTTTCATATTTTTAGTAGAGATGGGGTTTCACCATGTTGGCCAGGCTGGTCTCGAACTCCTGACCTCAGGTGATTCACCAGCCTTGGCCTCCCAAAGTGCTGGGATTACAGGTGTGAATGACCGCGCCCAGCCTATGTACCTGTTTTTTAATGCCAGTACCATGTTGTTTTTGTTACTATAGCTTTGCAGCATATTTTGAAGTCTGGTAGTGTAATGTCTCCAGCTTTGTTCTCTTTGCTCAGTATTCAGGGTCTTTTATGGTTCCATACAAATTTTAGGATTTTTTTTCTATTTTTGTGGAAAATGTCACTGGTGTTTTGATAGGGATTGCATTGAATCTGTAGATTGCTGCAGTAGTATGAAAATTTTAACAATATTAATTCTTTCAACCCATCACAATGGGATATCTTTCCATTTTTCTGTGACTTCTTTAATATTTTTCATCACCGTTTTATAGTTTTCATTGTAGAGATCTTTCGCTTCTTTATTTAAATTTATTTCTAGGTAATTTTTTGTAGCTATTGCAAATGGGATTGCTTTCTTGATTTCCTTTTCAGATTGTTTACTGATGGCATATAAAAATCTACTATCTATTACATTTTGATTTTGTATCATACAACTTTCTTGAATTCATTCGTCAGTTTTAACAGTCTTCTTTGGTGGGATATTTAGGTTTTCTAAATATAAGATTATGTTATCTGCAAACAAGGACAATTTGGCTTCTTTCTTTCCAGTTTGGATGCCCTTTACTTTTTTCTCTTGTCTAACTGCTTTGGCTAGGATTTCTAGAACTGTGCTGAATAAAAGTGGTGAAATTGGGCCTCATTCCTTTATACTAGATCTTAAAGGAAAGCCTTCTTATTTTTCTCCATTTATTGTGATGTTAGCAGTGGGTTTGTCACACATGGCTTTTACTGTCTGGGGGCACATTCCTTTCATACCCTGTTTAACAGTTTTTTTCATGAAGGGATATTGAGTTGTATTAAATGCTTTTTCAGCATCTATTAAAACAATGATATGGTTTTTGTCTGTGATTTTGCTAATGTGTTCACTTATTTGCATATGTTAAACCTCTTTGGCATCCCTGGGATGAATTCTACTTGATCATGATGAATGATCTTTTTACGTGTTGAATTCAGTTTCCTACCATTTTCTTGAGGATTTTTGCTTCTATGTTCATCAGGAATATTGGCTCATAGTTTTCCTTTTTTGTTGTATCTTTTTCTGACATTAGTATCAGGATAATTCTGTGCTCATAGAATGAGTTTGAAAGTATTCTCTTCCCTTCAATATTTTGGAAGAGTTTGAGTAGATTTGGCGTTAGTTCTCATCCAAATGTTTGCTAGAATTTAGCAGTAAAACCATCATGTCCTGGGCTCTTATTTCATGGAACACTTTTTTTTAACTGTTTCTATATAGTCATTTGTTATTGGTCTATTAAAGTGGTTTATTTCTTCATGTTTCAATCTCGGTAGGTTTAATGTGCCCAATAATTTATTCATTTTTTTCAAGATTATTTATGACAAACCCACAGCCAATATCATACTGAATGGGCAAAAACTGGAAGCATTCCCTTTGAAAACTGGCACAAGACAGGGATGCCCTCTCTCACCACTCCTATTCAACATAGTGTTGGAAGTTCTGGCCAGGGCAATCAGGCAAGAGAAAGAAATAAAGGGTATTCAATTAGGAAAAGAGGAAGTCAAATTGTCCCTGTTTGCAGATGACATGACTGTATATCTAGAAAACCCCACCGTCTCAGCCCAAAATCTCCTTAAGCTGATAAGCAACTTCAGCAAAGTCTCAGGATACAAAATCAATGTGCAAAAATCACAAGCATTCTTATACACCAACAACAGACAAACAGAGAACCAAATCATGAGTGAACTCCCATTCACAACTGCTTCAAAGAGAATGAAATACCTAGGAATCCAACTTACAAGGGATGTGAAGGACCTCTTCAAGGAGAACTACAAACCACTGCTCAACGAAATAAAAGAGGACACAAACAAATGGAAGAACATTCCATGCTCATGGATAGGAAGAATCAAGATTTTCCAATTTATTAGAAAATAGTTGTTCAAAATAGCCACTAATAATCCTTCATATTTCTTTGGTAGCAGTTTAATGTCTCCTTTTTGTCTCGGATTTATTTATTTGGATCTTTTCCCTTCTTTTTCTCATAGTCTGCTAAAGATTTCTCAGTTTTGTTTATCTTTTCCAAAAATGAACTTTTTGTCTGATTGATCTTTGGTAATTGTTTTTGGCTTCAATTTTATTTATTTCTGCCCTGCTCCTTATTTCTTTTCTTTACTAATTTTAGGTTTGATTTGTTCTTGCATTTCTAGGTTTTCTAGGTGGATGATTAATGTATTTATTTGAAAGTCTCTCTACTTCTCTAAGTATGAGTTTTTTGCTATAAGCCTCTCTCTTAGTACTGCTTTTGCTCTATCCTATAGGTTTAGGTGTATTGTGTTTCCTTCTAAAATCAAGGAGTAACCAGGGAAATATTTACCTGCTTTTTGAGTACAAACTGCCAGTGATACAGCTTTAAAAATGCAGCCCAAATTCTCAGAGTTCATGGCCTGGAGGGGAAAACAGGTAAACTATCTGTTATTTCACCATGAGAGATGGGGAAGAAAAAAACTAGCACATCTTTTATGACAATATTGAGGAGGAAATTGCTTTAACAATTGTGGATACTGTGGTTGGGGAAAAACTCACAAAGAAAGTGACTCTTCTTTCTAACACTTTTTTTGCTGTATCATCACAATAGAATTGTATTCCATATTTACACTAGAAATGCAAAAAAAACAAGCTATTATTTATTGATTGTTTACAATGTATTGTGAGGATCAGAACGGACAGGTAGCTTCTTCATGATCACCCACATAATGAATGTTGGGGCTGGGGTTTGTAAACTGGAAGATAAAAAATAAAATGTAAAATTAATTGATAAAGCAGCAGCATGTTTTGACAGGATGGATTTCAATTTTAAAAGAAGTTCTGTGTGTAAAATGCTACCAAACAGCATCACATGCTACAGAGAAATATTTTAAGAAATATTTTAAGAAATTGCCACGGCCACCTCAACCTTGAACAACCACCACCGTGATCAGTCTGCAGCCATCAACATTGAGGCAAGACCCTCCACCAGAAAAATGGTTATGACTCATTGAAGGGTCAGGTGATTCTTATAATTTTTTAGCAATAATATATTTTACATTAAGGTGGGGATATTGTGAACTGGAGAATATAATCTAAATTCTAAATTATTTGTTGTCATTTCTACAATGTTCACAGCATCTTCTCAAGGAGTAGGTTCCATCTCAAGAAACCACTTACTTTGCTTGTTCAAAAGAAGCAATTCCTGTAATCCCAGCACTTTGGGAGGCTGAGGCGGGTGGATCACAAGGTCAGGAGATTCAGACCATCCTGGCTAACACAGTGAAACCCTGTTTCTACTAAAAATACAAAAAAAAAAAAAAATAGCCAGGCATAGTGACACGTGCCTGTAGTCCCAGCTACTCGGAAGGCTGAGGCAGGAGAATCGCTTGAACCCAGGAGGTGGAGGTTGCAGTGAGGCAAGATTGTGCCACTGCACTCCAGCCTGGGCGACAGAGTGAGAGCGAGACTCTGTCTCTCAAAAAAAAAAAAAAGCAACTCCTCAACTCATCTGCTAAAACTTTCTTATGAGATTACAGAATCCAGTCAGATCTTTAGGCTCTAATTCTAATTCCAGTTTTCTTGCTCTTTCTACCACATCTGCAGTGACTTCCTCCGTTGAACTCTTGAACCCCACAAAGTCATCAAATAGGAGTTGGAATCAACTTCTTTCAAACTCCTATTGATGTTGATATTTTGACTTTGTTCCATTTATAGAGCACAGGTAGAGTAGGTTTTGCACAATCCTGAAGAGTCCTAGAATTTTTAGCCCACGCATGGTGGCTCACGCCTGTGATCCCAGCACTTTGGGAGGCCAAAACCAGCAAAATCACTTGCGGTCAGGAGTTTGAGACCAGCCCGGCCAACAAGGCAAAACCCTGTCTCTACTAAAAATACAAAACTTATCCGGGCATGGTGGTGCAACCTGTAATCCCAGCTACTCAGGAGGCTGAGGCAGGAAAATCACTTGAAGTCGGGAGGTGGAGGTTGCAGTGAGGCAAGACTGTGCCACTGCACTCCAGCCTGGGCAACAGAGCAAGACTCTGCCTCACAAAATAAATAAATAAATAAATAAAGAGTCCTAGGACTTTTGGAATAGTAAAAAAAGCATTGGATCTAACTGAACATTACCAGCTGCATTCGTTCCTAAGAAGAGAGTCGGCCTGTCCTTTGAAGCTTTGAAGCCAGGCACTGACTTCTCTCTAGCACATACTTTAGGAAAATGGCACTCTCAGACTTGCCAATGCAGACTTGCACAAACCTTCCATTCAAAAATACTCAGTATCTGTGAAGCGCAGTGAAACAAAGCACAACAGAAAAATGTACGCTTGCATTTTCCAAACAAACTTCGCAATAAAGGTGGTGTTGCTTTTCATTTCTGCAAATATCTTTAATGTTTTCCTTACCACTAGATGGCTATGATCAAATTGTCCACTTAAATCAAACATGTGCAATATTATGTCATCCAGAGAAAATGAGGGAAAATGCAAATAAACTTTTCATGTGTTTAGGACAATTATTTGGAATTGTGCATTCCAAATCTTGAATCCCCCCGGAGTCCTGGAACTACATTTTTGGGAAAAAGTGATCTAAGAGATATACAAATGATATACAGGAGATTATAAGTGGAGATCATTTGAGTAAACAAGAGGTTGTCCATGAAAGAAACTGTGGAACATCCAATCACTTTCCTTAGTCTCCACAGCTCCCTTGGCTGAGGAGGAACTTCTTCCCCGCCGTCCCCCACAACTGTCCAGGAATATGAGGTACTTAGGTACCTGATTATTGGTACATGAGGTACTTAGAAGAGTCAAATTCATAGCAATGGAAAATAAAATGGTGGTTGTCGGGGCTGGAAAAAAGGAAATGAAGAGTTATTGCTGTTTCCATGGTGACTCATCTCCAAGGATACTGAGGGTTGCTCGGCAACCAGGTCACCTTCTCCATTCTCTCCCTGATCTGATGAACATGCATTGCATTCCCGCTATTATAACCTTATAGCCACATCTGTCTAAAGAGGTAACCCTACAGTTTAGTTTTAAGGGAAGTATGGTGATATTTCATATCTTCTGTCACCACATTAAGTCATTAAGTATAAGCTGCAGGGATTCATGTTTTCTACATTGGTTCTCTCATTTTTTTATTTTTATTTTTTGCAGTCATCATATCTTTGTGATGCTGGGTTATCAGTGGTATCTATGAAAAAAACAATAACCACATGAAAATCAATGAGGATGAGGACATCAGGGTGACACAGTCTAGTCTGATTCCTACATTTGAGAAGTTGTGCAGGAACCAACAAATACATCCCATTATTAAGTAATTACTATTGAAAAGTGAAAGAAATATTTTTTTCTTTGGCAAAGAGATAATGAACCACTTCATTCCCATGTTCATGGCCACTATCCATAAGACAGAAGATAACAACCACCCACAGGGCTTGGAGAAGTTGGCACATCTGCACTCTCGGTGCAATTGTGATGAGATGCAGATTCTGTGAAAAAAAAAATTACAACAGTTCTGAAAAGAATAAAAATAAAATTATCTTTCTACCTCTGGATATTACCCAGAAGTAATGGAAGCAGAAAATTAAAGAGATATTTGTACACCCATGGGCATAGCAGCATTAGTCATGAGAGTCAAAAGTGGAAGCATCCCAGCACTTTGGGAGGCCAAGGCGGGCGGATCATGAGGTCAGGAGTTCGAGACCATCCTGGCTAACACGGTGAAACCCCGTCTCTACTAAAAATACAAAAAAATTAGCCGGGCATGGTGGCGGGTGCCTGTAGTCCCAGCTACTTGGGAGGCTGAGGCAGGAGAATGGCATGAACCTGGGAGGCAGGCTTGCAGTGAGCCGAGATGGCACCACAGCACTCCAGCCTGGGCGACAGAGCGAGACTCCATCTCAAAAAAAAAAAAAAAAAAAAAAAAAAAAGTGGAAGCAACCCAAGTTGCTCGTTAACCAAGTTTTGGTTAAAAAGTCAAAAAAAATAACATATCAGCAAGGCTGTAGAGAAAGGGGGACGCTTACATACTCTGGTGGAAATGCAAATTAGTGTAAATTAGTCCAGCCACTGTGGAGAGCAGTTTGGAGATTTCTCAAAGAACTAAGCGTTGAGCTGCTATTCAACCCAGCAATCCTATTGCTGGGTATATGCCCAAAGGAAAATGAATCATTCTGCTAAACAGTCACATGAACCTGTATGCTCATTACCATTCTATTCACAACAACAAAGACATGGAATGAACCTATGTACCCATCAACAGTGGATTGGATAAAGAAAGTGTTGCACACATACACTGTGGAATACTATGCAGCCATAAAAGGAATAAAACCAGCCAGGCACGGTGGCTCATGCCTGTAATCCCAGCACTTTGGGAGGCCAAGGTGGGCAGATCACATGGGGTCAGGGGTTCAAGACCAGCCTGATCAACATGAAGAAGCCCCATCTCTTACTAAAAATACAAAATTAGCCTGGCATGGTGGCATGCGCCTGTAATCGCAGCTACTTGGGAGGCTGAGGCAGGAGAATCACTTGAACCCGGGAGGTGGAGGTTGCAGTGAGCCAAGATCATGCCATTGCACTGCAGCCTGGGCAACAAGAGCGAAACTCCACCTCAAAAAAAAAAAAAAGGAATGAAACCATGTCTTTTGCAGCAACATGGATGCAGCTGGAGACCATTTTCTTAAGCAAATTACCTCAAAACAGAAAACTAAATACCACATGTTCTCACTTATAAGCAGGAGCTAAATATTGGGCGTACGTGGACATAAAGATGGAAACAACAGGTACTGTGGACAGCCAAGGGAGAGAGGAAGAAGGACACAGGTTGAAAAACTACCTATCAGGCACCATGCCTACTACCTGAGTGATGGCTTCAGTCACATGCTAAACCTCAGCATCAGGCAGCGTGCCTTTGCAACAAACCTGCACATGTATCCCATGATTCCAAAATAAAAATTGAACAAAAGTAAAGGAAATCCTGACAGGTGCTACAATCTGGATGAAGCCTGAAGAATGCTGTCAATTGAAATAAATCCACACCAAAAGGACAAATAATATATGATTCTAGGTATACGAGGTACTTAGAAGAGTCAAATTCATAGAAATAGAAAATAAAATGGTGACTGCCAGGGGCTGGAAAAGGGAAGTGGAGAGTTATTCCTTAATGGGTACAGAGTCGTGGTTTTCCCAGACTAAAGGAGTTCTGAAGATGTATGGGACAGATTAGGATACAACAAGTAAATGTACTTAATTGCTGAACTTTACACTTAAAAATATAGTTATGCTGTAGTTCCAGCTACTCGGGAGGCTGAGGCAGGAGAATCGCTTGAACCCGGGAGGCGGAGGTTGCAGTGAGCCAAGATCACACCACTGCACTCCAGCCTGGGTGACAAGAGCAAGACTCTGTCTCAAAAACAAACAAATAAAAACAAACTATATATATATACACACATATATATGTATATACATATATACACATATATACGTATATACATATATACACATATATACGTATATACATATATACACATATATACGTATATACATATATACACATATATACGTATATACATATATACACATATATACGTATATACATATATACACATATATACGTATATACATATATACATATATGTATACGTATATACATATATGTATACATATATACATATATGTATACACATATATACATATATACATATATACACATATATACATATATACACATATATACATATATACACACATATATACACATATATACACATATATATACACATATATATATATGCTGAGTGCGGTGCCTCACTACTGTAATGCCAGCACTTTGGGTGGCCAAGGCAGGTGGATCACCTGAGGTCAGGAGTTCGAGACCAGCCTGGCCAACATGGCGAAACCCCATCTCTACGAAAAATACAAAAATTAGCCAGGCGTGGTGGCGCGCCTGTAATCCCAGCTACTCGGGAGGCTGAGGCATGAGAATCACTTGAACCCAGGAGGCAGAGGCTGCAGTGAGCCAAGATCGCACCACTGCACTCCAGCCTGGGGGATAGAGCGAGACTCTGTCTCCAAAAAGTATATATATATATATATATATATATATATATATATATATATATATATATATACACACACACACATACAGTTATGAGCCACATACCAACATTTCGGTCAATGACATTATATTATATACAGAACAGTGGTCTCATAAGATTTTAGCAGCAAATTTTTACTGTATCTTTTCTGTGTTTAGACATGTTCAGTTACACAAATGCTTACCATTGTGTTAAAGTCCCCCATGGAATTCAGCACGGTAGCATCTTGAACAGGCTTGTAGCTTAGGAGCAGCAGGCTCTACCACCAAGGTTTGTGTAAGTACACTCTAGGATGTTCACACAATGACAATATCACCTAAAAACACAATCCTCAGAACACATCTCTGCCCTTAGGTGAGTCCTGACTCTAGGTAAAAAGGTGAATATTCAATTGTACTATTTTACCACGGTTTAAGAATATAAAAAAAAATTAAAATAATAAGCTTATTCTATGGGTAACATATTATTAACATATTAGTAACAAAATGCTTAAGATGGCTTATTTGTGTAATATATATTTTGCTACAATTAAAAATTGAAAAGTAAAAATAAAAAAGTTAAATAAAAGCCAATTTTACCATGATGCCAGATTGCCATCTAGCGTAAGCAAAGGCATTTGAAAATTTCCCAGACATTCCTTCAAATGGGAAGAAAGGAGGAAACAAAAAGATATTATTAAGACAGTATTTTTTTGTTTTGTTTTTTGTTTTCTGTTTTTTGTTTTGAGACAGAGTCTCACTCTGTCACCCAGGCTGGAGTGCAGTTTCACGATCTCAGCTCACTGCAACCTCCACCTCCTGGGTTCAAGCGATTCTCCTGCCTCAGTCTCCCAAGTAGTTGGGATTACAGGCGTGTGCCACCACGCCTGTTAATCTTTGTATTTTTAGTAGAGAGGGGGTTTCACCATGTTGGCCAGGCTGGTCTCCAACTCCCAGCCTCAGGTGATCCACCCACCTCGGCCTCCCAAAGTGCTGGGATTACAGGCGTGAGCTACCGTGCCCTGCCAAAATGGGTATTTTTTTGTTTGTGTTTGTTTGTTTGTTTGAGATGGAGTTTCGCTCTTGTTGCCCAGGCTGGAGTGCAATGGCACAATCTTGGCTCACCACAACCTCCGCCTCCTGGGTTCAAGCAATTCTCCTGCCTCAGCCTCCAGAATAGCTGGGATTACAGGCATATACCACCATGCCCGGCTAAGGGTATGTTTTTATAAGTCTGCTTTTCTGTTTAATAAGGTTTTTCCCCAAAATGACAATAACTGCACACATGGGCATGGTAGGCTTCCTGGCTTTGGAGAGATCAATGCTACGCTATGGTAGGAAGCCTGAAGCCCCGGCTTGGACACAGTTTATGGAGAGAATACAGGCTGGAGTTCACATCCAGGTCATCTCCTTGGATCAGAGCCTCAGTGCAGTCTACAATATGCACAGGCATCCCATCATCCCCAGTAGCCCTGGCTGTGAGTAAGGTCCTAGGAGCGTCTGCATTTTACAGTGGAGGACGCTGGGCTCAGAGAGGGGAGGTCTCTAGGCTGTCTGGCCCTGGACCCATGCCTCCATCACTTGCTCCCATCTTGTCTCTGAGCATCTAAGGAGAGGTATTCTGGGCACTTCCCAGAGAAGAGAGTCCAGATCTGAAACTGTTCCTCAACCTCTGGATGGGGCTTTTGAAGTGTGCAGGGTCCTAGTGAAGTAGGTATAAGGCAGGGAGAGTGGAAATAGAACCCAATTTGTATGTCCCTGAAGTATTCTCCAAAACTCCAATAAAGTCACAGACACACACACACACACACACACACACACACACACACTAAGCTAGCCTAGCTTATATGCAGGAGATTGTAATAGTATGAATCACATGTTTTCACGCAAGGCCATGCAGAATAAATGGTCTTCAAACCACTTCTTAAGCATGCACACATCCACACGCAAACACACTGTTATGATCTGAATACTGCCTCCTCTTCCCAAACACAGTACTTCATATTGTGGCTGTATTTGGTGATATGGTTTTTAAAGAGATGATTAAGTTAAATGAGGTCCTTAGGGTGGGCTCTAATCCAATTTCTTCTTATAGAAGCAGCAATATGGACACAAAGAGACATCAGAGATGGACACACACAGGAAAGACTGTTAGAGATGGCAAGAAAGCATTGGTCACAATCTACAGAGGCAGCCTCAAGAGAAACCAGCCCTGCTGACATCTTAATCTCAAAATTCAGCCTCCAGAAAGGTAAGTAGATACATGTCTGTTGTTCAAGCTGCCCGGGATGTGGCGTTTTGTTTTGGCAGCCCTAACAAATTAGTATATACACTTTCACACACGCTCAAGATGCAAACTTTCCTAACCAGTGCACAAACTCCGTGACTAACTCACACACAGGGAGCTTCATCCCTCATGCAAGTACAATCACATGTGGACAGTTCTTAGAGTCACACACAATGACAGACGATAAAACACAACCACCCAAGATGAAGAATCACCAGCATTTCCTGATCAAACATAGACACATTCACACAGAAAGACACAAACACACAATGTGCTGCAGGCTTATTTGAACTCAAATACAAATACAGACACACACACACACACACACACACACACATACACATAGTTATATCCAATCATCCATTCAAGACAAGACATTCTCAACCACACAGAATCATAGAGAAATACAACCACAAACAAGGTAACGCACACTCACAGAGGGACACACAGTTAACACAGTCAAGGACACACAATCACAGAGACATAGGGAGATGGGCTATCAAACCGTCGCTCAGGAAACTTTCACCTCCACATTGACGTAAAAGATGGATCCTTCATAGAAAATATGAAGTAAGGTGATGTCAATCAATCAGAAAACAGCTGTCACTGAAAAGATAATTTGTGGCCCTCAGATCCCAACAGGAGGAGGCTAACACATGGCACTTACTACCCTAATGCTGAGTGATGAGATAAATGCATAATCAGTCTTTATGTGAAGATGTGGGCAGAACACGACCCAATTGGGGTCTTCTTTTCTTGGTTATCAAACAAGGAATCTTGGTTTCAATTTATTTTAGAAATATACTTTGAAGTCGCCATTGCATAAGTCAGTAGGCATCAACTACCTCCCTTACCTGTGTAAGAGTTCATAGATCCAATGGGTCCTTCAACACCATGGACAGGTCATCGTCAATGGTGGGGCTGTGGGATTCTTTTTTTTTTTTGGAGAGGGAGTCTCGCTCCATCGCCCAGGCTGGAATGCAGTGGCGCCATCTCGGCTCCTCCATCTCCCAGGTTCAAGCAACTCTCTTGCCTCAGCCTCCCGAGTAGCTGGGATTACAGGCACCCACCATCATGCCTGTCTATTATTGTATTCTTTGTATTTTTGCAGAGACGTGGTTTCACCATGTTGACCAGGCTGGTCTTGAACTCCTGACCTCAGGTGATCTGTCTGCCTCAGCCTCCCAAAGTGCTGGGATTACAGGCATGAGCCACCACACCCAGCCTTGTCTAACATTTTACAACTCCCTTTAATCCCCTCCAATCATCTTCTGAATTCAAACACCTGGAACATTATATCTTGCAGAAAAAGCTAAGAAGAGAAAAGGCAAATAAAATCTTAATGTTCCTAGGAAAATAGTTTGGAATTGTGTGCCTTTTGAAAGGATCTTGATTCTGCCATGAGGTTTTGAACAATATTTTGAGAACTAGTGGCCTGGGAGATATACAAATAAGAGACCTGAAAATATAAATGGAGATTATCTGAATATACAAATGACAGATTATCCATTTGGAAGACTGTGGGACTTCCATACAGTTTATTAGTCTCTACAGCTGCATTTTGCTGGTTCAGAAGAGTCCCTCCCCCACTGCGTGTTCTCATTCTAATTCCACCATGAGTCATCTCCAAGGACACTGAGCATTGCCTGGCAACCAGATTAGCGCCTCCATTCTCTCCCCCTCCAATGAACACGTACAGCATTCCTTCTGCTCCATCCTCACAGCTGCAAGTGTCTGCAGAGTTACCTCTATGCTTGAAATTTAAGGGAAGAACGGCAATATTCAATATCTCCTGACACCACATGAACTAAAGGCTCCAGGGGTTCACAGTCTCCACCTTAGATCCTTCTACATTTCCTTTGCTGACATCTTTGTGGTGCTGGAGTGTCAGTGGTCACCGTGAAGAACAGCAATAACCAACTGAAATCAACATGGATGAGGAGTGAGGGTGGCGTGGGCCAATCTGGGTCCAAGGTTTGAGAAGCTGTGCAATTCCCAACGGGCTTCTCGGTAGCAACAGATCTTAATCTCATAACCAATGACTTTAAACTTGAATACCCATCACAAACATTCAAGTTCTCAAATATATTAGGTTTTTGTTGTTGTTGTTGTTGTTTGTTTGTTTGTTTGTTGTTTTTGAGACAGAGTCTCGCTCTGTCACCGAGGCTGGAGTGCAGTGGCGCAATCTTGGCTCACGGCAACCTCCACCTCCTGGGTTCATGCGATTCTCCTGCCTCAGCCTCCCCAAGTAGCTGGGATTATAGGCATGCACCACCACGCGCAGCTAATTTTTGTATTTTTAGTAGAAATGGGGTTTCTCCATGTTAGTCAGGCTGATTCTCAAACTCCTGACCTCAGGTGATCCACCCTCCTCGGCCTCCCAAAGTGCTGGGATTACAGGCATGAGCCACCACACCCGGCCTATACTAGGTTTTTATCCAATCACAGTACACCATACAACCCCGCACACAAATCTAGACACAAGTCAATGTTTAGTGTCTCTTCTATTAGACTAATCTGACTAGAGAAATCAATACCAAAAAACATTGTCCAAATCCAAACTTCAGCCTCCACTTTCATATCCGCCCAAAAAGGCCTAATTAAACTCTACTTCTTCTCTTTCCTTATCCTGTCTCTTCTAACTCTATTTTTAGTTATCTAACCTGTTCCCCTGAGTACGCTCAATTGCAAGATAAATGCTCACAAATACAGATCGACCAGCAACCACCACCAATCAGCATCTGTAACTATACAAGGCTGCCTCACCTAAAGAATCTTCACACAATAATCCTACCTCCTCGCCCTCAAAAATTACACAATTTTCCATAATATACCATAATATAAAAATCAGTTGGGCAGGCGTGGTGGCTCACGCCTGTAATCCCAGTACTTTGGGAGGCCGAGGCAGGTGGATAACCTGAAGTCAGGAGTTCGAGACCAGCCTGGCAAACATGGTGAAACCACATCTCCACTAAAAGTACAAAAATTACCCAGGCATGGTGGCGGGCGCCTGTAGTCCCAGCTACTCGGGAGGCTGAGGCAGGAGAATTGCTTGAACCTGGCAGGCAGAGATTGCAGTGAGCTGAGATCATGCCACTGCACTCCAGCCTGGGTGACAGATAACGACTCTGTTTCCAAAAAAAAAAAATCAATTACAACTTCCACCTCATCATATTCCATTATTCATCCAACTGCTGCCAACTCTAACAACAGCCCTAACAATAAAGCACCCCAGAGGTCAAGACCTGACCCCCATCCATGTGTCAGGATACTCTTCAGTAGCCATTGCCACGGTATAACCAAAGACATATACCATGATTAAGTAATAAGTATTAAAAATGAAAGCAATATTTTCCCTGGCAAAGAAATAAGGAACTAACTCATTGCCGTTTCCATGGTCACTATCCGTTAAACAGAATATAACAACACTGACAGGATTTGGAGAGGCTGAAACACCTGCACCGTTGGTGCGATCGTGATGTGATGCAGCTGTGGTGGGAAACCATCCGACTGTTCTGAAAAAACAGAAATAAAATTACCCATGAACCAGCAATTTACCTCTGAATCTTACTCACAAGTTTTGAAAGCAGAGAATCAAAGAGACGTTTGTGCAACCGCGTGCATGGCAGCATTATTCATAATAGTCAAAGTGGAAGCAACTCAAGTCTCCATCGATTGGTGAATGGATAAGCAAGATGGGGTCTATACAGACAATGGCATATTATTCGGGCCTAAAAAGAAAGGAAATTCTGACCCATGCTATGACTTGGATGAACTTTGAGGAACAATGTTCATTGAAATAAGCCCATCACAACCGGACAAAATACTGTATGATTCCAGGTATACAAGGTACTTAGAAGAGTCAGAATTCCTGAATGAAAAATAAAAAGGGTGGTTTCCAGAGGCTGGAAGGAGGAGAAATGGAGAGTTATTGCTTAATAGGCACAGAGTTCTTGTTTTCCAAGAAGAAAGGTGCTCTGAAGAGGAATGGTGCAGATTGTGGCAGAACAAGTGAATGTACTTAATAGTGATGCACACTCAAAATACAGTCATGGCCGGGCGTGGTGGCTCACGCCTGTAATCCCAGCACTTTGGGAGGCCGAGGAGGGTGGATCACAAAGTCAAGAGCTCGAGACCATCCTGGCCAACATGGTGAAACCCCGTCTCTACCAAAATACAAAAAATTAGCCGGGCGTGGTGGTGGGCGCCTGTAGTCCCAGCTACTCGGGAGGCTGAGGCAGAAGAATGGTGAGAACCCAGGAGGCGGAGCTTGCAGTGAGCTGATATGGCACCACTGCACTCCAGCCTGGGTGACAGAGCAAGACTCCATCTCAAAAAAAAAAAAAAAAATACAGTCACGAGGTGCATAGTAACATTTCAGTCAATGATAGGTCTCATATATTATAGCGGTCCCATAAGATCATAGTACCAAATTTGTACTGTACCTTTTCTATGTTTAGATACACAAATACCACTGTGTTCCAGGTACCTACAGTATTTAGTACAGCAACGTGCCACGCAGGTTTGTGTCCTAGGAGCAGCAGACTATACCACAGAGCCTAGGTGTGTAGTAGGCTGCACCGTCTAGGTGTTTGTAAGTTCACTCTAAGATGTTCACACAATGTCAAAATTGCCTAACCACAAAATTCTCAGAATGTATCCCTGTTGTCGATTCATGACTATATTTAAAATGATAAATACCATAGTTTAAAAAAATAAAAAAGGCATATATCACAGGCTTATGATATTAGTAATATATCTTTCACATATTAGTCACAAAATGCTTAAGATGGTAAATTCTGTGTAATATGTATTTTGCCACAATTGAAAATTGAAAAGTAAAAAAAAAAATAATAATTAGAGCCTATTTTTTTCATGGTGCAAAAGTGCCATCTAGTGACAGCAACGTGATTTCATACGCGTTCCTTCAAATTAGCGGACAAAAGTTAAGATTTGGTTTTTGGTTTTTGTTTTGTCCTGTTTCTTCTTTTTACACAGGGTCTCACTCTGTTCAGTGGCACGACCTCAGCTCACTGCAGCCTCGACCTCCCAGGCTCAAGCGATCCTCCCACCTCAGTCCCCGAGTAGTTGGGAATACAGGCTTGTACCACCACGCCGAGCTAATTGTTTTTTGTAGAGAAGGGGTCTCACCATGTTGCCCAGGCTTAAAAACAAGATGATACTCTAAAATATATGCATTTGCACATGTTTGTTTATCTGTTTAAGAAGATTTTTTCCCCAAGTGACAACGGTGCACATGGCCATGGTAGGCTCTGGGACTTTGGATGGACCAATGTCATACTCCAGTGGGAATTCTGGCCCTGGCATGGACACAGCTGTGGAGAGAGCGCAGGCTGGGTTTCACATCCCACGTATCCTTTTGAACAGGAGCCGAAGTGCACAGTACAATATGCACGGCCATCTCCCGCACCCCTGGCTGTGAGTGAGGTCCTAGGAGTGTCTGCATTTTACAGGCAACACTGGGCTCAGAGAGGAGAGGTCTCCAGACTGCCTGGCCCTGAGCCCATGCTTCCATCACCTGCTCCAATCCTGTCTCCAAGCATCCTAGGAAGGGCATCCTGGGCACTTCCCAGATGGATCCTAGGACCTATCTTGCTCTACCTATGGAATTGCGCATTTGGGGTGGGCAGGATTCTAATAAGGTTGATATAAGACAGGAAAGTGGCCTGAGGTTTCAATTTATTTATCCACAAATAGTATCTCCTTCAATCACACACACACACACACACACACACACACACACACACACAATGAAAGGTGTCTGGGTCTTGTGGAACTCATACACACACACACACATGCACATTTAGTGGATGAAAGGTGCCTGGGTCTTGTGGAACTCATACACACACACACATGCACATTTAGTGGATGAAAGGTGCCTGGGTCTTGTGGAACTCATACACACACACACAAACACACACACATACACATTTAGTGGATGAAAGGTGTCTGGGTTTTGTGGGACTCACACACACACACACACACGCACATTTAGTGGATGAAAGGTGCCTGAGTTTTGTGGGACTCACACATACACACACACACACATGCACATTTAGTGGATGAAAGGTGCCTGGGTCTTGTGGGACTCACACACACACACATGCACATGTAGTGGATGAAAGGTGTCTGGGTCTTGTGGGACACACACACACACACACACACACACATGCACAGGTAGTGGATGAAAGATGCCTGAGTTTTGTGGGACTCACACACACACACAGACATGTGCACATTTAGTGGATAAAAGGTGCCTTGGTCTTGTGGAACTCACACAACATGGGTTTCATAATTGCATGAATCACTGTTTCACGCACAGTCATGTGGACACAATGGCAACCTTCACAGCATCTCCCATGACCACACATCCACACACAAACACACTGTTATGGGCTCACTGCTTTCTCCTGAAAACTTATTTGGTGATTCCCTAAACTCCAGAACCTCAGGATGTGACTATCTGGGGTCAAGGCCTTTAAGAGGGGATTAAATGAGGCTTTTGGACTGGCCCTACTCCCATTTGACTGGCATCCTTATAGAGGAGGGAGTTAGACACACACAGTGACACCAGGGATGCATACAAAAAAAAAGACCTAGTGTGGACGCCAAGAGAATACGGCCGCCAAGAAGCCAAGGAGAGAGGCCTCCTGAACACAGGCTCCTTCGACACCTTGATCTTGGGCTCCAGGCTCCAGGACAGGGAGAAAATAAGCTTCTATTAGTATTAGGTTAAGCCACCCAGTCTACCCAGGCCACCCAGTCTGTGGTGTTTTGTTACAGCAGCCATAGCAAATTAATCCACAATCTTCCCACACACTCACATGAGCGCTCAAAACCCTCCTAACTGGAGCACACACTCACAGTCACAAACCCACACACAGGGGGCTTCATCCCCTCTATGATCACAGTCACACTCGGGCTGTCCTAGAGAGAGTCACACACAACGGCACATGATGTAACACAGCAGACTAAGATGCACACACAACAGCCCAGGTCAAACAGACACAGACACACAGCAAACCTGAACACACACATTCCTGTGGCTCATCCAGGCTGAGATAGAAACTTTCCGGTGAAGCGTGACTCATAATCACACATGGAGATCCGCAGTCACATCCAATCATACGTGAGAGACCACACGCCCTCAACCGCACAGAGTCAGAGAGAAACACAGACACACACACACAGAAGGACACTCCATCCAACACACTCAAGGACACACAATCACACAGACATGGGGAGACAAGCCATCACACAGTTGTACAAGACACTGTCATCTCCATATTATTTTCTGTAGGGAAAAGAAAGAGAGATCAGATTGTTACTGTGTCTATGTAGAAAAGGAAGACATAAGAAACTCCATTTTGATCTGTACCAAAAAAAATGGTTTCTACTTTGAGATGCTGTTAACCTGTAACTTTAGCCCCAACCCTGTGCTCACAGAAACATGTGCTGTATTGAATCAAGGTTTAATGGATTTAGGGCTGTACAGCATGTGCCTTGTTAACAATATGTTTGCAGGCAGTATGCTTGGTAAAAGTCATCGCCATTCTCCAGTCTCGATTAACCAGGGACACAATGCACTGCGGAAAGCCACACGGACCTCTGCCCAAGAAAGCCTGGGTATTGTCCAAGGTTTCCCCTCACTGAGATAGCCTGAGATATGGCCTCATGGGAAAGGAAAGACCTTATATCCCCCAGCGGGACACCCTTAAAGGGTCTGTGCTGAGGAGGAGGAGTGAAAGAGGGAGGCCTCTTTGCAGTTGAGATAAGAGGAAGGCTTCTGTCTCCTGCTCGTCCCTGGGAATGGAATATCTGGGTGTAAAGCCGATCATTCCCATTCGTTCTATTCTGAGATAGGAGAAAACCGCCCTGTGGCTGGAGGTGAGATATGCTGGCAGCAATACTGCTCTGTGACTCTTTGCTACACTGAGATGTTTGGGTAAAGAGAAACATAAATCTAGTCTACGTGCACATCCAGCCACGGTACCTTTCCTTGAACTTATTCATGATACAGATTCCTTTGCGCACGTTTCCCTGCTGACCTTCTCCCCACCTGTTGTCCTTCTACGCTCCCCTTGTTAAGATAGTAAAAATAATGATCAATAAATACTGAGGGAACTCAGGGGCTGGCGCCAGTGCGGGTCCTCTGTATGCTGAGCGCTGGTCCCCTGGGCCCACTGTTCTTTCTCTATACTTCGTCTCTGTGTCATTTCTTTTCTCAGTCTCTCGTCCCACCTGATGAGAAATACCCACAGGTGTGGAGGGGCTGGCCCAATTCAATTTTCTTTTTTTTTTTTTTTTCTGAGATGGAGTCTCGCTCTGTCTCCCAGGCTAGAGTGCAGCGGCATGATCTCGGCTCACTGCAACCTCTGCCTTCTGAGTTCAAGCAATTCTCCTGGCTCAGCCTCCCAAGTATCTGGGACTACAGGCTCCAGCCACGAAGCTCAGCTAATTTTTCTATTTTTAGTAGAGATGGGGTTTCGCCATGCTGGTCAGGCTGGTCTCAAACTCCTGACCTCAGGTGATCCACCCACCTCGGCCTCCCAAAGTGCTGGGATTACAGGCGTGAGCCACCACACCCGGCCTATATTATTTTCCATTTATTGTGTAATGGAAAATTGGAGGTACGCTGAGGCCAACAGATGAGGAAGTGACTGTCATTGAAATAAATTGTGTTACTCAGTTTCCAGGAGAAGAGAGCCCGTCTCAGCTCAGGCAGCCCCATGGGGAAAGCGCCAGGATCTGCCAGGAGTCAGAAGGAGGTGAGTGAAATGTGGGTGTGGACAAGACTTTGCTATAGTTTCTGTGGAAAGGAAGAAGTGAGGCAGATTTCATAGGTTAGGGCTGGTCACTTTGGATAACCTCAGTGGGATCTGGGGAAAAGGGCTGTTCTTAGTGGTGTGATACCTGGCCCTGGGGTGAGTATAGCGCCCTGTTAGAGAGTGGGTGGGATGTGGGCTCTGGATTGGTGGTTTATATATAAAAGGCATGCTCTCAAGCAAGTTATTTATCACTCGAGAAATTGGCTAAAACTGGGAGGGGCCATCCCTGCAAGGTCAAGACCATGATGTAAAAGCAATTTTTTTTTCATTGATCTTTTATGTATTTTTTTGGTCTCAATCTTATTTGTTTCTGCTCTGCGCTTTATTTACTTTCTTCTACTAATTTTTGGGTTTGGTTTGTTCTCGCTTTCCTAGATTCTTGAGGTGCATCCTTAGGTTATTGAAGTCTTTCTTTCTTTCTTTTTCTTTTTCTTTCTTTCTTTCTCTTTCTTTTTCTTTCTTCCTTCCTTGTTTGTTTTCTTTCTTTTCTTTCTTTCTCTCTTTATTTATTTCTCTTTCTTTCTCTCTTTCTTTTTTTGAGACAGGGTCTAGCTCTGTCACCCAGGCTGGAATGCAATGGCACAATCTCAGCTCACTGCAACCTCTACCTCAAAGGCTCAATCAATCCTCCCACCCTAGCCTCCCGAGTAGCTGGGGCTACAGGCTTGCACCACCACGCCTGGCTAATTTTCTGATTTTTTGTAGAGACAGGGTCTCGCTATGTTGCCCATGCTGGTCTCGAACTCCTGGTCTCAAGCAATCTACCCACCTCGGCCTCCAAAAGTGCTAGGATTACAGGCATGAGCCACTGCCCCCAATCTCTTATTTGAAATGTTTCTACTTTTTTGATGTAGGAGTTTATTGCTATATACTTGCCTCTTAGCATTTTTTTTTCCTTTTTGTGGAGAACCAGGTCTTGCCGTGTTGCCCAGGCTGGTCTTGAACTCCTGGGCTCCAGCAATCCTCCCGCTTTTGCCTCCCTACAGGATTATAGGCATGAGCCACCACACCCAGCCTTAGTACTGCTTCAGCTGCATTCTAGAGGATTTGCTATGTTGGGTTTCCAACTGAACTTAAGAAGTAACAAGGAAAACACTTACCTGCTTCAACAGTGCAAGGTGCTATTGATACAGCTTTTAGAGGCTCATCTCAAACTCTCAGAGTTCATGACCTGGTGGGGGAAACAGGTAAACAGTCAGTTATATCCCCATGAGGGATGGGGAACAAGAGAACCAGCATACCTCTTATGACAGCATTGAGGAGGAATTTGTTTTAACGATTATCGATACAGTGGTTGGGGAAAAATTCACAAAGAAGATGATTCTCGGCCAGGCAAGGTGGCTCACACCTGTAATCCCAGCACTTTGGGAGGCCGAGGCGTGTAGATCACCTGAGGTCAGGAGTTCAAGACCAGCCTGGCCAACATGGCGAAACCCCGTCTTTACTAAAAATACAAAAAAATAGCCAGGTTTGGTGGTGGGCGCCTGTAATCCCAGCTACTGGGGAAGCTGAGGCAGGAGAATTGCTTGAACTTGGGAGGCAGAGGTTGCAGTGAGCCGAGATCGAGCCACTGTACTCCAGCCTGGGCAACAAGAGCAAGACTCCATCTCAAAAAATAATAATAATAATAAATAAGAAGATGACTCTTTATCTTATTTGTCACATTATTAAAATAAAATTATATTTCATATTTATGGTAGAAATGCCCAAAAACCCCCACCTAGCTACTATTTCTTGATTCTTACAATGTCTTGGGGGGCACCAGGTCCAATCCTTCCCCACCCCCAGTGCCCATTTCTAAGTGAAGGAGGTGGGCTCAGAAGGACAGATGTCTTCCCCAGGATCACCCACATCATGAATGTTGGGGCTGGGGTTTGTGAACTCAGGAATCTACATTTGACTTTCTCATCTAAGAATGTTAAACTTATCCTATGATCCTCCTTTCCAGACACCACCACCCCCACCCCCGCCGGCCCCCCAAAAAGAATTTAAACTTATCCTATATAAAGGGAATTCTCTGGAAGGCTGGGTACAAATAGCTCAATCTACCTTTCACTGAAATTCTTCACTGGGTTAATTATGGTAGGCAGCGTGAAAAATTGATAACAGCGAGACAGATCTGGGTTACATTTCCCATGAGAATTTAGAGCCACGGAACAACTGGATAGCTTCATGGGAATTTGACACCGTGTATGAAAAGCACCGAGTATGCACATTCCTTCCACCCAGCCAGCTGATATCTAAAAACTTAACCTAAGAAAGTAATTCTTAAAGTTTTTCATCTCAGGCCAATTTTATATTTTTTAAATATATTGAGAACCCCTAAAATTTTTTCTTTGTATGATCTATATTTACATACAATTACATATTGAAGCTGAGAAAATTATACACTTAAAACTTAAAAATAATAATCTTATTATATATTAACATTTCACAATTTTTATAGGCAATTATACAGTATTTTCCAAAGAATTAGTAAGAAAATTAGCATTGTCTTACATGTTTGCAAATTTCTTTAATGTTCACCTTACTACAAGACAGCTAGGTTCTCCAATCTGCCACTTAATTCAAACATTTGCAGTATTACATCATGCAGGTAAATTGAAAAGTCGGTAGGCAAGTAAATTCTTAATTTTCTTAGGAAAATGCTGGGAATTATGGACCCCCAAAAAGGTCTTGATTCCCTCAGGAGTCCTTAAACTACATTTTGGGAACTACTGGCCTAAAAATATGCAAACAGTAGACATGAAAAAATCAGTGGAGACCGTCTCCACTGAGGATGGGTTTGGGAATATACAACTGAGGGTTTGGGTTTTTTTGTTTGTTGTGTTTTGTTTTTTTGAGACGGCGTCTCGCTCTGTCGCCAGGCTGGAGTGCAGTGGCGCGATCTCAGCTCACTGCAACCTCAGCCTGCCGGGTTCAAGCGATTCTCCTGCCTCAGCCTCCTGAGTAGCTGGGACTACGAGTGCCCGCCACCACACCCAGCTAATTTTTGTATTTTTAGTAGAGACGGGGTTTCACCATATTGGCCAAGCTGGTCTCAAACTCCTGACCTTGTGATCCGCCCACCTCGGCCTCCCAAAGTGCTGGGACTACAGGCGTGAGCCACTGCACCCGGCCTTTTTTGCAAATTTCTTTAATGTTCGCCTTAGTACAAGACAGCTAGATTCTCAAATCTGCCACTTAAACATTTGCAGTATTACATCATGCAGATAAATTGAAAAGTCGGTAGGCAAGTAAATTCTTAATTTTCTTAGGAAAATGTTGGGAATTATGGACCCCCAGAAAGGGTCTTGATTCCCCCAGGAGTCCTTAAACTACATTTTGGGACCTACTGGCCTAAAACTATGCAAACGGTAGACATGAAAAAATCAGTGGAGACCGTCTCAATATACAACTGAGGGTTATTAATTAAAGAAATTAATTAATTTCTAATTTCTACATCTACATTACTTTCCTGAGTCTCTGCAGCTACATTTGGCTGAGGCAGAATAGCCCCTCTGCCACTGCCTGTTCTCACCAGAGTCCCCTGTGGGGCGTCTCCGCGTTGCTAGGCGACCAGGGGAGCTCTTCCGTTCTCTCCCCCTCCAATGAACACCTCCTGCTTTTCTGCCTCTCTATCCCCACAGCTGCAACTGTCAGCCCAGGTACCCTGATTCTTTCAATTTTAGGGACGCGTAGCAGTATTAGACATCTGACACACATGAACCTCCACCTCCAGGGTTCCACAGTTTCAGCCTAAGATCTCTCTACACTTCCTTTGATAACATCATGCTTTGTGATGCTGGGTTGGCAGTGTTTGCTGTGAATCAAACCCACGAAAATCAACAAGGATGAGGAAGTGCGGGTGGCATAGTCCAGTCTGATGCCAATGTTTGAGAAGGTATAGAATGCCCAGCAGGCACACACATTCTATTATTATTATTATTTATTTATTTATTTATTTATTTATTTATTTTGAGACAGAGTCTCGCTCTGTCCTCCAGGCTGGAAGTACAGTGGCACGATCTCGGCTCACTGCAAGCTCAACCTCCCGGGTTACACCATTCTCCTGCCTCAGCCTCCCAAGTAGCTGGGACTACAGGCGCCTGCCACCACGCCTGGCTAATTTTTTTTTCTTTGTTTTGTATTTTTAGTAGAGACGGGGTTTCACCGTACTAGCCAGGATGGTCTCGATCTCCTGACCTCATGATATGCCCGCCTGGGCCTCCCAAAGTGCTGGGATTACAGACATGAGCCACCGTGTCCAGCCACACATTCTATTATTAAGCAATTACGACTGAAAAAATTTAAAAGATCATCATCTTTGCAATAAGAAACCACCTCACTTTCATTAACATGGCTACTATCCATAAAACACAATGTAAGAAATATTGGCAGGATTTGGAGAAATTGGAACCCTTCTGCACTGCTGATGGGAATGTGGTATGATGCAGTCATTCTGGAAAATGGTCTGAAGGTTTCCAAAAAAAATTAAAAATAAAATTGTCATGTGATCCAGCAATTCTAATTCTAGATAAAGACCTTAAAAATGGAAAGCAGTGGGCTGGGTGCGGTGGTGCACGCCTGTAATCCCAACACTTTGGGAGGCCAAGGCGGGCAGATCACGAGGTCAGGAGATCGAGACCATCCTGACTAACACGGTGAAACCCCGTCTCTACTAAAAATACAAAGACAAAATTAGCCGGGCATGGTGGTGGGCGCCTGTAGTCCCAGCTACTTGGGAGGCTGAGGCAGGAGAATGGCGTGAACCCGGGAGGTGGAGGTTGCAGTGAGCCGAGATCGCGCCACTGCACTCCAGCCTGGGCGACAGAGCGAGACTCCGTCTCAAAAAAAAATGAATAAATAACAAAATAACATGTATCATGGTTTACATTTGGCCTACTTTCTTCTTTCTTTTTTTTTTTTTTTTTGGTAAAGTAGGACTTGGTGATCTTTCCTAATTGTACTTAGAACCAATATTTATCTCATCAGTCTTCCTCAGTCATTTCTTTCTACATACCCCTTCCTGCCCACTCCCCACAACACTCCTGCTAACGGTGAGTTTTATGGGCCAACCTGGTTGGGGTCCAGTGCCTGGTAATCCAATCACATGCTAATCCAGGCATGGCTGTGAAGGTTATTTTGTAGATGTGGTTATCATCTACAACCAGTTTTTTTTAAGAAAAGGTTGCCCTCGGTAATGTAAGTGGACTTCATCCAATCAGTTGAAGGCCTTCTGAGTAAAACTCAGGGTTTCCCAGAGAAGAGGAAATCCTGCCTCAAGATTTCAGCATCAATGTCTGCTTGAGTTTCCCACCTGCTGGCTGGCCCTACAAACCAACTCCCACAACTGTGTGAGACAATTCCTTAAAATAAATCTCAACCTCTGCATACATTAGATGATAGACAGACAGACAGACAGACAGGCAGGCAGGCAGGCAGGCAGGCAGATAGATAGACAGATGGATAGATAGATAGATAGATAGATAGATAGATAGATAGATAGATAGATAGATAGATAGATAGATAGATAGGGACAGGTATATATACACACATATATCTGAATTTCCTGGGTCTGCAGAGCTGAGGACCCCAATCTGTCTTGGAGTGACTTTTTCATGGCCTGCCTCCCTTCCCCCTTGATCTCAGAGCCTTCCACCAGAATCTCTATTATATATGTATACATATAGACAACACAGAGAGAGATAAGAGAAAGATTTTAAGGAATTGGCTCACGTGATCAATTTGTGTCTATTAATATATACATCTATAATATATATGTGGATAGGTACATAGTATCTCCTATTGATTCTGTTTCTGAACCCTGACTGATACAGCTTCACATTCTATTTATTATATCACCCATTTTTAAAAACTGGTAAAAACCATGTTCACAGAAACATCATTTATCACAGCAAGAATCTGAAAATCACATACATGTTCTTCAATTGAGTATCAGCTATATAAATGTATGGTGCAAGTTTTGCACATGCCACCTCTGAATTTTTCCTTTTTTTTCTTTTCTTTTCCTTTCTTTTTTTTTTTTTTTTTTGAGACGGAGTCTTGCTCTGTCACCCAGGCTGGAGTGCAGTGGCGCAATCTCGGCTCACTGCAAGCTCCGCCTCCCAGGTTCACGCCATTCTCCTGCCTCAGCCTCCCCAGCAGCTGGGACTACAGGCGGCTGCCACCACGCCCAGCTAATTTTTTGTATTTTTAGTAGAGACAGGGTTTCACCACGTTAGCCAGGATGGTCTCGATCTCCTGACCTCATGATCCTCTCGCCTCGACCTCCCAGGGTGCTGGGATTACAGGTGTGAGCCACCGCGCTTGGCCGAATTTTTCTTTTACCAATAAATAGAGAAATTCAAGTCATAGTTGGGAATACATTTTAGCATGAGGATAATTTTTGTTGTTGTTTTGAGACGGAGTTTCGCTCTTGTTGCCCAGGCTGGAGCGCAGTGGCACCATCTTGGCTCACTGCAACCTCCGCCTCCCGGGTTCAAGCAATTCTCCTGCCTCAGCCTCCTGAGTAGCTGGGATTACAGGCATGAGCCACCATGCCCAGCTAATTTTGTATTTTTAGTAGAGACAGGGTTTCTCCATGTTGATCAGGCTGGTCTCAAACTCCTGACCTCAGGCGATCTGCCCACCTCAGCCTCCCAAAGTGCTGGGATTACACGTGTGAGCCACCACGCCCAGCCAGCATGAGAATAATCGTATCTAAAGGGGGTTGAGTCTGATAGGAAAGGTTTGGAAATAACATCACTTGAGTAATTGAAAGATCTTTGCACATTTTTATTAGAGGGGTGTTTGTAATTACACACACCAGGCTGTATCCAACTCACCACATGTGTGTATGTGCACATGACAGATTGCAAAACTCATCCTAGTATTCCACCCCTCCTTGAACCCATGCCGTTTGTCCTGTGGCCATTTTCCCATCCCTCAAATCTGGGCTGCACCTGTGGTTTGCTTTGGCCAGTAGCTTGCAGTGGAAGTGCAAAGCTGTCAGTACAGAGCCTTGTGCTCAACGGGCTTGACGGTTCCTACTAACTCTCTCGGAACCCTGCCAGGCTGCCATGGAAATGACCCTAGGCTGTCCTGGCAGAGGATGAGAGGCTACAGATGGGCCAGCCGCCGCTCAACCCAGCTCAGCACAGATGAACGAGTGGGCCCAGCCAAGACAGAAGAACTAGTTGACTAAACCCAACCCACAGTGCCGACCCACAGCTGATTAAGTAAATGAAGCATGGCAGTTGCTTAGCCTCTATATCAGAGAGCTTGGGCTGCCATAACAAAGTGCCACAGACTCGGTCACCTAAACAACAGAAACTTATTCTCTCCCAGTTCTGGAGGCTGAAATCCTAGATCAAGGGACCAGGGCCGGACGCAGTGGCTCAGGCCTGTAATCCCAGCACTTTGGGAGGCTGAGCAGGGTGGATCACCTGAGGTCAAGAGTTTGAGACCAGCCTGGCCAACAGGGCGAAACCCTGTCTCTACTAAAAATACAAAAATTAGCCGGGCGCGGTAGCACACACCTGTAGTCCCAGCTACGCAGGAGGCTGAGGCAGGAGAACTGCTTGAGGTGGAGGTTGCAGTGAGCTGAGATCGTGCCACTGTACTCCAGACAGCGAGAATCTGTCTCAAAAAAAAAAAAAAAAAAAAAGAGTCTCCAGTGTTGGAGCGGTGACGCCTGAATCAACAGTCATCTGCAGATCACTCCACCTCTGTAGGCCTGAATGTGTGTGTCACCCCCCAAAAACTTTTATGTTGAAAGTTAATCACCAAGGTGATGGTGTTGGGAGGTGAGGTTTTGAGGAGGTGATTTGGTTACGAAGGCTGAGCCCTCATGAATGGGATTAGCATAATTCTAAGAGGCCCAAGAAAGCTCTTTTCTCCCTTCCACCCTGTGAGGACACAGCCAGCAAGAAGGTGCCATCTACGAACAAGGAATTGGGTCCTCACCAGACACCGAATCTCCTGGCACTTTCATCTTAGGCTTTCTAGCCTTCAGAATGATTCTTTTCAAGGCCAGGCACAGTGGCTCATGCCTGTAATCCCAGCGCTTTGGGATGCCGAGGAAAGAGGACCACTTGAGCCCAGGAGTTTGCGACCAGAATGGGCAACACAGGGAGACCTCATCTCTGTTTAAATAAATAAATACATCACCTGTTCTGCTCGTTATAAGCTGCCCTGTTTATGCTGTCTTGTGATAGCAGCTGGAATGGACTGGCAACCCCCCTGAGGTCAAAATCCCAGCCATTTCCTAGTACACGGTAAAGGGGGGAGTCTGGAAGCTTAAGGAAACGTGAATGTAGACATCGGTCTATGCAGGCAAACTGCCCAGGTACCCTTAAACATACTCCCAGAGGACCCATGGGAGACTTGCCTCACCAACACTGTAAGGTGAAGAGGCTTCTGGATCGGTGAAGAGCCCTGTGGCTGCTGTCCATTGTAGGATGGAGAAAATGCCACGAGGAAATTGGATTCCATGAGCTTGGTGGGAATAATAGGATCTTTTGGTGGTAGAGGCCAGGTGGGCACTAAACATTTAGAAGCCAGGAGGTCACAAACGTGATGCTAAGCCAGAGATCACCCAGTTATAATGATAATGCAGCATAAAATTCAGAATATTTCAACCCACAGGGAATCTGGAATAATTGCTCATTGGTCATGAGATCTCTAGAAATGAACTACTTTGACAAGTTGCTAAGGTGTTTCTCCACAGAGGACTTCAGCATCTGTCCAACAAAGTCCAGCAGAAGTTGATGTAACAAGATTTGTGGACTTTCACTCAGCTCTTATTTAAGCCGGTGTTTAGAGCCTGAGCCCTTGACTTGGGAGGATATCATAAATCTTCCTCTAAGCCAATTTCAAGGTGACCACACTCCAGTTAGCACGGTGATCATGAACCAGGGAAAGCAAAGTACTCCAGCCTCTTGTGGGTTTTAGATTCAGGATGTGAGCTTAATGCCCCATTTTACCCATTGTGATGAGCCAAATTGTGCCCCACCACCAAATTTTATGTTGACGTCCTAACCCCCCATTCCTTGGAATGTGACTGTACTTGGAGATGGAGAAAGGGAATTAAGATAAAATGAGGTCATTAGCATGGGTCCCAAGTCCAATATGACTGACATTGTTTTTTGTTTTGTTTGTTTGTTTGTTTTTTGTTTGAGATGGAGTCTCAGTCTCTCGCCCAGGCTGGAGTGCAGTGGCGTGATCTCCACTCACTGCAACCTCCACCTCCCGGGTTCAAGCTATTCTGCTGCCTCAGCCTCCTGAGTAGCTGGAACTACAGGCATTTGCCACCACGCCTGGCTAATTTTTCTATTTTTTTTAGTAGAGATGGTGTTTCGCCATGTTGACCAGGCTGGTCTGGAACTCCTGACCTCAGGTGATCCACCCGCCTCAGCCTCCTAAGATGCTGGGATTACAAGTGTGGGCCACCACACCCGGCCCATGGCTGACATTCTTAAAAAAAAAAAAAAAAAAAAAAAAAAGAGTGTGGGAGAGATTAGGACACAGACACACACAGAGGGAAGACCATATGAAGACATGGGGAAGATGGTCGTCTGCCAGCCAAGGAGAGAGGCATCAGGGGAAACCAACCTTGGCCATAACTTGATCGTGAACTTCCATTCTTGAGAACTGTGAAGAAATAAGTTTCCATTGTTTAAGACCCTGGTCTGTGATGCTTTGTTATGGTGGCTCTAGAAAACTACTCCACCATCTGATCTCACGTTCCTCAACGTCACACTTTCATTTTCTTCCAGGGGGTGTTTAAGACTTAATGGAAGTGACCAAAGAAAACCACAGAAACCGGTTCCTGGAAGGAGCTGCCTGCCCTGGTTGCCAGAGCCTATAGCTGGGTCTAGAATCTTCCACCCCTGGGTAGAGGCTGCCTACTGGTGTGTGACAAACATAGCTGGGACATGGAGTCCCTGCCTCAGGGTCTCTGAAACGTTGTGTGGCCTGATTTGATTGTGCATTTCCTCAGCAGCCCAAGCCAGCATTTTCTGGGGACATTTTTGCCTGATTGTGAAGGTGTTTTCTTAGTGACCACAGAAGTACATTTTCTCCAGGCTAGGAAATGAAAGAGGCAAAGTGCTTTAAAGAGGCAAAGTGCTTTAAAGTGTAGGCCTGGCACAGTGGCTTATGCTTGTAATCCCAAGACCAGGAGGCCAAGGCAGGAGGATCGTTTGGGCCCAGGAGTTCAAGACCAGCCTGGGCAATATAGTGAGACCCTCATCTCTACAAAAACTAAAAAATAAAAATAAGTAAAAATAAATGTTAACACAGAGGAGGCATAGGCATCACACAGAGAGGGGTTCGAATCCCAGTTCCTCCACTTGCAACCTTCAAAATCACAGACAAAACACTTATCCTCCAGGAGCTTCCATCTCCCTGTGTGTCAAATGTGCGCTGCAATGTGCTTGACATGTAAAGAGACCATCTATCAGGTGCTAAGGCTACTGCAGCAAAGCACCGCCAACCTGTGGCTGCAGCAACAGACATTTATCGCCTCACGCTTCTGGAGGCTGGAAATCTGAAATCAGGGTGTAGGCAGGGATGGTTCCTTCTAAGAGCCATGAAGAAGAATTTGCTCCAGGCCTCTCTCCCTGGTTTGCAGATGGCGGCCTTCTCCCTGTGCCTCTACATATCATGTTCTCTCTATGCGTGTCTCTGCGTGCAAATGCACCCTTTTTATAAGGACAGCTGTCATTTTGGGTTATGGCCCACCCTATTTACTCATTTTAACTTTATTACCTCTGTAAAGAACCTGTCTCCAAATAAAGTCACATTCTGAGGAATAGGGGGTTAGCATTCCAACATATATTTGGGAGGGGGGTGAGCATAAATCAACCCCCAACAGGTAAATGTGGCTTTCTAAAGAAAATTGTCTTAAAAACCATATTTAAAGGAAATGAATATTTGAGTTGTTTCTGTTGTCCATCCTTTGAGGAAAATGTCCCTTCTCATGAAGCTTCCAGAAGGAAGAGGGAAGCACAGAATGCCTCTTGAGGTCTACGAATAAGTAAAATATGAACTGTAAATAAAGCATGTGTCATGGTTTAAGGGCAGCCGTGGGGCTACATAAAGTAATGTGGAATCTCACAATCAATGGCATGTTGGTTTAGTGAAATGCATTTTTTTTCCCATTCTATCTTCACAGATTTCTCTGCTTTTCCAATTATCTAAAAATGATCTCATGCCTATGTTTCCAATGGCCAAGGGAATAATTTAGGAAGGCTAACAGAATTCCTTCAGAGCAGGCACCTTAAAATAATGCCGGCCAATAGTAAATGCCATGTGCATGTCAACTATTAAAATTATTTAAGGCCGAGGTGGAAGGATTGGAGTTCAAGACTAGCCAGGGCAACATAGCGACACCTCATCTCTACAAAAAATAAAAGTTAAAAAAAAGTTAGCCAGTGTGGTGGCACATGCCTGCAATCTCAGCTACTCAGGAGGCTAAGATGGGAGGATCACTAGAGTTGGGGAGGTCGAGGATGCAGTGAGCCGTGATTGTACCACTGCACTCCAGCCTGTGCAACAAAGCGAAACTGTTTCTAAAAAATAAAACTCTCTCCTGCCTCTGCCAGGAGAGAGCTTGTTCCTCCAACCCCAGGAGGCCAGGCAAGCATGGACAGGAGCCAAGGGAGCAGGGTCATGAACTTTTTCATCTTTGCAAAGTGGGCACTTGGCATCAGGGTCCCATCACCAGAAAGCACCAAAGCCCCTGGCACCCCACCCACTCCATCCTACCCAGGGACCCCAAGTAGGCAACTGCTATGGCAGTGGGTCCAGCCCAGGCCGGCACTGCCAGCCTCCTCTCCCTGCAGTAGGCACCAGCTCTACCTCCCCCGGCAGGCAATGTCCTGGCTTCTCAGCCCAGCACCATCTGTTCCCCTAGACTTCTCAGGGGCCAGCCCAGTCTGGGCCACCCTTTCCCTCATCCTCGGCTCCCACACAGGTGACAGGCCCAGCAGATAGCTTCTCTCTGGGAAAGGTTGGATGCTGCCTTACATCCCCTTCTATCCCTCCTCCCATCCACACACACAGGCACCCACCCACACCAGGTCTGCTTGTTTCTCACATGTAGGGAGAGGGGGGGAGACCAACCCCTTTGTGTCTTTTGAAATACGAAGAAAAATGTGTGTTCAGGAGCATGACTCCAGTGCTGGGCTCTTGGGCCCAGTTCAGTCTGTCTTGTCTCAAATCTAGGCACTTTTGCTTCAATTTTATTTTTTTTAAGAAAACAAAAACAGAAATCTGCACTAATTTACCTGGTTCTTAGGAAAACTTTTTTTTATTTTTTACATTTTTTGGTGTCCGTTTGTATTGAATAATTTGCTACATTTGTAAAATGTAAGAGGTATATATAATATATGTATATTTCTAACGTAAAAACAATTTTTTTCTTTTCAAGATTTTTTCTTAAAAAGATGAGAGAAACATATTTTTTCAGGAAAAACAAACTTTAAAAAAAAAAGAGGAGAAATAAAACCTTTTCTCCCCTTTCCCCATCCTCTATCTATCCCTGTTTCCCAGGAACAAATCAAAAGGTGGATTATCTTCTGAAGAATGGAAACTGTTAGTCCAGAATGATGTCTTTTTCTCAATGCAGTGAGTTATAGATTCTCTAGTTTTCTCCCTAGGGATGGGAAGGGGGCATTGACGCAAGCCTGGAGAGGAGCCCGGGGAGCAGGGTCATGAAGTTTTTTCTTCAGTGAAGGAGGAATACAATCAAGGGTTTTGTATTCAGAATGTTGTGCAATATTTTGGAATAGGACATTGGTGTGTTTAGAGATTTTAGTTTAAAAACAAAACAAAAAGATTGATCAAATCTGTACAGTTTCTATTGTTCCAGATTTTTTAAAGTTTGTATTAAAAGCATGATACATAATAAAAATAAATAAATAAATAAAACTAAAAAGTAAAATGAAATTCTTCATCTATGTTAATGGATTTGCCACCTTCTTTGCCATAGACTGGAATGACATCAGCTACCTGAGACCAAAATAAAAGTGTGGGTTGCAAACCCTGGCACCTACCTTTTTAGATTCCGCAGCCTGCAGTAGGGACTTAGCCTGTCTGAACCTCAGCTTCCTTCTTTCTTCTTCTTTTTTTTTGAGACGAAGTCTCGCTCTGTCACCCAGGCTGGAGTGCAGTGGTGCGATCTCAGCTCACTGCAACCCTCGCCTCCCAGGTTCAAGCCATTCTCCCGCCTCAGCCTTCCAAGTAGCTGGAAGTGCATGCCACCATGCTCGGCTAATTTTTGTATTTTTAGTAGAGACGGGGGTTTCGCCATATTGGCCAGGCTGGTCTCGAACTCCTGACCTCAGGTGATCCACCCGCCTCGGCCTCCCTAAGCGCTGGGATGACAGGTGCCCGGACTCAAGTTCCTTCTTTCTAAGCCTGTGGGCTCGGCCTCATCCCCTGAGCAAGAAAAAAGTCCCACCCCTGAGTTACTGGAAGCGCCCACCGCCATGCACTGAGGCTGTAGTGGGCGGGGCTCGGGGCAGCAGCCCGGCGCTCCTCGGGCCCCCAGGGGTCAGCGCCCTGCGGACCTAGCGTGTGCAGACGCTTAGCCTTCTGGGAGTTGTAGTTTCGATGACCCAGGCTTTGCAAGCTTTAGTCGCGGTGCCGGCGAGCGCGCAGCGCCCCCTGGGAGTCGTAGTTCCTAAGAACCAGGCGGGCCCGATGCGCAGGCGCAGTCCACCCCGGCCTGGTGCGCGGGCTCCTCCGCAGCAGCAGAAGTCTTGACCTTAGCTCGTCTAAGGAAGGAGGCACCAGGGTCTGCGTTGGCCCAGGAGGACCCGAGACTGAGTAGAAGCGGAGCCGACTGCACCAGGCTAGGAGGGGGCCGGCCAGCGCGTTCGAAGGTGATACCGGGAGGCGAGAGCAACGGTGTGTAGTGTGCGCGTGTTCCTGCAGGTGTGTGACCGCGTGTGAGCCCGTCCCCGAGTGCCATTGTGTCTGCACCTGTTCACTTAGCGGTGTCAGCCCGTATAGGTGTGTGACTGCCTGTGAGCCCGTCCCTGAGTAACACAGCGTCTGCACCTGGTCACTCGACGGTACCAGCAGGTGCAGGTGTGTGACTGCCTGTGAGCCTGTCACTGCATCTGCACCTGCTTACTCGGCGGTGCCAGCCCGTCACTGTGTCTGTACCTGCTCACTTGGCGGTGCCAGGCCGTGCAGGTGTGTGACTGGCTGTGAGCCTGTCCCTGAGTGTCACAGCGTCTGCACCTGCTCACTCGACGGTACCAGCAGGTGCAGGTGTGTGACTGCCTGTGAGCCCGTCCCTGAGTGTCACAGCGTCTGCCCCTGCTCACTTGGCGGTGCCAGCCCATCACTGTGTCTGTACCTGCTCACTCGGCGGTGCCAGGCCTTGCAGGTGTGTGACTGCCTGTGAGCCCGTCCCCGAGTGTCACTGTGTCTGCACCTGCTCACTCAGTGGTGCCAGCCCAGGCAGGTGACTGCAGGTAAAGGCATGTAACACTTTATCGGTGTGTTATGTGCTCGTTCATGTGAAGCGGTGTCTGCATATCACAGCATGTCACATACACGTGTGGCTGCCTTTGGGCAAGTCTGAAAGTTCTCCTGGATGTGAGGTGTGTGACCCCACGTGTGCATGTCTGGGTGTGCCGCCGTGTAGGCTGGCTCGGCCCGTGTGCCTGCCAGCACAATGATGGGTGACCTGGCTGTGCGAGCCTGTAGAGTGCCGTGCTGTCTGAAGTGTGTGCATCTGCACATGATGGAGACGCTGCACATGTGGGCTTTGGCTATGCTGGAGCTCTATCCACCGAGTGTGACTGCACATGTGTCCAGCCATCCCCTGTGGGTGTGTCCCAGTAATGGCCGGCCTGTGTGGAGCAGGTGGCATGTGTGACCTTGTGCGTCTCTGTGCACCTCTTCACACAGGGAGCTACGTGTGGGGCTGGGTGTGTGTGTAGCTACGTGTGCCCGGGACCCTGTGTGCATGTGTGAGTGTGGCTGCAGGTGATGGCTTCCCACCTGCCTCCTTGCATGGGGGTTAGGAGGGCGACTGTGTGTCCCTGGATATGGGTTTGGGTGTCTCTGCATGTCTGTGTGTGTCTGGGCAGGTATGATTGTGTATGACCCTGTGTGTGTCAGAGTGTGATGTAATGCATGTGTCTTCCTGTGATCTTGTGATATAATAAGAAATATATGTTTAATCTTTATCCCCAGCTCCTGGTACCAGAGCCCCTAAAACCCTTGGAATTTCCTGAGTGACAGGGGTAGAAGGAGTGTCTTCTGCAACTCTTAATAAGCCCCCTGCAACCACACCTGTGTTTATGCTAATGGAGGACTCCTGATAGGCCCCCAAGTACATTTATGCTAATGGAGGACTCCTGATAGGCCCCCAAGTACATTTATGCTAATGGAGGACTCCTGATAGGCCCCCAAGTACATTTATGCTAATGGAGGACTCCTGGTAGGCCCCCAAGTACATTTATGCTAATGGAGGACTCCTGATAGGCCCCCAAGTACATTTATGCTAATGGAGGACTCCTGATAGGCCCCCAAGTACATTTATGCTAATGGAGGACTCCTGATAGGCCCCCAAGTACATTTATGCTAATGGAGGACTCCTGGTAGGCCCCCAAGTACATTTATGCTAATGGAGGACTCCTGATAGGCCCCCAAGTACATTTATGCTAATGGAGGACTCCTGATAGGCCCCCAAGTACATTTATGCTAATGGAGGACTCCTGGTAGACCCCCAAGTACATTTATGCTAATGGAGGACTCCTGATAGGCCCCCAAGTACATTTATGCTAATGGAGGACTCCTGATAGGCCCCCAAGTACATTTATGCTAATGGAGGACTCCTGGTAGGCCCCCAAGTACATTTATGCTAATGGAGGACTCCTGATAGGCCCCCAAGTACATTTATGCTAATGGAGGACTCCTGGTAGACCCCCAAGTACATTTATGCTAATGGAGGACTCCTGATAGGCCCCTAGGATGGGCTGGTTGCCACGGGAGCTAGCCCTGATGAGCATTCCAGCCTTCAGCCAGCCCCTACCTCCTGGGAGGGGAGAGGGCTGGAAGTTGAGTTCATCACCGATGGCCAGTGTCATCACACCTATGTCAGTCACGCCCGTGTCATGGAACCCCCATAACCACCCTAAACTTAGGGTTTGCCGAGCTCTGGGGCTGTCGAGCACCCAGAGAGGGCATGGTGCTCTGAGCTCCTCCTTATACCTTACCCTGTGTGTCTTCCATCTGGCTGTTCCTGAGTTGTATCCTTTATTGGAAACCAGTAACCGTAAATAAAGCATGTCCCTGAGTTCAATGAGCTATGTGAGCAAATCACCAAACCCAAGGAGGGGTTGAGGCAGTTTTATGGTTGGTAGCTGCCTGTGCCTCCCAGTCAGAGCAGATTGGAGACTTGGTTGTTGGTGTGGAGAAAGCCCACGTGTCAGAAGTGCTGGGAGTAGACAGCTTTCTTCTACTGCCCCCAAGCAAGCCTGTGTCTCCCCTTGGGCTCCTTTGTGTGTGCACAACACCCAGGTTTACCCAACCCCGCTGTGAACCCACCTGCCCTCCCCCTACACACGAGGTGGGTACCCCTGCACACTCCGGGGATGCCGGTGGACGTGGCACCTGAGCCGACCCAGCCTGGCCCCCACCAGCAAGTTCTTACCAGCACACGTGACTTCCTGTGTGAGCTGACCCCCACCCCACTCTACCGCATCTCCCCTGCCTTGCACCTCAGTTGCTCTGTCCAGCCCCACCCCCTTTACCTTTCCTCTGCCACCCTTGTCACCATCCTGCCCTGGGACCTTTGCACTTGCTGTGTTCTCCACCCTGAACACAAACATCATCACTCCCTCAGGGTCTCCTCTTGTCCTCTTGCTGAGGCACACGCTGCGGGAAGAGCATGTCAGGCAGAAAGAATAGCCCACACAAAAGCCCTGTCTTGACCAGGTGTGGTTGGTGGTGCCTGCCTGTGATCCAAGCCCTTTGGGAGGCTGAGGTGAGAGGATCACTTGAGCCAGGATTCCCAGGCTGCAGCGAGCTATGATTGCAACACTGCACTCCAGCCTGAGCAACAGAGCAAGACCCTGTCTCAAAAAAAAAAAAAAAAAAAGCCCTATTTTAGGTCCTTTGGGGTGTGACGGAATGCCATACTCTGGTGGCTTAGAAACAGCATTTATTGGCCGGGCACAGTGGCACATGCCTGTAATCCCAGCACTTTGGGAGGCCAAGGTGGGTGGATCATCTGAGGACAGGAGTTTGAGACCAGCCTGACTAATATGGTGAAACCTCATCTCTACTAAATACAAAAAATTAGCTGAACATGGTAGCGCATGCCTGTAATCCCAGCTATGCAGGAGGCTGAGGCAGGAGAATCGCTTGAACCCGGAAGGTGAAGGTTGCAGTGAGCCAACATTGTGCCACTGCACTCCAGCCTGGGCACCAAGAGCGAAACTCTTATCTCAAAAACAAAACAAAACAAACAAACAAAAAAACAAAAAAAGAAAGAAAGAAAGAAACAGCATTTATTTCCACACAGTTCTAGGGGCTGGAAGTCCAAGGTCAAGGTGCCGGCAGGTTTGGTGTCTGGTGAGGGCTGCTTCCTAGTTCATAGACCGGGCCCTCTTGTTGTGTCTTCATTTGGAGGAAGGGGCAAGGGAGCCTTCTGGGTCCTCTTTTATAAGGGCAGGAATCCAACGCCTGAGGGCTCCAGCCTCATGTCATCATCACCTCCCAGAGGCCCCACCTCCTAGCACCACCACAAAGGGTTAGGATCTCACACAGGAAGTGGGGAGGACAAGCTTCAGACGTAGCCTGTCCAGCAGCAGCAGGAGTGTACCCGGAGGAGCCAAAGGCCGAGCACTCTCTGCTGTATGCACACAGCCTACTAGTTGGTTCAGGGAATGCCTGTGTGTGAGGGGCTGAGCCCACACATAACATGAGGCCAAGCTTGCTGAGAGACCTGCCATGTCCCTCGGGAGAAGGGGAGGCTGGAGCCCTGTTTAGAGAGAGAAAACCAGGCAGAGCCTCAGAGCAGGTAGCCACTTACCTGCAGCCACACAGCCTGGAAAGGACCTCCCAGCAGTGTGAGCCCCCTCCTCTGGGGCTAGCCCCAGCACAGTGGATCCACAGGCAGCTGCCTCCTTCCCTCTCTCAGCACCAGGAGGTCATTTGTCCATCTGTCTTCCCATTCTGTTAGAACTAAAGCATCAGAAGTCAGTGGTGAGTTTCTCGCCAGCGTGCAGGTCCAGTGTACACCAGGCAATTGGTATAAATCCTTCAGCATCACAGCCCCACTAGAAGTAACTATATGTATGGCTTCTGTTATGGCTTTCTAAAAAACAGTGACTTCCTGGGCTCATATAAAAACAGATCCCTGCTTTCCACTGAAAATGTGCAAAGCAGACAGGGTAACCTGCAATAGCTTGAGATCACCATCTCTAACGACCCTGGGCCCACGAGCCAGCATGAACCTCTGAGCCTGGGAGACCCTGGGCAGCTCCTTCACTGATGGAGCCCTGTAGAAGGGGAGCATAGTGAGTTGAATAGTGTCCCCATAATGTGAAATCTGGGATCACTGTTGGCTGATTCTGTCTGGTGAGGGCTCTCTTCCTGGTTTACAGATGGCCGCCTTCTCCCTGTGTCCTCACACGCAGAGAGGACAGAGAGAGCAGAGAGTAAGTGAGCCCCCTGGTGTCTCCTCTTATAAGGACGCTAATCCTATTAAGGAGGATGCCCTCATGACCTAATCATCCTCCAAAGGCCCCACATCAAACGCTGTCACACTGGGAATTAAAGTTTCAACTGATTTTTCCCCAGAAAAGAAAACTGTCTTTCCAGTTATCTTAGCTCCAGCTTACAAAAAAAATCACAGATTAGGTGGCTGAAGCAATAAACACTTATTTCTTCACAGTGCTAGAGGCTGGGAGTCTGAGATCAGAGTGCCAGCATGGTCAGACCACACTGAGGACTCACTTCCTGGCTTGCAGACGGCTGCCTTCTTGCCATGTGTTCACCTGACAGACAGCGAGCTCTGGTGTCGCTTCCTCTTCTTATCAAAACATTAGTCCCAGCCAAGCGCGGTGGCTCACGCCTGTAATCCCAGCACTTTGGGAGGCCAAGGTGGGTGGGTCACCTGAGGTCAGGAGTTTGAGACCAGCCTGGCCAATATGGTGAAACCCCCTCTCTACTAAAAATACAAAAATTAGCCGGGCATGGTGGCGTGCACCTGTAGTCCCAACTACTCAGGAGGCTGAGGCAGAAGAATTGCTTGAACCCGGGAGGCGGAGGTTGCAGTGAGCCAAGACTGTGCTCCAGCCTGGGCAACAGAGCAAGACTCCATGTCAAAAAAAAAATAAAACAGTCCCATTGTGGGGGCCCCACCCTCATGACCCCCTCTAAAGCTAATCACCTCCCAAAGGCTCCATCTCCACAAAGCATCACCTTGGGAGTTAGGGCTTCCATGTATAAATTTTGAGGGGGCACAATTCAGTTCACAGCACCAGATTACAGGGCCATATTTTAAGAGCTGACAGATTCATGCTTTTTTTTTCTTTTTCAGGGATCTTTTAAATTTGTTTTTAGTTCCATTAAGTCAGTGATTCCCAACTGGGGGCAATTTTGTCCCCAGGGGAGGGGACACCTGGCAGTGTCTGGAGACTTTTTAAAGAAAATTCAGACAGGGTCTCACACTGTCACCCAGGCTAGAGTGCAGTAGTGTGATCACTACTCACTGCAGCTTCAACCTTCTGAGCTCAGCTGATCCTCTTGCCTCAGCCTCCTGAGTAGCTGGGACCACGGGTGCACAACATCATGCCTGGCTAATTTTTTTTTTCATTTGTAGAAATGAGATCTTGCTGTGTTGCCCAGGCAGCAGACAGTTTGCTGGTCTCAAACTCCTGGGCTCAAGCAACCACCTGCCTTGGCCTCCCAAAGTGCTGGGATTGCAGGCATGAGCCACCACGTCCGGCCTGGAGACATTTTTCATTGTTACAACTCAGGGGTTGAGGGGTAGTGTCCCTGGCAGCCAGTGTGGAGAGACCAGGGACGCTGCTCAACATCTCACAACACACAGGATGGGTCCCACCACACCAAATTATTGGACCCAAAATGTCATTGGCACAGAGGTCCAGGGACCCCATGCTAAGTTCTTACCAGTTCAGCTGTTAGCCATTTTTCCAGCTCAGGACAAGTGGCAACATTTAATTTTTTTTTCTATCTTTTTCTTTTCAGACCCAGAGAAAAGATGTGAGATCAAGACAGCAGCCCAGGGATCGAGGATGGAGGGACTCTTGAGCGTCGCCCTCCAGGGCGCAGAGTTGGAAGGAAACTGGAAACACGAGGGCCAGGTTGAGGACCTGCAGGAAAACCAGGAAAGCTGTCCAGAGCCAGAGGCCGTGGCCTGCAAGGGAGACCCTGCTGGGGACAGCATGCAGGAACGCGATGAATTCAGCCGAATCCCAAGAACCATATCGAGCCCTGCTGCTACCCAAGCCAGTGTCCCCGACGACAGCAGTTCCCGGAGGTGCAGCGCGCCTGGGGAGAGCCCGAAGGAGAGGCATCCTGACAGCCGCCAGCGGGAGAGAGGTGGAGGCCCCAAGAAGCCGTGGAAATGCGGGGACTGCGGGAAGGCCTTCAGCTACTGTTCAGCGTTCATCTTACACCAGAGAATCCACACCGGGGAGAAGCCATTTGCGTGCCCCGAGTGCGGCAAGGCCTTCAGCCAGAGCGTGCACCTGACCCTGCACCAGCGCACGCACACGGGCGAGAAGCCCTACGCCTGCCACGAGTGCGGCAAGGCCTTCAGCCAGGGCTCGTACCTGGCGTCCCACTGGCGCACGCACACGGGCGAGAAGCCGCACCGCTGCGCCGACTGCGGCAAGGCCTTCACGCGCGTCACGCACCTGACCCAGCACCGGCGCGTGCACACGGGCGAGCGGCCCTACGCGTGCGCCCAGTGCGCCAAGGCGTTCCGCAACCGCTCGTCCCTGATAGAGCACCAGCGCATCCACACCGGTGAGAAGCCCTACGAGTGCTCCGCGTGCGCCAAGGCCTTCCGCTTCTCCTCAGCGCTCATCCGCCACCAGCGCATCCACACGGAGGAGAAGCCCTACCGCTGCGGCCAGTGCGCCAAGGCCTTCGCGCAGATCGCGCACCTGACCCAGCACCGGCGCGTGCACACGGGCGAGAAGCCCTACACGTGCCAGGACTGCGGCGCGCTCTTCAGCCAGAGCGCCTCTCTGGCCGAGCACCGGCGCATCCACACAGGCGAGAAGCCCTACGCGTGCGGCCAGTGCGCCAAGGCCTTCACCCAGGTGTCGCACCTGACGCAGCACCAGCGCACGCACACCGGAGAGCGGCCTTACCCCTGCCACGACTGCGGCAAGCGCTTCAGCAACCGCTCCCACCTCCTCCAGCACCGCCTCGTGCACACCGGTGAGCGGCCCTACAGGTGCCTGCAATGCGGGGCCGCCTTCAGCCACGTGTCCTCGCTTATAGAGCACCAGAAGATCCACACCGGAGAGCGGCCCTACAAGTGCGGCGAGTGCGGCAAAGCTTTCAGCCAGGGCTCCTCGCTCGCCCTGCACCAGCGCACGCACACGGGCGAGCGGCCCTACACCTGCCCCGAGTGCGGCAAGGCCTTCAGCAACCGCTCCTACCTGATCCAGCACCACATCGTGCACACCGGGGAGAAGCCCTACGAGTGCAGCGGCTGCGGGAAGGCCTTCAGCTTCTCCTCCGCGCTCATCCGACACCAGAGGACGCATGCAGACAGTTCGGGACGCCTTTGCCCAGCTCCCACGCCTGACTCAACACCTGGGCTCTCACAGGGAGGAGAAACCTGTCAACAGGGGTGCCCTGGCAGAAACCCGCGTGGACCAGCAGAAGATTAAGAGCTGAGGGCCTCCTTTCCAACCTCACAATGCTATGGGGGAGATACTGTGTTATCCCCGACGCTTCCTGTGAGGAAACCGAGGCTCAGAGAAGCTTGTTAACTTGCCTGAGGGCACACAGTGGGGAAGACACAGGGCTAAGACTGTACCTCACATCTGCCAGACTCCCCTGCGGTCTTCCTGGTGCAAAATTATAAATGGGGCACGGGCAAGTAGACCTGCAGAAACACCTATGGCTGGCCTTTAATTTCTTTCTTTTTTTCTTTGAGACAGTGTCTCTCTCTGTCACCCAGGCTAGAGTGCAGTGGAGCGATCTCGGCTCACTGAAACTTCTGCCTCCCGGGTACAAGTGATTCTCCTGCCTCAACCTCCCGAGTAGTTAAAATTACAGGAGTCTGGCTAATTTTTTTTTTTTTTTTTTTCTGAGACGGAGTCTTGCTCTGTCGCCCAGGCTGGAGTGCAGTGATGCAATCTCGGCTCACTGCAACCTCCGCCTCCCGGGTTCAAGTGATTCCCCTACCTCAGCCTCCCGAGTAGCTGGGACTACAGGCGCCCGGCCACCACACCCGGACTAGTTTTTTTGTATTTTAGTAGAGGCGGGGTTTCACCATGTTGGCTAGGATGGTCTCGATCTCCTGACTTCGTTATCCACCCGCCTCGGCCTCCCAAAGTGCTGGGATTACAGGCATGAGCCACCGCGCCCAGCCTAATTTTTGTATTTTTAGTAGAGGCAGGGTTTCACCATGTTGGCCAGGCTGTCTCGAACTCCTAACATCAGGCGATCTGCCTGCCTTGGCATCCCAAAGTGCTGGGACTACAGGCCTGAGCTACGGTGCCTGGCCAGCTGGCCTTTTCATTGTTGATTTTATTGAGTAAGCCCTTGCTCAGTAAATTTAATTGAATTAAAGTGAATAAAAGGTTTGGTTTCTTTGGCCAAGTTGGCATATTTACTAAAGGAGCAGAGTCTGAAGAAGAAATCTGGATTCACTAAGATAGAAATAGTGCTTAGAGAAAATGAGCAGGAGAAATCTAGAGCTGAAAGTTATTCTAGAAGAAGGGAGTGCTTCTCCTCTACAAAAGATTTTTAGAGTGGGCCTAGTCTTTTTTTCAGTATGAGGAAACACCTACCCATCTCCACCATTTTTCCCCCTAACTCAAAGACCTGACTTTAATGCTTGTATCAGTCAGCTCTTGCTGTGTAACAAACCATCCAGCCCTCATTTATCCATTTACTATTTCTCATGCATCTGGAGGTCAGCTGCTGGTTCTGTTGGTCTGGACCAGGCTTGGTCTGGACCTGGACCAGGAGGGCTCAGCTGGGCCAATTTGATCTTCTTCTCCTGACTCACATCTCACCTGGGTGTGTTCTCAGGGAGGTGGCAGGAGTCTGAGAGGGAGTGGACACACAGGCATGCTTTCAAGTCTCTGATATTGTCACATTTGCATCTAGTCCCACAGGCCAAAGCAAGCCTCCTAGCCAAGCCTAGGATCAGCACAGGAAGAGCCTTCCTAAGCATGTGGTCCCAGGGAAGGGTGAAAAGTAGGAGTTATGAACGTAATCCACCTACTACAATGTTGAATTAAAGTTATAATCTCATAACTTCACATGACTATAATCATTGGAAAATTATTTTATGGGGGAATACACTCATGTAGTCCACAATTTATAAAGTTAAAAAAAAAAACTGTTCTTACTCCTGTGTCTCCCAGCTACCAAGTCCCCCTCACTAGAAGCAAATGCTTACTATATGTAAGCATATATATGAATATTTATATGCATAGAATATTCTGGAAAGATATATAGTACACCTTTCTTCACAAATGGTAGCATATGATATGCAGAATTTTCTTCTTTTTTTTTTTTTGAGACGGAGTCTCGCTCTGTTGCCCAGGCTCTTTAGGGCCAGGGACCAAGCAGTTGGTTCTTCCCTTGGCTCCTGACTGACCACCCAGGCCTCAGCACACAGTAGGTCCTCAAGAATTGTCAGTGACAGTATGAAGAGTTATACATCCCCAGCACCAGCCCCGGAGTCATTCAGGGACAAGGACCACACATTTAGTTTCTCCTTAACCCCCTCACCCCCGACATCCCCCAGCCCAGGCCAAGCACACAGTAGGTCCTCAGGAGAGGCCAAGTAAATGGATGAACAGGTGAACATCCTCAGCACCAGCCCTGGAGCCCACAGGTTCAGGGACCAATCATTCTGGTTTCTTCCTGTGACCCAAACTTTGCTCAGCCCTGGTCTCAGCACACAGTAGGTCCTCAAGAAAAGCTGAGTGACCGAATGAGTAAGTTGAACATCCCACACCAGCCCTAGAGCCATTCAGAATCAGGGACCACAGAGAGCCGAACTTCGCCCAGTCCAGGCCTCGACACACAGTACGGGCTCAGACAGTGCCGGGTGAAAGGATGAATGCGTGAAATGCTACCCTAGTTTACAGACATGGGGCACAGTTTATCACCCAAGAGAGCAGCAGAAAGAGCTGGGTCAAACCCGCTCTGTGGGGAACTGGCAGGGCTGGGGGCGTGGTAGTGGGCATGATCGGCGTCCGTCCTCCGAACCCTTCCACCAGGACGTCGAGGAGACCCCGCCCAGTCGGAGTGCGCAGGTGCAGGGGGCTTGGCGCCTCTCCAGTGCGCAGGCGTCGGGCTGCATCCGCCGGTGAGAGCTTCCCGCGGAGCAGGGACGCCCATGGGCGGCGCCGCTGGAAAGTGTCTTGGGTGTGGGCAGATTGGTCTGCCGTGAGCGCCTGTTCAGTGGCAGAGCAGCAATAGGGAGGGGTGATGAGAATTTGCCATGAACCCCTCCTGCTGTAGAAAGAGAAAAGCACCCGGGAGGTTAGAGTCCTCTGAGTCCGTGGAGGAAAAATTATCCAAAATATTTCTGAGCTTCTGAAATGTAAGGATTGACAGATAAGGTAAAGAGGAAATGGACCTAGGATTCTGTGAACCCTCACAGCACTGGATGCCGAAGCTGCCCTCTGGTGGCAGCGTGCAGCCTTCTCATTAATCCCTCCCAAACCATCTCGCGGGTAATCGGGCTATTTCACTATGAGAATTACTAACCACAGGCCACATGACTGGCCCAAGGGGTGGTCCACTTAATCCCTGTGATTTTACTTCATTTTATTTATTTATTTGAGATGAAGTTTCACTCTTTTTGCCCAGGCTGGAGTGCACTGGCTTGATCTCAGCTCACTGCCTCCCGGATTCAAGTGATTCTCCTGCCTCAGCCTCCCGAGTAGCTGGCATTACAGGCACACGCCACCACGCCCGGCTAATTTTGTATTTTTAGTAGAGACGGGGTTTCCCCATGTTGGCCAGGCTGGTCTCGAACACCTGACCTCAGGTGATCCACCTGTCTCGGCCTCCCAAAGTTCTGGGATTACAGACGTGAGCCACTGCGCCCGGCCTAATCCCTGTGATTTTAGATTTGCCGTATTTACCAACTTCTAGTACTTATTTCCCCCTACACAGTGTTCCCTAGATACTATATTCAAATACCACCCTGGTCCAACCTGCCCTGTTAAAGGAAGAGACAGAGTGGCCAGGCGCGGTGGCTCACGCCTATAATCCCAGCACTTTGGGAGGCCGAGGTGGGCAGATCACAAGGTCAGGAGATCGAGATCATCCTGGCTAACACGGTGAAACCCCGTGTCTACTAAAAATACAAAAAATTAGCCGGGCGTGGTGGCGGGTGCCTATAGTCCCAGCTACTCAGGAGGCTGAGGCAGGAGAATGGCGAGAACCCAGGAGGCGGAGCTTGCAGTGAGCCGAGATCGCGCCACTGTACTCCAGCCTGGGCGACAGAGCGAGATGCTGTCTCAAAAAAAAAAAAAAAAAAAAAAAGCCAGGAAGAGACGGAGCAGCTTCAAGAGCATGGGGGTGGGGTCGTGTGGAGGTGCCACAAGCTGGTATGGATGTGTGAGGAGTTCCGGGGAGGCACAACCTGAACTCCACAGCCCTCTCCTCCCCCCATTCCATCTTCACAGTTCCTCCAGGGAGAACCACCCAAGGGGCAGGAATGGCCATTGAGGACGCTAGACTGGAACTGCATTGACCCATTACTTGTCAGGTCATGATACAATCTGTGAAGACGAGTAGAGCGGGACCTGCGGAGAGAGGTGCTACTTGAGGGTGGTCGGGGAAGGCTTCTGTGAGGAAGTGACATTTGAGACCTGAAGGAGATGAGGGAGCCATGGGAGCTTCTGGGGAAAGAGCATTCCGCGGAGCAGGAACAGTGCAAAAGTCCTGAAGTAAGCATGATAGGCGAGTTTGAGAAACAGCAAGGAGGCCAGTGTGGCTGCGTGGGAGGGAGCAAGATAAGGAGGAGGGAAGAGAAGCCACTTGGAATAGGGCTGGATGGCATTGTGAAGACTTTGGCTTTACCTGAAATGGGAGGATTATGAATGGTCCTAATTGTGTTATTGTTATTATTATTATTATTATTATTGTTGTTGTTGTTTTAGAAACAAGGTCTCTCTCTGTTGTGCAGACTGGAGTGCAGTGACACAGTTGTAGCTCACAGTAACCTCGAACTTCTGGGCCCAAGCGACCCTTTTGCCTCAGCCTCCACAGTAGCTGGGACTACAGGGGCACACAACCATGCCTGGCTAATATTTTTATTTTTATTTTTGTAGAGACAGGGTCTCACTATGTTGCCCAATCTGGTTGATTATGTTTTAATGGGATCTATCCAGCTGTCGGGTAGAGAATGGAACGTCAGTGGCTTGAGTGGATACTTCTGTCGTCAATGAAATTAGGTCCCTGGCATACTGTAGAGCTAATTAGAAGACCATTGCTAATGTGATTTATATTACTGATAGTATCATGATTCTTTTTTCTTTTCTTTTCTTTTTTCTTTTTTCTTTCTTTCTTTCTTTCTTCTTTTTTTTTTTTTTTTTTTTTTTGAGACAGTCTTGCTCTGTTGACCAGGCTGGAGTGCAGTGGTATGGCACAATCTCTGCTGCTCACTGCAACCTCCACCTCCCGACCTCCCGGGTTCAGGTGATTCTTCTGCATCAGCCTCCTAAGTAGCTGGGATTACAGGTGCCCACCACACCTAGCTAATTTCTTTGTATTTTAGTAGAGACAGGGTTTCACTATGCTGGCCAGGCTGGTCTCGCACTCCTGACCTCAAGTGAGCTGCCCACCTTGGCTTCCCAAAGTGTTGGGATTATAGGTGTGAGCCACCATGCCCGGCCATGATTATTTTCAATATTCCACAAAATCAGTCAAGACCTGTGGCACTGTCTGAGCTAATCAGAGCCCAGTTAGCCCCCCAACATCATCCCCTATTTTTCATTTTTGGGTGCTTTTTTTTTTTTTTGAGACAAGGTCTCACTCTTTCACCCAGGCTGGAGTGCAGTGGCCTGATCATGGCTGTCTGCAGTCTCAGCCTCCTGGGCTCAAGCAGTCCTCTTGCCTCAGTTTCCCTGAGTAGCTGGGACTACAGGTGCATGCCACCATGCCTGACAATTTTTATTACTATTATTTTTTGTAGAGACAGGGTCTGACTGTGTTGCCCAGGCTGGTCTCAAACTCCTAACCTCAAGTGATCTTCCTGCCTTGGCCTCCCTCCTGGGATTACAGGCATGAGCTACCATGCCCGGCCCATCCCCTGTTGACTGGACACCTAAGACAGTCTCCACACTTATCTCCCTGCTTCCGCCTTTGACCTGCTGCAGTCCATTCTCCATCCTTTACTTGGGCAGTCGGTTTATGTCTCAGGGCCTTTGCAGTTGCTGCTCTCTCTCCCCTAATTTCAGGACTCTTGTCCCCAAGGCAGAACAAGGATGCGAGTTGCAGGTGTGCGTGATGGGAATCTGCCAGGTCTCCCACCTTGCCGTGTGGAAGAGATGATCACAGGGTCCATGATAGCTGTCTCCAGCCATGTAGAAGGAAGAGAGGGAGGTGAGGAGAGGAAAAGCCCCAGTGATATTTTTAGGTCCCCCAGAACCAGCTGTAAATAAAGCCAATTTTATCCTAAACTTTGGTGTAACATGAACGAATAATAATAATAATTATTATTATTATTTTGCTTAAGCTCATTTGAATTGAGCTTCTCTTATTTCCAGTAGAATCTCAAAAAATGTAATAGTTAAGGCCTGTTTTCCTTTCTCTTAAGGGCTGGTTGCTTGTTGCAGGCAATCAGCCTGAGAGAGGAATGGAGAGATAATCCATACTTTTCCCTGTTAATTTCTCTAAAGAACCTCATATACATAGACAGAAGAGCGCAGGATGATAATATCAACCAGTATTAGACAAGGTAAAATTTAAGGCAAAGGATTAAATTGACTGAAAACAATCATTTTATATTTAACAAAGGATTCAGAATCAGGTTTTAATTAACATTTATTGAGTGCCTACTATCTGCCAGCCATTGTCATATGGTGTTTTACATATATTATTTAATTAACAAGGACATAACAATGCTGCACTTATATGCCTCGAATTACACAGCTGTTGAGTACATAAAGCAAAGATTATAAAAATTTATTAGCAAAAACAATTGTACTAACAAAGTTTCACATAACCTTATTGGTTTTTAATGAATATAATAGGCCAAAATTAGATAACACATGAATCTGAACAATATAATTGACGATACTGAGTTAACTAACAGGCACATAAAGTTTTCAGTTCTACAGACAGAGAAGATATCTTCATCTTAAATGTTCGTGAAACAATTACAAAAAATGGACATGTTCTAGGCCACACTAAAAGCTTTTTAAAAAGTTTTGGAAGCAGATGTGTTATAGGCCACATTCTGTGTTCACAGTGCAGTAAAACAAGAAAACAAAACTATTTTTAAACAAAAAATAAACCAAATCACTGAGTTTCAAAGCACTCTTTAGAAACACTACAATGTAATATTTAGACACACTACAATGTAATTTTTAGACAACATAAACAAAAATGAATAATCAAATGTTAAGATGTGGCCAACGCTATATCCAGAAGTACATTTGCGTTAATAAGTATGCTATTATAGAAAATATAAAGAGAATATAAATCAAGTATTCAGTATAAAAACTGAGACAAAGAAGAAAAACAATAAAAAATAAATGCAATACATATCAAAGAAAAACAAATTACAAATAAAAGAAATAATGGATATAAATGAATCCTAATGTTGGTTCTTTGGAAAAACAATAGTAAGCTAGATAAACCTTTGACAAATCTAATAACGAGTAAACCACAAACAGCAGTTTACAGGAAACAGGGGATAGAACAAAATAAAGAGAAATTTTTAATTATAAAACATTATGCATAATTAAGCTAATAATATGAAAAAGCTCTATGGAATGAAGAATTTTCTAGAGGATAAAAGAACTCTGGGCTGGGCACGGTGGCTCACATCTGTAATCCCAGCACTTTGGGAGGCCAAGGCGGGCGGATCACGAGGTCAGGAGATCGAGACCATCCTGGCTAACACGGTGAAACCCCGTCTCTACTAAAAATACAAAAAATTAGCTGGGCATGGTGGTGGGCGCCTGTAGTCCCAGCTACTTGGGAGGCTGAGGCAGGAGAATGGCATGAACCCTCTGCTTACAGTGAGCCGAGATGGCGCCACTGCACTCCAGACTGGGTGACAGAGTGAGACTCGGTCTCAAAAAAAAAAAAAAACAAAAACCTCTGTAATTCGCCAAAATAAATGCAAGAGGTAAAAAGTATTAATAAACTGATAACATTGTAAAGAACTAAGAAAGCTGCCCAAGAATTAGCTGAAACGTTCTCTCCATGACTCTATGACCTGGTTATAACAATGAATTCATGTAAGGTGTCAAGGGACTGATACTTCCTAAGCTACAGAAACTATTGAAAAGCATAGAAAAGGTAAAAGTTACCCAAGTCTTTCTATGATGCAAGCTTAACCATGATACCAAAACTTCACAAAGATAGCACCAATCTCACATGTGAAGATAGAGGCAAGAATCCTACATAAAATATCAATAAATATAATCTAGTGTATGAAAAGACTGGTGCACCAAAACCTTAAGAATGCAAAGTTGGTTTGATGTTAGGAAATGTACCAGATTTCATTGATCTTCAGTTGCACATTTTTTCATCTTCTCAAAGTCAGGAGATATCTTCCAGTTGGTGGCATCTTAATGATTAATTAGCACTTTTCTTTCTCCGTGGTATACAAAATAATGTTTTACAATCAATGATGTCTTCATTTCATGGAAATAAAGTATGTGAAAACTCACACCAAAAATTTTTTAAAAATCATCTCAAAGGATGTTTGAAAGGCATTTGAAAATATTCAACACCTATTCCTGATTTTTAACTAGCACAATTCCTTAACATGACATAGGGCATCTATTTCATTAAATTAAACTTTTAAAACAACAGCCACCATTATAGTTAAATGTGAAACATCATAGGCATCCCCGTTAAAACCAGGAACAAAAAAAGCACGCACACTACCAAGACTATGGTTGTTTGTTGTGGAGCTTTTGACCACTCCACAAAGCCCTGAAACAGAAAAAAGGAAAAGGATAAATATTGGAAAGGAAGGGGCCACCATTGTTACTTGCAGGAAAATAGACTTATATGATCAGAAATGAAATGTCATATCAAGAGAAAAGCTGTTTGAATTTAAAACGGTACAACTGAGTAGATATAAGATAAACAAAAGAATGTAACATAACTATGCTCTCTCAGAGGAAATGTTCGAATAATGGGATGACAATTTCAAAATCTCACTGGTATATTAAATCTCAGTTTTAACATACCATCTATGCTCTAATGACCCCACCCCCTCAAGAGATATGTGTGTGCTTGCATATGTATGTGTATTTGTTGACCCAACTATATATCTCACTGCCTATTTGCCATCTCCAGTTGGATATCTGATGGACATCTTAAACTTCACATGTCCCCAAACAAATATTGTAATGTCCCCCACAAAAAAAAGCTCCTCATGCAGTTTTCCTCCCATTACCCCTTCAGGCCCCTCCAGACCTCCAATTGTTGTATCCTTGACTCTCTTTCTGACACCACCCACATTCAAGACATCAGCAAGTACTGTTGGCTTTATCTTCAAAACATTCAGAATCTGACCATTTCCCTTCCCTTCACTACCACCACCCTGGCCAAAGCCACTGTCATCTATCTTGTACTCTTGATACAGAATTTTGTTTCTTGTCTTGATAATCCCACCCAATTTCTTGCCCATGGGCCAGTCAGAGTGCTCCTTCTAACGCTGACGTCATTCCTTGCCTTTCTCACTCTGTTCCAGCCACAGTCACTTCCAAGCCTTTGTAGTTACGAGTTCTTCTTCCTGGAATGCCCTTCCTCCAGATACCCTTAACCCTGCACTATGCATGCCCCTTGTCTTTTTCTCCATGCTCCTATCACCACCTGACATGCTATGTATGTTTATTGTCTCTTCCTCCAATGACACTGTAAGCACCAAGAGGGCAAACCTTTGCTTTGTTTGCTACTGTATTCCCAGTGCCTGGAACAGGGTATGAACTCTGTAAATATTTGTTGAATGAGTTCATAAATGAAAAAACATACCATGATAAGAGATGAGAAGACAAAATGTTTAACGATGACAATTTTCCAAATTAATGATGAATTTAGTGCAATTGCTATTAAAATATCAAGGAAGTTTGGTGAATGTACAAGACATAATGGATTATCTGGAAAGTTAGGCAATGGTGAACACTGAAAAAAATCCTGTGAAAAAAGAAAAATGGAAGGACACAGACTACGAATTATTAAAGTATATTATAAATCATTGATGGAATTCACATTTATAATCTTTGAAACAAATTCCTCCCTTTAGCCTGCTGATTCCCTCTGGATGACACCTTATTTCAAATCTTCCTTTACAACCAGATACCTAGGGACAATGACCCACTTAAGCAGTTCCCAAACCTGGTAGAGCACCAAAAGTTGTTGGGAGAGGTTTTTGAATATCTTGGGATCCCCTTTGGATTTTCTGGTTCAGTGTATCTGAGGAGAACCAGAGAATGTGAATTTTTATAAAGTTCCTCATAATCCATGCGTAAAATTGGGCCAACTGAACAAACGCTCATTGTAGCATTGTCTTCTGTAACAGTGACAGCAATGGGAGCCTAGCAATTCATCACCCAAGGAAATGGGTCTGACACAACTGAGCTAGAGAATATTTGGCAGCAGGAAAAAGTAACTTTGAAATACAATGAAGATAATCAATATATATTAAATGGAAAACTGTCCAGCACGTATTAAGTGAAAATGCCAACTGGAGGAATAACAATTTTGCCATAATTTCCTTTTTTGGAATTAAAAAATATATATGTAGTTTACTACATGACAGTATTTAGATAAAATTCAACAACAAGCAAAACTAATCCATGCAAGTGGAAATCAAGAACTGTAGTTGCTTCCAGGGCTGGGGAGTGAGATGGACCAGAAGGGAAAATAAGAGAATGTTCTAGAATTATGACAGCACTCAATATCTTGATTGGGGTGTTGGTTACACGGATGTACATGTGTAAACACTCTCTGGTTAGTGCATTTTATTGGAAATAATTATACTTCAATTTTGAAAAGCAGAATATAAAGTTAAGAAAATGTAATAAATACAGGTAATCTGAAATCCAATAGTTTTACACACATCACACATAATAGACCCATGGATGCCTCACCTAATTTCTCTTTATTTCTGTTTTTCAGGCTGGTGCAGCTCTCCCCTGGAGGCTAGGGGTATTGGCCGCTACTTGTATGGTTTACAGTTTGTAGTTGCTCCTTCTCTTCTGACAAATGCCCTTTGCTAATGAGATCCTCCTTCCTAGAGGATTACCCAGGAGGTTAATTCGCCCTCCAGGGCAGTCCACAGCCAACAATAACTCATATGGGATACAAAAGGCCACTCCACTGACTCAGAGGAGGATAACTCTCTCTCTCTCTCTCTTTTTTTTTTCTTTTTTTTGAGAAGGAGAGTCTCGCTGTATCGCCCAGGCTGGAGGGCAGTGGTGCAATCTCAGCTCACTGCAACCTGTGCCTCCTGGGTTCAAGCAATTCTCTGCCTCAGCCTCCCGAGTAGCTGGGATTACAGGCATCCGCCCCCATGCCCAGCTAATTTTCGTATTTTTAGTACAGACGGGGTTTCACCGTCTTGGCCAGGCTGGTCTTGAACTCCTGACCCCGTAATCCACCCACCTCGGCCTCCCAAAGTGCTAGGATTACGGGCGTGAGCCACTGCGCCCAGCCCAGAGGAGGACAACTCTCTATTCACATTCCAGGGTTCCCTTGCGATAAGACGGAGACTGGATTTCAGTTCTACCAGTATATTTGCCTGGCTCCCTCTCCTCCCCTCTCCAGCTTCCCTCACTCCCCGCTGGGCTTCACCTGAGAGCACAACCCTCAATCAAGCACTGGCACACAAATCTCAATTCAGTCTCAGTATATAGGGAAACATGTTTGGCAGGATATATACAAGGATATATACAGCAACTTTTTTTTTTTTTTTTTTTTTTTTTTTGGCAGAGTCTCACTCTGTCTCCCAGGCTGGAGTGCAGTGGCACAATCTCAGCTCATTGTAACCTCTGCCTCCCAGGTTCAAGCGATTCTCCTGCCTCAGTCTCCTGAGTAGCTGGGATTACAGGCATGTGCCACCATGCCCAGCTAATTTTTGTATTTTTAGTAGAAATGGGGTTTTGCCATGTTATGCAGACTGATCTCGAACTCATGACCTTAAGCGATCCGCCTGACTCTGCCTCCCAAAGTGCTGCGATTATAGACGTGAGCCACTGTGCCCAGCCAGCTTAAAACATTCTGTTGAAGTGGAATGTAGAAAGGGGAGGTTGCACACATCCTAGGTGTACAGCCTGAGGCACCTTCAGAAGGTGAACACACCATGTAACTAGCACCCCAAACAGGAAGCAGATCATTATCAACCCCGAAATCCCCCCACCTCAAAGGTAACCACTACCCCAACTTCTCACACTATGGATGAATTTGGCCTGTTACAGCAACTTTTACCAGGGGTTATTTCTGGGCATTGATCTTTTTAAAATCTCATGCACTTAGATAAGATTTGCAGGTGTTACATATGCTTGCATTTTATGGAACGGTAATGATGGGACCATTTTCCCCTGCTTGCTTTCTTCTGTGCCCACAGACTGGGAACTTCTGCCCTCCCGGAAAGTAACTCTTTTTCTTTCTTCCACTTCTTCACTCACTCCTCTCCACAGGAGGTATAGTGACTAGGAGAACAGGGAGAGAGAGGCCTTCATCTCTGCCCCAAGCACAGGCAGGACACCTAGTGGTTAAGAGACATGCTGGGTACAAATCCTAGCTCTGCCATTTACACGTTGCATGACAAGGGAAAGTCACATAACCTCTCTGTGCCTTAGTTTTCCCATCTGTAAAATGGGATAACAGGTCCTACATCAAGGACTGATAAGAGTACCAAGTAAATTAAGGTAAGTAGAGCACAAAGTCCAGCTCCTGGCCCATAATGAGGCTGTAACTGTCATCAAAGGTCTCTGGTTCCAGACAGCCCGCTCCTCTTTCTTTTTTGAAAGAGGGTGGTTGTCTGCAGGAAGGAGGGTCTGTCCATGCAGAAAACTGACCCAGGGCCTGCCAATGAGAGGCCCTCCCCTATCAGCCCCCTGGTGTGTGCTCCATCAATGCTGGCTCAAGGAATTACAACTGGGCAAACGAGTGAGTGAATGAATGATGTCACAGAGGCCTCTCCCAAGCAGCATGTCTAAAATCGACCTTGTCATTTCTTCCAAACTGCCTCCTTGATCCCTATGCTGGAGGCTAGAACCTCCCTCTACCCTGTCCCCACATCAGAATTCACGTGTTGCCCCTGGGCTTGTCCCTGTTCCTTCACCTTTTACGTTCCACAGGTCTGGAAATGTCATCAGGTCCTGGGTCCCATTCGCTCCTATCCTCCCCTCCAAGCCCAAACTCTATGCTAGCTCTGCTACCCACTCATTGTGGGACCTGAAGCAAGCCATTTGGTTCCTCTCTGCCTCAGTTTCCTCATCTGTAGAGGAGGAAACCATGCTAACAATCTCACAAGGCTCATGAGTTATGAGAGTTAATGAGTGTTCAGTTACTAGATGTGTTATAATAAGATGAGCTTAGAATAGCATCAAGCTGGCTGGGCGTCGTGGCTCATGCCTGTAATCCCAGCACTTTCGGAGGCCGAGGTGGGCGGATTACGAGGTCAAGAGATCAAGACCATCTTGGCCAACATGGTGAAACCCCATTTCTACTAAAAATACAAGAATTAGCTGGGCATGGTGGTGTGCGCCTGTAGTCCTAGCTACTCAGGAGGCTGAGGCAGGAGAATCACTTGAACAGAGGAGGCGGAGGTTGCAGTGAGCAGTAAGCCAAGATAGTGCCACTGCACTCCAGCCTGGTGACAGAGCGAGATTCCGTCTCAAAAAAATAAAAAATAAAAAGAATAGCATGAAGCTTGTAACATGCACAAGGAAAGTGGCAACTCTTCTCTGTTTCATTTCTACCTTTTTTCCCTAACTATACATTTCTGACTTGCTCCTTTGCCCCTCTAAACTCTAACCCCAGCCACATCCAACCCACCTTCCTTCCACATGGGCTCCCAGAGTGATTCTGTAAGTCCCCGAACACCTTCGATGGCTCCCACTGCCTGCAAAACACATCCAACCTCCTCGGTGTGGGACTTAGCAGTGAGAGGAGTCCTGCTAAAGGCCAAATCAGAACATGTCCCTCCTCTGTCCAGAACTCGCCTATGGCTCCCACCCACTCAGAGTAAAACTCACATTTCACCATGGCCCATGAGACACTACATCATCCACCCCATCGCCCCCATGACCTCACCTCCTAGTCCTCCCTCCCACCCTCCAGCCACACTGACCACCATGCCCCTTGGTGTTCCCCAAATGTACCAGGCACATCTGTACCTCAGGGCCTTTGCACTTGCTGTGTCCTCTGCATAGAGCCCGCTCTCCCTAGACATCTGCCAGTCTCACTCCCCACCTCCTTCAGGTCCTCACTCAATAGCTCCCTCTCAGTGGGGACTTTCCTAGACAAGCTTCTTAAAATAGCAACCCCCAGCCCCAGCTCCTACTCCCAAACCCCCTTCCTGCTTCATTTTTCTCCATAGCAGTTATCACCACTCAACCCAATTCATATTTTAGCTGCTTATTTCAATTGTCGTCTGTCTACCTCGGTGACTGTGAGCTCCATGAAGGCAGGGACCACTTCTGTCTCACTATTGTACACTCTGTGCATTGAACACTGCTTGGCACTGAGCAGGTGCTCAAGAAATAGACGTGCAATGAGTGAATGATGTCATCCCAGCCATATTTTCACCCAAACCTCCCACTGCTCTGCCCTTAACTTCAGTGTCCCTGAAACGTACCTTGTTATACCAACTTGCCTGTGCACATGTTGTTCCCTTCCCTGCTATGCCTGTGGAATTCTTACTATCCCGAAAACTCCAGGTGTGGTGTGTCCTCCTCTCTGGGATATCCAAGAATAAACCTCCTGGCATGCAGTTAACTTCTTCCTTTGGGCCACTCCACTGTGCCCAGCACTTATTTCTGCACTATCATGGTTTGTTGGCCAGTTTGTTTCCCTCGCCCTCATCCCTGCACCACGAGCCAATAAATCCATTTTCTGGCTTGAGGCAGCCAGAGTTACATTCCTGACATGATTGGGAGATGGATGGGACTCTCATGTGCTCACTGAGAGTGATTATGTGATTTTTCTCATGTATGAGATGAATGTATAAATGAAAGAACCACTGGTTTTCTTATATTGATATCTTATTCCTCAAAAAAGAAAACATTAGGTTTTTGAGTGAAAGAAATGTGTTTGATAATTGTCTTTGGTTTTACTTGTAGTATCTGGATTAAAACTCAGTAGATGATTAGTGGATGGATAAATGGAATAGTGGGTGGATGGGTGAATGGATTGGTAGGTGGTCTTATGACTGGGTGTGTGAATAGATACAGATGGATGAATGAATGTGTGGGCATATGGGTGGATGCATACTAGCCATATCCTCACCACAGCCAACAGGTAGTAGAGGGATGAATAGGTGGGTGGACAGTTGAGTGGATAGGGGATGGATATGTAGGTGGGTGGATTGAACAGATGGATTGATGGCATCTGAATAAAAGGGTGAATGAGTATGTATATGGATAACTGGATATATGGATGGATGAATGGGTGGATGGATGGATGGATGGATGGATGGATGGATGGAATGGGTATATGGATGCATAAGGGATGAAAGGTTGGGTAAATGAATGAGTGGACAGATGAATAGTTGGTGGATGTTCAATGGGTAGATGAATGAATGGACAGGTGAATGGAAAGGTGAGAGGGTGGGTGGAAGGGAGGGTTTATGGGTGGATGGAAAAGTGGATAGACAGCTGAGGTATAGGGATGGGTTGATGCATGGATGGATGGATGGATGGATGGATGGATGGATGGATGGATGGATGGATAAGTGGATAAACAGATGAAGTATAGGGATGGATGGATGGATGGATGGATGGATGGATGGATGGATGGATGGATGGATGGAATGGGTATACAAGCAAGTAGGTGAATAAAAGTTTAGGTGGATGAAAGAGTGGACAGATGAGTGAATGGCTAGTAGATGTTTGAGAGGTGGATGAATGAATGGATGAGTGATTGGAAAGGTAAGAGGGTGGATGGAAGGGAGGGTTGATGAATAAGTGGACAGAAGATGAAGTACAGAGGTGGATGCATGGGTAGATGGATTTATGAAGGAAGTGTTGGAGGGTACATGTGAACTGAGTTACACACACCACATGGAGACCCTCCAGTCTGTGTCTGATCACCATAGAGATCAGACACAAGAGATCTCTTGAGATTTTTATGGGGCAGGTAAATTCCAAGCTGAGAATGCAAATGTGACAAAGTGCTGAGATCTACAGAGTGGGACATTTGTGGAAAAAGAACAAACCCCCCAGTGTACCTGGGAGCCCTCTGATTCGTCATCTTCCTCCACCGAGCTCCACTCCTGGGAAAGCCCAGTCTCTTGAGAAGACAGGTCTGGGTGAGGGTGGGAGTGGAGGAAAAAGGAGCCATGAGTGAGTGGCCAGATGGCAGGAGTGGGCTCTTCCCACTGGCATCTTGTCCCTTTTCTAGTAATAGCCTCCTCTCTCTCTCTCTCTCTCTCTCTCTCTCTCACCCTCCTTCTCTCTCTCTCTCTCTCACACACACACAAACACACAACCCCACACACACACAAACACACATATGCCTATGTGATGATTCAGATGGGGCTGAGAGAATGAAAGACCTGAATTCTGTTCTATAACTACCTAGAAAACTTCAACTGGGTCACCTGATGTGCCCTGCCACTTGAGTCTTCAGTCCCTTACCTGTCCAGTAGATAAAAGAGTTCCTTCTCTACAGGCCCCCAGCAGAAACTGAGTGAAGGAGCAGAAGAAAAAGCCACAGAAGTAAACCAGGATGATGGAGGCTTCCCCAGCTTCCAAAGAACAGACACTAGTGGGGACATGTCCCCATAGTCAGAACCTTAGTGTCCTTCTCATCCCTAAGCTGAATAGACTGGGCAAATCCTGGCATTTTCCACTCTTTCTGCACCTTAGCCCCAGCCAGGAGCTCCAAGCCTCACTAGCAGAGCTGGCCTCTGTTATCCACTCCTTCTGTCCCAGCCCTGCTCATCCCCTGAGGAAAAAGACAGTGCCTAGTAGTTGGTATAAGGTTCAGCCCCTTTCTGCTATGGGGTGTCATTGAGATGTCGGCAAATGGCACCATCCTTTATCCATCTGTTTGGGCCAAAACCCTAAAAGTCATCATGATACCTCTCGTTTCCTCCCCTTCTCCACATCCATCAGCAAGAACTGATTCCTTCTCCCAAAGATGTCCCAAATCTCTCCACTTACCTCACCTCTGTCTTGGACAGTTGCAGGAATCTCCTAACTGGCCTCCCACCTTCCATTCTTGACTTCCTAGCCCTACAATCCATTCTCACATGCAGTGAGACTCAGGGTTTCTCAAACTTGGCACTATCGGCATTTGGAGCTGCACCATTCTTTCTGTGGGGGGAGGGTCCGTCCTGTGCATGGTAGGACGTTTATCAGCATCACTACTGGCTTCTCCCCACAAGATAACAGCAGCATCTCCACAGTTAGGATAATCCTAAATGTTTCCAGACACTGCCAAAAATCGTCCGGGGAGGAGAAGTGGGGTATAAGACCACGCCCAGTTGAAATCCACTGAGTTAGAGGAATATTTTTGAAATGCAAATGAGATCATGTGTTTTTCCTCTTCAAATCTTCCAGTGCTTGAAAATTGGGGAATTCCCTCTCTTGCCATCCCTGAGAACCCTGCAAGCACCCCCATGAGGATAACCCTGAAAAATCCTGCTGGAGACACATGGCCTGTCCTCAGCACCACCAAGCCAGCCAACAGCCAGCACCAGCAGACATGGGGGTAAAGCCATCTGAGATCGACCAGTGGCCTCACCAGCTCTCTGAGGCTGCACAGACAAGCACAGGCAGGAAAAGTGTCCCCTGAAGCCAGGTCAAACTTCTGACCCACAGAATCATGAGCTGATAAGTGATTGTTGCTTTAAGCCCCTAAGTTTGGGGATGACTTGTTACACAGCAAAAGCTGACTGACACAGTGCTCCATGAATAGCTGTTGAATGGATGAGTGAAGGAGTGAATGTTTAGTCTTTCCCTAGGCTCTGCCAATTCCTTCCTCTCCACCCACTCACCTCCCAAAGGACCCCTGCCTCTCACCTTTCTCATCACTGTCATGGCTGGAGGCCCCAACCTCCACAGCCTCCCAGTCTTTGGTGCAGGCGGGATGAGGAGGCTTCTCCCAGGCCCGGCTCTCCCGAGGCAGCAGAGTCTTGGTCCTCTCAGGCTCCAGCAGCCCCCGTGTCTGCTCAGGCCTGAGACTCTGCATTGCCCCAGGAGGAGGTGGAGCTTCTGAGACAAGCTTCTCTTTCTCCTCCTGCTCCAGGGTCCTCTCTGGTTCTCCAGGCACAAGATTCAGAACCTGAGGACTGATGGACATTTCATCATTCAGTGAATCATTACAGAGGGCCAGCAGGGGCTAGGCACGACTGTAAGCATTAGAAATACAGCAGTAATCAAGTGGAGATTCCTGCCCTCCTGGGGCTTACATTCTAGTAGGGAGACAAAGAGACAGGCAGGGAACAAATAAAGCACACAGCAGGTCAAACGCTAGAGGGTGCTCTGGAGACAAAGCTGGAAAGGGAGTGATTGTCATGGGCAGGCACATGCAGACACACACACTCACATACTCCCATATACACACATACAAACATAAACACATCCACACATACACACACACAGACACACAGTCACATACACACACACTAACACAAACACAAACACACACACATCCACATTCACACACACTCACATAGACTAACACACACACTCATACACACTCACAGTCACACACACTCACATTCATACTCACACACATACACACTCACATACTCATATACACACCTACAGCCACACATGATTCTCCAGTCTGCACATTTGTATATAACAAATGGGATAGGAAACGACATGAATTAATAAATAAATCAGCCAGGCGAGGTGGCTCACACCTGTAATCCTAGCACTTTGGGAGACCAAGGTGGGAGGGTTGCTTGAGCCCAGGAGTTTAAAAATTAGCCAGGTGTGGTGTCACGAGCCTGTAGTCTCAGATATTGGAAGGATCCTTTGAACCTGGGAGTTCAAGGCTTCAGTGAGCTAGGATCGTGCCACTGCACTCCAGCCTGGGTAAGAGAGAAAGACTCTCTCAAAAATCAATCAATGAGTCAATCAAGAGGACTCTTTTACTGTCACTTTTCTACAAATGAAAATTAAATATAGGTCCAGAGAAATACTTCTCTATTGTAAGGAGCACATGAACAAATGGCAGTGGATATATGGCATGGGGAGAGACGACGGAGGCAGTGGGGAGTGGGGCAAGAGAGATCAGGTCTCCTGTCTGAAGAAGCTGCACCATGCAACTCAGCTAATGTCTGCAGAGCAAACGCATGGGACTGGTGTCGCCCATCCTGTGATTTCTCAAAAGAAGACTGGAAATCTATATTTTCAGATGGCATTTTCTACATTTCATGATGTCAATAATTATTTCCAGTGTTTAACAGGAAGACACCTTTAGTCAAATAGCACAAGTTGTGGGGCTGAATTAGACCCTGGGGTTGCCCATTTGCAACCTCAGTGTGGGCCGGGGAGTCTGTTGGGAGTGAGGAGAGGAGGCTGCCTAGACATTTTTCAGGGCAAGAAAATTCCTATGGGACCTTCGTGGGAAAGAGTGTTAGAGAGTACCATTAGGGAGTTCTGATTTGTTTATTGCTTTGGGGTTTTGCTTGGCTTTGTTTTTAATATGAGACATAATTAATCATGGATCTAGGTTGAGGGGAGGGGAAGGCATGAGAAAGGAGAAAATGCAGGCAAGCGGGGTGACAGATGGGAAAGACGACAGCCATCAGGTCAAGGTCAGGAGAAGCTGGATCCGCAGTGAATGGAGGAGGAAGAAGGAAAGGGGATGAGACAGAGGTATGGTGGGGGGAGGAGATTCACACCCCACAGCCTCAGTGTTCATGGTGAAATAGCAAACAAGTCATCCCCTGAGAGAATGGAGACGCAGTCACAACAACGACAACCAGCAACCACAGTAAAAGCAATAAAAATACCGGCAGTGTTTCCCGGAGCCCAGAACTCTCCTTGTGCCCAGCCCTGCTGAGCCCTGCGAATCCCTTTTCTCACATAAAGGTGGCCATACTTCTCGCTACAGATACTATTAGGTTTCCATTTAACAGACAGGGAAGTCCCCTGATCAAAGCCACACAGCTCAGAAGAGTGGGGGCGGGGCTGCTGCACCTGTTTGCTGAGAGCCTGCGCTCCCACCGTTGCAGGGTGGTCCACAGGGGCCCAGGCGGACACACAACGCGAACACGCACAGGTGCACACTCGGGCAGGTGCGCTGAACACCCCAGGGGGAGCGAACATCGACACCAAGCCCCAGCGAGACGAGCGCACGTGCCCGTGCCGCCCCACGAGGGTACACAGGTCTGTGCTCCCCTCCTCACGAGGAGGCTGGAATTCACCTGCAACCCCCAAGCCAGGACACAGACCTCCGCTGCGGAGAAACAGACCCGACCCCGACAGACCCCGGTCCTCTCCCACCGGACGGGCTTGGAGACGCCCTCTCCCCGGACCCTATCCCTGGAGCGGTTCTGCCCCTCACCCTCGCCCAGGCACACACACCCTCTGCGCATCCATACTCGCGCGCGCATCCCCGGATCGCCGCCCGCGCCCCCAGCCCCTTTTCTCCGCCTCCTTCCCGCCCGCGGGGGTCCCTCGAAGGACTCACCCTCCCCAACCGGACCCTGTCTGGGCTCTGCAGAGCTGGCGCCGCACTGACTGCGGCTGCGCAGACGCGGAGGCTGCGGGGGGGTGGGGGGAGGTGGGAGATGGGAGGTGGGGGAATTGGGGAGCGTGGGTGTCCTCCTCCCCTCCTCCACCCCCGGGAAGCCTGCACCTGGAGGCGCGTGGGGAAGGGAGTGGATGAGCCGCAGAGGCGGGGTACCCGCGGCGTGGTTGCAGGGGGGTGTGGTACCGAGCTGGTCCATCTCTAGCTGATGAGCACGTAGGTTATGTTCGAGGTACCCTGCGACAGACGCCCCAAGGCCAGCGGCTTTGCGTACGCCCCCCGTGGTTCTCCAGTCTGCAAACCGGGAGTCCGGGGTGGGCGGAAGGGAGAAGGAGCTGGGGCAGGGGGTGGCAGCCCGGGGACCCTGAGGCCCGACCGCCTGGGGCAGCGGCTGGCTTTGCCATTTGTTACTAGTGAGTCCTCGGGTGTGTTACTTAACATTTCCGTGCCTCGGTTGCCCATGCTGTTAAGTGGGAATAATTATGGTTACCAAGTCCCAGGATTTCTGTGAAAGTAAAACAATAATAACAATAATAAGTAATACACGTACAGTTCTTACAACAGTGCCTAATAGCTGCTATTATTATCAATGACCATTGTTGTTCAAATTTACAATGCAGTGACTACAGCCAAGTTGCTCTCATGGAGGCTACATTAAATTTTTAAAATTTTCGGCAAAGCCATAGGTAGGGGGAAAACGGCGTCCCTGCATCATCTTAGCTACATTTCCCTGATTACTAGTGAGGAGAATTAAACACATGTATTTGAACAGGCTTATTCTCTCTTCTGTGAATTACCCGTTTATCTCCTCCTCTCCGCATTGTTCTATTTGTTTATGTAGCTTTTACTTACTGATTAATAGACATTCTTTCTATATTCTGCACATTAATCCTTTGCCTGTTACTCTATCTGTGGCAAATATTTTCTCCTGGCTCCTCCCTTATGTTTTTATTGTGTTTACACAGTGCCTGAAGTTTTGAATTTTAATAAAAATACAAGATATCCTTTTTATTTATTTATTTATTTTTTGCTTTTAGGGTCTTAAGATGCCCTTCCTCAGCCTTGTCTCTCCCTCTCTTCCCCGCCCCTCCTCCCCCTCCTTGTCTCTTTGAGACAAGGTCTTACTCTGTCACCCAGGCTGGAGTGCAGTAGTGTGATCATAGCTCACAGCAGCCTTGAACTCCTGGCCTCAAGTGATGCTCTTGCCTCAGCCTCTTGAGTAGCTGGGACTGCAGGCATGTGCCACCACACCTGGCTAATTTTTAAATTTTTTGTAGAAACAGGGTCTCACTATGTTGCCCAGGCTGGTCTCAAACTCCTGGCCTCAACTGATCTTCCCAGCTCAGCCTTCCAAAGTGCTAGGATTACAGGCATGAATCACTTCTCCTGGCCTCCCCTTACTCTCATAAACACATTTTCCTGTATAATCTTATATTTTACAGTCTTATTTTATATATTTATTTTGTTTGAACCTTCTGGAATTTTTTTGAATGGTATGAGGTAAGGATTTAACCTCCTTTCCCTAATGGATAGAAAATTGAATTACCCTGGTTATTCAGAAAAACAAAAATAACTGTCATTTATCAAAAAAATACTACAAGGAAAGCCATCTCGTTAATATTATCTCATTTAATTCCAACAGCCCAAAGTGGTAGTATTATTATCCCCATTTAACAGAGAAGAGAACTGAGGCACAAAGGAGTTAAATGAGTTGTACAAAGGACACACAGTAAGATTATGGAAGGACTGAGATTGGGTTTGCCTACGAGTTTTCAGATAGGTTATGTAATTGGGATGGGAAACTTTCTTCATTTCTATGTTTAGAAGATGAGTTTCCTGCCATTCCAAAGATAGTTCAGAGTGTGCAGAGAAGAGAGATGAAGTGTCAAGAATTAGACATTTCATCCAATCCTCATCACCTCCTTTGATAACAAGACATTTAGTGCAGGAGACCAGGTGAGCTGCCCCAGGTCACAGAGTCTTGAGAGGGTTAGGAACTGGGCATCCAGATGCAGATCTAACAATGTACTAGCTGTATAACTTTGGGAAGTGAATTAACTCGGTCTCAGTTTCCTTACCTGCAAAATGGGGACAATAATATTTTCTACCTCATAGGGTTAGTGTGAACATCATATAGGTTAATACATATGCCTCCTAATTTTGAGTGCTCAGTAAATGTCACTGGTATTATCATTATAATTATTGAACAGCAGGTCCTCAATATGGGGTAAAAATCTCCAGTTATGATCCTGATAGTCCAGATGAATTATGGTTGTTTCAAAATGGACTCAAGTTTGAGGGGCTTCCCCAGAATTCTGAGGGAACAAATTTTTTTTTCTTTGAGACGGAATTTTGTTCTTGTTGTCCACACTGGAGTGCAGTGGCACAATCTCGGCTCACCGCAACCTCCGTCTCTCGGGTTGAAGCGATTCTCCTGCCTCAGCCTCCCGAGTAGCTGGGATTACAGGCTTGCACCACCATGCGCAGCTAATTTTTGCATTTTTAGTAGAGATGGGGTTTCTCCATGTTGGTCAGGCTGGTCTCCTGACCTCAGGTCGTCCACCTGCCTCGGCCACCCAAAGTGTTGGGATGACAGGCGTGAGCCACAGTGCCTGGCCGAAAGGAATGTTACTGAGTGACCCCTTAGAGGTGATTTCTTCCCTAAACAGAAGAAAACAATGAAGGGAAAGTGTCTGGAATCCTGTTTTATGTCTTTAATGTTTCTCAAACTTCAACCTCTCAAACACCCTTTTTCAATGTTTGCCCTGTTTCTGCAGCAATGAGTAACATCTTCATGATTGCTTTCATTTACACATAACATCCCTGCATTCCTATTTACTTAATATTTTTATTTAAAATGAATTCATTTTCTAAAACCATTTAAGAAGTACCTTTAAATGGAAACTTTACAGCACTCCTATAAGTGGAAAGCCAGTTTCAAGTGCCATAACCTAAAAGGGAAATAAAATCACGATTAAAAAATTATAGCTATATGCCACCACTACGTGTGGTAGATTGAATTATTGGTTCCAATTCTTCATTATCCTACTGTAACATAACACATTCTCTGTCTTGCCATAGCCTCATAGCAAGCCAAGGGCTGGAGTACAGATGTGTTATCCCCATGGGCCTTTTCCCTTTGTTGATTGTGCTTTGTATACTTTCACTGTAGTAAATCATAGCCGTGAGTATGACTATGTGCTGAGTCTCTCTTGAGTCCTCCTCCCAGGAAATCATCAAACCTGCGGATGATCTTGGGGACCCCAACACAAACCCTGGACCACAATTTTACCAGGAGGTAAGTGCTGTTGACATCTTTTTGGGGCTCCATGACTAGCCAGGAAAAGAAAAATTAATGCAGGGCTGAGAATTCATCCACTCATTCATTCATTCACTCATACAACTAATATTTATTAAACAACTGCCATGTGAAGATGCTGTTCCGGGTAGCTAAGGCAACTGATGTCTGTGGCCTAATGGAGCTTACATTCTAATGATGAAAACAGACAGTGTCAAGTAAACCAATAAATGCAAAATGAAATATAGTTTGTGCTAAATTCTGTGAAGTACTAAATTCTGTGAAATAAATCACTGTGATAGTAACTTTGAAGCCACTTTAGGTGGGGATGGTCAGGGAAGGCCTTTTAGAAAAGGTCATATTTTGAGCTAAGGACCAAATGGTGGAAAGGAGACAGTTATAGTTGAATCCACACTTGAATGAGTTCAGCACCATGGACAGAGCACACCAGAGGCAAAGGCCCTGAGGAACCAACAGGGAGGTGGTGTGGCCAGTGTGACCAGGAAAGCGAGAGTGTCATGGGATGTAAGATAGAGAGGCGCCCGGGCGCGGTGGCTCACTCCTGTAATCCCAGCACTTTGGGAGGTTGAGGTGGGCAGATCACGAGGTCAAGAGATCAAGACCATCCTGACCGACATGGTGAAACCCCGTCTCTACCAAAAATACAAAAATTAGATGGGCGTGGTGGCACGCGCCTGTAGTCCCAGCTATTCAGGAGCCTGAGGAAGGGGAATCGCTTGAACCCGGGAGGCGGAGGTTGCAGCCGAGATTACGCCATTGTACCCAGCCTGGGCGACAGAGTGAGACTCCATCTCAAAAGGAAAAAAAAAAGATAGGCATCCAGAGTCATGAAAGCCACAGGAAGATCTTTGAATTTTATTATAGGTGTATTGGAGATAGTGGCAGGTACTGAGGAATGGTATGATAGACTCTGGTTTACATTTTCCAAGGCTCACTGAAACTGCTGTGTGGGGAATGCACTAGAAGGGGCGGTAAAGTAGGAGGATCACTTAGGAGGCTCTTGCAGTAAACCAGGTGAGAAGCGACGGTGGCCTGGAGTAAGGCAGTGGCAATGGGGATGGAGAGCAGTGGGTAGATTCAGGATTTGCTCTACAGGTGGAGCTGAGAGGACTCACTAATGGGTGGAGTGCGAGGTGTGACAGAAAGAGACGAATCAAGGGAGACTTCTGGGCTTTGGGCCTGAGCAACTGAGTGCCCTGAAGTGCCCTAAGTGAGATCAAGTTTATTTTGTGGGGAAAATCCAGAGTTCCCTTTTGGGCATATTAACTGTTGGATGCCTGCATTTCTGAGGTCAACTCCAGAAGAGCCTGGATTACCCAGATAGCCCCATCAGAGTCTCCAGAGGTGAAAGTTGCAGAGGGGGCTCAGGAATCAGCTCAGAAGAGCGTCTACATCTAGCACAGGTGATGGCGAAATGACACTTGTTCCTATCCATGTTGCAGAACCAGTCCAGCAGGGCTCTTCGTGATACCGGAAGAGTCCCAGCACAGGCTACCCTGCGAGGCTGGGGGGAACTGTCCTGCGAGCCTGGGGGGCTGCCTGTGGTGCTGAACCATTCTGGCCTGAGCCGCCCGGGGTTCTGATGGATATTAGCGGGGCTATCCGTGGTGCTGAACCACTTCCAGCAGGGCTGTCCGGCGAGGCTTGAGCTGTCTGCGGTGCTGAACCATTCACATCACGAGCTGCCTTGGGGGCTGTCCGTGGTGCTGAATCTGTCTGGCGTGAGCTGTCCGCAGTTCTAAACCATTCAAGCATTAGCGTTCGGTGGTGCTGACGCTCTACACAGAATAGCTGGAGAAGACTTTTTTTTTTCCCCCTCCTTCAAAGAACCCATCCGCCTGGGGAAAGCCCTGCTGTTTCCTGGAAACAAAGATCTCTGGGCTGTAGAGATCATGGGATGAAAACAGATGAGGGCAACAACTGCAAAGTCATTTTTAAGTGACAGCTTTTGTTCTTAGGACAGCAGGGCCTGGCTGAACCGGATTGAAATTATTAACATGAAGTTTCCCAAAAAGCTCTGAAGAGGGGGAAAGTACAGAAAGGAAATTCAGAGAAAGGTATGCCCCGGATTCAGGCTGTTGGTTATTCTGGGTTGGGAGAAGCAGTGGAGTGGGGAGGAGAGGGCTATATAAATATATGCGAGTTATTGGCAAAGCCCTAGGTTTTTTTTTTTTTTTTTTTTTTTTTTTTTTTTTTTTTGAGATGGAGTCTCGCTCAGTCGCCCAGGCTGGAGTGCAGTGGCGCGATCTCGGCTCACTGCAAACTCCGCCTCGCGGGTTCACGCCATTCTCCTTCCTTAGCCTCCCGAGTAGCTGGGACTACAGGCACCCGCCACCACGCCCGGCTAATTTTTTTTTTCTTTTTTGTATTTTTAGTAAAGACGGGTTTTCACCGTCTTAGCCAGGATGTTCTCGATCTCCTGACCTCGTGATGCGCCCGCCTCGGCCTCCCAAAGTGCTGGGATTATAGGCGTAAGCCACGGCGCCCAGCCGGCAAAGCGCTATTTTTTATGTTGCAAGCTGGGGTCACAAGAGGGATGTTATTGTAGATTTACAGAAATGCAGCATGGCTACAGTTTCTCATGCTTCCAAATACAACCAATCACATACATTGTAAACTGTGACTGTTATTTTAGTGTCGCTTTAGCTGGTGAATAGACACACCCACCATCTTTTTGTCAGGGTTAGTCTTGAATTATGTGGGTTTTGAATTGTACACCCTCTGCAAGAGTGAGTCCTTCACAAAATCAAATCTCTCTGGAATTGTTGAATGGATGAATAAGTGTTCTTCCCAATGATCTGGTCACCAGAAAAGGCACAGCTTCCACAATCACTCAAGAGACAGACATTCATAAAGCACTCACTACGTGCTGGACATTGCAGGTGACACCCAGTATGCCTGAAGCATATCCTGTATGCCTAATAGGATGATATTCACAACTTTTCAAGGGCCAGAGAGCTTTGAGGCTCTGACTTTGAGCTCTTTGTTTACCTAGAACCACTGTGATATGGCTCTTCACTATCTTTCTATTATGTCCTCTAATGGAGTTGCTGGCCCAGTGAGTTTTGATATTTCAATTTCTCAAAATAAGCTGGAGCTCATTACTTTATGAATATTTCTTTTTGCTTACTGTCTGCCTTGTTTCTAAAATGGTACAGACCCATGATGGTAGGGGCTGTGTGTTTCTAATTTACCTCTGAGCCTCCAGAACCTGGAACGTGTCTTGGCACATACCAGATGGCCCATGAATGTTGTTTTGAAACAGTCGAATGAATGAAAAACGGTGTTTGTAAATGTAAACTATCTCAATGTTTTAATGATGGTAATTCATTAAATTAAAAGGAAAATGAGTGACGTGACCTGAACTGAACTGTGCTCGTCAGTTGGCAGGATGAAGTCTATGATCTGCCAGATCGAGACATCCAAGATCACAGACCCCTGTTGAGTAAGACTTTGCCATAAGACCACTTCATGGGCCAGTGACCTGTTGTTCTATCCTCTGGTACATCTGCTGTGGCCCATAAGGCAGGGTTCTGTGGCACCAAGCAGGGAATCCTATCAGTAGGGACCATCCCACAAGGAGAGGAATCTATTTCATGCTTTTTGGCAACTGCAGGGAATTAATCACATTGTGTGGATGTATCTAGTGTACGTGGCCATCTCCAAACTGTGATCATTTGGGAGCCTCGGACACCCTGGGGCAGGTCAGCTTGTAAATGGCATATCCAGGATTAAACCCAGAGCGATATGTCCCCAAAGACCTTCTTGTTTCACTACTACTAAAAAATTTTCCATTTATTTAAGGTGGGATTGCAAGGGGAAGAAGTATGATTGAAATGGGAAAACTCACCTTGTTATTTAAAACCTAGAAGGATACAATCACTTGGGGGTGTATGGGGTAAATCATACAAGGGCAGCGAGCTGTCAAGTCTGCTTAGAGAAACAGGTTCTCCTAGCCACTTCCAGCCCACAGGGCTTTTCTGCAGTCTCGCTAGAAAAATGATTCCAAAGACAGAATCATTATAAATCAAGTAACATTTATTGAGAGCTTAATGTGTCCTCACCAAGATCATGTTGGTTGAGTGTTGTTATTATACTCATTTTACAGAACAAAATAGATCATCGTGGATGGATATGAAAAGGTCTCCAAGACACATCATTTCATGGGAGGATGGGGGAAGCAAGTTGCAAATCTACAGATGCAGTCTGACATGAATGACGTGAAAACCCAGCAACACATAAAACAATGTCGATATTTTCTGTGGGCACATAGATATGTCTATAAAGTCTTCTCAAGTTAAAAACACAAAAGGTATTTAAAAGAAAAAAAATCACAAGATTACCAGGCTTACCAACATTACATTTGTTCTTTCATGATAAAAAAAAAAAGCGGTAATAATATTAAATGATTACCACATCCAGAAAGTTTGTGAACTCTCTTCAAATCTCAGCATGGCAAAACTCAGATAGATAGATAGATAGATATTTATATTTATATTATATTATATATATATTTATGTTATATATTATATAATATATATTATTTATATAATATATAATATATATTATATATATTTTATATATATATATATGTGAGTTTTGCCATGCTGATATTTGAAGAGAGTTCACAAACTTTCTGGATGTGGTAATCATTTTATATATATATATATATATATTTTTTTTTTTTTTTTTTTTTTTTTTTTTTTGCTAAGGAGTCCGGCTTACAGGAAGTGCTCAATGTTTTATTTGGGGACCAGGACTTAACAGGGTGAATCTGGTATGTTTGGTCAACCTCAGGATGCAACCTAATTTTTCTTCCTGACTATGATATGCCATGAATGTGATGATTTTCCTTTCAGATGTATTGCTTATAAAATAAAGAAGTTAAGAACTTTGTAAGGAAAAAAGAAGAAAAGCCAAAGATATGAACAATTGTAAGACATATTTCAATGTGAGAAATATTAAAATGTAAATAACTAACAACTCAGCATCAATAAAATATTATTTACTGGCCGGGCACGGTGGCTCAAGCCTGTAATCCCAACACTTTGGGAGGCCGAGGTGGGCGGATCAGCCAAGGTCAGAAGTTCGAGAGCAGCCTGGCCAACATGGCAAAACCCCGTCTCTACTAAACACACACACACAAAAAAAAGCTGGCATGGTGGTGGGTGCCTGTAATTCCAGCTACTTGGGAGGCTGAGGCAGGAGAATCTCTTGAACCCGGGAGACAGAGGTTGCAGTGAGCCAAGATTGTGCCATTGCACTCCAGCCTGGGCATCAACAGCAAAACTCTGTCTCAAAAAAAAAAAAATTTACTTATCACAACTTATCCAATAACAACAGTGCATATCTCATAGTTTGCGGCTGATAGGCATCTGGCATTGTTATTATGGAATGAGTAATAATAACAAGGTTCATTCTATGTATGGGAGAAGTGAGGCTGAGGATCAATGCATACACACACACACCTCAAAAGAATTCTATGCTCTCTTTTCCTCTCAAATCCCTGCTCAGTCATGTGCACTGGCTTGAGCTGGCTTGCTGGAGGATGAGATGCCCAAGGAGGAGAGGCGAGTCATCTCGGACAAGGTTATTCTGGACCAGGCAGCCCACAGCTGACCACAGTTGAACACATGAAGTCAGCTGAGGCCAGAACTATCCAGTTTAACTTAGCCCCTGTGGCCACATTCATGAGCTAATAATGCTTGTTATTTTAAGTCACTAAGTTTTGGAGTGGTTTGTTACACAGCAAAACTGACTGATACGCTTTATATACACAACTGATAATTAGCAGAGCACTACTACTTCTATATAGGTTGCTAACTTATTGAAATGTTTCTGTGAAAGTAGGTAAATAGCTGCTGAGTGAAAGCCCCTGAAGCCCCCTCACTTAAAGAAAACACAAATGAGAGTACACATATATGCTGTCATCGATTGTTCTGTTTGTTTTCATTTAATTCTGTAATTCAGAACTCCTACCATATTCAAATATTCAACTCATTTCTCACCCAGTTGAATCCTGATACATTCAGCCAGTCTTCTAAGGATGGACTCTTGGGTGTTGTCAATTCTTCTAAGCAAAGCATCAGTGAACACTTTGATGAAAGGAGAATGCCTTCCTTAGATACCTATGTAACTGTCTTCTCTTTGCCAAGTGGGTCTCTGCTCAAATGTTACCTTCTTAGAGTGGCCCTCTCTGACCACTGAAGTTGAGGCGGCCTCCCCTTCACTCTCCATTTCATCCCATTCTCTGATCATGCCCAGAAATTAGGAGTGGTGGTTCCATATGGTAAAAGACTTTGGTTTGTTCATTGCTCGGTTCCCAGACCCTGCAACAGTGCCTGGCACAGAATAGGTGCTCAGATGTTTATTGAATGAACGACACCCCGTTCACCCCCAAAGCTTCTTGTTTCTTGGGGTTCCTACTTATCAGAGGGTGCAGAAGTTCTGAGTATTTATATATTAGGCATTCACTCTCTTATTTCCTTTTTTCCACTTTCTTTTTCCTTAAAACAGCTACTCACCCACCACTGAGAGAAAAAAATAGCTCAGGTTCCTTCCTGACCCAAATTTCTCCTCCTCCTTTCCACATGCATCTGCTCACACCAACGTCTGTGTGCTACATTGGATCAACAATGAAAAATGCCAACTTCACTCCTACCTCTTCCTTCCCTCCATTTCTTTCCACCTCTCAACCTCTCTGTAAAACAGGTGATAAGCTATAAATGAACATTTACCTCCCTGTAGGCATCTCTTACAAGAAATTTGGGCCAAAAAGATCCCCCTATGAATTTTCATGCTTTGAAAAAGATTTATTGGGCAAATGAGTACGTATCACGAAGGAAATGGAAAATCTACTGAGCCTCATGGGGTGGTGCTGGGGAGGAGGGAGTAGATGGATGGATATAATTCCTAATATTTCTTCCTGGTCTTGGTAGACAAATAAGCATCAGGAAAACTTGTTCTGATAATAGACATGGAGCTTGGTCATATTTAAACCTTACATCAACCTTAGGAGCTGATAATAAAAGTATTATTGGCTGGGTGTGGTGGCTAACACCTGTTACCCCAATGCTTTGGGAGGCTGAGGTGGGAGGATTGCTTGAGCCCAGGAGTTTGAGACCAGCCTCAGAAACATAGAGAGATCCCATCTCTACAAAAAACTCTAAAAAAAAATAGCCAGATGTGGTGGCACACACCTGTAGTCTCACCTACTGAGGAGGCTGAGGTGGGAGGATCACTTGAGCCCAGAAGGTTGAGGCTGCAGTGAGCCATGATCACGCCATTGCACTCCAGCCTTGGGATACAGCAAGACCCATTCTCAAAAAATAAAATGAAAGTATTATTATACTGATAATGATAACAACACATAACAAAACTTCCCATGTGTAAGTACTGTTCTTTTTTTTTTTTTTTTTTTTTTTTGAGACAGAGTCTCACTCTGCTGCTTAGGCTGGATTGCAGTGGCACAATATCGGCTCACTGCAACCTTTATCTTCTGGGTTCAAGTGATTCTCATGCCTCAGCCTCCTGAGCAGCAGGGACTACAGGTGTGCACCAGCACACCCAGCTAATTTTTGTATTTTTAGTAGAAACAGGGTTTCACCATGTTGCCCAGGCTGGTCTCAAGCTCCTGACCTCAAGTGATCTGCCCACCTTGGCCTCCCAAAGCGCTCGGATTGCAAGCGTTAGCCACCACATCTGGCTGTTAGCCACCACATTCAGCCATAAGCATGTTCTAAATGCATCATTGTGTTACTTCACTTCTTGACAACACTATAAGGCAGATACTATCGTTATCCCCACTCTACAGATGAGGAAACTGATGCACCAGAGAAACTAAGTCACCTTTCCAAAGTTCCTCAACAGAGAAGTGGCAAAACCAGAATCTGAATGCAGTAGTCCATCTCCTGGAAGTGGCAATATGATGTTGCTACTTATACCTCATTGGTTGGAACCTAGTCACATGGCCACACCTAGCAGCAAGGGAGACTGGGAAATGCAGCTAAAATGTAAGGGTTCTAGTACTATGGAAGAAGGAGAGACCAGATGTTGGGGAACAATAAGCAGTCTCTACACACCCACCCTGGACCCTTGAAGATCTAAAAAATCAGAAGTTTGCAGTTATTCCTCAGGATGGGTCAGGGAGTAACTGAGATAAGTGTTCTTATACATTGGTGGTGGGAGTACCAATAAAGACATTGCTCTGGGAAGGTCTATCAGTTAGTTATTGCTGTATAACCAACCATGGCAACATTTAGAAGCTTAAAACAGAAACAACCATTATTTATTATAGTTCATGAAGTTATGAACCAGCTAGACAGTTCTGCTGATCTGAATTTGGCTGATCTTGGCTGGACTTGCTCCTGTATCTGTCCACAGCTTGGACTGTGGGCTGGGGGTTGTGCTGGCTGGCCTAGAATACCTTTGACCAGGATGACTTCCCCCATGGGCCTGTCAACCTCCAGCAAGCTAGCTCAAGCCAGTGCACATGGCTGAGCAGGGACCTGAGAGTAAGAGAGAGCACAGAGGCCTCTTGGGGTTTAGCCCCGAAGGGACACACCATCATTTGTTGGCAGGGTTGGTTTCCCGGAGGCCTCCCTCCTTGGCTTGTGGATGGTCGACCCTCTGTACATGTCTGAGTCCTAATCTCCTTGTAATTACACCAGCAGATTGGATTAGGGCTGGCTCTTGTGACCTCATTTGACCTTGACCACCTGGTTAAAGGCCCCATCTCCCAATACAGTCACTGTATTGGGAAGTACTGGGGTTAGGACATCAATTTGGTGGGGGGCACAATTCAGCCTGCAACGCTCACCAGCCCAGACCCCTTCGGAGCTGTGCTTTCCTATTGGAGACCCAAGATTTATACAGTGGAGTCGGATGCTGTGTTGGATCATAAATCCTGTTGGCTTAACTTTCTTTTTATTATTATTATTTTATTTTTCCATAAGTTATTGGGGTACAGGTGGAATTTGGTTACACGAATAAGTTCTTTAGTGGTGATTTGTGAGATTCTGGTGCACCCATCACACTGCACCATGTATGTTGTCTTTTATCTAAACCTCGCCTCCCCATCCCACGCTTCCCCCCGAGTCCCCAAAGTCCATTGTATCACGGATTTACCTTCAAAACCTACCCAGAATCCATCACGTTCTCGCCACCCCTGCCTGGTCCCAGCCATGCTCACCCCTCACTGGGACAATTGCAGGGGTCTCCCCGCTTCACCCCTGCTCCATTCTCCCTGCCCCCAGCCTGTTCTCCACACAGAAGCCCATCATGTCCCTCCTCTGCCCATAACCCTCCATGACTCCTACCTCACCCATCAAGCTGCAGTCTTCACCCCGCCGGCCAGCGCCCCTCCTGATCCAGCCCCCATCTGTTCTCTGTCCTCTTGTCACTCTGCCTCAGGCGTGGGCAAAACCCCAGGCCTCTGCCCTGGCTGTTCCTTCTTCCTGAAACACTTTCCCCCACATCCTCACCCGCCTTGTCCTGCCTCTGAGTTTCTGCTTTCCTGTCTCCTCCTCAGCGGGTCTCCCCACTCCACCTTCTTAAATCTGGAACCTGCCCCGACCCTCTGCATAGTACCCTCCTCTTTCTGAGATTTTTTTCTCCACGGCTTTAAAAAAAATTGTCACTTCCCAGAAGAACATCAACCCCACAAGGGCAGGGGTTTTGTAAGTCTTGTTCATAGCTGTTTCTCCAGCCCTTAGAACTTCATCTGGTTCAAATAGGCACAGTCTGTATGTCTTTCAATATAATTTATTCCAACACAGTCTGTATGTCTTTGAATATAATTTGGCCATGGAGGGTTATGGTCAGAGGAGGGACGTGAAGGGCTTCTGCGTGGCAAACAGGCTCGGGGCAGGGAGGATGGAGCAAGAGTGAGGCGGGGAGACCTCTGCAATCATCCCAGCAAGGGGTGAGCATCGCTGGGACCAGGCAGGGGTGGCAATTTATTCTGTTACTGTCATGGCTCAGAAATGCCCCCCCAAACACTGGGAATTTAACCTTTTATACCTGTACCTGATGTCTACATGTGCTGGTACCACCCTGGGCTTTGGGTAGCAGGGGGGTCAGCCTCCGCTCAAACTCTTGTTTTCTTTTTGGGCTGCTGTAACAATATCACAGACTGGGTGGCTTATACACAACAGACATTCATTGCTCACAGTTCTGGAGCCTGGTAAGGCTGAGGTCAAGGTGCCAGCAGAGTCAGTGTGTGGTGAAGGCCCATTCCCAGTTCATAGAGGGAGCCCTCTTGCTGTGCCCACACATGGAGGAAGGAGTGAGGGAGCTCTCTGGGGTCCCTTTCATAAGGGCACTAATCCTATGGATGAGGCCCCACCCTCATGACCTCATCACCTCCCAAAGGCCCTATCTCTTAATACCATCACCTTAGGGGTTAGGGTTTCAACATGTAAATTTTGGGGAGACACACAAATTCAGACCATTGCACCTTTCTTCCAGGGTGTGGAGTTGGTCCTGGGGATTGGCTGACCCCCTACCAGAGACTGCACTTCCCATGACCCTTTGTGTGCAGGAGGGTGCAAGGAACACTGCTCACCAGTGGAAGGAGAGGAGAGCTATGTGTCCAGAAATGGCTTTGCCCTCCCCTGTCTGCTGCCTAGATGTCTACTTGAGAAATTACGGTGGAGGGAGCTTGGATCCCTGAGTCACCCCATGGAGTAGATCCTCCTGCTGAGGGAGAGCAGCAGAATCAGACTTGATGCATGAGGAATACTTTCCAGTGTGGGATATCTCCTGGTCTCTGGGGCTTGTTGATGCATCCAGTCCATGCCAACCAGCACAAGATCTGCAACCTCACCTGGAGCCTAACCCCTGTGCATAAGATGCTAGGACCATCCCCAGGTACCAAGTGAGCTCAGCAAGCACCAGCTTGTAAGTGATGGAACTAGCAGCTGGGCCCAGGATTCCCTGACCCCAGACCCCACCTGATCACTTGGTGGCCCTACACAGGCTGCAAGCCAGGAGTCAAATCTCCTTCTTCCCCAGGGGTATTTTGTGTGGCCTGTCCAGTCCAGGCCCAAAGAGCATATATTTTTTGTTTGTTTTGAGACAGCCTTTCACTCTCCTGCCCCGACTGGAGTGCAGTGGTACAATCATGGCTCACTGCAGCCTCCAACTTCTGGCCTCAAGTAATCCTCCCACCTTGGCCTCCAGAGTGGCTGGGAGGACAGGCACACATCACCACGCCTGACCCAAAATAGCGTTTCTTAACAAATATGTAAATTTTTGCCATTTAGAAATCAGAAACATTGCATATAAAGTCTGGCTTTTCAGCTCCATCATCTCGAACTAATTATTAGTGTTCTGAGCCTGTTTCCTCAATTGAAAGTGAGAATAGTATTACCCTATATTAATGATGTAAGCCCTGTTAATGTATGTAGCTCTTTTATATAAATATTTAAGACTCTATTACAAATATAAACTTTCTATTAATAAATAATAGTATGTATAATAAAATATTATTAGGGCTGTAAGGTGTGTGTTGGATAGTGCACCTGCTTGACTCAAATCACTCATGTTCATGGCCCTACGCCTGGCCTGTCAGGGGTCATAGAAAAGTCTGTGATCTTGGAGAGGATCCCTAGCTCATCTCATGTAATTTGGAAACTGCCACCACACTGGGATTCTGCAGGAAGACCTTCCTCCTCTCCCCCATATCTGAGGCTGTGAGCTGAGGCCCAGCCTCTCAGTTGGACCATTCTCAGCCCAGGAATCTGCGGCTGCCAGGGGCATCAGTCCACCCAGGAGGCCCCTTCATCATGCTCTGGGGCAGGCGCACTGGGTTCCCGGGTACTGACTGGGATTCCTACAATAAGATGGTGTCCAGGCAGGGAGGAGCAGAAGGGCCTTCCCTCTGCAGCCTGGGTCTCCTGAGGCTGCCCCTCAGCCAAGATCTGGGCCCAGAGCCTTCTCCGGCTGCCCATGCTAAGGCCAAATGCAGGGGATTATCTCTGGCTAGAGCAAAGATTGTATGAACAATGCCTTTTATTTTCTGATGCTTTGACATTTTGAAGCCTTGCCGACCTTGGAGGGACTGTCACTCCCAGATCCAGGTGATTCCTAGAGACGGCAAAGAATCCCCTTGAGAGCGTGCCTTTCACAAGCAAACCACCCAATCCAGAGCCCACACCCAGCACCTCCCCAACTGGGCTCCCACACTCAGGGGCTCTGTGCACCTGCCCTCATCCAGGGCTGAGAACCAGACAACAAGGGCAGCCCCTGTGCCCCAGAACCGCTAAATTACTCAGAGAAGCCAATCCTGCTCCTTGCTGTGGAAGCGACAGAGAAGCTCCTGCCCCCGTCTTCCCCCAGCCCCTCCACCTCCTGACCTGCCCTGGGCTTCCCTGTGTGGCCTGGCACTGCCCTCGCCTCTCAGGAACTGTAGCAACTCTCTTTTCAATCCCTGGTGTCTCCTGACCTATGGGCCTCACCTTCTCAGAATAAGAATAAAACCTACATTTTAAATCAGACAGGGGCAGTGGACAAAAGGCTGAGGAATCCAAGTCAGATCCAGGTCTCCAGGGACTATGTTAGGTCCAGGGTGGAATGGGCTGCTGCCTCAGAAAACTCACTTGCTTATTCGTGATTCAGCCGGGAAGCATTTATTGAGCACCTACCATTAACTCTTTCATTCAACGGACATTTACTGAGCACCTACTATCTGCCTGTGCCTGTGCCGTGCCAAGTGCTGGGGAAAACAACAGTGAGCAGAACCAGCAACATCCAGATCTCTACCTGAATGCCCGTGATGGAGATGGATGGTAAAGAAAGAAAACAAGTATCAATACAGACTGCAGTGCGTGTGATGGGGAATACGAAGCAGGGGAAGAAGGGCGATCAGGGAGGGCCTTGTTATCAGTTAGGGTTCTCCAGAGAGGCAGTAGTGATACAACTTAATATAGTTATATATGTCCTATCATATAGATTGCCTTATTTAGATCATATATATCCCATATAGATATATCATATATATGCTATTATATATATTATGCATTTATTATATATACATTATATATCTCATATAGATTTTTTTTTTTTGAGACAGAGTCTCATACCATCGGCCAGGCTGGAGTGCAGTGGCATGATCTCAGCTCACTGCAACCTCCGTCTCCTGGGTTCAAGTGATTCTCCTGTCTCAGTCTCCCAAGCAGCTGAGATTACAGACACATGCCACCATGCCCGGCTAATTTTGTATTTTTAGTAGAGATGGGGTTTCACCATGTTGGCCACGCTGGTCTCAAACTCCTGACCTCAGGTGATCTGCCTGCCTCGGCCTACCAAAGTGCTGGAATTACAGGCATGAGCCACCTTGACTGACTGACCTTTTTTTTTTTTTAAGAGAGAGTCTTCCCTTGTCACCCAGGCTGGAGTGCAATGGCATGATCATACCTCACTGCAACCTCTAATTCCTGGACTCGGGCAATCCTCCCACCTCCGTCTCTTGAGTAGCTGGGACCACAGGCACACGCCACCACACCTGGCTAATTTTTCTAACGTTTTGTAAAGATGAGGTCTTGCTATGTTGCCTAGGCTGGTCTCAAACTCCTGGTCTCAAGTAATCCTCCCACCTTGGCCTCCCAAAGTGCTGGGATTACAGGTGTGGGTCACCATGCCCTACCCTATATATATCTTATACATATCCTTTTATATACCTCATATTTCTTGTTATACATATGGCATATGTATACTTTTATATATAAATAGATTTAATTTAAATAACCGGGTCATGCTACTGTGGGAGCTGGCAAGTCCCAAATCCATAAGGTAGGCTGGTAGGCTGGAAACTCAGGCCGGAGTTGGCACTGTAATCCTGAGGCAGAGTTTTTTACTCTCCAAGAAACTGGTTTTGCTCTTAAGGCCTTCAACTGATTAGATGAGGCCCACACACATTGCAGATAATAATCGTTTACTTAAAGTCAGCTGACATGGGTGACATCCACATCTATAAAGTGTCTTCTCAGCACCACCGGGACTCACTGCGATGGGCCTGCTGGGCACTGGAGCCCAGCCAGGCCGACACGTGAAACTGAGCATCAGGGACCTGAGGAAGCTCAGCGTGGGTGCTGGGCCAGGAAGGGAGAGGCCCCTGCGGTGGGAGTGGGCTGGGCCAGCGCTGGGACTGAACGAAAGCACAGTGTGGCTGAAGCAGAGTGAGCAGGGGGAGCGGGACGGGAGCTGGGAGAGGCTGCGTCACACAGGGGTTTGTGAGGAGTTTGGCATTTACTCCAAGTGATAAAGGGGTCATTCAGACCCCACCCAGCACCCATGACCTCTACCTCAAGGCCAGGCTTGGGTCAGGCCTGGGGACACAGGGACACAGGGACACAGGGCCCAGTGAGGGTGAACTCGAAGGCCAGCACATAACCCCAAATAGTGCCTTGGACAGATGTATGGGATAGAAGACTTGTTAAAAAGCAGGTTCCTGACCTGCTTGATCCCTGCCAAACCCACATTTTCAGGGGGGTAAATTTAATTTGGCTTCAGTAAGTACCTGACTGAGGAACTGGTGGGTGGAGTGGTGCCGTGGACTGCAGTCCAGCTTCTGGAGTCAGAATGGGTTTGAATCCAGCAGCTGTGTGACCTTGGGCAGGTGCCTGAACCTCTGCGAGCCTGTTTCCCCATCTGTAGAGTGGGGGTGATGAGAGCGCCCCCTCAGAGTTGGACAAGTGACTCCGTCAATGTGGCCATTATTCCAGCCACCTCAGGGTTCCTCTTGGGGAAACGTGGAGCCCTGAGTGGGGAGCTTGCCCAGGAGGCGGGAGACCAGGGATGTGAGACCCACCTGGTACCACAGCATCCCCCCAGAGGAGCCTCAATGCCCTCCACATCAGCTTGGGTTGCAGAGAAAAGAAACAGGAGGGACCTGAGAGGTGGCCCGGCTGGTTCTCTGGATGGGAGAGGGGGATGGTGGTGGTGCAGCCTCGATCCCATCTCTGCTTCACACACTGGGGAGTCCAGGAAACCAAGGCCAGGAGTCAAGTCCTGAGAAATTCAATATGTCCATCTCTAGAAGTAGTCCAGTGTAGGCAAGGAGCACGGACCTCGGAGCCCAGGTGGACCCCAGCTCACACCCTGTCCCCTCCACTTCCATGTTGTGTGCCCTCAGGAAGCTTACCTTGCCTCACTGAACCTCAGATTCCTTATCTATACGACATGCACATGAATCCCTACCTCGAGGATCTTGTGAGGGTTAAATGAGCCATTTCATCTCTCCAAAGGGCCTTAGAAGGTCTTCCCCTCCATTTTGCTGCTAAAGAGTAGTAAAATCTTGTGTACATATTAGCTAACATTTGTTGACTGTTTTAACACTCCATTCTCTGCAGTGCATACATATTCTCATTTATTCCCACAACAGATGCAACTAAAGCAATGTCTGATCAAGACTCGCTGCTGGAAACCACCACAATCCCACGTGGGAAGCCAGCCTGAGGATGATGTTAAGAAGTATGAAGGGAGAGCCAGAGCATCACAGAGAACCACAGCTATGGCTCCAATGATGAGAGCCTGAATCAAACCCACCCTGAGGCCCACTTGACTGCCAGAATTTGAAAAACGGTCCACCTTGTTTATACGTGCCCGAGTGGCTGTTTTTCTTATTTGCAGAATGTGCTTGCTGATATAATTTTTTTTCTGTATTATTTATTTGTGTACACCAGTGTCAGGGAGTGTGGAACAACTGGAAATGCCAGAACATTAGCAACCAGTAGTATCAAATAACAAAATTAAAAGTATGGCCTAAAAGGCCCCAGAGAAAGTGCACTTTGGGGAACACTCTTATGTGTAAACAGAGCTTCAGTCGGCCTTAGGAAACTCACTCGAAGTTACTGATATGGTCTGTTGGTGCTTCCCTGTATTCACATATTGGAAACTTGATCCCCAATGTAACAGTATGAAGAGGGAGGACCTTTGGGAGGTCATGAGGTCAGGGCCCTTGTGACTGGGATTAGCACCCTTATAAGGGGCCTGAGGAAGTCTGCCGTTTACAACCACGTGAAGACACACATCAAGACACAAGCACTACCTATGAAGAACATACCCCATCAGACACCAAATCTGCCAGAGCCTTGATCTTGGACTTCCCAGCATCCAGAACCATGAGTGACAAATTTCTATTGTTTATAAATTACCCAGTCTAAGGTCTTTTGTTACAGCAGCAGGAAGGGACTTAAGACAGTTGCCTTCACATTTAGCTGCAAAAATCACTATAAAAATAATCTGTGCTCAGATGTATATACTTATTGAATCCATGCATATTTCTTTCTGAATATCAAACCTGCTGCTGTTTCTTTTCCTTCTTGCCCCTCCCACAATCACTGAAGCCGATTTTGACCAGACAACTGGCCAAAACAGAAGACTGTTTAAAATAACATAGTCTCCCTTAATTAAAAGTTTTATTTTTAAAAAACGTAACAGACCACTCTAAGAAACTTTGGCATTCAAAGCAGTAGTTACTGTTATTTGCTAACTCTGAAAAAAAAATTTTTCCCCTCACAAACAACCGGCAAACTCCTGCCACTTCCTAGCTTGGTGGCTGCCAGCGTGCACTGCAGGGAAACGGTGGGTGGAGGGATAGGAAGGCCCTCACGCTCCCAACCCACGGAGAAAATGCAGATGGTGACAAGCTGCATCTGGACTCCAGGATGTATCTGACAAAGAGGGAGATGTCTCCTCCCTCCCCTCCACCAGCTCCACTTTCCCGCTGAAGAAACAGAGATGTGGAGGCAGGCGTGACCTGTCCCAGCTCTAGGACAGTTACTCAAGAGGGCTAGTCTGGAACCCTGATGTCTGTTACCAGCGGCCATGGCTCAGCTACAGTGAACCTTGAAGTGTCCCCAGATACGTCAGACACCGAGGGGCTTGCTTTCTGAGGCTCAGTAAGGAGGGGGCATGTGTGATCAGCCAGCCCCTCCACAACCCCACATTCCTGAGCTCCCCTGACCCCGAGTCCCCACCCCAGGGGAGAACTTCTCACAGCACTGCTGACAAAGCGCGCAGCCATCTGGCGTCCGTCCTGGGCACCGCCAGTGAGAGCCCTGCACAGAGGCGCTCAGGTGTGAATCCGCAGGTGGCGCGTCAGGTTCGTGTTGCGGCTGAAGGTCTTCCCGCACTCGCCGCATCGGTAGGGCTTCTCGCCCGTGTGGATCCGCTGGTGCACAGTGAGGGAGGAGTTCTTGATGAAGGACTTCCCGCACTGGCCGCACCTGTACGGCTTCTCGCCGGTGTGGATCCGCTGGTGCTCGATGAGGTAGGCGCTCTGGCTGAAGGCCTTGCCGCACTCGCCGCACACGTAGGGCTTCTCCCCGGTGTGCACGATCTGGTGCACGATGAGGGACGAGCGCCCCGTGAAGTGCTTCTTGCAGATGTAGCACTCGTAGGGCTTCTCGCCGGTGTGGATGCGCTGGTGCTGCGTGAGCGAGGAGTTCTTGCTGAAGGCCTTGCCGCACTCGCTGCACTCGAACGGCTTCACGCCGATGTGGAAGCGCTGGTGCTGGATGAGGTAGGAGCTCTGGCTGAAGGCCTTGCCGCACTCGCCGCACACGTAGGGCTTCTCGCCGGTGTGGTTCCTCTGGTGCAGGGTGAGCGAGGAGCTCTTGTTGAAGGCCTTGCCGCACTCCTTGCAGGCGTACGGCTTCTCCCCGGTGTGCGTGCGCTGGTGCTCGGTCAGGTGCATGTTCTGGCTGAAGGCTCGCCCGCACTCGGGGCACACGTACGGCTTCTCCCCGGTGTGCGTGCGCTGGTGCACGATGAGGTGCATGTTCTGGCTGAAGGCCTTGCCGCAGTCCCCGCACGCGTAGGGCTTCTCCCCCGTGTGGATCCGCTCGTGCTGGGTGAGAGAGGAAGTCTTCCGGAAGGCCTTGCCACACACGTCGCACACATACGGCTTCTCGCCCGTGTGCGTGCGCTGGTGCACAGTGAGGTTCATGCGCTGGCTGAAGGCCTTGCCGCAGTCCCCGCAGGCATAGGGCTTCTCGCCCGTGTGCACCCGCTGGTGGATGGTGAGGGACGAGCGCTCGATGAAGTGCTTCCCACAGGTGTCACACTCAAACGGCTTTTCTCCCGTGTGGATCCTTTGGTGCTTTATCAGGGACGAGCTTCGGCTAAAGGCCTTGCCACACTCGCTGCAGTCGTAGGTTTTCTTCTCCTCGCAGGGCATGGGGGGCTTACTGAGGTCTGAAGTGCTGGAGAAGTTCTTGCCACGCCTTACGGGTGGACAGGCCCCCTTTTCTGTGGGGTCGTCCAGCCGTGGTGGGACCAGGACACAGCCTTGGTTGGCAAATGCCTTCAGTTCATGACATGCGGGTACTGAGCCCCCTAAGAGTTTGTTCCCCTGGGGAATTCCCAATGGCTCCCACTCTGCACCTGCATCTCCCCGCGGCCTCTCTGGCCAGCTGCCTGGTTCCCACACTCCTTCTGAGCCAGGACCCCTGGCACCATTCCTCGTGGGTCCCCCCGTGGCCTCCCCAACAACGGAGAGCTTGTCTTCCGAAATGTCATTCTTTGGATCCAACTCTTTCATTTCAGGTCTAGTCTCCCAGTCTGAAAAAAACAAAAACAGAAGATGCAAATACATGTAGTTAAAGATGCTGGGAGTGAGGAAGCTCCACAGCAGGAAGGAGCAAATGAAACCGACCCCAATGAGGCCCAAGGCACAGAGCGAGTTAGCAAAGAAGAACCTTGGATCAGAGAGGGAGGGAGGAGGGAGGCATGGAACTGAGGCCAATGTGGTTTATGAAGCAGAGTCAACACAGGAGGTGAACAGGGAGAGCAAATGTCCCTTCAGAAGAGGGATGACAGGCACTCCTGGAGAGAAACTGCAGTAGTGAGCTGGGCTTGCAGGGAGCAAAGGGCAGGCTCTGCAAACCTGAGTAGGAATGACTGCAGCCGGCTACTGACTTGCAGGGCCTCCTCACTTCATCCTGCAGATCCACAACCAGTCGTGCTCCTCAAGCAACAGTTTTTATCAGAAATAATAAGATGGCCAGGCACAGTGGCTCATGCCTGTAATCCCAACACTTTGGGAGGCTGAGGCAAGGATTGCTTGAGACCAGCCTGGGCAACATAGTGAGACCCCCCACCCCCGCCTCTACTAAATTTTTTTTTAAAAATTAGCCAGGCATGGTGGCACATGCCTATTGTCCCAGCTACTTGAGAGGCTGAGGTGGGAGGATCACTTGAGCCCAGGAATTCGAGGTTGCAGTGAGCTATGATCACGTCACTGCACTCCAGCATGGGTGACAGGGTGAGACCCTGTCTCTTAAAAAATAAATAAATAAATAAATATTGAAAAAAGAAGAAAAAGAATAAAGAAATAATAAATAGCTAGCATTTATATGGCATGTGTTGGTTATTCTCTACTCCTTCGACCCACTTTCTATTCTCCACCCTTCTCTGACCTGCCCTGTGCTCAGGATGCTGACTTTGCCCACTGGCTTCCTGTGTGTTTGGCCAAAGGCAGGAAACTGGAAGTGAAATGAGAGAAAAATCGGGCATTTCTCCTGCCCCTTTGCCACTTCTCTGGTATGGCTGCCCCAGGGTTGCTGGCTGCAAGATCCTCTCCCCTGGCTGGGGCTCCGGCTCCCGCTAGCTCATCACGCACCTGCCCTGGCTGGCCCCAGCCCTCCCGCACCCCAGCCCTCTCATCAGCCTCAGCACTAAGTGTTCATACACACAGGACCGCTCACTTGAGCCCACAATAATCACATGACTTGGGGTCTCACAATTGCTTCTGTTGCTACGTCACACGCTGCCTAGTTCTTGGGTGGCAGGCATTCCGTGGAGCTTGGGTTCAGACCCTCTTTCTCTGCTCATCCACCCTCCCTGGCTAAATACCTCTGTGCCCACAGCTTCAATCACCTTCCACGTGTATCCTGTTCATTTCTAAACCTCGATTTCTAGCCTAGGTGGAGTCTAGACTCTGCATCAGGGGACTCATTCCCAGCATTTAAAAGTTGCTGTCCATGTGGCTGCTAGCTCATAAAAAACATGAAGATATGGCCACGTGGAGCCTCATTCTTATGGGCAACAAGACATTGCATGGGGCAGCAGCTGTCCCCCTCCTCCACATAAATGATCCACCTGGTAGTTCCTGAGGCCACCTGAGTTTGAGACCACTCTCCTGAATCACACTGGACCTTCAAAGCCACACAAAGTGAGTCTGGATCTAAACGTTATCCACAGGCTGATGCTGCTCAAACATACACCTTCAGCCCAGACCTGCTTTCTGGGCTATGTCCAAACTGTTCAAAAAAGCCCAGCATCTCAACTGGATAGCCCAAGCCTAACACATCCGATACGAAACTTGGGATTTCAGACTTTCCCCATGAAAAACATTTTTTAAAAAAGCAAAGCCCATCAAAGAGACTTAGTAAAATAAATCAGACATGAAAGGATGGATGCCATGTGATTCCACTCATCTGCGGTACCTGGAGGTCGGATTCCCAGAGACAGACGGTAGAACAGAGGATGCCGGGGGCTGAGGAGTGGGTGGGAGTTGGTGTTTAATGGGGATAGGGTTTCATTTGCGGGAGATGAAAAGAGCTGTGGGGATGGATGGCGGTGATGGCTGCACAACAACATCAATGTCCTTAAGGCCACTGAACTGTACTCCTATAAGTGGTTAAAATGGTACATTTTATGTTCTCTATATATTTTTCACAGTTTTAAATATAAAATTTAAAAAATTGTTTTAGAGAGACTTAGCAGACATCCTGACTTGCCCTTTCCCTCCCACCGTCCTGACTGCTGGCAAGCATTGCTGTGCGCAAACAGCCTGAATCAGACCAAATCTCCCGGTCCCCACTGACAAAAAGCCGGCTGGCCACCACGGGTCCTTGCCTGAAATGCGACAGCAGCTCCTCTCTGTCCTCCCCACCCCATTCTCACCCCTGCAATGCGTCCTCCACTCCTCCGGGAGTGCGGTCTTCTGAGGAGTCAGATCAACCCTCCCGTGACCTCCCTACGGTACTGAGAATGATGCCAGGACCTCCAGCAGCCTCAGGGCCCTCAGCACCCAGCAGGCCTGCCTGAGTCGTCCCCTGCCCACCCTCCCTCCCAGTTTCTCATCACCATGCTCTCCCTCTTGTCCGTGTGTTCTTCCTGCCTCAGGGCCTCTGCATCCACTGTCCTGTGGACCTGCCGTGGACGTCCTTATCCTTCAGGCCTGTTTCCCCACAACCCCACGGGAGCCTTCCCAATCCACCCTACGTAAGGAAGGAAGGTCCTCCTGCCCACTTCTTTATGAACACTCAGTGACCTGTGGCAATTTTTCTCTGCCTGTCCCTTGATCTGATTATTATCGGCCCCCAGCAGGAGTCAGCTCCACTAGAGGCAAGGGCCTTGCTCACCCCCCAGCTCCTCACACAGCCTGCACACAGAAGGTACCAGATAAGCGAGTATGGAGCACTGGCAACACGCCTGGCACAGTGCTGAACAATTTGCACGGATCTCTGGAGACCCTCACAATCATACTTGAGTTACATACAGTAGTAGATAGTTATGACCATCCTCATTTTGCTGATGAGGAAACGGAGATACAAGAATGGAGTCAGAGATGTACTCGAGGGCACAATACACCTGAGGCACAGCAGGATTCAAGCCCTGGCAGTGTGGCCCCCGAGCTGTGGCTCCTGAGGAGTGGCTATATTACCATGCATCACTTTTCCCATCTCAGAGGAAAAGAACTGAGAAATACTTCATGCAGGAGAATGATTGTGGTTTAGAGACCCTAGTCAGGGTGTGGCACAATGCCCAGATGCTGGCACAGATGGTAGTGTGGGGTGTAGACTCGGTGGAGAGAAGACTGTCTCCAGGGGTGATGGTGAATTTTGTCTGGGGCTGATGGAGTCTGAGATGCTCTGGAATATGAGCTGGCAGCTATCGGAGAGGACCAGGAGTCTTGGTTGTGAATACAGCTGGAAGTCTCCTGGAGTGAACATGACCTGGAGAAATCAGGAGAGCTGGGGGCAGCATACCAGCAGAGGGACAGAGGGGAGGAAGCCACCTCCCTTTCTCAGGCTAAAACCCTGCAGTAGAGATCATCTGCAAACAGCAAACACTCAGCCCTTAACCACGACAGCTGTGAAAACACAGTTCCACACCACCCAGATTAAAACTACCCGATCACACCTTTTCTCTAGTCAGGTCAGCAAAAGAGCAGGAAGTCTGACGGCATGGCCACTGTCATGGGAGACATCCGAAGCTTCTGCAGAGGGCACTTTCGCCAAAAGCCGTTAATGTGCAAAACGCTATTCATTCCTTTTGATACAAATGTAGGTGCATTCTTTTTTCACATTGCTAAATCTCGTCCTTCACACTTTTTCAGTTTTCTGTCTTTCTATGCTTGTTTCTGATTAGAAAGTAATTCACACTTGTTTTTAAAACATCAAACACCAAAACAGTAATGGAGAAAATGGAAGTCTCTGTAATCTCAGCATATTGGGAGGCTGAATCAGGCAGATCACTTGGTCAGGAGTTTGAGACCAGCCTGGCCAACATGGTGAAACCCTATGTCTACTAAAAATACAAGAATTAGCTGGGTGTGGTGGCAGGCACCTGTAATCCTAGCTACTTAGGAGGCTGAGGCAGGAGAATCGCTTTAACCAGGGAGGCGGAGGTTGCAGTGAGCTCTGATCATGCCACTGCACTCCAGCTTGGGCAACAGAGCAAGACTGTCTCAAAAAAAACAAAAAAAAACAAAAGAAAATGGAAGTCTCCTGTAATCTTACTCACCAGAGTTAACAGTTTGGTTTATATTTTAGACTCCCCTCCAACGCCTGTACATGCACACACACATTTTTCCCCCAAATGGGGCTTTTGTCCAAGACAGAGTATAAAGGATAAGATTCCCTTGAGCCTAAAACAAAATATATAAAACAATGGTTGTGAAGACATTGAATATCAGGCAATGAAGGGCAAAATCCCTGAGAGAAGAAAATCAAACAAGGTGGGTCCTACAACTGCCCCAGCTAACTGCCTGGGAAGTTTCCAGGCTCTGACAAAGGAAAGGTAAATTGAGGTACAGTCTGGCCAACTCCCCAAGTTGAGGAGACAGAGCTGAGAGACCAAGGCAGATAGAGTTCCCAGGACAGATGAGAGAGGAATGAGCTGCACAGTGTTCTGAAGACCTGCAAGGAACTCCCTCCAGTATTTAGCAGACTATTGGTCAAAACGTGCATGTCAGGAAACTACCCAACACAGGAAAAAAACATCTGAAAGGATTTGAAAACAGTGACCGGAGCTGACACAGGGCTGGGAACAGTGCCTTTTCCTACCAATCAGACTGTAAAACCTTGTCATTCATGGGGCTTTGGGCAGAAAACCCAGAATGATCTTGAGGAGAATGTCATTCTAGACTGGGCACAAGTCATAAAAGCAAGATCTGAAAGGATGACATTGCTTGGTATTGGTGCAAAGGCACACAAACAGATGGACAGAACAGGATTCAGAATTGGACCCACACTTGTATGGACAAGTGATTTTTGATAAAAATGCAAAGGCGATTGGAGAAAGTGGTCTTTTCAACAAATGGTGTTGGACAACTGGACATACATTTGTCCCCCCAACATACCCCAATAAACTTGGATTAATACTTTACATCATATTAAGAATTCAACTCTAAATGGATCAAAGAACAAAATGTAAAACCTAAAACTATATAACTTACAGAAGAAAACCTCTGAGGCCTTGGGATAGGCCAAGATTTCTTACAAATGACACCAAAACCAAAAAAAATTGATAAACTGGACTTCATTGAATTAAAAACTTCTGCTCTTCAACAAATTGCACTGGGGCACCTGGATATTCACATGCAAAGGAATGATGTTGAGCCCCGTTCTTACATCACTCACAAAAATTAATTCAAAATGGATCAAAGACCTCAGTGAAGAGCTAAACCACTAAAACCTTAGAATAAAACACAGGAATAAATCTTC